>NC_000015.10:97512200-98150627 GCF_000001405.40 Homo sapiens | reverse complement strand
GGAGAAATTTCTTCTTATTAGTTACTTACTTGTTTCCCCAATGATACAGTTTCATAGGAAAGTCAAATGTGTAATATTTCTCTTTACTTGCCTGTTTTCAAATAATGATTTAGCTATCTATCATCCTCAAGGGGTGACCAAGGAGATTTTTTCAAAAAACTTGATTTCGATATAACTCATGAATTTCAACATATTTTAAGTGTTTCAATTTATTGCAATTATTCTTCTTCTTGATATACAAACATGAAAATTCACATAGCAGTCATCTAATCTGTAAATTGAGGTCATTTACCACATTTATTACATATGACTATGTGGTGATATTAGACATGCTCAAAATAGCAGCGTAAGTTCCTCTTTCTTACACTGTGAAGTCAAAATTCAAAAATACTGTGAAAACAGCTGATCTTACAAAAGAACTCCATATATTAGAATATTAAATTTTGTTTTTTAAATATCTATTTTGATGGTACAACAAAAATTTAAATGCTGGTTTTCATTTGGCTCCCAAACCAAACAGTATATAATTTGGCATTTTTTTTATTTTCTATGTTGAAAAATCTTGCAGACTTGCAACTATCCAATTTAAATGAAAACTTTTTTTTTCTACTTTGCATTCTGCAGTAAAGAATGTCATGTGATTTTAAAAAATGCTATTGTGAAATGTATATAGAGAAATGTAAATATGCATATGTGTGGTTGAAAGAATAATAGAATGAACACCCATGAGTCCATTATTAAGGTAAATAGGATTTGAGCAGTGCCTTGGGAGCCTCCTAGTACCACCTTTCCCAATCAAGTCCCTCTACTCTCCCATCCCCACATTTTGTGTCAATCATTTCTATAGATTTCTTTATATTTTAACCACCTAGGTATATATTGAGAAACAATATACTGTTTGGCTTTGAACTGCCATGCAGTAAGCACAGACCAAATTACACAAGGACTAGGCATTTTTGCTTTTCTTAGAAGCTTCTCTTTCCTTCACACTTTCACAAAAAGACAAAAAAGGATTCATTTTTACTGTAGACCTCAGCAATCTCAGTATCTCAGTGTAAGATTTTTTTTCCTTATTAAGAATATTCACCTTCTCACTTAAAGAGAACACTTTATAGCTTCTCTTTGGCATATTTGAATTTCCAGTATCACTAATCTTGCATTTTGGAGCCATTACTAGGTAAAATAAGGGTTACTTGAATTCACTGTGACACCACAACGGTGAATCTGATCCACTCTGCAGACGGCTCCTAAGTGGCTAATGGGCCAGGGAGCATCTACAGTGTGGAGCCACCGGACAAAGGGAGGGCTCATGTTCCAGACAAGGACAGCGAGAGATTCCATCACGCTACTCTGAACATCATGCAGTTTAAAACTTATGAATTGTCTGTTTCTGAAATTTTCCATTTAATATATTTTTGGAACACAGTTGACTGTTGGTAACCAAAATCATGGAAATTGAAACCCTAGGTAAGGGGAGATTTTTCTCTTTTGGTGTATCATGTACATATAACACATTTAAACTATTTGTTTTCCTATTTTTCCCCTGTTTCTTCCACCCTGTTTATAGGGCATGTCATTGGTGGTACACTTTACAGTTATCAAATACTGAGGCTAGATCATGAAGGAACTAGAGGATGAATGGACATTACCCCTGGATGCTGGTCTTGAACACAGATGCCGTAACCATAATCCTTCAGGTTGTCCAACTTCTGGAATGGGTATGATTTTGGTTGTATGTTGGAGACGTGCACTGTGTTCAGCAGGCAGTGTTTTTGATCCTTATAAAGTTTGCTAGGAACAGCATGTACTGATGTAAGAAAGCCAGAGAATTGGACTCTAGGAAACATTTGTCAGTATTTTTACCCACTCAACATATGCATGCCCTTTCTACCTTTGGGAGGTTCTCTACTTTATCAGTCAAGATGGGAGGCAGCAACCCACTCCAGCTATAGAAACAGAAGTGACACAACTTGTTTTCCCAGCCTCTCTTTCAGGGAGGGTGGTGGGCTGTTATGTGACTTTGGCTCTGCCAGTCAGACTCATCCATGCCAGGCATTGACTCAGGAATGAGTGGTGCAAGGAAGCAGAGGCTTTCTTGGGATTTATTTTGGTGAGAATGTCAACTGTTGCAGTAGCTAGATCAGTTCCAGAAGCAGCATCAGTAGCTCCTTCATCAGAGGGACATCAGTGCAGGTGGTGTGGTCCTATACTGTATGAGAATGTTAGAGCAGGGGCTCCAACTCTGTGCCTTGAGGCTTGATGAGGCAGGCACTGCTCTTACGGCTTCTGCTGTGGTGTGGCACTTGGCACTGCTCCTCACTTTTCAGATTTTCAGAGCAAATCATAAGGCTGCTGCATCCTCAAGGACAGGGAAGCAGGACCTTGCCATGTGCCTTGAAGGGGTGAAACTGAAATTATGGGTGAGCTGCTTGGATGACCTGTGGTGGCCCTTTTCCATGCTTTGAACTTCCTATTGATATAGCTATCCCAGGCCTTTGCACAGCCTTTCCTTCTCTTTCTGTATATCTGTCTCCTCCATTAGCCCGGAAATCCACTGAGGGTAGGCATTGTGTTGTTCTGACCTCTGTTTTCCTAGTCTGCAGAGTGGGGGAAATTTGCCCAAGCCGGTGATCTTTTGTAGCCATTAATGGCCGTATTTGAGACCTTTTTTTCCCAGGGACATCTCCAGACTTTTCCAGAGGCTTCCGTGTTTCTTGGCTTCATGGTGCCCAGGCCGCCCTGGGTGAGAACAGTTGACTGGTCTGAACTCCGCTGGTCAAGGGCATTTCGTCTCCCCTATTCCAGGTGAAGCTGTTTTCATCTTGGCCCCAGGAGCTTGTCCTCATTTTCTGAGGCGACAGAAGAGGAACTGAGAACCCAAATTCTTTGTGCAATGCAGGCTCTCTGGGTGTCAAATACCCATAAAACCATTGCATCCCGGCCTCAAGGTGGTGGTATTTGCCTCCCACTCTCAAAGTAAGCCCTGCGCCCCAAAGCTCCCTTGCTTCCTGACTGCAAATAAAACCTGGCCCCTGTGGGGAGGGAACCACCTCAGAACTTGGTTTCACGGCGGCCCTTCCTCTTTTGCATAGGGAACATCTGGAAGCCTGAATGGAGAAGGAGGGCTGATCAGCCATCAGCTCAGCTGGGGCAGTGTTCCCTGACCTGTCAGCTCTTCCCCTTCAGACCTCAGAGGATAGAG
The DNA here is from genome assembly GCF_000001405.40 of Homo sapiens. Taxonomy (NCBI): domain Eukaryota; kingdom Metazoa; phylum Chordata; class Mammalia; order Primates; family Hominidae; genus Homo; species Homo sapiens. The sequence goes on along the minus strand of NC_000015.10, from coordinate 98,147,425 downwards.
AGGGTCAGCTGGCAACCTCCACTGAGCCTGTGAACCAGTCCCAGGAGCTTCTCCAGCAGGTGTTTGTCCTTAGGCGGAGATGTTTCCTGGATGCCTCACTCCTTTGCCTCTCAAGGATAAATGCCCCGATGACAGAAACCCCCAGCCCCTGCCCAGTGACAGGAAGTGCTGACTTCAACACTGGGTCCTGCCATTTACCAGAGAGCCCTTGAAGAAAAAATCAAGAGGAGAAAGGCCCAAAAGAAAGAAAACACGGTGGGCCAGAAAAATTTCATCAGGCAGATTGCTTCAAGATGAAGACCAACCAGAGAAAATATTCCCAGGAGTTAAAATACGCAGCACGTTTTAGATACCAATGACGGCGATTTGCTTTCTCTTCATTTCTGTCTTCACATTGCTGACAACTCCCCTCATTGTCTTAAATATGGATTGCCAAAGTCAATTAAATACGCAAGAGGAACATTGTACATTTTGGAGGAAAGTAATTATTGTTACACCTTAGAGCAGCTTAATGAATACATTAATAAACGATCCTTCGCCATGTTTTTCTTTTCATAGCCATCAAAATCTTTATAAAACCTACAGCACAATACATAACATCTCGTTACAAGATTTGCTTTTAAAAAAATCAATGCATACCTAAGTTATTTGTGTCAAAACTCATTTATTTTCACAATAACACAGACTGTCAAACCTGACATCCTGCTAATAACATCCAGTGCATTTGCATATTATTCAAATATTTCCTTTTATGAAACGGGGACTTTTACTTACACCGCTCTGCTCGCCCGTGCAGCATGCATTTGCACATTAACTCACTTCACACAGCCAGAGAAGGGTTACCTGTGGCAACTAATTATGCCACCCTTTATGCATATTAATGAGTCTTGTGAGCAGCCACCCTCTGTTCTGCAGAGAGGAAAAACAATTCCAACCTAAATGGGAAACCGATTACAGGCAGAATACCAGAGAGTCGGAGAGCAATATTTGATAATTTCCCATTTTTGATGTCCCTAGGTGTATTTGTTTTTCTTCTGCTGCTGTAAAAAATTACCACGAACTTGGTGGCTTGCAAGAACACAAATTTATGATCTTGCCGTTCTGGAGGTCAGAAATCCCACTTGAGTCTCCGGGGACTGAAATTAAGATGTGGGCGGGGGTGAGTTCCTCCCTGAAGGCTCAAGGGGACAGTGCGTTTCCCTGCCATTTCCAGCCTCCAGAGGCCTCTCTCTAGTCCTTGGCACCGAGCCTCGCGTTTCAGAACCAGCAAGGGGATGTGGAGGCCTTTTCAGACTACCCCTGTCTCTCACCACAGCCAAAAAGTGTTGCCCATTTTTCGTCTCATGTGACTAGATTGGACCCACCTGGGTAGTTCCAGATACGCTCCCCGTCTCCAGGTTCTTAAGCTTAATCACATCTGCAAAGTCCCTTTTGCCATGTAAGGTAACGTATTGACAAGTTCCTGGATTAGGAGGTGGACATCTTTTGGAGGGAGGCATTATTCTGCCCATCACCCTAGATCTTTTACATCCAACTCTCGTTGAAGAGGTCAAAGAAAATGCTGAGTAGGGTCTCCAATTTCCTTGTGGGTTAATTGCTCATTTTCCTTTTTTATTCATCTCCCTCATTGATCTTTCATCCACTTTCTTCTCCTTCACCTGCAGATCCTCTCCTTTCTTTTCTCTGCCCCCACCCACTTCCTCTATTGCTTTCTGTCTGTTTCTCCTTTTCAGTTTTCCTTGTTATCCAAAGGAACCCACAACACCCCATTTGAGACGACAGCCCTTGCTGTGCGTCCACTCTGTTCCCGGCTCTGTGCTTCACGTTTGCTATATCTCCTTTAAGTATTGCTTGCTAATATTAGTGGCCCCACTTCATTTCTTTCTTTCTTTTTGAAACTTTTCTTAGAGTTTATATTTAAATATTTGAAAGACTTCAAAACTCACACTTGTTTAGTAATAGTATCGGTTCTCGTAATCTACAAAATAGATCTAAAAATATAAAATTTTTCCAAAAAGTTAATGAACCCCAAATTTACAGATTCATTAATTTTTCTTCCTGTGGCACAGGGGACTTCTTTGTCTTCATCCTCAGACTCCAACTTTAAAAATACTCTGTGATGAAATGAAATGTGACTTCCTGGAGAGTGTCTAGCCCGAGGAGATGGCATAGGAGCTGGCTGGAGAGAGGCATCACTACCAGAAATGGGTGTATGAGCAGCTATTTTTTTTTTTTTCAGGAAACCAGGAATTGTAAAATGCACCCAGCACAACTGACCACAGTGTGCAGGAGTATGAGCTGGTTCTCAGGGCCACCATGATGGAGAGCCCCCGAGTGGAATGCAAGTGTCCCCTAGATGGCATGACAATGCAGTTTTGCTGCTCACCCTGTGAAGGGGCAGAAGCCTGGCGTGCAGACATGGCCAGGCCATCCAGGTACACAGAGGCTCCTCATTACCTGTGCTTTGAGTGCACTGGGAACTTTTGAAGTGAGTGGCCTAAGCCCAGCTTTAAGGCCGCAGAAGGGAGGACTTCATCAGCTTTTCCCACCTCTCTCCACTCTTCCATTTTTCAGTCTATACATATTGATCCTCTGTGTGCTAGACCCCCACCCCCAGACCCACAAAAGAGAAAGCAGGGGGACTACAAAGACAAAGGGAATGGAATAGACACCTTGGGGTCTTGTCTGTCTGCCCTGGAAGCACTCTAGATACCTGCAGACACATCCCTTACAGGTCACCAGGGATTTCTGCATCTATTAGCCTGGGTGCTGCCTCCGGGCTTGATGAAGGGGTGGGGCCAGTGCTAGTGCCAGGAAATCAACACCCCAGGAACAACCCCCAGCCAGTGAGGGATAAAAGCTGGTGAATAAACACCCTATTTTTCTCAACTCTCAATGAGTCAGTTCAGGGGCCTGCCTACACTGGCTCCTAGAGGTCAATGGGTTGAACCCCAGTTGCCTGCAATGACAACTTGCTCTGCTCCCTCCCTTGTCTCACTCCCTCGCTTCCTCACAGTGCTTCCTGGGGTGACCTTGGGGTCTTGGGGTCTATGTGATGGTTAATTTTATGTGTCAACTTGCCTGAACAAAGGGGTGCCCAGATGGCTGGTAAAATATTATTTCTGGGTGTGTCTGTGAGGGTGTTTCTGGAGGAGATAAGCATTTGAATCGGTGTACTGAGTCAAGAAGATCTGCCCTCACCAATGTGGGTGGGCCTCATCCAATTTGTTGAGGGCTGGAATAGAACAAGAAGGTGGAGGAAGGGTAAATTCCCTCTCTCTTCTGGAACTGGGACATCCATCTGCTCCTGCCCTCAGACATCCAATCTCCTAGTTCTTGGGCCTTCAGACCCAAGAACGAGTGGCCCTCCTGGTTCTCAGGCCTTTGGTCTTGGACTGGCTTTTCTGAGTCTCCACCTTGCTGGTGGCAGATTGTAGGACTTCTCGGACTCAACAATCACGTGAACTAGCTCTCACCATAAATAAATCTCCTCTGTCTTACCTCTTTAAATCTTTCTGCTTCTGCTTCTCTGGAGAACCCTGACTAACACAATCTGCTTTGGGGAGAACCCAGAGTCCAAGGGGAGACCTGAATTGTGTGCTGAAGAAGTTCAGGGAGAGAGGAACATTAGCAAAGGGGTGGAGGGTGATGTGAACCGTGTTGTGGGGCCCAGAAAAGGAAGGGTGTACACTCATGGGCTTCTCCTGGGTCTTCTGACTCTTTCAGCAAATCTTCCCCCCCGTTTCTATTTAAAAAGTATCCCATTTTAGAACCGCTAGCATGGAACTAGCTTCCCCACTTTGCAAAGGCCAGAGACCTTACTTCTCACCAACAGGGGACAGAAGGTAAGAGCAGAAGGTGAGGAGGTCTGGTCAGTAGCTGGCCCCACTCTCACACCAGGGGTAAAGACTGGATGGGCAAAAGCAGAGCCTGGGCCTTTTTTGCAAGGAAAATGAGCAGTGACTCTCCAAGGCAGAAATCCTTTCCCTTTACACGCTGACAATCTGCCCTCATTCTCCTGAGGCTGTTTCCAGTTGTCCCGCCCCAGGTGCAGATTTTAGCTGTGACATTGACTCTCTGACCTGGTGGAAGAAATTCAGACTGCCTGCCATCCCCCAGGGGTGCATTCCTAAGCTCTACAAGAAGTGCCTACAGCAGGGAGCCTCTATTTTATGAAACCGCAGCTGCCTTTGAAGTAATCCTGGTCATATCAAATTCGGAAGCTAATCTGATTCCAGAAGTATGGCCAAATCTCTGCTTAAAATTCCACTGCAATTGTCAGGGACTTGAATCTACAGAAATAATCTCAAACCAAAGGAGAATTTATGACCTAGAAAGTCATAATGCAGGTACACCTCACTTTATTGCACCTCGCAGATCCTTACATGTTCCCAGCTCTTGCAAAGATGCCTGACTTGGCCAGATCATAGAGAAGACCTTCTTGCTTTGGATGGGGGCATGGGTAGGGTCACTGAGAAGAGCCTATACTTTTAGGAGGAGATATAATATCAGTTCATTTGGGTGGACATCAAATCTTCTTGGGCCACAGCTCTCTGAATGCCCTTTCAGTCTTACTGGGACAGGGAAAGGCCTATCCTAAATGGTTGCTGAAAAGGCCACAAGACGGAAGGTTAGAGCAGGGATTCCCCCTGGTGGTAGTGGGGAGGGGAGAGAGGGAGCATGCTTTTTCCAGGAGGCCTATGTCAGGATGGTGGGTGGACGTGCATGTACTGGGAAAAGTGGAAAAAATATGTTCAGAATGTGATTTACAATATTAATGCAAATTTCTGCTTTCTAACTGGTGGAATTTGAAGGGATTTCAGAATCTTGGGGATAGGGTATTGAGCTTTTATATTTGTAAAAGGGGCAAGGATCTAAAAAGAGATTGAGCAGGATATCAGGAAAGGTCAACACATTGTATGATGATTTCTGAAGTTAGGAATAAGAAGTGAGTGGAAGAGAGACACCTCCAGAATAAACAGACAGTGGAATGAGCCTGGGGTGAGACTGATAATGAAATTCTTCAAGACATAGGAGGGAAGAGAGTGCTACCTCACCCCACCCCTACTCACAAGGAACCAAATTGAGGAGGTCTCTTGCTTAGAGTGAAGTTACAGGGAAGGTGGAGAGGCCATTTTACCTATAAATGTTCAGCTTTTGTTCATTCATTCATTCATCCACTCCAAAAGGATTATTTAGAACCTGCTGCGTCCCAGACATTGTGCCTGGCACAGGGAATATGCTGATCAGCAAGGCAGATGAGCAGTTGCACATCAAGGGAAAGATGGATTCTTGTCAATCAATACAGTGTGATGCATAATGACAGCGGAAACACAAGTGTCTGTGGAAATGAAAAGCAAGAAGAGGTGACAAATAAGCTGAGGCCTGGAGCATGGAAAGAAGCTGCCCAGGTAAAGGGGATGGGAGATGTTCCAGGTAAAGTGAAGATCCTGTGTAACGATCCGGACTAGAGGGAACACGGGACATTCAGAGAGTTTCAGTAAGTGTGGCTGTGGCTTGGACAACAAGAGGGGCAGTGGCAGGGGTGGGCTGGGGAGATAAGCAAGGCCTCGTAGGCCATGCTAAGCAGTTTAGACTTGATTCTCAAGGCAGTGGAGCCCAACAGGCAGAGAAGTGATGTATTAACAATAATTCACATTTGCTGAGTGCTTACAAAGTTCCAAGCTCTCTACTGGGTACTTTTACTGTTATTATCCCATGTGCCTTCAAAACCCTATGTGGTTAGAATAGTGACTCTGGTTTAGAAGATAAATGATCTGTTTCCTCTAGGTCAGAACAATGATTATTCCCATTTTCCAGATAATGAAATGAAGACTCAAAGATCTTATATGATTTGCCCAAGTTCATATGACTACAAATGGTAGAGACAGGATTTAGTTACAGGTATGTGTGCCCTGGAAGTCTCTGGTTAGAAGCTTTCTCTTTATGTCCCCCTGGAAAGATGACTTTGCAGAGGAGCAGGGCAAAGTTCAAAACAAAGATGACAGTGAAGGGTTTGTACAACAATCTTGCTAAGAGCTCACGTTGGTGGGCTAGGTTAGTGGCCATATGGAAAAGGAGAAGGATGTGTCTTTATAGTAGAATGATTTATAATCCTTTGGGTATATACCCAGTAATGGGATTGCTAGGTCAAACGGTATTTCTGGTTCTATCTCCTTGAGGAATTGCCACACTGTCTTCCACAGTGGTTGAACTAACTTACACTCCCACCAACAGTGTAAAAGTATTCCTATTTCTCCACATCCTCTCCAGCATCTGTTGTTTCCTGACTTTGTAATGATCACCATTCTAACTGGTGTGAGATGGTATCTCATTGTGGTTTTGATTTGCATTTCTCTAATGACCAGTGACGATGAGCTTTTTTTCATATGTTTGTTGGCCTCATAAATGTATTCTTTTGAGAAGTATCTGTTCATATCCTTGACACACTTTTTGATGGGGTTGTTTTTTCCTTGTAAATTTAAGTTCCTTTTTGATGAGGCTGTTTTTTCCTTGTAAATTTAAGTTCCTTGTATATTTATTACAGCACTATTTACAATAGCAAAGACTTGGAACCAACCCAAATGCCCATCAATGATAAACTGGATAAAGAAAATGTGGCACATATGTACCATGGAGTACTATGCAGCCATAAAAAAGAATGAGTTCATGTCCTTTGCAGGGACGTGGATGAAGCTGGAAACCATCATCTTCATGAAACTAACACAGGAACAGAAAACGAGACATCACATGTTCTCACTCACATGTGGGAGCTGAACAATGAGAACACATAAACACAGGGAGGGGAACATCACCCACTGCGGCCTGTAGGAGGGTAGGGGGGAAAGGGGAGGGAGAGCATTAAGACAAATACCTAAAGCATGTGGAGCTTAAAACCTAGATGACGGGTTGATAAGTGCAGCAAACAACCATGGCACATGTATACCTATGTAACAAACCTGCACGTTCAGCACATGTATCCCCGAACTTAAAAAAAAAAAAATTAAAAAAGAAAAGACAAGGAGATGGAGTGACATATCTTAGGAAGCAGAAAGAAGAGGAGGGTGAGATGTTTTGGGAGGGAGATGCTTTTCTTTCACAATATATTTTTGAGATTTATTATTTTTTAAATAATAATACATCATATAAACATACCCATATGTACATTCATTATTCTGCTGATAATTTAGGTTGTTTTGCTATTATGGAATATACTAAATATGGATAAAAACTGCATATTCTTTCCTCAGTTCCTTTCACGGAATTATGCACAGTTCCATAGATTTTAATGTCTGTATGTGACCAAAGGTTATTACTAGTAACCCTATGAGTTGCTCACTGGGTTTTGAAATTTTGTCTTCTTCTCAAGTATTTTTTCTCATTGAATTACTTTTCTATTGTATAACTGAGTTTTTGTCTTATTGGAATTTCCATTGGTAATGATTGGAATAGATGGGCCACAGAATCCATGGTAAAAGGGTATTTTAATAACTATTAGAAGAAAAGGTATGGAATTTGGAGTTGGAAAAAAGATGGGCAAAAGAAACACGGCAAACATGAACCCGTATGTTCCTTATCTGTGAAGTGGGCAGAATAATACCACCACCAATTTGTGTAATCATGACAGGAGGCAATGAAGATGAACGTTTCTGTAAAATTATCACATGCTATGTAAATACTGTGTGTTTAATATTTCCTTCTTTTAGAACCTCAAAGAATTTAAATTTCTGTTTAGGTAGCTTATTGTACTATATGACAAGTTAATGCTAGGATACAAAAATATTTTTACTGAAAAGAAAAACACAGATACAGAAAACCGCACACCACCAATGTATGACTGAATGGATTATCATGAGGTGAACTTCCTGTAAGCATTACCCCAGGCAAGATATAGATCTTTGCCATCCTCTCTAGAAGCCCGGCCCCCGACTTGCTCTATCCCTATCACAGACCCCTCTCTCCCCACAAAAGTAGCCAGTGTCTTGACTTTTGTAGAAATTATTTCCTTGTGTTTTCTTTTATTTTATTGCGTAGATGTGCATCACCAGACATTATGATATAATTTTGCCCTTAAAAAAGCTACATGTCTTCTAAGACCCTTTTAAATCTACATTTTCTCTTTTTGCAGTTTATCTGGTGAAGGAACTGGTTCCTTTGACCTGCAATTTTCCATACACAGGCTTTTGCGGATTGTACACGCATGGTGCAACTAACATGCTCCTCTCCAGTCTGCGTTTCTTGCACAAGCAGTGGCTCCTGAGGCTTGCTCAGACTCAGGCTAGACTCCTTTAGCCAGACTGATAGGCAGCGCTGTGTTTCTTCACAGAAGATACCTGACTTCCGGTTGTCCCTTTTTTATGACGCAAACTGCCATTGATGTGCAATTTCTAGGTTTATTACTTCATAGGGGGCTGCACAAAAAGTGATATTCTAACTTTATAATTTCTTTGCCATTTATAAGTTGGACTTCTTTTATAATGAGAGGCTGCCCCCATCTACCTCTTGGTGACTCACTTGTCCAGTTCATGTAAAAAAAGGCAAAATAAACACTGATTGTTTCTCTTTGTTTACCAGTTTTCAAGATAACAAGTTGGTTCCCTGTCAGCCTCTGAGAGTGATTTATTTTCCCTTAAAGTGATTATGAACTTACGGATGTAAAAATACTTGATGGGTTAGATCCATTGAAATTGTGGCAGCTCTCCTCAATGTTAGCTTTCAAAGTAAGAAACTCTTGTTATCGAACAGATTGACTTTCCTTTTCCATTTTCACTGCCGCTGGCTCATTTTTGGTCCAGATATTGCCGATGTCTTCCTAATTCTAGTCTCACTTCTCTCACTTCTCCTTCAATACTTTTTAAAATCTTTTATTTTATTTTGACATTGAACACATACAAAAAGGCACAAAGCATCCTGTAGAGCTCCATGAATTATCAACAAGTAAACATTCAGTGCTACAATTAGAACCTTGCCAGGACCCCAGAAACTTTCTCTGCCCTCCCAATCATTATGTCCTCAATCCTTTCCCAATAATCTGAATTTTGACACTATGGTTGGATTTTACCTTTTTAATTTAACTGCATATAAAGGGGTTCCCACAGTATGCATTCTTGTGTGTTTGGCTACTTTCACTCAATGCTGTGTTCAAGAGCTTTATCCATATTTTGAGTGCACTGTGATTTAGAATTCCATTGTATAAACATGCCACAATTTTATTTACCCATTCTTCTGTGGATGGACATGTAGATTGCTTCTGGTTTGGGGCCTTTCTGAATAATGCTGCTATGGACATTCTCATGCATGTCTGTTGGTGCACATGTGCACAGATTTTGGTTGAGCCTATTTCTCAGATTGGAATTCATAATTTGTAGGGTCTACATATCTTCCATCTTAGTAGCTAGTTCCAGTTTTCCAAACTTTTTGTTTGTTTGTTTGTTTTTTGAGACAGGGTCCTGTTCTATTGCCCAACCTGGAGTGCAGTGGCAGGACCATGGCTCACTGCAGCCTCAACTTCCCAGGTTCTCATTCTCTCACCTCAGCCTCCTGAGTAGCTAGTACTGCAGGCATGTGCCACTGCACATAGCTAATTTTTTCTTTTTTCTTTTTTTTTTTGAGATGGAGTCTTGCTCTGTCACCCAGGCTGGAGTACAGTGGCCCAATCTCTGCTCACTGAAAGCCCCACCTCCTGGGTTCACACCATTCTCCTGCCTCAGCCTCCCAAGTAGCTGGGACTACAGGTGTCCACCACCACGCACAGCTAATTTTTTTGTATTTTTAGTAGAGACGGAATTTCACCGTGTTAGCCAGGATGGTCTCGATCTCCTGACCTCGTGATCTGCCAGTCTTGGCCTCCCAAAGTGCTGGGATTACAGGCATGAACCACTGCTCCCAGCCCACATAGTTAATTTTTTAACAAAATTTTTTGTAGAGGCAGAGTTTTACTATGTTGCCCAGGATGGTCTTGAACTCCTGGACTCAGATCTTCCTACCTTGGCCTCCCAAAGTGTTGGGATTATGGGTGTAAACCACCATGCTTGGCCCGGTTTTCCAAACTTCTTGTACCAATTTACAATCCTACCAGTAGCATTTGAGAGCTCCCATTACTTCATGTGCTTGCCAGTACTTAGTTTCATCAGTCTTTTCAATTTTAGTCATTCTGGTGATGTAAGTGATGTTTTATTGTAGTTTTAATTTGCAGTTCCCTGACTACTCATGATGTTCAGCAATTTTCATTTGTTTAATATCCATTTGGGTATCCTTTATTTTGGAGTTCCTGTTATACATTTTTTTTCTATTGGTTTGACTGTCATTTTTGTTGTTGATTTGCAAAATTTCTTTATTCATTCTGGATATAAACCCTTTGTCAGTTACCTCTGTCGCATATATCTCTTTACCATCTTCCTCTTCACTGTCTTAATGGTGTCTCTTGATAAACAGAAATTCTTGATTTTAGTGCAGTCAAATAACAACCTTTTTCTTAATGGCTGGTACCTTTTACGTCTTTTAAAAAAACATTTTCCAACCTTGAAGTCATTATGATTAATTACTATGTTGCCTTTCACGTTTAGATCTGTAATTCACATAGAATTTTTCTACATGTTATGAAGCAGGAGTTAATTTCTTTTGTCTCCCACATGAATAGCCAATTTTCAGCATTTCAGCCTTGACGGGAATCAGCAGATACCTCCTTGCCCACCTCTTCCAGGCCCCACCCCTCACCAAAGTGTTTCTGAGTGTTAATTTTGCCTCTCTCTGGGCATCTATCCTGGCCTGTAATTCTTTACTACCTTGGTAGTTCTTTGATGTTTTCAAGAAGATACCTTGTTATTTTATTTCGCCCACCTTTTTCCACATACTTTCAGAGAGGGTTGATGAGGACTATACAGTCCACCATCACCAAAAGGAGGTAGTCTGTGAATTCAGCCTTCTCACTTGTTGCCTGTTGCCAATGATCATTTGTAACATATAAATAATGACAAATCAGCTCACTGATTTGCTTAAAACATTTCCATCACTCCCGAGTGCCTTTGGGAAACATTTTGCAGTGTGTATGCAGGGTCTGGACTATGACAGGGCACTACGGAGGGTTCTTCACCGCAGGCCTCTTCTGGACCTCTGAAGTTTAATGTGCATTGTAGGGGAGGGAATTAAACACACTGCTTCCCTCATCTGTTTGAGCACAGAGGCTTGTGTTTGCCAAGCAACCTTTTTTTTTTTTTTTCAGTTTGTGAGACTAACTTATTTATTTATTTTTATTTTAAGTTCTGGGGTACACATGCAGGATGTGCAGTTTTGTTACATAGGTAAATGTGTGCCATGGCGGTTTGCTACACCTATCAACCTGTCACCTAGTTAGTAAGCCCAGCATGCATTAGCTATTTATCCTAATGCTCTCCCTCCCCACCCCACATCAATCCCCTACTCCAACAGGCCCCCCGTGTGTGTTATTCCTCTCCCTGTGTCCAAGTGTTCTCACTGTTCCGCTCCCACTTAAACAAGTCTTCCAGAGAACTAACTGGGAAGTGCCGCTCTAGGTAAAAAGAACACCTGTGAATGACACAGTGAGGTCCTTGGTGATCCGGCTTCTCCTATGTCTCTAACCTCATCCAGGCCTCTTGCTTCCACATCCTGTGCTCCAGCCTGTGTGAGCCACTTGAGTTTTCCTGTGCTCTCTGAGATCCATTTTTGTTCTTTTGCTACTGCCTCAATGTACTCTTCTTTTTCTTGGCCTGACTCACACTTACCCTCTGAGGTAGGACCTCATCTTCTCCAGGATCTTGTTTGACCTCCTGGGCTTGTGAGAGTCCCTTCTCTGTTTTTTCAAAGCCACCCCCTGGGATGACTTCCTTCTGATACTGATGTGCAAGCAGCAGAATCATCTGCTTCCTTCTGATACACTTCCTTGACCAGGCGCTCTGGGAGAAGAGGGCTAGGCTTGTCCTCTGACTCACTCATGTCTTTGTCCCTGGTGCTTCAGCACATGGGGCCACTCGATAATGGTTGCAATGTATTTATTCTGCCAATATTCACTGAGTGCCCACCATGGGTCAGGCTCCATACTAGGTTTTAAGAGTAAGGAAGTAAAGAAGACAACAAAGTCGGCTTGGGTCTCACATTCTCGTAGATGTGGATAGTCGCCAAACAAATCCCGCACTGAAGACACCTGACTAGACATTTCTGGCTTAAGCTAGCCCACCCCAGCCTGAAGGCAATACAGGGCTGGCTCTGCATGCCGTCAGATAAATCGTCTTCCTCCAGTGAGCCAGTGGCTTGTCTGCAGTCAAAGGAGGTCAGAAGCCAGAGCCTCTGGGGGCCTATAACATTGTGCTGTTGTAAAGTCTTAACTAAAGCTCAGATCTGCCACAGTGCTCACTCGCACACGTGGTCCTGTAACTGCAGGATCAGGGCTCACTGTTTCACTCGTAAAAAATAATCTTGTGTATCTTTGCAGGGGAGATGTTCCAACAGGGCTTATCCTTGGGGCAGCCATTCAAGGTGAAGTCATCTTTCCCATTATCTTAGTTTTCATGGGTGATGAAGTGGGTTTGAATTAAGTCCTGGAAGCTTGAGTACATTTATGTAACTCACCATGACTGGCCAGAATGGTAATGATTGCTATTACTCTATTGAAACAACAACAGTAACCATGGCGGCTATCACTTATTGAATACCCACTATGTCTCAGTTGTCAATAAATGCCCTATTCAGAATGGAATTCTGTCCCAAATGCTAACCAGCCTGTCCAGAAAATAACTTGGTGCAGTGGAAAATGTGTGTGCTGTGGAGTCAGGCAGATCTGGGATTCACTCCCAGCATGGTTGCTTGTTAGCTGTGGGACTTAGGCAAGTTTCTCACTTCTCTGAACTTTGGGGTGGTCCTTGTAAAGCGATAAACTCAGACTCATTGGGTTGTTAAGGAGAATAAAATGTAGTGCACGTATTACATCTCACCCACTGCCTGGCACACAGTCAGTACTCGAAGCTTAGTTGGTTTTCCCTGTGGCACACTGGAAACCTCTCTCTGAGTCTCTTGGGCTCATGGGCGAGAGTAGGTCTGGACCCTGAAGCCCATATCTGCAGCCCTGCCTGGGTCTCCTGTCTGTCCAGGACTGTGAGCTCTGTGGCATTGCCCACTTTGGGTTTGTGAGAATTTCTGCTGCCTGGAATCTCCTCCTGCTGAGTCTTCCTGAACTTCTCCTGCCCTTCCCATTGGACTTGACCTCAAGCAACCATGAACTCGTGAACTGTTGCATTCAATTCTTTATCCACCTGAGTTGAGGAGAAACATTTATTTTAACAAAAGCTGCCAAGACTCAATAGAAGCCCAACCTGGGAGAACAGAGCCAATGAGTGCTCCGTGAGCAGGTGTGTAGGACAGTTCAATTTAGATTTCATTATGGTTCTTTGGTGGGAAGTACGGGGTGGGTGTTGGCCCTCAAGACGTCATGGCACAGACCAGCCCTGGGGTGCAAGCTAGTAGTGGTGGGCTGGAGACACAGTTTGCATACTGATTGACATCCCTTCTGAATAATAGGAGATGAATACTCCCTACCTGCCTGGTTGGTTCTAAGTGCCGTAAGTTCATTGTCCCTAGTCCTGGCACAAATATCCTTGATAGATAGGCATCAAAGGCTTAAGAGGATCAAACAGCTGGTGTGCAAATACCCCAGGACCATTTCATGGGCCCCCAGTAGATGGAAGCTGTTATTCAGAAGCCAGCGTTTAAAGAGGTTAAATGATTTACCCAAGGACCTGATTCCATGTCTCAAATTATTTCAAAGTCTGTCTCTTTTATTTTTTTTTGCCAAGCCTTTTCTGCAACCAGGAAGGGCAGAGATATTCTAGGAGGATTTAACTGTAGGAGATATAAATATTTATCGAACAAATATAAACACATGAATGAGTGAGTGAATGAATAAAATATTCATTCTTCTGTAGAAATATTCATTTCTTCTCTAGAAATAATCTATTATAGAGCCTTCCAGAATGACTGGCCCTAAACCCTTTCCCCCATTACCACCAAGCCTCCATAGTCCTGGCTCTCACACTCAACAGCTCAGTCATGAGGTAAATTGTGGCCATTAGAGTAGTTTAATCCCACGTTTCCACCAGGGTTCCTAAATGAAACAAATTTTCATCTCATTCTCTTGCATGAAGCCAACATCTTCACCATGAGATAAATACATATACTTATATATTCATATACACATTTATCCAATGTGTATTTGGAGATTAACCATATGCTTGGTACTCTTCAATGACCTGGGAATAGAAAGATAATTAAGAAAGAGCAGGGAAGGACTCCAAAACAGTTCACCTTCTGGTAGTCAATCAGATACCATGGTTCCGCAGGAACACAGAAAAGCTGTCTTAACGGATCAGTACGAGTTTGCCAGACAGAAGGAGTAACTTGTGAAAAGGTGCCAAGGGCTGGGAGGCCATTGGCCTGTGACAAGCTCAGCTCTGGTTGGAGGGGCAATGTCGCAGACAGGCATGGGTGTGGTTCATTCCTGTTCTGACACTCACCAGTTTTTTGATTTTGGTCAAATTATTTCATTCTCAATGTGTTAGTTTCTTTATTTTAGAACTTGGGATGTTGTTGCTGAGGATGATGATGTTAAAAATAAAAAAGGTGAGCTGTAGCCCTTATGTGCCTGATGTTGCTCTAAGTGTTTTACATTAATTCCCTTAATCTTCAAAATGCTCCAGTTAGATAGTTTTCTCTGTTTTAGAGACAAGGAAACTGAGTAAAGTACCTCAACAAGTTATTGTGATGGTGCAATGAAAAGAAACGTGTGTGTGTGCATGTGTGTGTGTGTGTGTGTGCATGTGTGTGTGTGCGTGTGTGTGTGTGTGTGTGTGTGTGTGTATGTGGAAAATATGCTCTCAGGACTCTCTGTTCAGAACCATGACTCTTTAGATTCCAAGGTAACAAAGAGAAATAAAACTTGCCTGATTAGAAAGTCTTTAAGTAATTTTGTTGATATTGCCAAGTCTGCCACATTCTGAGAGCAAGGGATTGATCCTTTCTACCATGTTTTTAAAGAAATCATAGGGGGAAAAATGCCCTCACCCATCAAAGCATTTTACAACTCTTTTTCCAAGGTCAGCCTTCTGTTACTACTATGACCTCCTTAGACATTAACAGGGGAGCCTTGAGACTGCCACTGTGAACTTTGCCCCTGTTGAGAAATGCTTGTCTTATGATGTCCCTTCTGATATTCTCCGTGGGGACACTCAGCATCTTGCATCATTCGGCCGGACAGTTTGGAGTAGAATCCTCTCCTAGGTTTAAGAGCAAAAGACCAAACAGATGCTCAGCATTCCATAAAACCTACATGGCCACTAGGAGAAAGGCAAAGCTTTCTAGAACAATGTAGGCAGTCAGCAGTATGTTCCCAGCTGGCTCTCAATAAATAATGGCCAGTGGGATCATAAGACAGCGTCAATAGGGGAAAAATAAAGGGCTCAGTGGAGAACATCTGACTCCAAACTTCTGTGATGGGAGTATGATGGCTGGACATGGAAGGCATGACCAAATCAATGAGGCTCTTGTAGGCTAGGCTGTGGGGTCTGAAAGTCTTCCCATAGTTAGTGGGAAAATGTTGAAAGATTGAACCATGTGTATACTCTATTGTTGCCAGAGAAATCACTCTTGCAGCAGTAGGGTAGGTAAATGGGAAGGGACCATAGAAGAGGAGAGTTGGATAAACTAAGGGGCCATTGTTGTGTCACAGTGGGAAAGGATGAGGTTCTGAACTCAGAAACAGTGGGCTGGTAGAGAAGGAGACACATTTGTGCAATATTTAGGAAGCAAAATTGTAGAGCAGGAATGGATCTGAAGTCAATGAAAAACTCTTCATAGCTCTAGTTGTTGGGCTTCCCCAGAAGATGACATTGAAAGGAAGGTTTGGATGCAAGTTGTTCATTTAGGAGGAGATCTCAGGAAGCACAAAGTATTTCCTTGAGTCAGGACCTCCAAGTCCTCCCCTAACTGTAAGTAAGACCGGAAAGGGAAGGAATACACTGTAGGATGCCTTAAGAAGCAAATTACCACTCTGGGCAGCCAGAGTTCATCCCACTGTGGTCTTCTGGGATACTGTGTAGAACATGCCCCCAGGTTGTCTCATCCAAAGGGTGAGAGAGCTGGGGTATTTATCCTCCAACTTCCATGTGGGATTGTTGAGAGCTGTTCACAGGGAGGAACATTAGTTCCATGACATTTCCATTCTGCCCTAGAGCTAGACACATTTCTTCCCACAAACAGGTTCCATTAGTAAGAAGATTAATAGCAATCAGGTGGCAAGCTCCTGTGGCCAAGGAAGGCCCTATGCAAAGAATCAAAGGTGCTAACAGTAAGAATTCCTGGGCATATACCAGGTGGTGAGTGCTGGGGGGATGTAGGTAGATACCAATAATATGTTCTAGCTTTTTTGATTTTTTTCTTTTAAAAGGAGACCATGGAGGTAAAGCTCTAATAGGATGCTTACATCTCAGGTCACTAAGGTCACCTGGGATAGCAGATGAGTACAGGCTCCATATGGGCTCAGCCATGACTGGTTGAGTGTCCTGCAGGAGATGAGCTGGGGCCTGCTGCCCAGCCTGGCACCTGTCCTACTGTGATCTGCACTGGGCATAGAACTCCAGCCTCATGTGTCTGCCAATGCTTACTGCCTTAATAAAACACAAGGGCTGTCAGCAAAAGGACTTTATTGCCACTAGCAGAACTTTTGTGAAATGATAAAAATGAGCTAGCTGTGCCTTACAGAAAGCTACTATGCAATGATATACGCAGGCTGATGGCCGTAGGTTAACCCATTAATAAAGAGGAGGTGAGGAGCATGGCATTGTTGGCTATAATGAATGCTAATGAGGTGGCCCTGCTAATGGGACTCCTTTCTTCATTCTGTTATTACACTCAGCAGTTATGCAACATTGATTACCATCTACTTCTTGCATCTCTAGGCTGAGAAATGGGTGACTTAATGGAGATGTTTCACCCAGCAAAACAGTGATTGGGTTAGGAAAACTAGAAACTGGAGAAGAGAGTTGGTTACATTATAATCTGATTTAATGCTTCAAAAGATAGTGTTTTTTACACATTGGGTCTTTAAAAACAACCTGTTTTATTCAGGCTGAACTGCAGAAAAGGCTGCATGTCTTAATGCTTTTGACATATATAAAGAAATATGCCTATGACTCCTTCAAATGATGTGCTGCAAATTTGGACATAATAGAAATCTTTATGAGAATTGCATTTCTTCCTCTGCGGTCACTGATTCTAAGTTTGAAGGAGCTGTAGAATCTGTCCCTGCTTTCCACGCCCATCACCACTGCCTTGGTTTAGACCTTAGCATCTGTTACCTGGAAGTCTCAATAGCCCCTTCTTGGAGTGGCTCTTCTTCCCTTTAAGCCCACCCTATTCTGCCTCTATCTTAGCAATCTCTACCAGAATGGTCTTCCCAAAACCCAAATCTGATCCTATGATTCTATTGTTTCAAAAACTTCCAGTATTTCTCATCATCTAAACCGGTGGCCTGAAGATACCCTCTGACCAGTAGATGTCTGTTATTTCACCAGGTCAATATTCATTTGTAATATGAATTTTGGAAGCTTTTTCATTAAAACGGGAACAGCACATTGGTTACAGATTTCATTAATCTTTTCTGTTTTCAATATAATTCTTCATGACTTGCCTGATCCCTATTGGTACTGAAGATTGCAAGTCCTACCTACCACAAAAGGGCTTGTATTATCTGCCTTCTACCTACTTTTCCCACATCGTTTTTGCCATTCCCACCTGCCTATTAAAATGCAGAAGGTTTTAGAATATACTCTGCTTTCTCTTGGTCCCAAACCTTTCCATATGCTATTCCTGCGACTTGAATGCTTTTTCCACCTCGGCTTTCAGACTCATTATGTGTACGTTACATGTGTATATATTATATATGTGTATATTGCTTATGCAATAATGGATGCTGGAAGGTCCAAAATTTGCAGAGTAGTCCAACAGGGTAGAAACCCAGGGAAGGGTGGATGTTGCAGTTGGACTCCAAAGGCCGCCTGGTGGCAAAATTCTTCCTTGCTTGGGGCAGGTCAGTCTTTGTTCTATTAAAGCCTTCGAATGATTGGATGACACTCACCATGTTAGGGAGGGCAATCGGCTTTACTCAGAGTCCACCAATTTAAATGTTAATCTCATCTAAAAAACACCTTCACAGAAACATAAAGAATAATGTTTGAACAAATATCTGGGCACCATGATGCAGCCAAGTGAACACATAGAATTAGCCCTCATGATAAACAGTACTAAAGGGTTTGAAGTCGTAGATAATGCTACTTCATACATGTTGTCATCTTCCGTACTTCCTGTTGATCTCATTTTCCAGTTTAGCAGAGATTTTTCTCTAAGTTGAATGATCTCTTGGGCAGCCTGATTGGTGCTCAACATCTCAGGAGACACTCATAAGCCAGTCAGCTCCCAAGAATGGAGGAGGCGTTATGAGCCGTCATTCATAGCTCCTAACTAGGAGCTTAACACATAGTGCTTAGAATATGTTTTTATCTTATGTCAAGGCACCAGTGTAGAATCATTGCCGGTCATATACTAAGCACTGGGCTACTCTTTGAGGGTCATTGTTTTACTTAATCCATAGATAATACAAGTAAGGTAGGTGCTATCCTTGGCCCCGTTTTATAGATGAAGAAATGGAAGCTCAGAGAGGTTGAGGATTTGGCTAGTGCCCCTAGTTCTGGCTATCTACTGCGGCAAAATGTGTGTCCCAAACTTAACTGTGTAAAACAACTACCGTTCTGTTGTGCTCAGGAGTCTGTGCTCAGGAGGCTGCCCAAGAAGATCATTCAACTTAGAAAAAAACACAGACAGAACACAATGGGGTGGCTGATTTCTGTTCCACAGTGACTGAGGTCTCAGCTAGTTTGGCTCAAATGCCTGGAGGTGTCACGTGGAGGTGTCAACCAGATAAGTGGTTCTGGTGGCTTGGTTCTGGATGCCGGTTAGATTCCTCAGGTTTTCTTCATTTCAGGTTTGCTGGGGTTGGAATTCAAGTGCACTTTTTTCACACATGTGCTTGGGCTGTTCTGACCTCAATCTCTCTCCCTATAGCTTCACAGTGTGGTGGTCTCAGGGTAATCAGACTTCTTGCATGGGAGCTGGCTTCCCCCAGAGTGTGAGTTGCAAAAGTCTGCAAGACTTCTCATGACCTGGCCTCAGAAGTTTGAGATTGTCACATCTACAATAAGCTGTTGATCAAGCTGATCACTCAAGCCAGTCCACACGTGATGGGAGGGTTATTAGACTCCATCTCTCAATGGGAGGAGAGCAAAAAATTTCAACCATCTTTAATCTACCATACCCATAATTAGTGAGAGGCAGAACTGGGACTTGGAGCTGATTTGCTTGACTTCAAAATCCTTGCTTTTTTCCTAAATTGCTTTGTCTCTGCCACCATCCTGTGTATGATGGCCACAGGGTTCCTAATTATGAGCAGGACCCCGGGTCACCATGTAAATAGATAGGCAGCTGCAAGAGTGTTATGAGATGACACCCCACAATGTGTCAGGGTGGGGCAATGAGAAGGGCAAGTGCCAACTTCCTGCTGGGTGAAAGGGACACCGATGTCATCGCTCATGCTGCAGGGGGCCTCAGGCTTGACAGGAGAGCAGTATTTCAGAACTGCAGGGAAAATGCTAATGACCAATGCTAATGAGGAAGGGGAAGCAAGGGGAGAGGGAACGAGTTAAAGAAAAGAAGCCAAGAAGAGGAATAAAGTACTTGGGAGAGGAGGTGGTGAGGCCACGTCTTCTGCTGCAATCTCCCCCAGGAAGGATGAAGATACTCTACAAGTCAGTCCTTCAAACAGAAGAAAGCAAGGACCCTATTCTCCAGGGCTTTCCTTCACTAGACAGATGGGTGGATGACTACAACTGTGATCTCAGAGGAATGAAGGAACCCCAGGAAGGACACTGTAGAAAGAGGCAAGAGAGCCCCTCTTGAGCTCACTTATTTTGGTTTCTCCTGCCTTTCGTCTTTATCTCTGGGGGACAGTTATTATAATTCATTGAAGAATTAAGTACTGTTTTTAAAAAACTGACTAAAGCATCCAGTTCAGAGCCCTTCTATGAGCAACTATTTATAGCTTGTGAGGGATTCTTATCTGGATTGCAGAAGGGAGCTTGATTTCTAATTTCCAACAGCAGTATTTTCATGTAATTGAAAACTCAGTTTTTAAAATGTGGCATTGACTTTCCGCACATAATTGCTCTCTTAACACTTTCACAATGTAGAGAGGAGAGGAGAGGGTGTCATAAAATGTTTGCTATGGACCCTGAGCGCAGGAGCTTGAGACCAGCCTGGACAACATAGGGAGACCCTATCTCAAGAAACAAACCAAAAATGTGTGTAAGGTCTTGTTGGCTGCCTCCTGTCAGCTGATTCTTTTCTTGCTTACCAATGGGTCTTTATTACTGTTTGGAGTGAATGTGCCCGTGTCTCAGACATGAGTCATGAACGGTGTCAGCCAGTCATGACAATGCCATGCCCTTGGCCAGCGATCAGTGTAGAAGTGAAAATGTGACCTCCCCATCATGGCTAATGAGATGTTATGGGAAGTCAGCTGGGGTATTCTGGGTAAAATTCTTCCTCCTAAGGCAATAAAGCAGAGTCCAGAAGAAGACACTTCTTGCTCCCATCCTGTTCGTTTTGAGCAATCGTATGTGAGGATGTAATGCTTTGAGATCTGTAGCCATCTTATGACATGAGGAACAAGACATTTTTTTTCCAGAGATGTTGACCCAGTGCTCTGATATTTTTGAGTCACAGAATCAGTCCTCCCAGGGCCTGCCCTCAGATCTCTGGATTTCAAGCCACACTTAGTTAAGTATTCTGTTACTTGAAACCAACAGCTGCCTAATGTGTACATTTGGTCACAGGGTCCAACCATCCGGTGTTTGAAGCCAGGCCTGCATTTCAAATGAGAGAATGTGGCGCAGTACCCTCTGGATTTACTACTGGTTTCACTGAGAGGGTAGCAGATTTCCTATTTCTAGGCCCAGGACTCCTTTCCTGGCTTACCTGTGGTGTGTGTGCTGTGTGTGTGTGAGGGGGGGCAGTGGTGGGGAAGAGGGGGAAGTGGGAGGAGAGAGAGAGAAAGAGAGAGAGAGAGAGAGAGAGATTGAAGAAGAGAGAGGTAATATTTTGATTAAAATTCTCCATCTTAAGGTTGCAGTGAGCCGAGATTGTGCCACTGCACTCCAGCCTGGGCAACAGAGTAAGACTCTGTCTCAAAAAAAAAAAAAAAATTCTCCATCTTAGAAAAATTATGTCTTGGCACAGCTGCTGAGGAACCCCTTTTAAACCAGAGCCCTATTTGAAGAGGAACCCTTTGCTGGATTCTATTTTCCCCATATAATAGATTTGCATTATGGGGTCTGCAGTCTTACAAAAGAAAATCAAATATTTTCGGAT
This sequence comes from Homo sapiens, assembly GCF_000001405.40. NCBI lineage: Eukaryota > Metazoa > Chordata > Mammalia > Primates > Hominidae > Homo > Homo sapiens. The sequence continues at coordinate 98,125,942 of NC_000015.10, read as the reverse complement.
TGGGTAATTCTCAAAGTGCCAGGATGCAGATTCCTTCAGCGTTTTCGTAACTGTGGTGATCATCACCTTACATCCTCTCAATTGCAAATTCTCTCTTCAGTCCCTCCTGGGCCATAATGGATGTTTTTTCCTTCACAGTGAACACCATAGTGAGCCTGGTCAGCAGAGGGGACTGGAGGGTCATTGCAGGAGGAAGGGCACCTCTTTCTGGTTCCAGTAGCTGCGTTTTTGTTGTTTTTTCCTGGCTCCCACTGCAAGGATCAGTCAGGGATGTGGCTGTCGGGGCCATCTGGTGTGCCCTAGCCCTGCGGCCAGAGTGCACAGACCCCTGGCATCTTTGCTGCCTGTCCTGGCCCATCAACCACCTTCCCAGAGCACTCCCAGTTCAGACACACACACACACATGCCCAGGCCTTGCATTCTCTCCTTATGGGTGGACTGCCAGCACCGTGACCCATTCTGTGCCCATCCACCAGCCTGCACCCTGGAGGGCTGCTTCCCGCTTGCCTGGTAGCTGTGGGGCAGCTCTGGCTTAGGCATCCTGGTGAACTCCTCCATCATCCAGTTGGCTGCAGCCACACCTTCTCCTATGAGGCCTGAACACCAGCCTGAGGGAAATCTGCCCTTCCTTGGGTCCTATTAGAGTCCTCATTTCATATTTACAGCCACTCTGGTATCATAGAGAACAATTCTTTATATTAAATTTCTCCTTGTCCCATACAGGACAGTCCATCTTCTCAGCATCTTTCCATTACTCATCAGGTTTCTGCCTCTTGGACCCAGCTTGATGCACTGAGTTTCAGAGTTAAGCACTATGTAGGATAAGATTTTAATGATTAATGTTTGTGGCATAGTTATCCACATGATGGGGAAAAGCTTGTCACCTGCAAGCGGAAGTCCCTTAGAAGGAGGCAGAGTATATCCATAGCTGCATTGACTGAGCCGGCAGTGGGAGGATGCAGGGAGGTGAAGGGGCATTGGGCATGGTGGCTGCCGATTTCTCGAAGAGCAAATGAGGACGCTGCCAAAGGAAGGCCACGTGGAGGGCCATACGCTTCCTGGCCACTTGCCTGAGAACCACCAGTGCAGTGGGATAAAACACTAAATATGCTCCAAACCTTTTAAGTCAGCATTACTGAGAGTGTTCCCTAGCAATCTTGCCTTACAAATCCTCCCAAGGGCATTCTGAATCACATGAAAAGCATGCAACCCCCTGCTTCAGGGAAGGTCTCCCACCAAAGGCCCTTTCAAAGGATCAGACAGCACCTGGAGAAGTTTCTCAAATGCCAGCTCCAGGGCTCATGAGGGCATGTGCCCTAGAAATGCGATTTTACAAGTGAGGAGGGGGTTTCCCATGCCTGAGTTTGAAGACGCTGCTGTGAACACTAGATTTAGAAACGGAGTGAGGAAGGATTTATTTTGGAAGAAAAAATGAGGGAGAAAAAAACCATTTCTGATTGAGCCCGCAAAACCTCCTGGAGCAGGTGAAGGTGAAGCATCTTTGCATGAGATTTAAGGATGAAATGGTCCAGAGTCAGCAGGATTATCAGGCTGAAGCAGGTTGGCAGATTGTCAGATATGGATGGCATAGGGGCAGGGGAGTGTGAACCCATCAAAACACGTTTGGGCTGCCGGACAACATGAGGAGGGCCCCAGGGGAAGGATTGCCAAGGATCCCCTGGTGATACCGAGCTGTGATGGAGCACTGCCCAGGGCGGTCCTGAGACCTGTGCCTGGTACCGTCTTAGGCACTTAGAGTCAGTGCTGCTGGTGTCCTGCCGGATTCTTCCAGAATCCCCTGTCCACCTAGGGGTGCTCCCTGAGAATGCCAGAGCCCCTGTCAGGGGATGTTCATCTGCCTCCTGGAGCAGGTCTAGACTCGCCCACAGGATGAGCTCTGAGCCAGGGGATTAATGGCTCTGGGCATACCCAGTAACTAGCATTTCCAAATTCCTGACACATTACTTATCTCAGGGATTCGAGGATAAGACATCTAAATTCCTGACACATTACTTATCTTAGGGATTCGAGGATAAGACATCTAAATTCCTGGGAACTCCTAAAATCATAAATTATTCTGCATTATAGTTGTGTTTACAAAGTGAAAGTAGTATTTAGTATTTTAATAGTATTTTTAAAGGTGCTTTAGTTGTATCTACAAAGAATCATAGCCTATGGCAAATATTCAAATGCTAGAAAACATGGGGTAGTGTTTGTGTAACACAACATTCAACGTTCTAGCAGGGTTAACAGCACTACACAGAACCACATGTCAAAATGGCCAATTTAAGGACTTCTTTGATTGCTTCCTCGTTATTGTTTGAAACACCAGCACCACTCATATGTTTTGAATGAGGCACATGAAGCATAAGAACTGATTAATATTTATTGTAATTGCAAGAATGGCATGAGCAGCAACCAGGACCAGGAACACACCCTTGTCACATGGCCACTGTGTGAAGAAGGCTGACTGCTGACTGGTTAGATGTGATGTTTCTCCGCTGCGTGCTCCTGTCCTGGTTCCAGGAAGTGTGACCTTCACCTTCCACTCTCCATGGCAGCCTTCCCTGCTGTTGCTTTAGACCTGACTCAGTGGGTTTGTTAGGACCAGTGATAGTTCTTTGTTGGTTGTTAATATTTACAATTCTGTTTCCCATGTCCTTGAACTCTCACATGATTTTTCTTGGGATTTGGGGTTTAGGATATAAAAACCTTCTGAGAAATTCCAGGAGGGAATTCCCACATGGAAACACTACCTTCAACCCATGAGAAGCAGGGAGTTGGGATAATTTTCAGGCTAATTATGGACTTGCCATCTCTTAAGATTCTTCAGTGAGGTTGAATTCCAGTTGCGGAGAGCAGTAACCGACTCCATAGCATAGACTTCAGTGTGGCATCTTTCTGTTCCCTGTTTAATTTCCACATTCCCTACCATTTGTTTGTTTGTGGGGAGGTGGGGGTTAGGGAGCTGTTATGGGCTGAATTGTGTCCTCTCAAATTCATGTGTTGATATCCTAACCCCTAGTACCCCCATATGTGACTGTGTTTGGAGATATCATCTTTGCAGAGGTAATTAAATTAAAATGAGGTCATGAATTCTAATCCAATAGAACTGGTGTCCTTATAAGAGAAATTTAAACACAGAAATGCACAGAGGGAGGACCCTATGAAGACTCAGAGAGAAGATGGCCATCTGTAAGCTAAGGAGAGAGGCATCAGCAGAAACCAACTCTGTGGACACCTTGATCTTGGACTTCCAGCCTCCGGAAGTGTGAGACACTGAATTTCGGTATATAAGCCAGTCAATCCATGGTACATGGTTATGGAAGCCCTAGTAAGCAAATACAAATTTATGTCCAAATAAACTACTTGCATGTGAATCTTTGTCTCATGATCTGCTAAAGTAGGACCCAAACTAAGAAGACAGTGTTTCCTTTAATCTTCACAACAAATTTGAATGGTAGGCTTGAACATCTTTGTTAACAGATTAGAAAAGTGAAACCTAGAAAGATAAAGATAAGGGAAACTTCAAAATCAGTCTTGTTTAAATCCAAGACCCATCCATGCTCTTTTCCACCCACACGGCCCTCCTCTCCCCCATATAGCCTGAAGATGATCCCTCTGGCTGTCTCGTTTAAACAGACTTTGCATGCCATGTGGATTCCAAATTTGGCTGGCCAGGGCAGGACTGCAGCCTGAGGATAGCTCTTCTGTTGATTTAAGTGGAATAAACAGGCCTTGGTCTTGTCTCCTGGAGAGAGCACATGGGGAGTGGCAAGGCCCTGGGCTTGTCTCTAGAGTGCCTGTTTATGTGACATCACTGAAAGGTGAAGGAGCGGGTGAATGGGGAAATGTTTTAAATTTCATCATGTACGCTTGGACTCATGGTGGAGGTCAGAGTCCTTTCAAAGTAGGAAAATATGAATTTGAAAAGCAGCAAAATATTGGGAGAATACTGCTTATGGAGAAGGAACTTGACCTCAAATTGGAAAGGACTGTAGGTATGTTCTTTTGTGAAGGAAGAGCAGATGCAAGTGAGTGAGCTCTGGAGAATTTCAAGGAGAAAGAGGAACAGGGGTCACGATATGCTGGGGGCTGGGAGAGTGACTGAGACCCAGGTGAGTGTCTGTAGGAGGAAAAGGAAGCTGGAAACGCAGGCCATTTGGAAAGGAGGCTCAGAAGCCTGGTGTTGTAATGTTTCTGTGGTAGAAAGATTTATCCCGGTTAGTGGCTCAGGGTACTTAGAGACAGATGTGGCCCTCCTTCAGCAACGTGGCCAGATCATCTGTTTTGCTTTCTCCATAAATATGTCTCTCTGAATGTCGACAGGGAGAGATTTGGAAATAAAACAAAAAAACATTTTCTATGAGCATAAAAGGCTTAATTTATCACCAGCCAAATGAAAATGATTTGTTTTTTAAAAAGACTGTTTGCTGAACAAATGTTTCAAAAACGCAATAGATTATTGCAATTATTGTACCCACTTTAAAAAAAATTTACCAACGGACGGACAGGTGTTCTAAAAATGTTTTCATACATTTCTCTCTGTGAAGGTGGAATCTAAGACGAAATTGCCTGGGAAATGTTTCATGTACAGTAAGGCTGTTTAAGGGAAGGCACAGACTTTTCAAGTTGTTTAGCCGCTGCTCTTTGGGGCTGCATCTGAGGTGAGCTTCTAGGTGTGCTCTGAGAAGTTGCTCTGACATTCTTGCTATTGTATTGACCACAGGGATGATGTTGGTGTTCTCGTCCACATCACAAGGCTCACACTGTAGCAGGACCCAGAGAACAAACACCTCTCAGACCTTAGTGTCAAGAAAAACATATGGAAGGTTTTTGTTTTGTGGATCTTGTAACTCTTGGAAATGACCGCATTTCCCTCTTGTCACTGGGAATCTTAGATTCATGTTTGTGGCTCATGTTTTATAGATGTGTAGCATCCCTGGGGTAAATTTTGTGTGCCAAATGTGATTTTATTTTATTCCTCTTTCCTCATTTCCCTGTAGTTCTGATTGACTTTACTTATTTTCACCCCATGGTATGGATTTTGTGTTTCATCGAGGTCTTTTAGACTAAGAGGCTGTAGTGGATGTTGTTGTGTGTTGCCTGAATCTCCCTTGAAAAATCAAGGCACTCATCGCTCCAGCTGACCACTGCCTGCTGATGACTCATAGCGTGTGCCTCAGCAGGAGTTGCCCTGTCTTTGTCTAATTGGAGCTGTCTCATCCAAGGGAGGCTAGTCCACTCCCTGGGGGCAGCCTGCATCCAAAGACTGGTTGATGGAGTGGCACAAAGGCCTGGTGGCTGTATTAGTCCATTTTCATACTGCTATGAAGAAATGTTCAAGACTGGGTAATTGATAAAGAAAAAGAAGTTTAATAGACTCATAGTTCCATATGGCTGGGGAGGCCTCACAGTCATGGTGGAAGGTGAAGGAGGAGCAAGACACATCTTGCACGGTGACAGGCAAGAGAGTCTGTGCAGGGGAACTGCTCTCTATAAAACCATTAGATCTCATGAGACTTATTCACTATCATGAGAACAGCATGTGAAAAACCCGCCCTCATGATTCGGTTACCTCCCACTGGGTCCCTCAGGGATGTGGGGATTATGGGAGCTACAATTCAAGATGAGATTTAGGTGGGGACACAGCCAAACTATATCAGTGACCTTGCTTTGATTTAGGATAACTCAGCTTCAGAGCCACCCCAGCCTCACAGCTCCTTGTGAGATCCTCTGAGGATGCTGGTGCAATTGCTCCCAAAGCCTCTGTGCCTGACTCTCCATCTCAAAGCCTGTTTCCTGGGAATCTGAGCAACAGCAGTTGATGCCAGCAGTGGGATGAGGAAGCAGATTTTAAAATGGGATTTTGGAGCTGGATCAGATGGTAATGAAAGCCCATTCCTGGTGGTAAATGGAGTCCTGATTGCTACAGGCATGGGGTAGTGTGGTTCTGGCAGAGTAGGGGCCTCGGTGGGGCTGCCAGAGGAAGGGAATGCATGGTGGGCACAAAGTCTAAGGCATTAAACAGTGTAGTCAAACTTTAAAAGTTAGAAATCATAAGGACTATGGGATTGGATGGTTATCAATGGATGGGGCCATCAATATATTGCAGCGAGACAATGAAAGGCTGTGAGTGATCAATCACCAACTTAAGGCTCAGTGTGGAAACTGGAAGGCATCTCTGACAGCTTTTAAAGAGACTTGCTCTAGGCAGAGGGCAGAAAAAAACCCAGGATTAGACCTGGAACTTATTATGAGAGTAGAGGAAGCACTGAGAAGACAGGTCTGGTTTGAAACAGTCAGGGTCCCGATTAGGTTAGGCTCCCTGAGAATTGGGATGGGACATCTGCATTGATGTACTAAAAAATCCTGTTTCCTAGGTCGGGCACGGTGGCTCATGCCTGTAATCCCAGTACTTTTGGAGGCTGAGACAAGCGAATCGCTTGAGGCCAGGAGTTGGAGATCTGTCTGGCCAACATGGCGAAACCCCATTCCTAGTAAAAATACAAAAATTAGCCAGGCATGATGGCATGCATCTATAGTCCCAGCTACTGGGGAGGCTGAAGCATGATAACTGCTCGAACCTGGGAGGCAGAGGTTGCAGTGAGCCGAGATCCTGCCACTGCACTCCAGCCTGGGCAACAGAGCAAGACTCCATCTCAAAAAAAAAAAAAAAAGAAAAATCCCCTCAACCCTCTGGGCCTGTATGAGCCCACTCTTCCATGTTAAAGATTAGTTCTCCTCCCTTACTCCAAGATAATGCAAAGGCCTCTGTCTTGCAGATAAAATGTCCCCTCTGCCCACCACCCCCAAGATCTACCTCCACCTTCTGTCTTGTCCTTCAGACCAATATATAGGATTCAGTCACAACCTAAGATGGCTGGCTAAGGGATGGGCCAGCAAAGTGAAGAAAGGAACTATATTTTGAAGGAGCTGAAGGACTAGTCAACTTGAAACTGCAGGATGTAGGAGAATATGTATGGGACTGGATCCTCAGATGCTTAGAGGTAGAACATAAAATTGGATAAGGAATGGTTTATGGATAGGGGAGCATTTGTCCATGATACAGGAGTAGCCTTCTGGCTAGGAACCTGGGAGACGGTGCTAATACATTGCTAGCATGACGCTTGAAGCTTGGGGAAAGCAAAAGCATACACCAAGTGAAGGAGGAGTCCTAGCACTGCCATGTCAGGGGAAGACAAGAAGGATCAAAGGGCTCAGAGAGGCAGGGCATGGTGGCTCACGCCTGTAATCTCAGGCGTGATTGGGAGGCTGAGGCGGGTGGATCACCTGAGGTCTGGAGTTTGAGACCAGGTTGGCCAACATGGTGAAACACCATCTCTATTAAAAATGCAAAAAATTAGCTGGGCGTGGTGGCTGGCACCTGTAATCCCAGCTACTTGGGAGGCTGAGGCAGGAGAATCGCTTGAACCCATGGGGTGGAGGTTGCAGTGAGCTGAGATTGCGCCATTGCACTCCAGCCTGGGCAACAAGAGTGAAACTCTGTCTCAAGGAAAAAAAAAAGGGCTCAAAGAAGCAGGCATCCTGGAGTGAATATACTATGTATATAATATGTAGGCCTGCCACTCCAAAATCCCATGTTCCAAAAAAAGTACTTTAGGTAAAAGATATACATTTTCTTTATTACTGTCATCCTTTGATCTTAAGGCTTCTGTTGCTAATGAAACTTTTGGCATCACTGCTGTTGCTTGAGAACAAACAGATCTTCCTCTCTGAACAATCTCCCATCCTTCAGCATCTTTCCTTTCTATGCAAGAGAAGAAAACAAATCAAGATTTCTTAGATGATAAAAAATACTTGGAAGTCTATAAAATAAAAACATTTCCTAGTTTAACTTCCCTTAAATATAACAGATATACAAACATGAGAACATTTTACCTACCAAGGCCATGAAGGAGTGCCCTGTTGAGAAGGCAGCAGCATATTTGATAAACTCCATAGTAGCTGTCTTCTGTAAACCATGGCTGATGATAAATACTGTTCTAGAAATGGGCTTACTGATAGCACTGGGCTGGACGGTGGTGCTTAACCATCAGAGCAAAGCACACCCGACTTTTTTTTTTTTTATATTATGAATGTACCCTACAGCACCCAGTCCTAGAAGTATATAGTCAGTAAAGGAGAAATGGTTATTACAATATACAGAACCAGAAGCTATTCTGTGGAAAATTTTGTTTTTTTTAATTATTGTTATACTTTAAGTTTCAGGGTACATGTGCACAACGTGCAGGTTAGTTACATATGTATGCATGTGCCATGTTGGTGTGCTGCACCCATTAACTCATCATTTAGCATTAGGTATATCTCCTAATGCTATCCCTCCCCCCTCCCCCCACGCCACAACAGTCCCTGGTGTGTGATGTTCCCTTTCCTGTGTCCATGTGTTCTCTTTGTTCAATTCCCACCTATGAGTGAGAGGATGTGGTGTTTGGTTTTCTGTTCTTGCGATAGTTCGCTGAGAATAATGGTTTCCAGCTTCATCCATGTCCCTACAAAGGACATGAACTCATCCTTTTTTATGGCTGCGTAGTATTCCATGGTGTATATGTGCCACATTTTCTTAATCCAGTCTATCATTGTTGGACATTCAGGTTGCTTCCAAGTCTTTGCTATTGTGAATAGTGCCGCAATAAACATATGTGTGCATGTGTCTTTATAGCACCATGATTTATAATCCTTTGGGTATATACCCAGTAATGGGATGGCTGGGTCAAATGGTATTTCTAGTTCTAGATCCCTGAGGAATCGCCACACTGACTTCCACAATGGTTGAACTAGTTTACAGTCCCACCAACAGTGTAAAAGTGTTCCTATTTCTCCACATCCTCTCCAGCACCTGTTGTTTCCTGACTTTTTAATGATCACCATTCTAACTGGTGTGAGATGTTATCTCATGGTGGTTTTGATTTGCATTTCTCTGATGGCCAGTGATGATGAGCATTTTTTCATGTGTGTTTTGGCTGCATAAATGTCTTCTTTTGAGAAGTGTCTGTTCATATCCTTCACCCACTTGTGGATGGGGTTGTTTGTTTTTTTCTTGTAAATTTGTTTGAGTTCATTGCAGATTCTGGATATTAGCCCTTTGTCAGATGAGTAGATTGCAAAAATTTTCTCCCATTCTGTAGGTTGCCTGTTCACTCTGATGGTGGTTTCTTTTGCTGTGCAGAAGCTCTTTAGTTTAATTAGATCCCATTTGTCAATTATGGCTTTTGTTGCCATTGCTTTTGGTGTTTTAGACATGAAGTCCTTGCCCATGCCTATGTCCTGAATGGTATTGCCTAGGTTTTCTTCTAGGGTTTTTATGATTTTAGGTCTAACATGTAAGTCTTTAATCCATCTTGAATCAATTTTTGTATAAGGTGTAAGGAAGGGATCCAGTTTCAGCTTTCTACATATGGCTAGCCAGTTTTCCCAGCACCATTTATTAAATAGGGAATCCTTTCCCCATTGCTTGTCTTTGGCAGGTTTGTCAAAGATCAGATAGTTGTAGATATGTGGCATTATTTCTGAGGGCTCTGTTCTGTTCCATTGGTCTGTATCTCTTTTTTGTTACCAGTACCATGCTGTTTTGGTTACTGTAGCCTTGTAGTATAGTTTGAAGTCAGGTAGCATGATGCCTCCAGCTTTGTTCTTTTGGGTTAGGATTGACTTGGCGATGCGGGCTCTTTTTTGGTTCCATATGAACTTTAAAGTAGTTTTTTCCAATTCTGTGAAGAAAGTCATTGGTAGCTTGATGGGGATTGCATTGAATCTGTAAATTACCTTGGGCAGTATGGCCATTTTCACGATATTGATTCTTCCTACCCATGAGCATGGAATGTTCTTCCATTTGTTTGTATCCTCTTTCATTTCATTGAGCAGTGGTTTGCAGTTCTCCTTGAAGAGGTCCTTCACATCCCTTGAAAGTTGGATTCCTAGGTATTTTATTCTCTTTGAAGCAATTGTGAATGGGAGTTCACTCATGATTTGGCTCTCTGTTTGTCTGTTATTGATGTACAAGAATGCTTGTGATTTTTGCACATTGATTTTGTATCCTGAGACTTTGCTGAAGTTGCTTATCAGCTTAAGGAGATTTTGGGCTGAGACGATGGGGTTTTCTAGATATACAATCATGTCATCTGCAAACAGGGACAATTTGACTTCCTCTTTTCCTAATTGAATGCCCTTTATTTCCTTCTCCTGCCTGATTGCCCTGGCCAGAACTTCCAACACTATGTTGAATAGGAGTGCACACCTGACTTTTCTAATGATCAGTATGGTCATAGCGGGGGTGTCAGAGATGGGTGAATATGCAGAGAGCTGAGGAGGTGATAAATAGAACATGGTGTCTCATAAGGAAAGATGGAGGGAAAACCGGCCAGAGCCTTGCTCGATCTATACGATAGGAGAAATAACATAGTTCTGTATTATGCTTCACTCAGAAGTGGGCAAGTCTTATGTGGTGCACCTGAAGCAGCCCTCCAGATTGGAGAATGTTTCCATAAGTCTCATTGGTAAGAAGTGGATCACATGGGTACCCCTAATTACCAGGGAGATTGGGGGCTTAGCCATCAGGCAACGGGGAATGGTATTGCCATCCTAGGCCAGATCATGGTGAGTCATGCCCTCAGTAGAGTGCATGGTCCTGATATGAAGCCAGGGTTATGCTAGCAAGGAGGCAGGGGAATGGCTGTTAGGCAGGCAAGCACTAGGGCCTGTCACAGAAGCACCCATGGGATCCTGTGGGAATGGGTGAGAATTATTCTGCAAGGAAGGTTTTCCCTCCTTTTCTGCTGTTTTCAAGTTTTCTGACTCCACTTCTAAAGTCAGTATTGCATTATTCACAATGCTGTATTAGAGTGTTATTAACATCCTTTAATAGCGAACATTGCATTATTGGGTTCTCCTAGTGCCAGCCAACCTGAGAGATCACAGCTGCATGTGCGTGTGTATGTGTTTTATCAGTTTCACAGTGGCTTTCATCATGGCTGATTTCTCTAAGGCATATATTGATGTTCTTAATGATTAACTCTAATATGTGTAGGCCAAGAGGGAAAGATTTTCATTGATGACATTGTTTTTTCCTCATTCCCCATGGTTTTCATCAGCTCAGTATAATAATTTTTCTTCTCTACCTCTGGTCTTCCTCCCAGAGCCACTGTGCCTTCTCCAGGTAGAAACAGCTTTCTGTCTCATGACTGACACCCTTCCTTGGTTCCTGTCATCTGTAGCCAGGTATGCTGGGTGCTGGAGAGAGCCCTGGACTTGGAGTCAAAAGACTGCAGTTGGAGCAGAGGATCTTCCCTCAGAAGTTCTGCTGTGGGCTGAGTCGTTTCACCTCTCTGGGCCCCAGATGGACCTTTGTAAAACTGAGTGGAGGCGAGGAGGTGGGTGATGTGGAATCTCTGTGATGCCTCGGAGCCATAAGTGTTCATGACACTCCATGTCTGATTCTCCTCAAGGGGATCTTCGTCACTTGTGGTCACATGTCCTGGTTTCCCCAGGGGCATCTACACTATGTCACATGAGGCTAGTTTTTAGTAAGTGCTCTCTGGTTGGTTTCTATGATGTAAGCTTCTCTTCATGTAGCTAAGAGATGATACTTTAAATGGATAAAAAGGGATATTTTTAAAGCTGCTTTCTCAAATTCATCCTGGCTGCATTGCTATGGAACATGGCCCTGGAGCTGGCATTTCACTGTCTATTGACCATGCAACCTGGGGCAAGGGACTTAATTTCAAACAACTCAGGGTCAGGAAGCAACTACCTCATTGGACTAAATGAGAGAGTCCTTGCCCAGAAGGAGCTGGGTGCTTCTTATCCTCATGCCTCTGGCACTGTGCTTCAGACTCCATCCTGACACTTCTCATTCTGCACTGGACTCCCTTGGACTCCCCTGAGGACAGGTACCACAGCTTACTCATCCATGGTGGCCATGCTTCTCACCCAAGACGGCAGCTCATCAACCACAGTTGACCCATAAAACTTCTGACTTTGCCTTTTTCCCCTCCTTTTCTCTTATGTCCCCTCTGAAGCCTGTTCGCCAACCTCTCTGGGAATTCTAATGTCTCCTTCTTGCCCTTTTTATTTAAAATTTTAGGCTCAGTAAATTCCTTTGTTAATTTTAGTTGATGAAACCCCAAACCAGAGACCAACACATGGTAGAGATATCTTTCCGGAGGCAAATGTCTGTGCTTGATTTACATTCAGGCTGGGTTAACACAACACCAGCTGGATGAAAAAATTTTTTAAAAGCTTTAAAAGATGCTATTTCAAAATGCCTAGACATTTGGATTCATTGGACGCAGCCAGGGTGCGGAGTGAGTTTTCCGGAGCTCGGATGCTTCTGACCTTTTTTGCAGGGAAAGGCCATGGTTAGAGTCACTTGTGGCCTTGTCTTCTCCAGTCACTAATTTTTCACTCATCTTTTCCAAGACCTATTACCCTGCCCTTTAATCATTTTTATTGCATTTCTCTGGCCCATCTCCAGGTCTTGACATCTCTCTTAAAATGTAGAGACCACAAACTGGGTAAGAAACCCTAATGAGGAAGGCAACAATATGGAGTCCATTAGAAGGATTGATTCCCGGCCCCTGCATCTGCTGCTAATTTATCCTAGCTTTTAAAGTCATGTCTAGGAGGCTCCCTTGCTTTGAGACCGTGGTCCTCAATGACCCACCATGCTTTCACTGCTGTGCTGCTTATGGGCCTACTATTCTGCAGCACAGGCCTCCTTGGATTGGTGTGGCTTCTGATCAGGCTGCCTTGTATTGTATGTGTCTGCTTGGGTGAAGCTCTTCTATTTTTCAAGATCTGCCTGGAATTTAGTCTCACTTAACAATCTACAAACTTTCCATTGCTTTATCAAGCTCAGCAGCAAAAATGCTCAGCGCAGCTCCATACCTGCTGAGCCACACAGAGGGGGCTGGGCTCTCCAGCTCTATCCAGAGTGTGCAATCATTGGGCTGTTCTGGCCCTGCACTAGCCACCCATCCCCACCCATCCAGAAGTGTTGCTGCAGGAATTACGTTCATTGGTTCAGGTAGAAAAACACAGCAGCCTCCATGACCTTAGTGACTGGTATGGAAGCAGCCACTGTGGATTTGTAAAAAACAAATGGTGCGAAGTCTGCACTTGGCACTTTCTTATTCTAATACTCAATGAAAGCACAAAGCATGGCTTTAAACCGTCACTCAGGAAAGGCCTGTGTGTGTCAGGAGGGGGGCAGGTAAAGAGGGATTGCTTTACTGAATATTCTACAGAGTTCTCTCCTAAGTCACCCGAGGATGCTGCTTGGAGAATCCAGATGCTGTTTGAGGTGGGGGATTTCCTGAGTGGGTTGTCTCAGGAACAGTCAGGCCCAGGATAAGCCTCACCAACTCAGGGATGTTGGATGCAGAGATTGAGCGTGGGCTCTAGTCCATAAGTCCTAGTCCTCATCAACCCCTCTGGTCTTGTGCCAGCTCTGGGCCTTAGCTTTTTCATCTGCTTCTTAAAAAAGAATTGTAAGTGCCTATTTCTTAAGGTCTTGTGAGGATCAAACAAAACAGTGGATGTTATAGGCTTTTGTATATGCTAAAGAATTCTACATTAAGAGGCAAAGGTTATATTATATAATTACATATATATGTATATATCTATATATAGATCTATTACATATGAGTTTAAATTAGGTTTGGTGGCACGTAGGAGAAGAAAAACCCTACATCAAAAGGGCTGAAACACAATACAAATGTTTCTCTCACATGCAGGTGCAGCAGGTCCATAAATTCATCAGCTTCCCAGGCTGCTTCCACCTTTGCTACATGTGGCCTCATCCTTACAGCCCAAGATGGCTCCTAGGGCTCTAGCCATCACATGCTGGTACCAGAGAGCAAGATGACTGAAGGGGAGGAAAGAGAGCATGTGCTTGTCTCGTGAAGAGATTTCCTGGAAGTTACACAAAACATTTCTGTTTTCAGCTTGTTGACTAGAACATAGTCGTCTGTCATACTTAGTGTGGAGGGTGACCAAAGAGGGAGTGTTTTGTCTGAATAGCATTGCATCCAGCCAGATAGCGAGGGCAAGTAGCTGGAGGGAAGAGGAAGACAGACATTGTAGAGGAAGCTAGCAGTGACTCCCCCCCAGATTATATCCTATTAATAAAAGTAAGAACCTAATTTATGCCATGTGCCTGGGCCTCACAGGGCCATCACACCTCCATGAAACAAAGTGCTTGGCCTCACTCTGGTTTGCTTTTGTCATCTCTGAAACAAGGAGGTTTTACTTCCCCATGTTTCCCAAATGTCCATCATTCAAATAATGCTTCTGCTGTGTAGCCATGTCTACAGCTGTGGTCAATGCTCCTCATCAAGGCCGCTGTCTGTGTACCACTCGTGATTTAATCAGTCCGTTTTCTTCCAGGGGACTCTCCCTTTAAGCTTCTCTCTCTCTCTCTCTCTCTCTGTCTATATATATATATATATATACATATATATATATACACACATATGCACATATATATATCTACACACACACATATGTAACATATATTTAGAAGCTTAAATATGTATTATATATTCACTCTCTCTATATATAGAGAGAAATTTATATATATATATGTATGTATTCCTCTAACACTCCTGCACCACACACTGATCTTCCTATTCAACAAATACGAAGGAGGCTGCAGGCACTGAACCTTGATCAGGTCACTACATCTGACCTGACATTAGGATACTTTTATTTAAGTTTCTAAATGTATAAGTTACATACATTTATATATATACACATATATAGAGATTTAGATATTGAAAAAATACATATTTATATATTGAAAAAATCTATATATAGACAGAGAGATTTATATGTTGAAAAACCCAAGTAAAATAAAAATAAGAAAGTATCCTTAACATCAGGTGAGATGTAGTGACCTGATCAAGGTTCAGAGCCTGAAGCCTCATTCCTGTTTGTTGAAGAGGAAGATCAGTGTGTGGTGTGGGGGTGTTAGAGAAATAGCGTCAGCAAACTGGAACTCTCTTCTTGCCCTAATAAGCAGGACTGAAAGTGTTCTCCCTATGTAATTTACTTTCTTTTAAACTTAAAATGAAGTTAAAATATGTTTTAAATTTAAAGTGAAGACTTAATTTGATGTCACGTCACCGTCCACTGAAGTTATCTCACTTTTCGCAGTGATGCAGCCCCCACCAGTTAGGATTCATTCTACTCTACGATTTCCAAGTTTCTAAGAAACTTAGGAAACTTACACTAGGAGTTTTAAAGGCATGATGTTCGTGCCTGTAAGTGAATTTGGCCCAAATACTGCTGTGCAGCCTCAGGCATTTTCCAAAGGGAACCCCGGCCTTTGGGGTTGTCATGAGGTGCAGAACCCTGGATGGTCCCTTGAAGTTCCCCTGATCCAGCTGCAAGGGAGCTGGTAGGAGCCTGAGCTCAGATCAGGGAGAGGAGAAAGCCAGGTGTGGGGAGGTCCCTCCAACAGGATGGCCTGTTTTCATCAGAGCTGGAGGCTAAGGAGAAGGGCAAGGTTCCAGTTCAGAAGAGAACATCTCTTGAAGGCCAAAGACTGCCTTGAGATACTGTGGCTGCAGCAAGGCTCCCTGCAGCCCCCGCGTGGCTGCCTCCCACTGTCAGCCACTTCCCCATATGGACCCTCACAGACTGAACAAATCTGAGTGACCTCAGAGATGCCTGAAGGCACCTAGCTCTGTTTATTTCATGGCACATTTTAAAGAGCCCCAGGAACTGGAGATAGAGCCCACTGGGAGGGGAGTCTGGTTTGGACATTGTTTTCTTCATTTTCATCTTCTGTGAATTACTCTTCTAGTTGATCTTTTCTAGTACTTAAAAGTAGCTATTGGTCTCCCTGTCAAATCCAGTAAGAAACAGGGATCCCCAAGCACTTGGGTAACGAAGTCCATTGTTGGGTTAAGACCTGAGCTGCCAAGAAACTCAGACACAGATCCACGAACCTTTTTACATGTGGGGATTGGTGTAATTGGCTTAACTGGCTTGATGCTGACTGGCAGCACCTTCAGGGAAGAATCTTACTGGGGTTCCACCTCAATGTATGCATTGGGATGGGCTGTAGGAGGGTGCCTTAGGGGCAATTGCAGTGATGTGTTGGAAGCATGGGATAGGGGTATCCCTGTGGGAGCCAAGGGACACTGAGTCCATGTAGGGGAGGGGTGATGGGGCCATGTGGGGTAACAGGAGGATGAATGGGGTGAGAGGTAGAGCTTTGTAGCTAAGGACACTGACCTTTGGTGCCTGGGACATAACGTTCACATATGGTGAGGCAGGTCTAGATTTGGGAACGTGCCTGTGGTACATGCTGCCTTGCAGAGGGGAAGGAAGAAGTGAGAGAGAAGATGGTGGGTGCAGAGAAGAATGAGGTTGAGGCCAGGCACAGCCCCTCCTGTCAGCCTTATCTAAGAGAAATGTGTGGCCCTGCAGTGAGGGCCCTGCAGTCAGCACCTGCAGTGGTGCTGCCATGGTGCCTGCTCTGCATAGCCCACCTGCCCTGGAGCCAGGGCCAACACTTTTGGGAAAGGCTGGATTCCATGAGCTTCTTGACTGATGCTGTTTTCCAGCTTTACCTGCTTATGTGCTTCCTGGATCTCCAAGAATTATAGCACACGGACTTAGCCTCAGGGTCTGTGCTTTTTTTCTGGGACATCTGACACTTGAACACAATTAAAATAAAGCATTTGCTCACCTCTGAGAGGACCCCACTTTTCATTCACTCATCCATTCATTCATTCACTCATTCATTCACTCAAACATTTGCTGAGCACCAACTCTCAGCACTAGGGAAATAACAATAGAGAAAATCATCATCTTTCTCCTCAAAAACTCCCATTTTCAAAGGACTCTTAAATTTATGACTAAAAACAAGTGGATAAGCAGAATAGGAGCCAATAAAATTCCAAGGGCATTCCAGGGTAGTTCAGGGGAAAAAGGTCAGCTCTGCTGGGGACTGGCCAGAGATTCTGCAGAGGACCAATAAGGAGTGGGTGTGGGGACTCATCCAGGAGGAGAGAGGAGCAGTTGAGAGAAAGGCATGGGCAAGTCACTGGGGCAGGCAGGAGCATGGAACCTTGCAGATCATCAAGTTGCCCTATGTGGCTGGAGCACAGACGAGTTGGATGGTAGGAGAAGATGCTACATAACTGTCTGGAACTGGCTTCTAGCAGCATGGGGGCCTCTGCAAGGGAAGCTGGGCATTACCCAGCAGGTCAACTGTTGCCAGTAGTATTAGTCTGTTCTCATACTGCTATAAAGAAATACCTGAGACTGGGTAATTTATAAAGAAAAGAGGTTTAACTTGCTCACATTTCTGTAGGCTATACAGGAAGCATGGCTGGGGAAGCCTCAGGAAACTTACAATCATGGCAGAAGGCAAAGGGGAAGCCTGCATGTCTTACACGGCTGCAGCAGGAGGAAGACAGAAAAGGGGGAGGTGCTACACCCTTTTAAACAACCAGATGTTGTGATAACTCACTATTATGAGAATAGCACCAAAGGGGAAATCCACCCCCATGATCTAGTCATCTCCCACCAGGCCCTTCCTCCAACACTGGGGATTATAATTTGACATGAGATTAGGGAAGGGACGTAAACCCAAACCATATCATTCTACCCCTTGCCCCTCCCAAATCTCATGTCCTTCTCACATTTCAAAATACAATCATGCCTTCCCAACCTTCCCCCATAGTCTTAATTCATTCCAGCATTAACTCAGAAGTCCAAAGTCTAAAGTCATCTGAGACAAGGCTAGTCTCTTCTACCTATGAGCTTGTAACAATCAAAAACAAGTTCGTTACTTCCAAGATACAGTGGGGGTATAGGAATTGGGTAAATACTCCTTTTCCCAAAGGGAGCATGAGTGAGCTTTGTGGTGGTGGTACTGCTAGGTATGTTGATTGTGGTGGTGGTTATAGGAAGCTACACATGAGCTGAAGGTACACACACATGCACACACACACACTGCATGCACATACAAACTTGAATTACACCAATGTCAATATCCTGGCTTTTATATTGAAATATCAGGAGCGGCTGGGTAAAGGGTACAGGGGACCTCTCTGTACACTTCTTGGCAAATTCCTATGAATATCTATTTCAAAATAAAAAGTTTTAAAACTGTGTGGCCTCTTGTGTGGGAGACTAGCCAGTGCCAGATATGCCTGTGATGGAGTCAGGTGCTCAATTAAGTGGGCTGCACATACAAGTGGAATTCTCTAACTCAGCTTTATCCCAGAGTACAGCTGAGGTTTTCAGTTCCATCTCTGATTCCTGTGACATATTTCTCAAGTCATTCAAATTCTTAGATGAGGAAAGGGCTGTGACTAAATGTCAGTCTCTGAGAACCCAGCTCCCTGGACCTCAGACCTTTAGACTAGGAACCAGTTCCGGAGAGAAACTTGAATTATGCCTTTGCAATTCCTGAACATCTGGGTCTAGACCCACAAACAGGGTTGGCTCATGAGGGAGTAAAAACTTTCTCAGGGAATGAAAAAGTTTTGGACAGAATGTCCCAAAAAGCCCATGGTGTCCTCTGATTTGACCAAATTCTTTAGAATAAATAAGACTTTAGCTGCCCTTGGAAACAGCCAGAAAAAAAAAAAGGGCAGTTATAGAAAATAGTGAGATTAAGAAAAAAAGCACTGAGAAGCCAGGTACCTCCTGGGATAATAAAAATACAATAAAAATGCAGCAACACACACAAAAATCACATTCTGCTTTAGAATCATATTTGTATCAGCAAATATGACATCTCTTATCTGTTTTAAATTAGAAAAATCAACTCTGCAAGTGAAGGTTTGAAGCTCTTGTGTTTCAAGTTCAAACCTCACTTTAAACTTGGTCGGCCCCCAGTGCAACTTGCAAACGGAGCTGGAGAAATCTTAGAATTCTGAGAGGCCCGTGGGAGGGATGCACGTTTTCTCACTCTTGTGGTTATCGTTGGTGCCAGTCTGAACACTTTGATCTCAAAGCAATTTGTCGGAGCCCTGGTTCTCCCACCATCTGTCTACATGCCAATTGTCTTGAGGAGATTTACACACGAAGCAAATCCAATTAAATGAAGAGACTGCCCCTGGCAGCTCTAAGCATTTCTAACACAGGAAGGCCACGCTCTGGAATCCAGCGGGCATTCCCGAATCATGGCTGATTATCAGGTATTTCATCAAACAATTTCCAGTTTGCCAGCAAACCACAGGCTGACAAGACAAAGGCAGGGGTCAGTGTGATTCTAAGATGGTGCTTCAATGTTCATATTTCATTCATGACAAGCATTGCATGCATTAGAGTACAGTTTCCTTAGGAATTCAAGAGTAATTTGAACCATTCAATCTCCAGAACCAAAATAACACAAATAAGAGCAAGGGAGATAAAAGGTTTCCCAAAGAACTTTTTCTCAGAAGGTCGACAGGAGTTAGAATTATAGTCTGAAAAGATTAAGCGACACAACTTTCAATTTCCCATTCATCCAGGAAACCCTGCCTCTTCATCCAACACAATTCAGAAAACTTAAAACCGGCCAAATGTGTCTAACTAAAAATGAAGGCTGGACATGATGGCTCATGCCTGTAATCCCTGCATTTTGGGAGGCCAAGGCGGGAGGATCACTTCAGCCCGGGAGTTAGAGACCAGTCTGGGGAATACAGGAAAACCCTGTTTCTACTAAAAACTAAAATAAAATAAATTGTGGGGTGTGGTGGTGAGTGCCTGTTGTCCCAGCTACTCCAGAGGCTGAGGTGGGAGGATTACTTGAGCCCAGGAGTTTGAGGCTGCAGTGAGTTATGACTGAGCCACTGCACTCCAGTCTGGACAACAGAGGGAGACTGTCTCAGAAAAATTAAAAATATAAAAATAAAAATAGGGCCAGGCGCAGTGGCTCATGCCTGTAGTCCCAGCACTTTGGGAGGCCTAGGCGGGCAGATCACAAGGTCAAGAGATCGAAACCATCCTGGCCAACATGGTGAAAACCCATCTCTACTAAAAATACAAAAATTAGCTGGGCGTGGTGGTGCGTACCTGTAGACTCAGCTACTTGGGAGGCTGAGGCAGGAGAATTGCGTGAACCCGGGAGGCGGAGGTTGCCGTGAGCTGAGCTTGTGCCACTGCACTCCAGCCTAGGGACACAGCGAGACTCTGTCTCAAAAAAAATTAATAAAAATAAAGAGCTTTGTGAAGATCAGGCCCCCAGGGACCAGCTGGGATGCTGACTTGGTGAGGCACGTGTGGGTGGGGGTGACTCTGGATGTGCTGGTGTTTGCAGGAGTGAGCAGCCACCATTCCTTCCAAGTTGACCTTCTGGGGCTCAGGGTCTCCAGCTAGTGGCTCTCAGGGGGTGCTTCACAGCTCCCTGAAAAATGGAAGTTCTTACTCTGGGAGTGGGGACTGTGTGTTCCTTTGCGGGTGGCTGTTGTAGATGGGTTTGCAAGCCTTGTGAGGGCCCTGTGGTTTCTGGGCGTATAGATCCCTCTTCCTTGCTATGAGCCTGCACCCCCAAGGGATACCTCACGTGCCTCGGGCCCCACTCAGGGAAAACAGGTACCAGCCTCAGCTTCCTCCCTGCTGGGTTGAAAGGCAAGGTCTGAGCCTAAGCCACCAGTGGCACCTTCGTGCCCGCCACTCAAGTTATTTGAAGCGAATGAACCACAGAAGCAGAAATGCCTGTGATCCTGATTGTTTGTTAATGGGGCACAGCAGCAAGTTCGTTTCCATCTGGAATTATTAGCACCACCAGTTGCCATTCTTTTTTTCCCTCAGGGAACTATTTAAGACCCAGGATCAGGCCAGTGCGCATTCCAGGGGCAGGCTAAAAGCGGCAACAAATAGGAGAGAAAAAAATAATATAGTTTTACCCAGTCACCACCACGCAACTGGGCTGGGAATCCATGAAGACGGAGTGGGAGCTCGCGCTGCGCTTCCTGGGTCAGGCGGCGGCCCAGCGGCCGGGCTCTGCGCGCTCTGCGGGCCTGGTCGCGTGCTGACTGCCGGGCCACTGTGGAGCGGGAGCCCAACTCCTCCTGGCTGCTGGGCTTCCTTAGCGTTCTGGGCCCGGAAAGGCCAAGGATCTAGGGGAGGGTGATAAGGCGATGCCCCTTGAAAGCACAAGGATGCAGCTGAGGACAGCGGGTGGGAGTGAGAGGTGACAGCGTGCTGGCAGTCCTCACAGCCCTTGCTCGCTCTCGGCGCCTCCTCGGCCTTGGCGCCCACTCTGGCTGCGCTTGAGGAGCCCTTCAGCCCCCCGCTGCACTGTGGGAGCCCCTTTCTGCACTGGCCAAGGCCGGAGCCGGCTCCCTCAGCTTGCGGGGAGGTGTGGAGGGAGAGGCGCAGGCGGGAACCGGGGCTGTGCGTGGTGCTTGCGGGCCAGCGCGAGTTCCGGGTGGGCCTGGGCTCGGCTGGCCTCGCACTCGGAGCGCCCGGCCGGCCCCGCTAGCCCTGGGCAGTGAGGGGCTTAGCACCTGGGCCAGCAGCTGCTGTGCTCGACTTCTCGCCGGGCCTTAGCTGCCTTCCCACGGGGCAGGGCTCGGGACCTGCAGCCCGCCATGCCTGAGCCTCCCCCCTCTCTCTGTGGGCTCCTGTACCGCTGGAGCCTCCCCGACGAGCGCCGCTCCCTGCTCCAGGGCGCCCAGTCCCATCGACCACCCAAGGGCTGAGGAGTGCAGGCCCACGGCGCGGGACTGGCAGGCAGCTCCACCTGCCGCCCCGGTGCAGGATCCACTGGGTGAAACCAGCTGGGCTCCTGAGTCTGGTGGGGAGTTGGAGAACCTTTATGTCTAGCTAAGGGATTGTAAATACACCAATCAGCACCCTGTGTCTAGCTCAGGGTTTCCGAATGCACCAATGGAACTCTGTATCTAGCTACTCTGGTGGGGAGTTGGAGAACCTTTATGTCTAGCTAAGGGATTGTAAATACACCAATCGGCACTCTGTATCTAGCTCAAGGTTTGTAAACACACCAATCAGCACCCTGTGTCTAGCTCAGGGTTTGTGAATGCACCAATCCACACTCTGTATCTAGGTACTCTGGTGGGGAAGTGGAGAACCTTTGTGTCCAGCTCAGGGACTGTAAATGCACCAATCAGCACCCTGTCAAAACGGACCAATCAGCTCTCTGTAAAACAGACCAATCGGCTGTTTGTAAGATGGACCAATCAGCAGGATGTGGGTGGGGCCAGGTAAGAATAAAAGCAGGCTGCCCCAGGTAGTGGTGGCAACGCGCTAGGGTCACTTTTGAGATCAAGAAAGCTTTGTTCTTTTGCTGTTTATAATAAAACCTGTTGCTGCTCGCTCTTTTGGGTTCTGACTGCGTTTATGAGCTGTAACACTTACCACAAAGGTGTGTAGGTTCACTCCTGAAGCCTGTGAGACCACGAATCCACCGGGAGGAACGAACAACTCCAGATGTGGTGCCTTAAGAGCTATAACACTCACTGTGAAGGTCTGCAGCTTTGCTCCTGAGCTAGCTAGACCACGAACCCACCAGCAGGAAAAAACTCCGAACACATTTGAGCATCAGAAGGAACAAACTCTGGACACGCCGCCTTTAAGAACTGTGATATTCACTGCGACAGTCCGCGGCTTCATTCTTGAAGTCAGACCAAGAACCCACCAATTCCGGACATAGGAATACTAGCAGGGACTTTCTGGACATTCGGCTCGGAGTTGGTTAGTTGTTCAGGATGGTTCAAAGGTGAGCTAAAGGCTTGGCTGCCAGCTGTCCTGGTTTGCCTGGGATGGAGGGGTGTCTGGGACGGGACACTAGAACGTGCTCAAAGGGGTACCGTCCTGGGTACTGTGGGCTACCCTACAAGTCGTTTACTTAGATTTTGTTTCCTCTTTAGGAATTTCTGCTCCCTGCCGGAGCTCCTCATTGTGTTTGGCCGTTATATTTGGTAAAATTTGATTGCTCTGGAAACTGATTCCACATGTGCGATGTGAGCAGAAAAAAAAACAAAACAAAACCATAGATGAATCTTATGGCGCCTACCTTTAAAATATTGATTGCAAGCACCGCTGTCTAGAAGCTGTGGGTCCTCAGGGAAGTTAACCTCTGTGCTCAGGTTTCCTGTCTTGAGAAACGAGGATCGCACACCGGATCCTGTATGGATTCTTTGTGTCCCAGGCGCTTTACCCAGCTTCATTGGCCCTGAGGAATAGAGGCTTGCCACCTAGCTAGTGTCTGTGCAGGCTTGCTAGCTCTGTGCTCACGACTCTGCGTTCTGCCTGTGAAAAGTGCTTGCTTGACACTGCTGGACTCGTTAAATGTGCCACTGACAGTGAGCCACAGCCGTGGCATGCCATCTGGCTCTGCAGACAGTCCTCCTCTTAATTGTGTCAGAATAACTGAAAAAGCTAACATTTGGGGCTATTTCCTCTATTGAAGAAACTGTTATACAATATCTTGATCTTTCAGGGAATACTGTTTAAAAAAAAAAAGAACTTTTGGCCTGGTGCATTGGCTTATACCTTTAATTTCACCATTTGGAGAGGCCAAGGTGGGAGGATAGCTTGAGGCCAGGAGTTCACGATCAACCTGGGCAACATGGCAAGACTGCGTCAGTTAAATTTCTAAAGTGGTGTGCGCCCATAGTCCTGGCTACTCAGGGAGGCTGAGGCGGGAGGATCACTTGAGCCCAGTCAGCCATTACTGCACCTCTGCACTCCACCCTGGGTGATAGAGCAAGACCTTGTCTCTCAAAATAGTCTTAAAAACTTTTTTTAAGCTAAAAATACTATTTTTCCAAAGCTGTATAATAAGAGCCATAATTCTCTGTCCCTAGCTAGGTCTGGGGAGGAGAAACTCCTTTCAGGGAAGCAGGCAGAGCCTCTCAAGCACCCTTCGGCCTCTAGAGAGCTCAGTGTAACAGCAGGACCACGTGGCTCCATCTGCTGAATTGTTCTCCTGATAGCGCTCCCTTTTAATTGGGATCACGCCAGGGGATTAGACCCCACTTGATGGCTTTCTGGGATTCTGAACCAGGTACAATTCCCTTTAATTGGCTCCTGGTGTGGGCTGCAGGCTTCTTTATAGCCAAGGACAGGTGGGATGTGCCATTTGCTCCCACTGGTCTCCCACTCCCTGCCCTGAGAAGCTGGAGCCCACCTTGTGTTGAGTGGGATGCAGAGGGCTTTGTACTTCGCCTCATTTCACGGAAGTTACCCAGTTTCTCATATTCCTGGAGGCACTTGTGGACTTGGTCTCAACCTCTTCTGGTGAGCAGCTCTCCTGGCTCCTATCACTTACCTAGTTGCATCATGGGGTCTTGGCTTCCCCTGCACAGTTAAAGGAAGAGAGTGGGCCATTAAGAAATGCCCCCCATCACAGCCGTTTTGTGTCTTTTTTTTTTTTTTTTTTTTTTTTTTTTTTTGAGACATAGTCTCTCTCTGTCGCCCAGGCTGGAGTGCAGTGGTGCGATCTCGGCTCACTGCAACCTCTGCCTGCCAGGTTCAAGCAATTCTCTTCCTCAGTCTCCCAAGTAGTTGGGGTTACAGGCACCTGCCACCACGCCTGGCTATTTTGTATGTTTTTAGTAGAGACAAGGTTTGACCTTCTTGGCCAGGCTGGTCTTGGAACTCCTGACCTCGTGATCCACCTGCCTCGAACCCCCAAAGTGCTGTGATTACAGGCATGAGCCACCGCGCCCGGCCAGAAATGCCCACATTTGTAAAGTTGGTTGCTGCTAGGGTCCAACTCTGCTATCAACATTCACCGATGAGGTCTGGGAATGGGAACTTGTGTTTAAGCAGACTCCTTAAGTGCAAAGACTGCCCATCTTTAACCATACTACTTTTCTGATAACAAAGCTGAAATTTTCATCATTTTTTTTTTGATTTGACAGGAGCTATTCCTATTTTAATTAAACTGGATTGTGTCCTGGAGTTTTCACTTTCCCATAATTCACTTTTTTTTGTTCTAAAGTTTTCTCTAATTTTGAAATTAATAGGAAAAACAACAGACATAAAATATTTTACTTAGTCACAGTGATATGTCTATTTTTGTATTCATTCACCTCCCCTCTCCCCACACAAGAAACCCCCAGCACATTCCTACTTTCTGGAATGAAAATAGCTCCGAGAAGTATGGATTTTGAGGTTCAACATCTGCACTTTTATTTCTTTTTCCCTTGTAAAAACAAACGCTCTCTAAAAATTGATGTCAAACAGTCTTCAGGCCGATAAAATACAGTAAGCCTGAGAACGAATAAGGCAACTAAATGGAGCTGTTTTATTTAACAGAGAGCACAGTGATCTTCTTTACGAGCGGGATTCCAGAGAGGAAAATGTTTGTAATCAGATTTGACTCTAGGATTAAGAGAGCAAGATGTGACCCTCTTAGGAGGGTCTTTGAGACAGGGTCTTACTTTGTGGCCCAGGCTGGAGTGCAGTGGTGTAATCTCGGTTCACTGCAACCTCCGCCTCCCAGTTCAAGCCATTCTCGTGCCTCAGCCTCCTGAGTAGCTGGGATTACAGGTGCACGCCACCACTCCCGGCTAATTTTAGTAGAGACAGGGTTTCACCATGTTGGCCAGGCTGGTCTCAAACTCCTGATCTCAAGTGATCTGCTTGCCTCAGCCTCCTAAAGTGCTGTTATTACAGGCGTGAGCCACTACACCTGGCCCACGTTGTAGGCTTTGTGGGCCAGTTGGAATTTGGCTGTTGCAGTGTGAAAGTAGCAATAGATAATATGTAAGTGAATGGGTGTGACTGCATTCCAATAATTATTTATGGATGCTGAATTTTGAATTTAATATAATGCCCATGTGTCATGAAATAGTCTTTGGATTTTTTCAGCTATTTGCAAGTGTAGAAACTATTCTTAGCTCTCAGGCTGTTCAAAAATGGGCAATGGGCTTAGTGGGGCTGTGAGCTGTCATTTGCAAAATCTTGCATTTGAATATTTCTCTTAACAGGGGACATGGTATGGCTGCTGATAGGAACACTTTTACACTGTTGGTGGGACTGTAAACTAGTTCAACCATGGTGGAAGTCAGTGTGGCAATTCCTCAGGGATCTAGAACTAGAAATACCATTTGACCCAGCCATCCCATTACTGGGTATATACCCAAAGGACTATAAATCATCCTGCTATAAAGACACATGCACACATATGTTTATTGTGGCACTATTCACAATAGTTAGAAGAGCATTATGAAGAGGCATGGCCAACATTTTTGTTTTCAAAATTATACTTTTTATGATGTGTACTAGGAATTAACAGAAGCAGTTAGCACCACTAATTTTTTACAATTATTTTACAATTTTTTCCTAGTACAATCTGTTAAAAATTTGATAAAAACATTCTCCCACACCCCACCACTCCAACCGGGATGTGAATTTGCTGGTTGTTCAAGGTGGGATCTGGCTGCTGTGCCCAGGTAGGTTAGGAATCTAAAGCTCTAATTCATCTTCTTGGAGGTATTGGACACTATACATTCATGTTTTTGAACTTTATACTAAAGGATGCTTCTCAAATGCTTACACCATTTACTTCTTTTAAAATTAAAAACTTGAGGCTGGGTGCGGTGGCTCATGCCTGTGATCCTAGCACTTTGGGAGGCTGAGGCAGGTGGATCACTTGAGGTCAGGAGTTTAAGACCAGCCTGGCCAACATGGTGAAACCCCATTTCTACAAAAAAAAAAAAATACAAAAAAAAAACACTCAGGCGTGGTGGCAGGTGCCTGTAGTCCCAGCTACTCAGGAGGCTGAGGCAGGAGAATCGCTTGAGCCCAGGAGGCAGACATTGCAGTGAGCCAAGATTGTGCCATTGCACTCCAGCCTGGGCGACAGAGTGAGAATCAATAAAATTAAAAACTTGAAGCCAGGCATGGTGGCATGCTCTTGTATTCCCAGCTACATAGGAGCTTCTCCCAGCTGATGGGAGAAGATCGCTTGAGCCTGGGAGGTCAAGGCTGCAGTGAGCTATGATCTCTCCACTCCAGCCTGGATGAGAGGGCAAGCCCCTGTCTCTAAAAATGAAAAAAAAAAAAAGACGAGAAACAATCATTCAAAATGGTTGTAAAACCATCAAGAAATTGGTATGCTGGTATCATCTTCAATATGCCATGGGAAACTGATATTGAAGATAATGGAATTTACAACTTCACCTGTGAATTTTGAATTAATAGTTTTGAAAATGGCTGTTTTAAAATTCCTGGCAGGGCCAGGTGTGGTGCTTTGCGCCTATAATCCCAGCACTTTTGGAGGCTGAGGCAGGCAGATCACTTGAGGTCAGGAGTTCGAGACCAGCCTGGCCAACATCATGAAACACCATCACTATTAAAAATACAAAAATTAGCTGGGTGTAGTGGTGTGCACCTGTAGTCCCACCTACCTGGGAGGCTGAGGCAGGAGAATCACTGAAACCAGAGAGGCAGAGATTACAGTGAGCCAAGATCGCACCACTGCACTCCAGCCTGGGTGACAGAGCCAGACTCGATGTCTCAAAAAAAATAAAATAAATAAATAAATAAAATTCCTGGCAGTTTTCTATGCTATATCACAAGGTGATAATTCTTATATTTTGTAGAAGGATTTGTCTTTATTTTTCTTCTGTCTTACATTTTTCTTTTAGATTTTTGCTAAGCCTTTTTTTTTTTTTTTTTTTTTTTTTTTTTTAGGGACTACAGCTCTTTGACTGCAAAGTAACAACTGTTGAAGCGGGAAGTTTTCTGTTTGTTAAAATCCAGTAGCTTGTTAGCCCTGTTGTTTAAATACTGGATTTTTCTTTGAAATTTCACAAATATCTTAGGAATGACTGGAACATTTGTGTTCTTAACACTGAGGAAATTCTTGTGTAGACAAATGAGGCCAGATGGAGGGTGCAGCAGAGAGCTTAATATCCTCTTGGAATGGAAGAGGGGCCACACTAAAACATGCACCAGGCCTTCAAGGGGCCACTATTTTCCGGTATACACATGTAAGAGGCATTTTTCTTTTTTTCTTGATTGGGGCCGAGGGTAAATTTCGTGTCAGAAGTGAGTGCTAAGTGGCTGAGTAGGTTTGGGAAAGGCTTAGTGATCCAGCTTATTTATAGACAATCCGATTATAATATTTATGATCATTGATTTTTAAAAATTACTGGACCTCTTAAAAATGGTTGGATATGAGACTGGTATATACTGAAGCTAATAGTTTTCTCTTTTTAAAGAGATAGTGTCTCCCTCTGACGACACACAGGCTGGAGTGCAGTGGCACTGTCAGAGCTCACTGAATCCTCAAACTCCTGAGCTCAAGCGATCTTCCCACCTCAGCCTTCTGTGTAGCTGGGACCACAGGTGTGTGCCACCATGCTTGGCTAATTTTTTAACTTTTTCTTTTTTGTAGAGAGGGAGTCTTGCTATGTTGCTCAGGCTGGTCTTTTTTTTTTAAATTTTTTATTATTATACTTTTAAGTTTTAGGGTACATGTGCACAATGTGCAGGTTAGTTACATATGTATACATGTGCCATGCTGGTGTGCTGCACCCACTAACTCGTCATCTAGCATTAGGTATATCTCCCAATGCTATCCCTCCCCCCTCCCCCCACCCCACAACAGTCCCCAGAGTGTGATGTTCCCCTTCCTGAGTCCATGTGTTGTCATTGTTCAATTCCCACCTATGAGTGAGAATATGTGGTGTTTGGTTTTTTGTTCTTGCGATAGTTTACTGAGAATGATGATTTCCAGTTTCATCCATGTCCCTACAAAGGACGTGAACTCAACATTTTTTATGGCTGCATAGTATTCCATGGTGTATATGTGCCACATTTTCTTAATCCAGTCTATCATTGTTGGACATTTGGGTTGGTTCCAAGTCTTTGCTATTGTGAATAGTGCCACAAGAAACGTGTGCATGTGTCTTTATAGCAGGATGATTTATAGTCCTTTGGGTATATACCCAGTAATGGGATGGCTGGGTCAAATGGTATTTCTAGTTCTAGATCCCTGAGGAATTGCCACACTGACTTCCACAATGGTTGAACTAGTTTACAGTCCCACCAACAGTGTAAAAGTGTTCCTATTTCTCCACATCCTCTCCAGCACCTGTTGGTTCCTGACTTTTTAATGATTGCCATTCAAACTGGTGTGAGATGGTATCTCATGGTGGTTTTGATTTGCATTTCTCTGATGGCCAGTGATGGTGAGCATTTTTTCATGTGTTTTTTGGCTGCATAAATATCTTCTTTTGAGAAGTGTCTGTTCATGTGCTTTGCCCACTTTTTGATGGGGTTGTTTGTTTTTTTCTTGTAAATTTGTTTGAGTTCATTGTAGATTCTGGATATTAGCCCTTTGTCAGATGAGTAGATTGCAAAAATTTTCTCCCATTCTGTAGGTTGCCTGTTCACTCTGATGGTAGTTTCTTTTGCTGTGCAGAAGCTCTTTAGTTTAATTAGATCCCATTTGTCAATTTTGGCTTTTGTTGCCATTGCTTTTGGTGTTTTAGACATGAAGTCCTTGCCCATGCCTATGTCCTGAATGGTAATGCCTAGGTTTTCTTCTAGGGTTTTTATGGTTTTAGGTCTAATGTTTAAGTCTTTAATCCATCTTGAATTGATTTTTGTATAAGGTGTAAGGAAGGGATCCAGTTTCAGCTTTCTACATATGGCTAGCCAGTTTTCCCAGCACCATTTATTAAATAGGGAATCCTTTCCCCATTGCTTGTTTTCGGCAGGTTTGTCAAAGATCAGATAGTTGTAGATATGTGGCATTATTTCTGAGGGCTCTGTTCTGTTCCATTGGTCTGTATCTCTTTTTTGGTACCAGTACCATGCTGTTTTGGTTACTGTAGCCTTGTAGTATAGTTTGAAGTCAGGTAGTGTGATGCCTCCAGCTTTGTTCTTTTGGCTTAGCATTGACTTGGTGATGCAGGCTCTTTTTTGGTTCCATATGAACTTTAAAGTACTATTTTCCAATTCTGTGAAGAAAGTCATTGGTAGCTTTATGGGGATGGCATTGAATCTGTAAATTACCTTGGGCGGTATGGCCATTTTGACGATATTGATTCTTCCTACCCATGAGCATGGAATGTTCTTCCATTTGTTTGTATCCTCTTTTATTTCCTTGAGGAAATAAAAGTGGTTTGTAGTTCTCCTTGAAGAGGTCCTTCACATCCCTTGTAAGTTGGATTCCTAGGTATTTTATTCTCTTTGTAGCAATTGTGAATGGGAGTTCACTCATGATTTGGCTCTCTGTTTGTCTGTTGTTGGTGTGTAAGAATGCTTGTGATTTTTGTACATTGATTTTGTATCCTGAGACTTTGCTGAAGTTGCTTATCAGCTTAAGGAGATTTTGGGCTGAGAAAATGGGGTTTTCTAGATATACAATCATGTCATCTACAAACAGGGACATTTTGACTTCCTCTTTTCCTAAGTGAATACCCTTTATTTCCTTCTCCTGCCTAATTGCCCTGGCCAGAACTTCCAACACTATGTTGAATAGGAGTGGTGAGAGAGGGCATCCCTGTCTTGTGCCAGTTTTCAAAGGGAATGCTTCCAGTTTTTGCCCATTCAGTATGATATTGGCTGTGGGTTTGTCATAGATAGCTCTTATTATTTTGAAATACATCCCATCAATACCTAATTTATTGAGTTTTTAGCATGAAGGGTTTTTGAATTTTGTCAAAGGCCTTTGCTGCATCTATTGAGATAATCATATGGTTTTTGTCTTTGGTTCTGTTTATATGCTGGATTACATTTATTGATTTGTGTATATTGAACCCGCCTTGCATCCCAGAGATGAAGCCCACTTGATCATGGTGGATAAGCTTTTTGATGTGCTGCTGGATTTGGTTTGCCAGTATTTTATTGAGGATTTTTGATCAATGTTCATCAAGGATATTGGTTTAAAATTCTCTTTTTTGGTTGTGTCTCTGCCCAGCTTTGGTATCAGGATGATGCTGGCCTCATAAAATGAGTTAGGGAGGATTCCCTCTTTTTCTATGGATTGGAATAGTTTCAGAAGGAATGGTACCAGTTCCTCCTTGTACCTCTGGTAGAATTCGGCTGTGAATCCATCTGGTCCTGGACTCTTTTTGGTTTGTAAGCTATTGATTATTGCCACAATTTCAGCTCCTGTTATCGGTCTATTCAGAGATTCAACTTCTTCCTGGTTTAGTCCTGGGAGAGTGTACGTGTCAAGGAATTTATCCATTTCTTCTAGATTTTGTAGTTTATTTGTGTAGAGGTGTTTGTAGTATTCTCTGATGGTAGTTTGTATTTCTGTGGGATCAGTGGTGATATCCCCTTTATGATTTTGTATTGCGTTTATTTGATTCTTCTCTCTTTTTTTATTAGTCTTGTTAGCGGTCCATCAATTTTGTTGATCCTTTCAAAAAACCAGCTCCTGGATTCATTAATTTTTTGAAGGGTTTTTTGTGTCTTTATTTCCTTCAGTTCTGCTCTGATTTTAGTTATTTCTTGCCTTCTGCTAGCTTTTGAATGTGTTTGCTCTTGCTTTTCTAGTTCTTTTAGTTGTGATGTTAGGGTGTCAGTTTTGGATCTTTACTGCTTTCTCTTGTGGGCATTTAGTGCTATAAATTTCCCTCTACACACTGTTTTGAATGTGTCCCAGAGATTCTGGTATGTTGTCTTTGTTCCCATTGGTTTCAAAGAACATCTTTATTTCTGCCTTCATTTCGTTATGTACCCAGTAGTCATTCAGGAGCAGGTTGTTCAGTTTCCATGTAGTTGAGTGGTTTTGAGTGAGATTCTTAATCCTGAGTTCTAGTTTGATTGCACTGTGGTCTGAGAGACAGTTTGTTATAATTTCTGTTCTTTTACATTTGCTGAGGAGAGCTTTACTTCCAACTATGTGGTCAATTTTGGAATAGGTGTGGTGTGTTGCTGAAAAAAATGTATATTCTGTTGATTTGGGGTGGAGAGTTCTGTAGATATCTATTAGGTCTGCTTGGTGCAGAGCTGAATTCAATTCCTGGGTATCCTTCTTGACTTTCTGTCTCCTTGATCTGTCTAATGTTGACAGTGGGGTGTTAAAGTCTCCCATTATTAATGTGTGGGAGTCTAAGTCTCTTTGTAGGTCACTAAGGACTTGCTTTATGAATCTGGGTGCTGCTGTATTGGGTGCATATATATTTAGGATAGTTAGCTCTTCTTGTTGAATTGATCCCTTTACCATTATGTAATGGCCTTCTTTGTCTCTTTTGATCTTTGTTGGTTTAAAGTCTGTTTTATCAGAGACTAGGATTGCAACCCCTGCCTTTTTTTGTTTTCCATTGGCTTGGTAGATCTTCCTCCATCCTGTTATTTTGAGCCTTTGTGTGTCTCTGCACATGGGATGGGTTTCCTGAATACAGTACACTGATGGGTCTTGACTCTTTATCCAATTTGCCAGTCTGTGTCTTTTAATTGGAGCATTTAGTCCATTTACATTTAAAGTTAATATTGTTATGTGTGAATTTGATCATATCATTATGATGATAGCTGGTTATTTTGCTCGTTAGTTGATGCAGTTTCTTCCTAGTCTCGATGGTCTTTACATTTTGGCATGATTTTGCAGCGGCTGGTACCAGTCGTTCCTTTCCATGTTTAGTGCTTCCTTCAGGAGCTCTTTTAGGGCAGGCCTGGTGGTGACAAAATCTCTCAGCATTTGCTTGTCTGTAAAGTATTTTATTTCTCCTTCACTTACGAAGCTTAGTTTGGCTGGATACGAAATTCTGGGTTGAAAATTCTTTTCTTTAAGAATGTTGAATATTGGCCCCCCTCTCTTCCGGCTTTTAGAGTTTCTGCCGAGAGATCAGCTGTTAGTCTGATAGGCTTCCCTTTGAGGGTAACCTGACCTTTCTCTCTGGCTGCCCTTAACATTTTTTCCTTCATTTCAACTTTGGTGAATCTGACAATTATGTGTCTTGGAGTTGCTCTTCTCAGGGAGTATCTTTGTGGATTTCTCTGTATTTCCTGAATTTGAGTGTTGGCCTGCCTTGCTAGATTGGGGAAGTTCTCCTGGATAATATCCTGCAGAGTGTTTTCCAACTTGGTTCCATTCTCCTCATCACTTTCAGGTACACCAATCAGACGTAGATTTGGTCTTTTCACATAGTCCCATATTTCTTGGAGGCTTTGCTCGTTTCTTTTTCTTTTTTCTCTAAACTTCCCTTCTCGCTTCATTTCATTCATTTCATCTTCCATCACTGATACCCTTTCTTCCAGTTGATGGCATCGGCTCCTGAGGCTTCTGCATTCTTCACGTAGTTCTCGGGCCTTGGTTTTCAGCTCTATCAGCTCCTTTAAGCACTTCTCTGTATTGGTTATTCTAGTTATACATTCTTCTAAATTTTTTTCAAAGTTTTCAACTTCTTTGTCTTTGGTTTGAATGTCCTCCTGTAGCTCGGAGTAATTTGATCATCTGAAGCCTTCTTCTTTCAGCTCGTCAAAGTCATTCTCCGTCCAGCTTTGTTCCGTTGCTGGTGAGGAACTGCGTTCCTTTGGAGGAGGAGAGGTGCTCTGCTTTTTAGAGTTTCCAGTTTTTCTGTTCTGTTTTTTCCCCCATCTTTGTGGTTTTATCTACTTTTGGTCTTTGATGATGGTGATGTACAGATGGGTTTTTGGTGTAGATGTCCTTTCTGTTTGTTAGAAGGAAAACTAACAGACAGGACCCTCAGCTGCAGGTCTGTTAGAGTACGGGGTCATGTGAGGTGTCAGTCTGCCCCTACTTGGGGGTGCCTCCCAGTTAGGCTGCTCGGGGGTCAGGGGTCAGGGACCCACTTGAGGAGGCAGTCTGCCCGTTCTCAGATCTCCAGCTGCGTGCTGGGAGAACCACTGCTCTCTTCAAAGCTGTCAGACAGGGACATTTAAGTCTGCAGAGGTTACTGCTGTCTTTTTGTTTGTCTGTGCCCTGCCCCCAGAGGTGGAGCCTACAGAGGCAGGCAGGCCTCCTGGAGCTGTGGTGGGCTCCACCCAGTTCGAGCTTCCCGGCTGCTTTGTTTACCTAAGCAAGCCTGGGCAATGGCGGGCGCCCCTCCCCCAGCCTCGCTGCCGCCTTGCAGTTTGATCTCAGACTGCTGTGCTAGCAATTAGCGAGACTCCGTGGGCGTAGGACCCTCCGAGCCAGGTGCGGGTTATAATCTACTGGTGCGCCGTGTTTTAAGCCCGTGGAAAAGCACAGTATTCGGGTGGTAGTGACCCGATTTTCCAGGTGCTGTCCGTCATCCCTTTCTTTGACTAGGAAAGGGAACTCCCTGACCCCTTTTACTTCCCGAGTGAGGCAATGCCTCGCCCTGAGTCGGCTGGCGCACAGTGCACGTACCCACTGGCCTGCGCCCACTGTCTGGACTCCCTAGTGAGATGAACCCGGTACCTCAGATGGAAATGCAGAAATCACCCGTCTTCTGCGTTGCTCACGCTGGGAGCTGTAGACCAGAGCTGTTCCTATTCGGCCATCTTGGCTCCTCCCCCGGCTGGTCTTGAACTCTTGGCCTCAAGTGAGCTTCCTGCCTTGGCCTCCCAAAGTGTTGAGATTACAGGTGGGAGCCACCTCTCGGGGCCTAAGAGTTTTCTTATATATCAGCAATAACTAATTCTAATGTAATTGGGGAAAAGAGCCCATCCACAATGCCCTGCAAATATCAGAAATCTCTAGGAATAAACATGGCAAGAAATGTATGAGATGCCTTTGTGGAAAACTGTGGAACTGGCGGGGTGCGGTGGCTCACGCTAGTAATCCCAGCACTTTGGGAGGCCGAGGCAGGTGGATCACCTGAGGTCAGGAGTTCCAGACAAGCCTGGCCAACGTGGTGAAACCCTGTTCTCTACTAAAAATACAAAAATTAGCCGGGCGTGGTGATTCGTGCCTGTAATCCTAGCTATTTGGGAGGCTGAGGCAGGAGAATGGCTTGAACCCAGGAGTCGGAGGTTACAATGAGCGGAGATTGTACCTTTGCACTTCAGCCTAGGCAACAAGAGCGAAAGTCCGTCTCCAAAAAAAAAAAAAAAAAGAAAAAAAACCTGGAACTTTAGGAAAAAAAACATAGAAGACCCGAATAAATGAAAGGATGCCATGTTCTGTAATGGGAAGGTTCAAAACTTTAAAAATGTTAATGCAAACCAATGTTAAAAGACTAGATGCAACTGGCTTGCCTTCCCAGATATCCAAATATATGTTAAAAGCTAGGGTAATTAAAATAGTGCAATATTGTTGTAGAAATAGGAAAACTGTCAATCAAATAGCTAGAATGTGTATGAGAATTTAATATATAGTTAAAGAGATAATTCAAATTAGTAGCAGAAAGAATATACCATTTAATGGTGTGGGAACCATGAGATATAGCTAGATCCATTCCTTATGCCATATAGGTCAGTGAATTATGATTGGATTAAAATTCAAATCTGAAAATCAAGACAGTAAAAGTACTGGAGGTAAATTTAGAAGAATTATTTTCTAGTTTTGGAGTAGTTTAAAGTTACTCATGTGAGACACAAAACTCAAACTAAAAGGAAAGAAGGTATTTGACTAATACTGACTTTGGAAATAGTTGAATGAGAAGCAGGGAACTTTTCAGTTCATTATTCTTTATATATGCTGTATACACACACACACACGTATTTTAAAGGAACTGTTCACTATACATGTAATTTGTTTTGAGACGGAGTCTCGCTCTGTCGCCCAGGCTGGAGCGCAGTGGCGCGATCTTGGCTCACTGCAAGCTCCGCCTTCCGGGTTCACACCCTTCTCCTGCCTCAGCCTCCGGAGTAGCTGGGACTACAGGCACCCGCCACGGTGCTCGGCTAATTTTTTTTGTATTTTTAGTAGAGACGGGGTTTCACCGTGTTAGCCAGGATGGTCTCTATCTCCTGACCTGGTGGTCCATCCGCCTGCGCCTCCCAAAGTGCTGGGATTACAGGCGTGAGCCACTGCGCCCGGCCCTATACATGTTATTTTTTAAAAACAAGAGAACTTTAAAAAATGTGACAAAAACGTACATCAAAAAATGTATACTTCTTCAGACCTTGAAGAAATATATTCTACATTTTTACAGCAGACATTAATGAACCTTTAGTCCTGTGTGTCTGTGGCTGACTGCCACAATTACTACTTGAGACCGTCACTATGACAGTTATTACTGTTACTACTTGAGACCGTCACTACGACAGTTATTGTTACTACTTGAGACCGTCATTACAGGACTGAACGAAAGGACAAACGTAGAAATGATTAAAAAAATCTGTTTTAAAGGAAGGGGAAACCGGGAAGAAGGGAGCTCCCTGCTTCTAGTGAGCGAAGGCAGCCCCCCGAGCTTCCACAGCCCTTCGCATTCATTGGGAGAATGAGCAGGGAGGAGGCCCTAAGACTGGTCAGCTGTTTGATTATCACAAGTTCTCATTACTAACAGGCTTCAGTTGTGTCTAATCCTAAACACTTGCACCTGGGTGGTGACTGCCCTCAGCAGTCCTTCTGGGCGGCAGACACAGGTTGTCAGTTTGCCAACACCCTGCTCTCATGAGAAACAGTTTGCTGCTTACTCACGTGGCCTCCAGTGGTATACTGAGTTGATCACGACCCTCAATCTTTCGGCCCCTAAGAGCCGCAGGGGGGTGGGGAGGTGCCAGGCTGCTGAGGCCTTTGGGTTCCTAGGCTGCTGGCATTTTAAAACCACCACTGTATTCCACCTCCCCTTGGATAACACGCAGAAACAGGCCAAGAAGAAATTACCTGCTGTTGGTTATTTCTATTTCAAATGAATACTAGCTGAACATTTACTAAATGACATTGTCAGGTTTCAGCAAAAGCGGCCTGTAATAGTTGGGTGAGGACAGGGAAAGACTTTGAAATGGGCAGAAAAGATTACGGGATGTCCTGCAGGTTCAGTGTGCTTTGGCCTATTTTTCAACTGTCTAAATTTTCGCCGCCAAAGTCGCCAAAACCGCCTTCGCCGCAGCTGCAGCCAAAGCCTCCTCCTCCTCCTCTTCCTTCTCTCTCCTCCCTCACCTCCTCCTTCCTTCTAGGAAGCTTACTGGAGTGAAACTTGAACGTTTTCAAAAAAAAATCATTAACGCAAATGATTCTTGTCCAAAGAAACAGAAATAATAGAAGTGTGAAGGGGCGTGGGAGGGGGTTGAGATGTGCCGCGTTCAGGCCCGGGGCACCGGCGAGGGTGGGCGTGTGAGCGGGGGGTGGGGGCGTTAACGGTGTCTTCTCCCCACAAATGAAAGAGAAATAGTAAATTCTCCTGCGGGTGGCGAATCAGGAGGGAAGGTGGAGCCCACAATCTTTGCAAACTCTCTGGGGAGCCAGGGGTTGGTAGCTGGGAAGACTTGGGTGGTGACCCTGGGGGAGGGGAAGGGGCCGGGGAGCGGGGAATGGGGGCAGCCCCTGGGGAGGAATGGGAGAGGGAGGAGGACGCCAGGGGCACAGGGACAGCCTCCGGGGCGGGGCGCGGCGCCAGCCTAGCCCGAGGATGGAGGCTGAGGCCGCCTGTTGAGTCACAGGTAAGGGGAGCCGCTCTGGCCAGGCCCAGGGCCGCCCTCGTTCCTCCCGGAGCGCAGCGACAGCTCCTCCCCGCGTCTCGGGTTTCAATGGCTGGGCCTGCCCGAAAGCTCTGGGCCCCCGCGTCCCAATTTTTTCTTTATTTTTGAAGGATAATATTGCTGGACATAGAATTCTTTGTTGACATTGGTCAGCTCTTTGAATATGTCATCCAGTATCTTCTGGCCTCCGTGGTTTATGGTGAGAAATCAGCTTACTGAGGATCCTTGAACATGACTTGTCTCTCTCTCGTGCTTTCAAGATTCTCTCAACAGTTTGATTATGATGTGTCTGACTGTGTATCTCTTTGAGTTTACTCTACTTGCAGTTTGTTGAGCTTCTTAGATATGTAGATTGATGTTTTCCATCAAGTTTGGGAAGTTTTGATTCGTTATTTCTTCAAATATTCTTTCTATCCCTTTCTCTGTCTCCCTTCTTTCTGAAGTTCTTCTAATCTACATCTTGCTTTGTTGCTGATGTCCCAAAGGCCTCCAAAGCTGTGTTCATTTTCTTTCTTCTTGTTCTTCAAACTAGATAATATCAATTGACCTATCTTCAAGTTTGCTATACTCTCTTCTGCTTCTTCAAATTTTGTGCTCAGCTCCTATAGTGAAATTTTCATTTTAGTTGTACTTTTTAACTCCAGAATTTCTATAAATTTTTCAAAAATATGTAATTTCGATCCCTTTGTGAATATTTGCATTTGGTGAGACATTGTTTTCATAATTTACTGCAGTTGTTTAGACACACATTCTGTTAGCTCTTGGAGCACATTTAAAATAACCAATTTTAAAGTATTTTCTAGTAAGACTAAAGTCTGTACTTTCTCGGAACCGTTTCTATTAGTTGCTTAATTTCCTATTATAGAGCCATACTTTGTTTCTTTACATGCCTTGTAATTTCTGTTGATGACTACTTAAAATAATACATTGTGACACCTCTTAAAATCATTATCTCCCTCCCCAGAGTATATTGTTGGTGCTGCAATTTTTTAGCTGTTTTGTATATTTAATAATTTTTTTGAACTAATTCTACAAAGTCTGTACTCTTTGTTACTTGTGGCAACTGAAGTCTCTATTTGGTTAGCTTGGTTGTTGAGTAAGGATAGGACAGAGATTTCTGTAAATACCAGAAACCAGTAAATCTCCAAGTCAGGTCAAATACAGACAATCTTGCATGTGGAGTCTTCCAGAGTATTACCAGACAGGTCTGACGAGACAGTTCCGAAAGGACAAATCTTTGGGAATGAGGCTTTAAAAACAGCTTCATTCTGCTCACTCTGGTGGCTCCAGTACCGCTCCAGGAATGTGGGGTGTCATTTTTCAAGGCCACTGCAGGAAAGGAAAGTGAGGCATGAGAGTGAATCAAGGTAAAATGCCACAAAGCTTACTGTTCTTATTGAGAATTGGCTGGTTTTCTTAAATACATGCTTCTTGAGTTGCTACAAGTCTTTGGTCAATTTCTAGAGGTCAATTTCTAGAGTTCTGGAAAAGTTGATTCTAATAATCTTTGCCAACTTTCTCCTTGTTTCTGTGGAGAACAGAAGTTTTGTTAGTCTTTATTTCCATCATTTATGCTGACTTCACTCCTTGATTTTTAAAAAATTAATGATCTAAATAATAGTCATATCTCTCTGTATGAAGAACAGAGTGCTCTGGAATATGATTTTTGGGGGGGTTCACATCCTGGCTTTGCTACTTACGGGTTTGTGGCCTTTGGCAAGTTACTTGTCTGTGTATCAGCTTTCTTTTATGAACTGGGCATATTAATAGTACTCATCTCATAGGTTGGTTGTGACTATATAAAATGAGTTAATATGTGGAGAGTTCCTATAAGGATGCTTAGTACAGAATAAACATTTGGTGAATCTTACCTGTTAAAACAGCTACTCTAAATTTTCACTACAATTCCACACAGTTGATAGGCCGCCGCCTTCTTCCTCCTCCTCCTCTTCCTCCTCCTCTTCCTCCCCTTCCCTTCCCCTCCCCTTTCCCTCTTCCTCCTCCTCCCTTTTCCTCTCCCTCTCCTTCTACTTCTTCTTCTGCTCCTCTTCCTCTTCCTCTCCTTCTTCCTCCTCTTCCTCTTCTTCAACCGAGCTACCCAGGCTGTAGTGCAGTGGCGCTATCTTGGCTCACTGCAACCTCCACCTCCTGGGTTCAAGCAGTTCTCCTGCCTCAGCTTCCTGACTAGCTGGGACTACAGGCACGCACCACCACGCCTGGCTAATTATTTTTTTTTTTTTGTATTTTTAGTAGAGATGGAGTTTCACCTTGTTGACCAGGCTGGTTTCAAACTCCTGACCTCAAGTGATCTGCCCACTTAAGCCTCTCAAATTGCTAAGATTACAGGCGTGAGCCACTGCGCCTGGCCCTGATAGGCCAACTTCTAAACTGAGATTGATAGAATTATTTACTGAAGTCACAGAGGTAGTGAGTAATTGATTCAAGCAACCTTGAAGAGTTGCTGCATGAATTAGAGATAATGTGTAAAATTTTAAGCTCATACTTAGATGCTGCTCATTCAATGGGAACCAGTCCTACAAATTATGGCTCTAGTATTTTCTCCATAGTGGGTGAACAGTACATAGTTCCTTGACTGTTTAATTTTTTTAGATGAGTATATGTATTTATATTTAAATGTATCTTGCAGTTGCATGAGGGTTTTGCTGAAACTTTTCTTCTGTTCAATATCCAGGTTTTGGCAGAGTTCAAAGACTGGGAAGCAAAGTTCAGCCATGTTGGGCCTTTGGGCTCATAGATGAGCAAGGGTACCCCAATATGAGGGCTCAGCAAATTCTGGAACTTATCAGTTCTGAAGACCTTTAGAGGAGAAGGAGACAAGTAAAAGGTATTTCAAAGCACAGTGAATGGGATAAAAGCAGGGATCAGGAGTAGCTAAAAATGGAACAGGTGGCTTACATAAATACCAGCTGTGCATTATGGTCGATTTTATTGCCAGTTTGTAATGTTGTCCATGGCTATTTTACAACAGTTTTCTTTATTCCTGACATTGTTGTAAATCTTGCTGTAAAATTGCTCTAATGCAGCAGAAAGGCTATGAAATGAAATGGGAACTCCAAGGATCAGTTGATTGTAGTGGAATGGAAGGGAGGCTGAGGATGCCTAGAGAGAAAATAAAGGAAAGCTGGGGGAAAAAATTAGTGGGTCAAATATCTCATTATGTATGAGAATTTGTCCTCTTAAGTCAGTTTAATTGTGAGCAAGAGCAGATAGCACTTTTAGGATGAATCCACCAGGTGGCACCATCGAAAACATTTCTTAGAAGGCCTCTTTGTCTAGATTCTTAGAAGAAGTTAGTAAACCTGTGATTTTTAGAGGTGGAAACAATACTTCTCATTTTTGGAGGGGGAATGCATGGTGTGTATTATATTATCTTCTGTACTTTTTGTATTTGTGTGTATATATTACAGTTCTAAACACTGAATAGACCCCTTTCTCAAGAGATACAATGTCAACTTGGGAACTTGGGTCAATTTTGTAGGGCAGATTTGAGCCAAGCATCCCAGATTTAGGGATATATATATACACACACACGCACATATATGTATACATATATATGTATATATGTGTGTGTGTGTGTATGTATATATATACATATATATATATATATATATATATTTTTTTTTTTTTTTTTTTTTTTTGAGATGGAGTTTCGCTCTTGTTGCCCAGGCTGGAGTGCAATGGCGTGATCTCGGCTCACTGCAATGTCTGCTTCCCAGGTTCAAGTGATTCTCCTGTCTCGGCCTCTCGAGTAGCTGGGATTATAGGCGTGCGCTGCCAAGCCCAACTAATTTTTATTTTTAGTAGAGATGGGGTTTCTGCATGTTGATGAGGCTGGTCTTGAACTCCTGACTTCAGGTGATCCACCCACCTCAGCCTCCCAAAGTGCTGGGATTACAGGTGTGAGCCACTGTGCCCGGCCAGGGATATATTTTTATACCTTTTGGTTAATATTAATATACTTTGGGTTTTCTTCTCCTTTCTTAGCCTGGGAATATCTAAGCCTTTATCCTTTTAATTTTCCTTTTTATCATCTCTGCCCGAGAGGTGAAGAGGAGTACTAAGTAGCCCTCTCTACTTCTCCTCCCAGCAGCTGGCCGCTGGCTCTGCCTCTACCTGGTCCCTTCCAGGATGTACTTCCGAAGTGGTGGAAGTAGGGAAGGCTCTTGAAGGGAGATACCCATGATTCTTAAAATTATGCACCAAGACACAGCACAGAATCAGAATCCGAGAAAGTTGGATTTCTGGCCCATTCTGCCTCTTTCTTTTTAGCTCACTACTTAATTCAAGGGTTATTGCAAGGATTACAAAAGGTAACGTGTGCAAAATGCTCAGTATATGGCCTCGTACATGCTAGGTGCAGAATGCATGTATGAAAATAATGTTTAATAAAATGTGTATTAAACTAATATCTTTTCAGCAGGAGGCCAAATAGGCTTCTTGTCCACCTCAGATTTTTTTTTTTTTCCCTCACTTTTTTAAAAATCAAGGAGGATGTGAGGAACCAGGAATTGAGATTTGGCATTAATCTTCATTCTTGTTGCCTAGGGTTGGCCTTGCGTATTGGCAATGAAACAGGCTATTTTTGACATTGAGTTGTCCAGCATTCTCTAAGGTGAGGCTATGTTGCATGTTGGAAAGATTTAGCGAATAACAGAGGCAGGCTCCACTCGTTTCCCACTGGGAAAGGCAAGAGCAGCCTGCACACAGAGCCCCTCTGAGGGCAAAACTCACACTGCATGCTGCACGTGAAAACTGCAACAGGGAGTTAGAGATGCCCGGGGCAGTTGTGATTTTCACTGTCCATTTATCTGTAATCATTTTTGTAAGGAAGATTGATGGATGCCGGGGGGTGAGGGTGGGCGGAGGAAGTCACTGCTGCATAGTGATGCACAGAAATTGATATTTCATCAGAAGAAAGCTCTTGATAGTTGTTTCCCTGGCAAGCTGGAGATGACGGACAGTCTTTACTAACTGAGTTGTTTATCCTTCCTATCAGGTATGTAGTCCTGGAGGGCGCTGCTTAATGAACCAGAAGTCCTGCCTCTTAAGTACCTCACCAGCTCAAATGTGTGCATGTCACCTTGGCGTGAATCGGAGCAGGCGCTGGTGGATACCGTTTGGAGGCATGCCAGCAAGGAGCTCCTTGTGTAGCCTGCCTCTGGAGCCTCAAGTTCAACTTCCATAGGGCCAAAAGGGGAGTCGGGCTGGGCAGAAGCTCCTGAGAACCAAAGCAAATGGTCTGAGAGTCTGAGAGTGTAGTGGAGGTAACGTGTTCGTGTCCTCTCTGGCTGCATCACCCCAAGTCCTTGCAGACTCAAGTAGCCTATTTGCAAGTTTAAATAGTTTGAGTCCTGGCCGGTAACAAGAATACTCTACAGTGGCCCAGAGTCAGGGATATAGAGTGGCGACTACTTGGCAGAACTGGAGCTTGCTCAGATGAAAAGATAAATTGTACTGGTTAAACGAAGATCAAGTGCAGGGT
Source organism: Homo sapiens (assembly GCF_000001405.40). Taxonomy (NCBI): domain Eukaryota; kingdom Metazoa; phylum Chordata; class Mammalia; order Primates; family Hominidae; genus Homo; species Homo sapiens. The sequence continues at coordinate 98,082,963 of NC_000015.10, read as the reverse complement.
CTGGACTTTGTTTCTATCTTTCATGTGGACTCTATAAGCACCTACACACAGCATTCTAGAAACACTGCTCCCATCCCTCCTGTCTCATGTCATCCTCCCAATTCCGGGAGTTGGGGGGCATACTCTTTCCCTGTGTCATGTGAGAAATTCCTTTCTCATGGGAAGCAGGTGGCATTCCTGGACTCTCCTTGGCCTGGCCGTTGGTAAGCACAGGAATTCAAGGTGTCTGAATCTCTTGTCAAAGGTGGGCTGTAAGGCTCCAGAAGAGGAGGACAGAAAGTGCCTGCAGAGCTCCTGCCTGAGGCCTTTGGATGGGCCCTGCTGGCTTGCCGTGTGTGTGTGTGTGTGTGTGTGTGTGTGTGTGTGTGTGTGGTGTCGTGCTTATTTGCCCCAAATGAGGCAAGAGAGCAGTGATCAGGTGTCTCCCCAGCATCTAGTTTCATGAAGACAATAGAAGTGGGTCGGATCAGGCCTGCTGCCATGCTTGGCTTGCCCATGTCTCCTAGGATTGGCTGCCTGGTGGCCATCCCTTTGCCATCCCCTTGACTGCCCTGTGAATGATGTCCACTCTGAGACCCCAGGCCACTCAGAAAAACTGAAGATTCTCAAGTTCAGGTGCAGTTAGGGGGCAGGTCCTGGTGGTGGGGGAGCTTTGATGTTCTGCAGTTGGAGGATCCTCTTTCAGAATAGTAATGCAATTTGTGAATTAATAAAATTAGGTATGCAAGAGGATATGTAGAAAAGAAAAATCACAAGCTACACAATTTTTAAGTTGACAAAACTACGAACATCACAAAATAATATGATATTTTAAATTAATTATCTGCCTGGAATACTCTGTCATTTTTTTTTGATCTTTTGCCTGCATCGTCTTTGATAGCAGTGTTTTTGATATTGCTTTTTATAGAGAGACTCAAGATAATGGAGTCTACTCTGTTGTGGTTAATTAAACATTTTTTGGTGTTATTCATAGTTTGAGATGTTTCTTTTAGCTTCTCAACCTGCTATACAGATAAAAAGCACTTTCATGTCAGGTAAATATTTAGAATTGTTGCCAAATTTTAAATTTCCTCCATCAATTTTCTTTCATATGTCATATATGAGTTGTGAGATTTGGAAGGATATTTCAGACCAGCTTCTGTATCTATTTTTTTCTCTAATCACATGCTACTGGTGGTGTGGACAGTAGTAGCACATGACCATATCAGGACATGATCTATCTTGGTGTCATGGCTCTCAGTGAGTCTGCTTGGAGGGTAGTAGAAGTATCCCTGGACGTCATTCCTACACCAGGACAGCAATAACTTAGCTCTCCAAGGAAGTTACTGTGAACCACATGCACATATTCTACTCAAGTCAATGTGCCCCCAACTCAATTTGTCCTTAGCTAGACCCCAAAAGTTCTCATGGGGAGTCTCACTCCCCTTCCACTTAACATGATGGAAGGCCTGATTGGAGGGGGGCGTCAGCAGTGGGAAGAGACACAGCCTTCACTGATTGCAGCTAAAATGTCTTACTTTTGAAAATAGGACAAAAACATATGACCATGTGCATATACTGCTGAAGCCCCTCCCTGGGCCATGCAAGGTGCCTATGTGAGTGCAAGTGAGATGCCCGGAAGTGTAAGTTTCATCTGCTCAGGAAAGGGCCAGGTATTGCCTGGTATCACATTCCAGGGGAAAGGAAGAGACAGTCAAGGCCTTATGGCTCTTAACTTTGATCTTAGTGCTTCGTATTTTCCATTCTGCATGATACAAAAACAGATTTAAATCATGTTCTAGATAGAGATGAAAAGCATTTTCACTTTTGGCAGGTCGTGGAACATCAATCAATATTTGTTAATTGGTTGAACTGGATGCATAATTGGAAAGCTAATGGAAGGAGATATGTTTTACAAGGAAGGGCCCTTGGTGATCACTGATTAGTCATTTTTACAGATAGCAAAGCCAGGAAGGGGAATGACTGTCTGAAGGTGGCAGTGAATGACAGAGCTGAGGCCCATGGCAAGGTGCACTAGTACACTCTGCCTTTGCATGACTGTAAGCAATTAAAGTCTCATCAGAAGTCATTGTGAGTTAATACACGGAGCAAATATAGGTGCAGATGTCTAGAAGCAACAATGGCATTTACAGTGAAGCCAAACATTGAAGGTTTACTGTAAAATGTTGCACTGAATTCTTTATATACACCTGTTTTGGTTAGTCATTATTCTCTCCAGTCTGTGGGTTACATGCCCCTTGCTGACCCACAGTACCATGCCACAAGATAGGCAGTGTATTGGCCAGGTGCACACCTGGCAAAAGTCTACTCTGCTTAGGTTCAGCTGTGGATGGGTTCTGTGCGCCTTGGATGGGGTCGTGAAAACTGTGGGACTACAGGACTGGGCTTGTGGGCAGAAGAGTCATAGGGCACTCTGCCTAGGAAAAGGGAAAGGGGCCTGTTCCTACCAGGTGCTCTGCGGAGTGTCCACACTGCAGGGAAAGGCTCAGGTCTGAATAGGAGGTGCAGACTTTGTGTCTACAGGACCCTGCAAACCTGAGGCCTTGTGGAGGTTTGGTCAAGATGGAGAGGCCAGTTAGCGGCGTACCATGGGCTAGACTGTCCATGACGTGGAGTAAAAGGCAGCTATTGGCACTGAGCTAACAACAGTGGGAGGTGGGGCCTCAGTGGAAGTGGATTGCTTGCTTCTCATCCTGCCTCCAACACTTGGTACCCACATGACCCTGCACAAGGAACCTGTTTGTCCCATCTGAGCCTCTGCATCTTGGGCTGTCAAAAGCCAAGAAAAAAAAATTGTAAGACTGATCTCATAGGGTCGTTACGAGAATTAAATGAGATAATCCATGTAAAGCAACTGACATGTAAAAATAACAATAATGAAAGTGACACTAATCTTAGGGTCTACTTCGACTTTGCTAAGTGGTTTTACAATAAATAGCATTATTTATTATTATTCATTATGTTTAATATTACTATTAAATCAGTCTCCATGGCTGTGGATGGGGGTAGGATGACCTGGGCCTGTGGGCCCTGACTATTTGCCTCCTCCATGCCCAGGTACCCAGTCCCTGCAGGCATCTGCAGCTCAGTCCCCCATGAGAACTTCAGGGTGTCCAGCCAAGGGCAGGGTCTCTGGGAGCCTCTCTTTTCTAACGGGGGCTGGGCTGCTGGGCTCAGGAAGCCCATATAGCCCTATGCTTCAAGGGAGGATGGTGAGACAAAGGGAAGCATGGGGAAGAAGGCAGTCTGCACGTTACTGAGCACCTACTATGTACCATGACTCTAGAAGAGTTTGTATATGTTATCTCGCTTAGCGATGCTATCATTAGTTATTCTTATCTCCAATAAAAACAGGAAAATAGACACTTTGAGAAGTACTCTGCTCAAGTGCAGAGCTGGTGAACATAGGACTCAGACTCAAACCTGCTTCCATGTGACTCAGGCCTGCTCCACTATTCCAGGTGTAGGAAAGGCTGCTTATTCCATTCCATGTTGATTTTTGCACAAAATAATTATTGACTCAAACAGGAAGGTGAATTACAAGGTAACTTACCTTAAAAACCAGTTGGGATTTTGACTGGAAGTTGACTGAAGCTATAGACTGCTTTTGGTAGACTTGACATTTTTATGATATTGAGAGTTCTTCACCTTGAATATGGATTACTTTTTTAATTATTAAGATATTCTTTAGGCTGGGTGCGTGGCTCACACCTGTAATCCCAGCACTTTGGGAGGCTGAGGCAGGTGGATCACTTGAGGTCAGGAGTTTGAGACTAGCCTGACCAACATGGTGAAACCCTGTCTCTACTAAAAATACAAAAATTAGCCAGGTGTGGTGGCAGGTGCCTGTAATCCCAGCTACTCTGGAGGCTGAGACAGGAGAATCACTTGAACCTGGGAGGTGGAGTTTGCAGTGAACTGAGATCGCACCACTGCACTCCACACTGGGTGACAGAGTGAGACTCCATCTCAAAAAAAAAAAAAAAAAGAAAATTCTTTGGAAGACACTATAAAATAGGAAGAGACAAATCTAAAACATGTAGATGTAACATGTACAGCTGGAAAAGGATTAGTATCCAGCGTGTATAAAGAACCATTATAAATTCAGAAAAACAACCTAATGGAAGAGGAAAAAAGATACAAATAGACATTTCTCATAGGTGGAAACATAAATAGTAAAAAAGAGGAAATTTCTCATAGGTGGAAACATAAATAGTAAAAAAGAGGAAAAACTCAATAGTATGGGTTGAGTTTATTTTCTTGACTACATTTCTTAGAAATTTCTTGGCTGCCTTTAATTGAAAATACTAATTTTCGGGCCGGGCGCGGTGGCTCACGCCTGTAATCCCAGCACTTTGGGAGGCCGAGGCGGGTGGATCACGAGGTCACGAGATCGAGACTATCCTGGCTAACACGGTGAAACCCCGTCTCTACTAAAAATACAAAAAAATTAGCCGGGCGTAGTGGCTGGCACCTGTAGTCCCAGCTACTCGGGAGGCTGAGGCAGGAGAATGGCGTGAACCCGGGAGGCGGAGCTTGCAGTGAGCCGAGATTGCGCCACTGCAGTCCATCCTGGGGGACGGAGCGAGACTCCGTCTCAAAAAAAAAAAAAAAAAAAAAAATACTAATTTTCAAGAAAATGAAAATTAAGACATCATATGATACTTTTTAAATACTCTTCAATTTATAAAAATTAAGAAATTTGATAAGATCAAGTACTCAGAAATATAAAAACAGAAAGAACTTACACTGCTGGCATGAGTGTAAGCTGATACAAGCACTTCAAAGAGCCTATCTTATAAACTTAAATGTAAGTAAGTCCTATGAACCCACTGATTATATACCCAGGAGAAATTCCTGCCGCTGAGTACTAAAAAAGCATGTACAACAGAATGTCTTTAGCTGCCTTGGTGTAGTAGCCAGAATGAGAATAATGTAGATGTCCAACCATCGGAAAATAGATGAATAAAAGCTGGGTATATTTACTCAGTGGGATATGATACAACTGTCAAAATCAATGACCCAAAGCTGCCACCATCATGAAATGGATGGGTGACAGTGAGCCTCAAAACTTCAGAGTCAGTAATATGGGATGATACCATTTTTATCACGCTAATATGCAAGCAAAGCTAAAGAGTATATTGTTTAGGAATACAGACGTAATCTGAAAAAAATCTTTTTCTTAAAAAAAAATGAGAAGGATAAGCAGAAAACTAGAAATAATTGTTCCCTCTGAGGCAGAGGCAGAGGGATGCAGTCAGGGGGTCTTAAGGGGTTTCCCTATGTTGGGCGTGGTCTCTTTCTGAGCTTGGTGGTTGAGTTGGGGTACTGGTTTTGTGAGTATGCCTCTTAACTCTGACATACATTATATCTGTTTTATTGTCTCTATCAAGTATTACATAATCTAAACAGCCTCGTCCTCCATGCAGCTCCTGACACGTGATGACACTTTTCATAAATTCACCAAATCAGAGAAAAAGTTAAATACCATGAAATACTGTGAAATTCCCTCCTTCTGGAGGAGGGAATCCCATGCGCGTCGTTTCTCTTGCCTGGCTGCACATGCGTGCTGGTGTGTAGGTGGGGCACAGCCAGTGACTCACAGGGGTGGGAAGGCAGATCTCGCTACCATTCCCTGATCCCTGTTTCCAGTCATCTGCCTTATACTTCTGTATCCATTTCCCTGATCTCCAGAGCAGATCAGACCTCTTTGTTTTAGCTGTTCCAGAATGGGCCCTGCGGGCTTGGAGGGTGGTAGTTGCTGCATGGGGTTGGATGGGATCCTGGGGTTCACAGCTCCTCTGTTGCAGGCTGAAATGCACACCTGTTCGTAAGCCCTTTTCCCCACCCATGACAGGTGTGTTCAGGCCCTGAGCTCTCAGGAAGGGTCAGAGAGGAGAAGAACTGCTGTGCTCCTGCCCCCCACCCTCCAAATTGAGTGCCTGCATTTTTGGCCCAGGGCTCTGCAGATTCCAAAATTTTATCGCTCTCTCTCCTTCATCGTGGCTTCCTCTCTCCTTCTCTTTTTCTTTGTCATTTTCTTAAATCATTTCAGTCTTTTCGTGGTATTTTGAGCAGTCCATCTTCTGGGTTCAGTTCACCAGGTCACGGTTAACTTCCTGTGTTGAAATTTGCCTTTTCTTTTATAAGTGAAATAAAGGAAAGATGTTCGGGTTACTCGGATCATCCAGGGGGTTTTCTGTTGGTGGAGGTTTGGGAGGAATGGACAACAGGCCCTTTGGCCTGCTGCTATTTCTGGTCTGACAGGCACGGCCCCTCCCTCTGCTGTTCCTGGAAGCCTGCAGCACTCTGAAGAAGTTTTTCTGAACTAGCCATGACACTGCAATTTTCATCACCATCACTACCTCTTTTTTTTTCTTGCAACTTTAAATTTTAAGATGTTTATAATCAGTGTTAAATTTTCACTCTGATTTCACAGTCATGACAGAAAATAGATAAGCATGATAGCATGCTTATCAAAGGGATTACTTTTTGTACTTTATGCACTAATTTATCTCTTTCAGGGTAGAATTTATTACTGAATCTGTTTTAAAAGATTAAATAATTCCTTTACAAGAGGTGACACTGGCTTCTTATGACAATGGCACCTAGCCAAGCGGAAACTTCCACTTGTGCCTGCCACCTCCTCAGGTACCAAGCCTACGGATTGAACCTCGTAGGCCTGTAGACAAATGCAGAGCTCAAGTTAATTTAGAAAATACCATGCATAACCTGGCATTCTTTTTCTAACCCCAAACAGTCAAGACAGACGTAAGGCATGAACATGTTATTTCAGCTGTCAAAGTAATGAAGTCAATAGCCAAAAGCTCGTACTAATTCAGTATTATTGAAGACAGAGCATCTTAGCACAGCATTTGAATAGGTTTTTGTGTTTCTTTGATCTCATATTTTAAAATTGAACATTAATCAAGTGGACTTTTTGTAGTATATTATGAACTTACTGAAAAGGCAAAATAGAAATGCCCATTGAGATCATAATTGTCAATGTCATGGACAAGGTTATAAAAGTATACCTGTTATATGCTTCTGAGGTTCCACATCTATGCTAATGCTGTTTTCCCAGTGACTGGCTTTAATCAAGTTCTCCCATCTACTTCTTACATGGGTGAAACTGAATTCATAACTGGGTTGGAAAGAGGAGCATCTAATTAAAATCACATTTATACTTGAAATATCTCTCCCTAGTAGGGAAAGATAATATCATCACTTAGTATTTGGGGTGGATGATAATATTAAATGCTTTTCCCATAAGAAACAGTTCAACCAAGGCCTTGTCTGAACTTGTAGAGACTTTAGCATCTTTGAAGGGAGATGGCCAGACATGTTTCCAGGAAGTTATGAGTTTTTCATTATTCTTTCTTCTCTGTTTGATAAACAGTTTAGATAGCCTGCTATGCTGCCCATAGTAACCTTGAGATGTCAGATTTATTGAGGAATCATTTACATACAGTAAAATTTTCAATTGTGTAATAACCACTGAATCCCCTATAAAGTTACCTTTTGCCTCTTTGTAGTCAGCCTCCTTTTTTCATTCCCAGCCTCTGATAATCACTTATCTATTTTCTCTCCTTATAGTTTTACTTTTTCCGGATTGTATAAATGGCATCAGATAGCATGATGGCTTTTGTATCTAGCTGCTTTCACATAACATGCTTTGAGATTCACTCATGTGGTTTCAGCATAAGTTCTTCTTTTTTTTATTTTAGTAACATTTTAGTGCATGGATATATCAAAATTTGTTTATCCATTCACCAGTTGAGGAACATTTGGGTCATTTACTAATTGTTGGCAATTCCAAATCAAGTATGTATGAGCATTAACATTCAGATCTTTGTGTGAATGTATGTTTTTACTTCTCTGGTGTAAATACCTAGTAGTGGGATTTCTGGGTCATATGGCAGGTGGAGGTTTACTTTTATAAAAACTACCAAACTCTTGTCTAAAGTAGCTGCACCATTTTTCATCCCTACCAATACTAAGTACTATTTAGGAGAGTTCCAGTTGCTTCATGTATTCACCAGCTCTAAGTATTGTCACTTAAAAAATTAGCCATTCTAATATGTATATAGTGGTATGTCTTTGTGGTTTTGATTATTTTCCTCATGACTCTGAGCATCTCTTTGTAGGTTTCTTTGCCATATGAACCTCTTCTTTAGAGAGGCTGTTCATAGAGTAATTTTTTTGGCCATTCAAAAATGGGTTTTCATTGGAACAATACAGAGATTAGCATGGCCCCTGTACAAGGATGACAAATTCATGAAGCATTCCATATTTTTTAAAAAATGGGTTTTCACACAAGAAACTTAAGTACGTAGTCCATAGACCCTAAAAAGAAACTACACAATAGAAACTACAAAGTAACCAGCTAACAACTCCACAATAAGATCAAAACCTCACATATCAATATTAACCTTGAATGTAAATAGTCTAAATGCTCCACTTAAAAGGCACACAGTGGCAAGTTGGATAAAAAAAAAAAAAAAGGGTAAGACCCATTCATCTGCCATCTTCAAGAGACCTATCTTACTTGTAACAATGCCCATAGGCTCAAAGTAAAGAGGTAGAGAAAGATCTATCACACAAATGAAAAAAGAGCAGGGATCGTTATTCTTATATCAGATAAAACAGACTAACGACAGTAAAAAAAGGACAAAGAAGGGCATTATGTAATGATAAAGGATTCAATACAAAAAGACTTAACTAACCTAAATATATAAATACCCAACATCGGAGCACCCAGATTTATAAAGCAAGTACTTCCAGACCAATGAAAAGTCTTATATAGTCCACACCGTAATAGTGGGAAACTTCAACACTCCACTGACAGTGTTCAACACATCATTGAGGCAAAAAACTAACAAAGAAATACTAGATTTAAATTCGACACTTGACTAATTGGACCTAATAGATATCTACCAACCACTCCATCCGTCAACTACAGAATATACATTCTTCTCATTTGCACATAAAACGTACTGTAAGATCAACCACATGTTAAGCCATAAAGCATTTCAATATGTTAAAAAAATCGGAATCATACCAGCCATACTTTGGGCCACAGTGGAATAAAAGTAGAAATCAATACCAGGAAGAAGAGACTAAGAAGATCTCTCAAAACCACAAAATTACAAGGAAATTAAGCAACTTGCTCCTGAATGACTTCTGGGTAAACAACAAAATTAAGGCAGAAACTAAAAAAGTATTTGAAATAAATGAAAACAGAAACATGACATAGCAAAATCTCTGGATACAACAAAAGTATTAAGAGGAAAGTTTATAGTTCTAAATGCCTACATTAAGAATTTAGATCTCAGATTAACACTCTAACATCACACCTAGAGGAACTTAAAAAGCAAGAGCAAACTAACCCCGAAGCTAGCAGAAGAAAATAAATAACTGAAATCAGAGCAGAACAGAATGAAATTGAGACCCAAAATTCCATACAAAAGGTTTATAAAACCAAAGGTTGGCTCTTTGAAAAAATAAGCAAGCTTGATAGACTGTAAAAAATAAGCACAGAGGTGACAAAAGTGATATTATAATCAATTCTAGAGAAATACAAAAGGTCCTCAGAGACTATTATGAACACATCTATGCATACAAACTAGAAAATGTAGAGGAATGGCCAAATTCCTGGAAACACAACTTCCCAAGATTGGATCAGGAAGAAATTAAAATCTCGAACAGACCAATATCAGATTCCAAAATCGAATCAGTCAGAAGTGAACCATAAAAAGCCCTGAACCAGATACATTCACAGCTGTATTCTACCAGACATAACGGAAAATTGCTGGTACGAACTCTGAAATTATTCCAAAAAATCGAGGAGGAGGAACTCTTCCCTAACTGATTGTATGCAAAGACACAATGAAAAAAGAAAACCACAGGCCAATCTGATGCACATAGATGCATAAATCCTCAACAAAATACTAGCAAACTGAATCCACCAGCACACCAAAAAGTTATTTTATCACAATCAAGTAGGCTTTCTTCCTGGGATGCAGGGTTGGTTCAACATATGAAAATATATGTGACTCACAAACATAAAGAATTAAAAACAAAAACCATATGATTATCTCAATAGACACAGAGAAAAGTTTCCACAAAACCCAACATCCCTTCATGATAAAAACCCTCAACAAACTTGGCATTGAAGAAACATACCTCATGCCATCTATGACAAACCCATAGCCAACATCATCCTGAACAGGCAAAAGATGGATGCACTCCCTTTAAGAACAAAAATAAGCCAGAGATGCCCATTCTCACTACTCCTAAATAACAGTACTGGAAGTCCTAGCCAGAGCAATCAGGCAAGAGAAATAAAAAGCGTCCAGATAGGAAAAATAAGATTTCAAATCATGTCTTTGCTGATGATATAATTCTATACCTAGAAAACCCTAAGGACTCATCCAAAAAATTCCTTGACCTGATAAATGACTTCATCAAGGTTTCAGGACACAAAGTCAATGTACAAAAATTGGTAGCATGTCTATCCATCTATAACATTCAAGCTGAGAGCCAAGTTAAGAACCCAATCCCTTTTACAATAGTGTCAAAAAATAAAATACCAAAGAATACATCTAATCAAGAAGGTGAAATCTCCACAAAGAGAACTACAAAACAGTGCTGAAAGAAATCAGAGATGACACAAACAAATGGGAAAACATTCCATGCTTGTATATTGTAAGAATTAATATTGTTAAAATGGCCGTACTGCCCCAAGCAATCTATGGATTCAGTGCTATCAAATTACAAATGTCATTCTTCACAGAATTAGAAAAAAACTATTCTAAAATTCACATGAAACCAAAAAGAGTAAAATTGGACCCCTACTTATCACCATATACAAAAATTAACTCAAGATGAATCAAGGATTTAAATGTAAGACTTCAAACAATAAAAATCCTAGAGGAAAATCCAGGGAATACCATTCAGCACATAGCCTTGCAAAGAATTTATGACTAAGTCCTCAAAAGCAATTGCCACAAGACCAAAAATTGACAAGTGGGCCCTAATAAACTGAAGAGCTTTTGCACAGCAAAAGGAACTATCAACAGATTAAACAGACAACCCACAGAATGAGAGAAAATATTTGCAAACTATTACCTGACAAAAATCTAATATCCAGTTCCATCACCCTGTGTACTAATTCCCTGCTAGCTTTTCCTCACCACCAGATACATGGATAAAGGCATGGTTTATCAAGGTTTGGGAAATAGGAGGTCAGATTTTCTAGGAGGGGCCCATGGCCTATGGAGAGGCTTTGTTAGTTTCTTGGAATAAAATTATAATATGTGCCCAGATGTAAGGAAGATTTTCCTCCTCCCCTCCCTTGAATTATTTTCCCGAAAGGAAGGAGTTGCCCAATATTCAAATCCTTACAAATTATCTTCTATTATAGGACAGTATCTTAGTTGTTTTACTTTGAACAATATGAATTGTGTAAGGAAGACACACTTAGCCTTAAATGATTTCAATCAATTCTAGTTTAGGATACTCTCATAGGTCACCAGGAAGAATGGGAGAAGAAGAGTGGGAGTGGGAAAGAATATTAATACTTGAGTAGTAATCATCCTTAGGAAGAAGACTTCAGCATTTGAAATGTCATTAATTGTAGATTAGCTTTTGAAGGACACGTTAAAAAGAAATATTTTGTCAGATCGCCACAGGAGATTTGAGGCATAGCACTATCCTAATGTTGTGCCAGTGGATACTTGAAGCTTGGGATAAAAATTAGAGTGATTGTCCCATTTATATGTTTTAAAAGTGTGTATAGCAACTTAGAAGGGAAGCGGACATAAATGCAAAATGGCATATAATGGTTAAAAATCTGGTTCCAGGGATGCTGGAGAAATGGACGTTAAAATATGTGAGCAGTTTGAATAAAATTCTCTTATGAAATACTTAGCAAAAAAAAGCAATCTTTTAAAAATAACACCTTATTCTGTGATTTGTAAGGTTAAAATTATGTGCAACTACATTGGCTACTTGTTCTAAAATATTGCAAGCTTATTTGCATCATTTAAGGATCCTATATTAAAATTTTCACATTGGGAAAATGGGGGAGTGTCTTCTTATAATCATAAATTTATGATAAAAGAAAATGGGGCCACATTTGTTTCTTGTGATGTCTATAGGATCAATGGAAAAGGGTAGAATCAGAAGGGAAAATCCAATTGTGTTCATTATCAGCAAAATGGAGCAATTGTGTCTAATATAAGGAGAGAAATTTGGATTGTGCTGCTCAGAACACACTGAGTATGTGTATACTACAATCACTATTCTTGTCATCCCATGAGGGCCAAGATTTTAAGTTTAATAACATTCTTTATGATTATAAAAATAGTACTGTTGTTTCTCATTATTTGTGGATTCTGTATTTGCAAATTCACTTATTGAAATTTTTTTGTAGCCGCCAAATCAATACTCATGCCATTGTCATGGCCATTCACAGACATGTGCAGAGAGGCAAAATGTTTGAGTTCTCTGAGGACCACATTCCCAGCTGAGGCTGAATACAGAGAAGCTCTGCCTTACTGTTGGAGCTCTCATATTGTAAACAAATGTGGTTTTCATTGTCTGTTTAGTGTCGCATATTTTGCATTTCTGTGTTTTTGCTGGTGTTCTTGCCTTTTGAAATGGCCCCCAAGAGTAGTGCTGAAGTGCTGGCTAGTGTTCCTGCACTCAGGATGGCTGTAGTGTACTGCACAGAGAAAGTCATGTGTATTAGATAAGTTTCCTTCAGACCTAAGCAAGTTACAGTGCTGTCAGTAGTGAGTTCCAGTTAGTGAAGCAATAATGTATACTAAATAAGGCTTATTTAAGCAGAAACACAAGAAACAAAGATTATGTATTAATCTATTAATAAAAATATTGTGACCAGAGGCTCACAGGAACCTAATCCTTTGTTTCCTTTAGGAGCAGTGGTTCGATATTTGCTAATTCAGTGTTGGCAGCAACTTTATAGAACATGACTGTATATGTGGAGCATTCTGTTTGTTGACTTACATTTTGCTTATCAATATATCATGAACATTTTTTTCTAGGACTTTAATCCTAAGATTATTTTAAAAACTCAATTCATGGTAATTTACTTTCATAAAACGGGTGAATAGATTCAAAAATTTTCGTTCAGGTCAAAGTAGTGAAGAAATTAATGGAAGAAAATTTGGCTGTCTGTGTGAGAGGTCAAATATCCAGGTATTCCAAAATGTGAAATGAAAAAGGCCAAATCAGGTTTTTACTTTTGGTGCAGATGTTTGAAAGAATGTTGACATTCAGCTCTATTTGAGGTCATATTTATTTAATTACTAGAATAACGTTTTTCCTCAACTTATTTACAGAGGGATGGAAAGGAGGTAAAGATTTGGGGAAAAGAACAAAGTCAAACCTCTCAAGCATTTCCTAATGAGTAATATGCAGGAAACAAATTCCATGGAGTGTTGGTATGTGTAACTCCTGGGGTGCAGTTTGAATATGCAGTCACAGTGAGACTGAAGTGTAAGGAAAGTCTTATTACTCTGTTTCTGCAAATCTAATTAAATCTGACTGAACCTACCATGCACTTGTGAGGTAGAAAATTTAAGCATAATTATCTAAGGGGCATCGTCCTCCTACTCACCCACCGTGGGAAGGTTGCAGGGAACTGACACATACTGGAACGCTTGAGGAGGGCTTTCTGTAATTGGTGCACACTAAATTCCACTCATGCTCAGTTTCTAAGCCAGCATGGCCCCTTTTGATGGTGGTGGTGGTGTGTGTTTGTGTGTGGCGGGGGGTAGCTTCCCCATTTCCAGCCAGACTTGTCCATTTGAGTCTTTCCTGAGGCTTAGCTGCAGGTGCACAGGACCTGTATGTCCACCATCCCCTCACTCAGAGACTGTCCCTTCTCAAGACAGAAACTCTAAACTCCAAGCTAGAGGCCTCTTCTTGTTCGATAAATCTCTTCTCATTAGGACTTGATGCTGAAGTCTACCTCCCTCAAACTCTAGAGCCCCACTCTACTTCTTGTGCCAGTTAATTTTTTTAAATGCAAAGATATTTAAACTTGACCTTAGACACAAAGGAAGTCCCATGTCTGCAACACAATGGCCTAAGATGGGGAGCAGAGCTCTCTTTTATTGGACTCTTCCACCAGCATGGAAATGTATCAGATTCTCTCAATAAATTAGCTCACCATGCTCTGCAAAATTGATGACGGGATGCTCAAATCAAAAGGAATTTGCAGGAGGAGTGGATTTATGTACTTTGGGACTTCTCAGAGCCTTTACAATGCTTGCATGCACTGTGAGTCTCCAAGAGGAGGTTGGACCTGGGAGTGCATCTCAAACAAGTTGAACCACAGAGGCTTTTGGAAGTGGAGCACCCTTGGGGTTGGTGCTTGGTGGGGTGTGCACTGCATACCCAAGGTGGCAGACAGATTCTGAAGGGCTTTAAGTTGGCAGGTGACAGATATTCCCCCACTGGACATATTTCCTTAGCAGAGGGTCAAGTAATTTATCCCAGGTCTTCCTTCACAGGTTGGGTTTAGAGAAACGGTGTCCTCTTTGGCATGCTCTCTTGGTCTTTATCCAGGAAGCCTGAGGTTTCTCATGATTTTAGGCTCCCGGTAAAGCTTATAAGAGGTGGGACTTCTGGGGATAAGCCCAGAGCTCAGGGCTGCAGGGTAGGGAAGACCTGCGAGTTGCATGACGTTGGCCTTGAGTCACTGTCTTCTGTGACCTTATCATCTGCTCTTTAGGACTGCTGGAAATTTAGAGACTTCTCTTATGCCACCATAGATGCAATACAGCAGTTGTCTCCGAACAGAGCCCTTCCTTGACCAGAGTATGTGGTGCTGCACTTTATTTACAGGAGTGCAGGAGGGTAGGGCTTGCAGGCACACTCAAAGCAGATGCTGCATCTTCCAAGAAGAGACCTCATTTGGATAACTCAGTCATACCCATTCTCAGTATAAAGAGTAAAGAAATCAGAGGCCATGTGGGAGTTCCTACTGGCATCTCCAGGATTACTGCTTTAACCAGCCTGGGTGTAGCAGGCTCTCTTGTCCAGGACAGAGATCCAAACCAGCCTCTCATCCCATGGCTCAGTTGTGAAGTGCTGTATCATCCTCCAGGGATTCCGAGGTGCACTGGAGCTAATGCACAGACATCCCTTGGTCAAGTGGATTTGTGTCTTTAAGATGTAGAGTGTAATGAATCCTGTTCCCCTCCTAAAAACCTCCTGTTCCCCCAACTTCACATTCAGCAGATATTCTTTCATGGGTTATTTTGCCCAAGTCATGAGGAGATGCATGTAATTGTGATCATTTCAAGAGTGTGAGTAATGCTTGGTACTTGCTCTGTGCCGTATCTGCTCCAATCACCCATTCCACTTTATTTCCTATTATGCTGAATGAAACGGTTATATTACAGCTATCATCTTTCACTTCCTCTGCAGTTTATAAGGCAGTTGCTGCTGCGTGCTCTAACTCCAGATTGAGAGATTAAAATCCACTTCAGAAGGCCTTGTGTATAAACAGAATTTACCATAAATTGGACCAAAATATTCAAGAAAAAATTCAACTCTAGGGAAAGTCTGACCTCCCACCCCTGCCTATTTCTATGTACCATCCATCCTGGAAACTCCCTGAAGTCCAGGCCTTAAACACTTATTTACTGGGAATAGGCTTTCCCAAATTAACATGCAGACTCATATTTTCCTTCTTTGAAGCATGCCACTTAACATGTTGTGTCATTGTGTCTATCTGGGGGCTCTGACAAGCCTATAAAGGATATATGCTGTGTTAGTGACTACTTAGGAGTTTCTAGGAGGCTTGGGGATAAAATTTGGCCTTTGCTGAGTTGTAGACAGAGCTCTGGACTTGAGGCCAGAAGACCTGAGTGTGGGACCCCATCCCACTGCTGGCTTAATGACCTTGGGCACATCACATAATCTCTCCAAACTTCGGAGTTTTTCCTCTTTAAGGTGGACACCATAGGACTCTTGTGAGGATTGAAAGATTATTCATGGAAATGGACACTGTAATGCCTGTCCTGTGGAGAATACTGAATGAAGGATATCTACCTACCTATTTATGTAAACTCCCTGAGCCCCAGTTATATTCATGTATTAATTGGGGGTAATTGTTTCTGCTCAACAGACTTCTCGGAGGCATTCAGTGAGAGTCCAGTGAAGCTCCTCTTGTGGAAATGCTTCTGGGGGACCCACAGCATCACTAGTGTTCTGTGCTGCTGTTAGTTTCTGGAGTCCCACACAGCTCATAGTGCTTTCGTCTGACAGGTGCCCAGTTGCTGCTGTTGCATGCCTGTTGAAGAGTGTTGCTTCTATGCAGAGACTGATTCTTCCTCAGTTCCTCTTGGTAGCCTTTAAAAGATAAACTGAAGCACATTAAAATGTAAAGACTTTATTTGAGCAGACTGACTCATTAATTGGGTAACTCCAGACTGCAAGCATTTGGGGGCTCTGCTGAAGGAGCACGAGGGGGGAAGACTTACAGGGTGAACCTGGAAGTGAGTCAAAGAAAATGATTGATTAATTAATGTGGAGCCATAGCCTTATTTGGATTACTCCAGTGGAGATTGCCTGGTGAGAGGTTGCTTGGCCGTTTCTGAGTGGTGAAGCTTAAGGTTAGTTTTACCATTTACACTGAATTAGGTTTTGGTTTGCTCATGTAGGAACCCAGGGAGCTGGAGCTGCTTTAGTCTAATGGCCTCCCAGTTAATGATTTTTAATGTGGCCAAGGGGCTGTTGGCTACATGGTCTGGATGTTCAGAGCCTTGTTAAAGGCAAAGAGCCCTCTGGGCTGTGGCTCCCAGCCTCTCCAGTCAAAAGAAGGAGTTTAAAGAAGGTAGAAAAGCGATGAAGCCACATGTGATGTGATAAACAGATGATCCCTTGTTTAGCCTCGGTGCTATCTCCTTCTCTAGAGCTGCTCATTCTCCTTTCTTTGGTACCTCATGATTTTCAGAGACTTGGGCAGAAAGGGAGGAGGGATGGGGCCTTCAATACCCTCTGGACCTGCTTTGGGAAGGCATGGTGTGTGGGGTGAATGTATGAACACTCCTTGCTTCCCCTAGTTGCATTATCCTCAGGGGAGTTTGCCAAGATTATGTCTTTACACCTTACTGGCTGTGAATCTTGAAAAAATTACTCTTTGAGCCTTGGTTTTCCATATTTCCAATGAGGATAGCTGTGTCTACCCAGTGACTGTTGTTAGAATTAAATCTGAAAATGAGTACCGTGGTTAAAAGCCATTTTTGTAAATCCAAAAGTGAGGGCCTGTTAATGTGATTGATTCATCACCATAGGCAGGTGGTGCTAACAAATTAGTCCCTGCCTTTCTGTTTGCTTGGGTGAAATCCAGAGCAATTTGTGGGTCAAGAGAGCCAGGTTGTGAGAGCCAGGTCTTGGAAAGGAGGATACCAGTAGCTGGCTAGTTACTAGGGAGGAAAACAACGCTTCAGGATGCTGTTCAGCCAAATGGTAGGGTCTGTGGTCCCGCTGTTGGGAAGGCAGAGGCTGGGACCTCTCAGGAGCTTGTGGGGTCCAGAGTGGCTTCTGAATGAATGTTCTGGCACCTGGAGGAAGCAGCCTTCTGCACCTGCATCAGTCAGCAGATTATGGTGTTAGTGACTTTAGCCAAGTTCTTCCTGTACCTCGTGCCTTATTTTTATTTCAATCTATAGAAAAAAGATGAATCCTACCACCTCTTGGTAAAATGGTTCTGTAAAAATGAAATCAAATTACCGCTGATATCAGAAAGTGACACAAAACAAGAAAACATGAGAAATTCAGTTGTAGGGTATAGGTTTTGTCAGACTAAATTCGAGGTAAGCAATACCTGCTTCTCTCTTAGACCCCACACTTAAAATAAAACAAATGTTTGCCGGGGTGTGTGGTTTCTTGTCGGCACGCTCTGATGTGTGAGGTACAAGAGGCCAGAGGGTGAGCATCAGAATGGAAATAATAATTATTTTTTATACCAATGTCTTCTCAAGCTTCAAAGAAAGGAGCCTCTCTCCTTGCACATGCAAACCTCAATTTGGGAGCTGAGGAAGGTAATTTTCACATGCAAATGCATATGAGTTGAAATGAGCTGAGGCAATGAGCAGATTGTTAAAGAGACACCATTCCTCTTCTCATCCAGTACAAAGGAGCAGGGGCTTGGGAGAAGCAGCTATTTCTTAAAGGAGCAAAGGGAAAAACCTAGTGAGTTTCTTTGCCCCTGTCCCTTGGACATGTCTCTGCATCCATGGAGCTCTCCAAGAACTAATGATTAAACTTGGCAAAAACTAACTACCCCTTAGTAAGGTACTTGAGTGGAGCAAAACGTGTAGGTTTGAGTCTGATTTTGTTGCAGATCCCATTCTTCTGCAGACTGATCATGGGACCTCAGGGGAATCATGTAACTTCTGTGAATCTGACTTTTCTCATCACAGGATGCTGTCAGGATTAATGGGAGTATGCTGTGATATCCTCTGTGGTATAAATTACAGGCCACAAACCCAGGGGAGAAGTAACAAACACCACTGCCTTTTCTAAAATAGCAATTTCTATGCTAATCCCTCATCCAACCATCCTTTGTAGGACTACCCCTTCCAAAATAGCACCAGGTCTCTGGAATCAGAGGATAAGGGAATGATTTGTCATCCAGGTGTACAAAGCACCTTCCAGTCCAGAGCTTCTGTTATTCCAAGCCATGCTTGGAACACTGGGACTTTTCTGAGGTGCCTGGGACCCTTTGTGCCCAGAAAAACCCTCAGTCACCCTTTCTCTTGCCTGGTGTTTAGAGAACAAAGGGGTTTCTGTTCCTCATATCCTGACCACCCCCACCACTGGTCCTGGACCAGTTTCATGGAAATCTGTTTTTTTATGTTTCAGGTCAAGACACTGCTATTTCTGAATCACTCTCCAATCCCTAGGGAAAAATTGCCAGGAACCACTGCAGAAGGGCTATACCTTTGCTCTGCCCAAAGCTGTGGCTGGTTATCTGCTGGACTAAGAGCTGTGGGCATTGGCTTATTATCTGCTGGACTAAGGGAGGTACAGGAAGGGCAAAAAGAAATTAACACCTCACTGTAATTGGGAAGAGTCATTGCAGATGCCATAACGGTGTGTGCTCCTGCACCTTCCTCACCTCTAGGTTGGGGATTCAAAGACTCCCCTGACCCTTACAACTCTATGATTCCTTGAGTCAGAATAACTGTAAAGTACAGAAAGAACAACTAATCTTTGTATTTTTGCTTTGGTCCTCTGAAACTCCTACTTTGGGGGACAGCAACTTTGCATTTTTAAAAGTTTCGACATTGCCATTTTGTTTGGATTAATGCAGAAATAATTTTAAATGGTCACTCCAACAAGAGCCCTTGCTAATTTTAGGAAGGGCTATTAAGAGACACACCCTTGTAACATTTCCCACATCTTCTGTGGTTTTGGGCTTGTGGTTTGTCTGTCTGAAAATAGCTAAGATGGTTTCACTGGAATATTGAAAACTCTGACCAAAGCAGAGAATAGAAATTTAACGAAAAAAGTTTGCCTAATATCTCTACAAGGCCAGAAGGATCTGTTGAATTTTCTGCCTTTGGCATCTATGACCATTAAAGTAATCACCAACTGGTAGACCCTTAGAACTGGTGGAGACACAGGGCACATTGAAGTGATTTTTCTCTTGTTCTGAAAAAAATAATCATTGATTCCTTTTTCTCCCCTCCAGGGGTCTTCCAACCTAAGACTCTCCCCAGGAACACCTAAGGCTGAGTGTAGACAGGCTTTTGCTTGGCTTGGATGCTTAGAGCTTGGTACCACGAAGTCAAATCACCTTAGTCTGACTTCATTAGAGTTGCTGAGGTCAGCACAGAGGTTTTGGTCATATCACAAACATGTCTAGTGGTGAAGAGCTATCTCAGGGTGGGACTTAAAGATAACAGAATTCTGGCTAAACATCAGGTCACCTGGCTTCTAGCAACAAATCCAGCAGTGACCAGCTGTGTAATTTGGATAAACTTTCAACGTCTCTCTAGCTTCCTACTTACGTAAAACAAAGTGAGTTCATATAAATGTCAAAATCTCCTCAGGTCTCATTTTCAAGGATTTTCCAATGATACATGATACAGGAGGAGATGGAGTAGATGTACTTTTCTTCTTCTGCCATAAATGTATTAAGTACCTTGGATGTTGTATATAAAACAAGCATAAGATGACTCTGAAAAGTGGCTTTGGCACCCGAGGAATGACATGGTGGTGAGTTTATTGGATGTTCTTTTTGCCTTATATGTCCTTTAATTGTAACTGAAAAAGCTGGTAACCTGGGGGCACCATTAGGCACAGATAAAATAGTTCCAAGAAAAGGTTTCTGTTTTTAACCAAAGGACCAGAAACAGGGCGACCTAGCAAGACAAAAATGTTTTGGGCAACAAACACTCTACCCCACCCAAACACCAAGCAAAAACAATGGCTTTACTTTTAACCACTCCAGCAAAGTCTGGATGGGGAGCTTAGACTTTCACTCTCATGAGGCTGTAATTAGATTGCCCAACAGCCTCACCATGGTGGCATCAGAAAAGGCCGAATAGCAAGCCAGGACCTTCATTCTCACTGGAAATGAGCTCTCACCCAACACAATGTCAGTGAAGACCCTGGGGAGAGACAGAACTTCTATTTCCACTTGTCAGGAGTGAGGAGCCCTCTCTGCCTTGAGTGTCATGGAGACAAAGTGGAGAACCTGGACTTCTACTCCTACCTAGCAGTAACAAGGTGGCAGTAACCCTTCCCTTGACAGAGTGGTGTCAAAGAGAGCCATATAAAGCAGAAAATTTAAATGAAATCATTTCAGAACATAATGTGAAATACCCAGGTTTCAATAAAAATTGCTTTTTATGTCAATAATTAGAAGTATCTTGAACCAAATGAAAAAGAGCAATCAATAAATGCTAACATTGAGATGACAAAGACGTTAGAAATATCTAACAACATTTTTTTTCTAATGAAGATTTCTAAGCAGCCATGATTTCAATGAGCAATTATAAACATCTTTAGGTAAAAAAAAAAAAAAAAAGAGACTTGGCAAATAAATAGAAGATATAAAAAAACTACTGAAAATTATAGCAATGAAAAGTGCAAAAGCTAAAGTAACCATATCCGTGGATGAGATCAATGGCAGAACAGAGGAGAAAGAGGAATCGGTGAACTGGAAGATAGAACAATCAAAACTATCTAATGTAACCCATAGAGAAAAAAGCAATTGAGAAAACAAACAGAGCCCCTTAGACCTGTGGATATTGTCACAAAAGATCAAACATTTAGGTTATGGAAGCCTAGGAAGGATCAGAGAAGGAAGGCCCATAAGCTAATTAAACCTCTTTTCTTTATAAATTACCCAGTTTTTCAGGTAGTTCTTTATAGCAGTGTGAGAATGAACTAATACAAAATTTGGTACCAGAGAAGTGGGCCATTGCTATAAAGTTACCTGAAAATGTGGAAGCAGCTTTGGAACTGGGTAACAGGCAGAGGTTGGAACAGTTTGGCAGGCTCAGAAGAAGACAGAAGGATGAGGGAAAGTTTGAAACTTCCTAGAGACTTGTTGAAAGGTTGTCTCCAAAATGCTATAGCGATATGGACAGTGAAGTCCAGGCTAAGGAGGTCTCAGGTGGAGATGAGGAGCTTTTTGGGAAAAGGAATAAAGATCACTCCCACTATACTTGAGCAAAGAAGGAGATTGGTGGCATTGCGCCTCACTCTAGAGATCTGTGGAACTTTGAACTTGAGAGAGATGATTTAGGGTATCTAGTGGAAGAAATTTCTAAGCAGCAAAGCATTCAAGATGAGGCTTGGCTATACAAAAAAAACACATTTTTTCCCTTTTAGACCCAGGCCTATGATGGGAGAGGCTGCTGCAAAGATCTCTGAAATGACTTGGAGGCATTTTTCCCGTTGTCTTGGCTATTAACATTTGGCTCCTCTTATGCAAATTTCTGCAGCAGGCATTAATTTCTCCCCCAGAAAATGGAGTTTTCTTTTCAACTACATAGGAAGGCTTTAAATTTTTCAAACTTTTATGCTCTGCTTCCCTTTAAAATTTAAGTGCCAGTTTCAGATAATCTCTTCATGCATATGAGTGTATGCTATTAGAAGCAGCCAGGCCCCAGTTGCTTTGTGCAGCCTTGGGACTTGGCATCTTGCATCATGGCCGCTCCAGCTCCAGCTGTGACTAAAAGGGGTCAAGGTAGAGCTTGGGCCATTGCTTCAGAAAGTGCAAGCCCCAAACCTTGGTGGCTTCAACATGGTGCTAAGCCTGCAGGTGCACAGAGGGCAAGAGTTGAGGTTTAGAAGCCTCTGCCTACATTTCAAGGAATGTATGGAAACACCTGGAAGTCAAAGCAGAAGTCTGATGCAGGGGTGGAGTCCTCATGGATAACCTCTACTGGGGCACTGCCTAGTGGAGCTTTGAGAAGAGGGCCACCATGCTCCAGACCCCAGATTAGTAGAGATACTGACAGCTTGCACCACACACCTGGAAAAGCTGTAGGCATTCAATGCCAGTCCTTGAAAGCAGCTTCAGGGGCTGTACCTTGTATAGAGCCATGGGTTGGAGCTTCCCAAGGCCTTGGAGGCCTACCCCTTGCATCAGTGTGACCTGGATGTGAGACGACATGAAGTCAAAGGAAATTATTTTGTGGTTTTAAGATTTAGTGACTTCCCTGCTGGGTTTTGGACTTACATGGTGGCTGTAGCCCCATTTTTGGAGTGGGAACATTTATCCAATGCCTGTACCCTCACTGTATCTTGGAAGTAACTAACTTGTTTTTTATTTTACATGTTCATAGGTAGAAGGGGCTTGCCTTGTCTTGATAAGACTTTGGACTTGGACTTTTGAGTTAAGAGTTTGGGGGACTGTTGGGAAGGCATGATTGTGTTTTGAAATGTGAGAAGGACATGAGATTTGGGAGGGGCCAGGGGAGTAATGATACGGTTTGGCTCTGTGTCCCCATCCAAATCTCATGTTACATTGTAATCCCTAATGTTGGGGGAAAGACGTGGTTATTTCAAATATAATGACATAGGCAAATTGAAAGTAAAAAAGATTAAAAATGATATGTCATGTAAGAAGTCAAAGAAAAAAAGAAATGGCTATATTCATATCAGATAAAGTAGACTTCAGAGAAAATAAAATTACCAGAGAAGAGAGGAACCTTACAGAATGGTAAAAAGTCAAGTCACTAGGAAGACATAGTAACTGTAAATGTGTATGCACCAACCAACAGAGCTTTGAAATATGCAAAACAAAAACTGATGAAAAACTCAACACATTCTTTTTAAAGCACCCACAGAACTTGTTCCAAGTTGGAAGATATCCTGGGTTATAAAACCTCAACAAATTAAGGAGACACAAAATCACACAAAGTGTGTTCTTTGATCACAATGCAATCAAACTGGAAACCAATAAACAGAAAGATAGGAAAATATCCAAACAAATGATAATAAAGAATATATCTAAAGAACCCATGAAACAAAAAGGACGTCTCTAGGAAAATAAAATTTACACTAGATGGAAGAAAAATTAAAATATAAAATATCAAAATTTGTGAGATACTGATAAAGCATGCTGAAAGGTAAATTTATAGCACTAATTGCCTACACTAGAAAAGAGGAAACATTTCAAATCAACAACTTAGACTCCAACCTCAACAACTTAGGAAGAGTAAAGAATAAAGAATCATAAAGAAATAATAAAGAATAAGCATAATAGCAAACATAATAGGAGTAGAAATTAATAAAATTGAAAGCAGAAAAATGGAAAGAAAAAGCTGCTTTGATCATTAAATTGTCAGATCTCAAAGACTGATAAAGATAAAAAGAAAATATTAGAATTTTCTGATCACCAATATCAGAAATTAGGACATATTGCTGCAGAATCTGCAGATATCAAAGGTATAAGGAATTATTACAAACAACTCTGTATATGTAAATTTGACAACTTAGATGAAATGGATCACCAATTCTTTTAAAAAACACAAACTATCACAACTCATCCAATATTAAGTAATTTGAATCATCCTGTAACTACTAAGGAAATTGAATTATGAATTTAAGCACCTCCCAACCTAAATCTCCTGGCCCAGATAACTTTACTGAATATTTCTATCAAATGTTTACAGAAGAATTAACAACAATTTGATATAATCTCTTCCAGAAAATACAAGAGGAGACATTTGTTAATACACATTATAAAGCTAATGTTGCCCTGATATCAAAATCATACAAAGTACAATCAATCAACAAAGAACTCCCACATACAAAACTACAACAAACAAAATCCAAAAGACCCCCCAAAACTACAGACAAATGTTCCTTATGAATATAGACCCAAAAATCATTAATAAAATGTTAGCAATATTAAGCAGTATATTCAATAATGTTCCAACTGGTTTAATATTTGAAAATCAGTCAGTGTAATCCACCATATTAATATGCTAATGAATAACAATCACATGATTATATCAATGAATAAAGAAAAATTATTTGACAAAATTTCACACTCATATGACAAAAACTCTCAGAAAAAATAGGAACCAGAGTACTTCCTGAATCGATAAAAAGTTTTTACAAAGCCTAAAGCAAACGTTATACTTAATAGTGAAAGAATATATGCTTTCTCCCTAAGACTGGGAATAAGACAAGATTATCTGCTCTCATGAATCTTACTCAATATAGTATTTACAATTCTAGCCAGTGCAATTAAGCAAGAAAAAAAACACAAGGCATACCAATTATGAAAGGAGTAAAAACCATCCTTCTTTGTAGATGACATGATTATCTACATCAAAAATTTCAAAAAATCTACAAAAATCTTCTAAAAGTAAAAAGATTTCAGCAAGGTCACCAGATACAAGACATGCATACAAAATCACTTGAAATTTGATATGCTAGCAATGAACATGTGAAAACTAAAGCTAAAAATACAATACCATTTAAAATCACAAAAAGATGAAATATTTATGTGTAAATATACCAAAACATGTACAAGACTTTTATGACAAAACTATACACACAGATGAAAGAAATCAAATAATGTCCAAATACAGATTATAATACTTAGTATACTAAAGATATCAATATATCTTAGTATACAATTAGATATTAGTGTCTTAGTATACAATAAGATATTAAGGAGAAATTGACCCAAAAGATAGCTATCATAATAAAGAAACAAAACAGAACAAAACAAAAGAAACAAATGCTGGAACTGAAAAATTCAATGAATAAGATAAGAAATACATTTGAGAATTTCAACAATAGATGAGCTAAAGGAGAAGAAAGAATTTTAGAACTTAAAGACAGGTCTTTAGAAATAACCCGTGTGGTGGGACACAAGCAACCAAATATTCAAACTTTGGGTGTTTCAGAAGATTAAGAGAAAGCCAAAGGCTTAGAAAGTCTATTTAATGAAATAACAGCTGAAAACTTCCCAAGTCTGGCAAGAGATTTAGACATCCAGATACAGGAAGCTCAAACTCTCAAATAGATACAACCCTAAGAAGTTTTCTCCATGGCACATGATAGTCAAATTGTCAAAAGTTAAAGACAAAGAATCCTGAAAATAGGAAGAGACCAGCATCTATTCACATATGAGGGAACATTCATCAGACAAGCAGAAGATTTCTCAGCAGAAACCTTACCAGCCTGGTGAGAATTGTATGACATATTCAGAGTGCTGAAAGACAACAACTGTTTGACAAGAACACTATAGCCAAAAAAGTTATCCTTCATCAATGAAGGAGAAATAAATTCCTTCCCAGACAAGCAAAAGCTGAGGGAATTCATTACCAGTAGGCCAACCCTAGAAGAAATGCTTAAGGGAGTCCTATACCTGGAAGTGAAAGGACAATATCTACCCTCGTGAAAACACATGATGTGTAAAACTCACTGGTGGAGCAAACATACAAATGAAGAAGAGAAAGTACTCAAATGTTACAATGACAGAAAACCACCAAACAAAAAAAAGAGAATCCAAATAACCAAGACAATACTGAACAAAAAGAACAAACCAGGAGGCATCACACTGCATGACTTCAGAATATATTACAAGGTTATAGTAACCAAAACAGTATGGCATTAGTATACAAATAGACACATAGACCAATGGTAGAGAACAGAGAACTCAGAAATAAATTCATGTATTTACAGCCAACTGATTTTTGAAGAAGGTGCCAAGAACATACAGTAGGAAAAGAACACCCCTTTCACTAAATGGTGCCAGGAAAACTAGACATACATGTGTAGAGGAATGAAATTATTCTCCTATCTCTCACCATTTACAAAAATTGACCGCAAATGGATTAAGAACTTAAATGTAAGAGTCAAACATATAAAACTACTAGAAGAAAACATAAGTGAAACACTCCAGGACGTTGGTTTTAGCAAAGATTTTATGGCTAAGACCTCAAGAGTACAGGCAACAATAACACAATAAGACAAATTGGACCATATTAAACTAAAAAGCTTCTGCACAGTAAAGGAAGCAATCAACAGAGTGAAGAGACAATTTATCGAATGGGGGAAATATTTGCAAACTATTCAATGAACAAGGGACTAATATCTAGATATATGAGGAACTCAACAGCAAAAAAATAATCCCATTTAAAAAGTGGGCAAAGGACACGAGTAGACATTTCTCAAAAGAAGACATACAAATGGCCAACAGGTATATGAAAAAATGCTCACCATCACTAATCATCAAGAGAAATGGAAATCAAAACCACAATGAGATATCACCTTACCCTGTTAGAATGGTTATTATAAAAAAGACACAAAATCACAGATGTTGGCAAGGATGTGGAGAAAAGGGAATGGTTATACACTGTTGGGGGATGATGTAAATTTGTATAGTCATTATGGAAAACAGCATGGAGATTTCGCAAAAATAAAAAAGTAGAACTACTGTATGATCCAGCAATCCCACTATTGAGTATTTATCAAAAAACAAACAAAAATCCATACATCAAACATGTACCTGGAGCCCCATGTTTATTGTAGCACTATTCACAGTAGCAAAGGTATGGAATCAACCTAAGTGTCCATGAGCAAATGAATAGAAAAAGAAGATGCTGTGTGTGTATATATATATATATATATATATATATATATATATATATATATATATATATGTATATATATGTGTATATATACACGTGTATATATGTATATATATGTATATATGTGTATATATACACGTGTATATATATGTATATATGTATATATGTGTATATATACACGTGTGTATATATGTGTATATATACACGTGTGTATATATGTATATATATGTATATATGTGTATATATACACGTGTGTATATATGTGTATATATGTATATATGTGTATATATACACGTGTGTATATATGTGTATATATGTATATATGTGTATATATACACGTGTATATATATGTGTATATATGTATATATATACACGTGTATATATACACGTGTATATATACACACACACAATGAATACTGTTTGCTATAAAAAGAATAAAATCTTGTCATTTGCAGCAACATGGATGAAACTGGAGGTTAGTTTGTTAAGTGAAATAAGCCAGGCACAGGAAGATAAATATCACAAGTTTTTGCTCATAAGTGCAAATTAAAAACTTGATCTCATTGAGGTAGAATAGAATGATAGTTACCAGAGGCTGGAAAGAGTATGCTTGTGGGAGGGGTTGGGGGAATGAAGAGATTAATGAATACAAATATACAGTTAGATAGAAGGAGTAAGTTTTAATGTTCAATAGCAGAGTGAGGTGATTATAGTTAACAACAATGTATTGTAAATTTCAAAATAGCCAGAAGGAACAACTTGAAATGTTTCCAACAAATAGAAATGTAAATACTTAGGGTTATCAATATCCTAAATATCCTGATTTGATAATTACACATTCTATGCATGTAGCAAAATACTACAGGTAGCCCATAAATATATTAGTTTAAAAATTGTTCTAAATCTTAGCAAGATTTTTGTGTAGTTGCAGACAAGATTGTTTGAAAATTTTTTGCAGAAAGGCAAAGGGACTACAATAGCTAAAACAATTTGGAAAAATAATAAAGTGGAAAGAATAAGTCTACTAGATTTTGAGACATTATATAGTTACATTAATCAAGACTATGTGGCAAAGATGGAAAGATAAATAGACACACAGATAAACATAAGTGAATAAGGAATCCCAAATAGTCCTGCACATATATGCCCAAATGATTTTTACAAAGATGCAAAGATGATTCAACAAATGGTGCTAGAACAATTGTACATTCATGGAAAATAAACAAACATAACCTCAATCTAAGTCTCATGTCTTCTCCAAAAATTAACTCAAAATGTATCACAGACTCAAAAGTTAAAAGTAAAACTTTCATTTAAAAAAGAATGACATCTTTGGGATCTAGGGCTAGGCAAAACGTTTTGAAACTTGAAACCTTAAGTGTGATCCATGAAAGGAAAAACTAATAAGTTGGGCTTCATCACTAATTTAAACTTTTGCTCTGTTAAAGACCCTATTTAGAGGATAAGAAGATAAGCTACAGATTGGGACAATATTTGTATAAGCCACATATCCAATAAGGGACTAGAATCTAGACTATGTAAAGAACCCTCAAAACTCAAGTGAAAATGGAAGCAATTTAATTAGAACGTGAATGAAAAACATAAAGAGAGATATCTCCCCAAATAAGACATACAGATGGCGACCAATCACATGAAACGATGTTCAGTCATTAACCATTAGGGAAATAGAATTCAAAACTACAAGGAGCTATCACTACATTCCTATCAGAATGGCTAAAATAATATTGATAACACCAAATATTGGAGAAGATGTGAAGAAACTGGATCACTCATATTATTGATGGAATTGAAAAATTGTGCAGAGACTCTGGAAAACAGTTTGGTGGGTTCATATAAAACTAAATATGCAACCACCGTATGAGCCAGCAATTGCACTGCTGGAGATTTATCCTAGAAAAATGAAGACTTAACATTCATTCTCACAGAAACCTGCACATGAGTGTTTATAGAAGTTTTATTTGCAGTAGCCCCAAACTGGGAAGCAGCCCAGAGGTCCTTCGATGGATGAATGGTTAAACAAATTGTGGCAAATCCATATCATGGGGACACTATTCACCAATAAAAATGGAACAAATGGTTGATACAACAATAGCCCACATGAATCTCTGAAAAATCAGGCTGAGTGAAAAAAGCTGGAAGGTTACATACCATTTGATTCCATTTATATACATTCTCAAATAATAAAATCATAGAAATGGAGAATAATGGGTTAAGGAGGAGTTAGGGGCAGGAAAGAAGTGGCTGTGATAATAAAAGGGCAACATGAGAGATCCCTGTGGGGAAGAAAATATTCTGTGTCTTGACCGTGTCAAAGTCAGTACCCTGGTTGTGACACTGTACTATAGTTTTACAAGACACCACCATTGGGGGAAATTGGGTAAATAGCACAGGGGCTCTCTCTGTATCGTTTCTTACAAATGTGAATCTTCAATTATCTCAAAAAGCTTAAAAAGCTTTAAAGGAATATGAGATACAATAATCAATGTTTATAAAACCAGGGAGTTCAGAAGTTGAGTTTAGTTTGACGTCAAGATCCCCAAGTTCCCACCGTAAATTTCCTCATCTTTGCAGCCTTACCTGGCACCACTTCTCCCTCGTCCTTGACTTTCTACTGCAGTGGCACTGAATTATTTCCCTTTTGTACACTGTGCTTTCTCCTGCCAAGGGCCTTTGCGTATACTGTTTCTCTTGCCTTCTCCTCTCTTCATTTGCTCAACTCCTTATTTTATGGATCACTTCTATATTAGTCTATTTTCACACTGCTAATAAAGACATACCAGAGACTGGGTAATTTATAAAGTAAAAGAAGTTTAATTGACTCACAGTTCACGTGGCTGGGGAGGCCTCACAATCGTGGTGAACGGTTAAAGGGAGGCAAGACAGCGTGTACAGGGGAATTGCCCTTTAAAAAACCATCAGATCTCATGAGACTTATTCGCTATCACGAGAACAACATGAGAAGAACCCGCCCCCATGATTCAATTACCTCCTACTGGGCCCCTCCCATGACAAGTGGGGATTATAAGAGCTACAATTCAAGATGAGATTTGAGTGGTGACAGAACCAAACCATAGCAACTTCCTTACGGATGCCCTTCCTGACCAGGTAAAATCCCCCTCTCATGGCATCCTGTGTGATTCTTACATAACACCAGTCATGGTTGTCACATTTAATTTCTGACTTGATTTGCTTAAGTTCTACCTCACTGATCTGAAACTCAATGAGAGTGGGGACTAGGACTCACCACTCTCACCATTGGTGAGTACATTTTAACTCACCAATGTACCTCCAGCAACTAGCACCATGCCAGACACATAATGAGCATTCATCAAATATTTGTGCAGTGAATGAAGGGAAGCATGAGGGGATTCTTTACCTTTCTGTTCTTAAACCAGCAAGGTCTTCAATATATTTAGAGTATAGTCTGATCTCTCCTCCCTGCTCTGTGTGATCCACCATCCTGGGAAGAAGTGCACTGTGCTTCTTTGAAGTCTCCACTGCCCTCAGTTGATCCTAACCTCCCAGAAGGCATGCAGGCAAGTGACCATCCTGGCATGGCCATGTGAGAGCTGGAGAGGAATCATAGGGAAGGCCAGAGAAGATGCACTCAGGGAAAGGCTGGGTCTGACATACGGGCAAGCTAGGCTTCCCTAGAGAATCCTTCCCTAGCTTCTGCTTTCCTGGCAGAAGCTGCTGCTCTCAGTGACTCTCCAGCGATTGGTATATGTTACAATTGTGAACTTCTGTGGTCACTACTTGTGTCTTGGGAAAAGGCAGCAACCTCTCTCCAAAGACTGGGTCATAACAGAATAAAATATCTAATGTCCGCCCTGTATAATGCCATGCTGCTACCTCCCAGCCCTGCCAGCTGTGGCCCTGTTCCCAAGGGCTCTACAGTCTGCCAGTACAAGCATTGCTGGTGGAAAGTTGGCAGGCTGACTATCCTAGAGTGGGGAGCAGGGGATTCAGCATCACAGCCCTTACCATTCTGTCTCCATACCTGTTTGCCCCAGTAGAGTATAAGCTCTCTGACAAAACAGGGAGATTATCTTGTTCCCCACTGTAGCCTCGACATTAAACTCTGTGCCTATAATGTAGTAGGTGCTCAATAAATGTTAATTACACGAATGAATAAAACTAACCTTTATTATCTCTTTTGTGGGCTCCTTTTCAGGTTTTCGTGCTTTGCCTGGATTCTCATGGTGTCTGCCTAACTCCCTCCACCATTTCCACCCATACATGACCTCCATGTCTCTATCACATTCCACTTTTAAGCTGAAAGTAACCTAATCAGTTTTACCTTCAAAGTGAAAAATGTTCAATTAGTTTTGAAGTTGAATCTTGATCCTCCCGAATAAACAAGGATTTCTAGTAAGTGTAGAAAGAAGATTTGAGTAGATGAACATTTATCTTTACCCCATTGTGTGCTGGACATTATGCTTCTTGTTCCTCCCTATGTGAGAGGCATTTTAATTTTCATTTTCACAGAGAAGACGACTTAGATTCACAAAGATAAGCTGTGTTCTTAGGGCCACACAGCAAGGCAGCAGGGACCAAAGATCTAAGTTAAGATCTACTTAATTCCTAAGCTCCTTCCTGCAAGGGCTGGAATATCTCTTAGAAATTTTTCTGACAGTAATTTTAGCTTTAGGAGAAAGACTAGACACTGTTTTTTGACCTTTCCAATTATCTGACAAACCCAGTGTTAATAAGCTGAGTCAGAATTGATGACCTCAGGACTGTTTTAAGCCCCAAACCATCTTCGGATGAAATGATAAAACGAGACTGCGAGGCTAATTAACAAGTCTAAAAACATTATGTGAGTTCCAGTGATGCCTTTCCTTCTGGCCCATCCCACACCTTTCCCAAATAAGAAAGCAACTAATTTGCAAAACCGTTGCTTCTGTGGAGCAGCTGTGAGAGTCACTGACATATATGATTAGCATAAAATTAATTCCTGTTGGGGAAGCATTATTACCAGCCGTAATGAGGTTTAGGAAGTGACTAGTACTGTGTATGAAGGATGGTGGATACTCTTCTTTTCACTCTGGATGAAATGTGTGTGGGATGCAATTTTCGACAGAATTATGCTTAAGGATCATGTGTTTATGGCACAGTCTGTGTCCATTTGGGCTGCTATAACAAAATGCCAAAAACTGAGTGGTTTATCAACAATAAAGATTTATTTCTCATGGTTCTGGAGGCTGGAAAATCCGAGATCAAAGCACTGGCGGATTCAGAGTCTGGTGAGGGCCCACTTCCTGGTTCGTAAACGCCATCTTTCATTGCATCCTGACACGGTGAATGGGATGAGGCAGCTCTCTGAGGCAGCTCCCATCATGAGGGAGACCTCAGGACCTAATCACCTCCCAAAGACTTCACCTCCTAATACCATCACATTGGGGATTATGATTTCAACATAAGAATTTTGAGGGAACACAATAATTTAGTCGATAGCAGGCATCTTGTGTAAGGTAAGTTTTAGTCAGTGATTTGAGGGTGGGGACCATTTATGACAGTTTAAACAGGTCTCTTCATAATATTTCTATGTTTTGTTCTCATGGAAAATTCTGTGTAGAAGACAGGACAACTTAAACCTCTTAAATTAAATGTTCCTTAAATGAGCTATAATTTTACCATTAATTTGGTTTATAATTTTAAATGGAAAAGAAGAATAGTGAAGCTACTGTAGTTAAAAATGGGAATCATTTATTCCAATTACATAACAAAAAATAACCACCTGTAACACTTATACCTATAGATAAGCAAAGTTAACTGAGTTATGTATTTCCTTTTAGATAAATATTAGGTACCAGACAAATATTGCTGAATAGATTTTCTGAGTATAACTGCCAAGCTAGAATTCTATCCAGGAAAACCATTCCTTAAGAATGGAGGAAAAATAAGGGCATTATCAGACAGACCAAAATTTAAACAATTGTTACCTTCAGGCAGACACTAAAGGAAATACTGAAGTATTTCCTGAGATAGAGAAAGACCTATTTCAGATGTAAACATGGAAATACAAGAAAAAAAGAAATGAAAAATGTAAATATATGGATAGATCTAAATAAATACTGACTATACAGAACAATAA
The DNA here is from genome assembly GCF_000001405.40 of Homo sapiens. Lineage (NCBI taxonomy): Eukaryota > Metazoa > Chordata > Mammalia > Primates > Hominidae > Homo > Homo sapiens. Next base: position 98,049,729 of record NC_000015.10, on the reverse strand, counting down.
TGATTTAAAATACATGAAGAACAAATATACAAAACAACACAAAAAGATGGAAGCAAGGTAATGAAATTAAAATTTGTGAAGTTGTTTTACTACCTGGGAAGTGATCCAAGTACCAAGTTTTATTAGAATCTAATAAATCAACGATGTTTGGTGTAATCACTGTGCAACCCTTAAAGGAGGATAAAAGAAATTACAGTTAACAAGAGAAAAGGAACTGGGGAGAAATTTTTAAATGTCTTATTGGTTCAAAATGTTTCAAGAAAGGCATAAAAGGCATGCAGAGCAGATAAAATAGATAACAGTAGTAGATAACAGATAAAAACCAAACTATGTCAGCAATTATGTTAAATGTAAATGAACCAAATACTCTAATTAAAAAGAAAAACCTCTCAAACAGAATTAAAAATAGGAGAAAGAAAGTCTGTTTTTCTACTATTTAAATACTACTATTTCTTTCTACTATCTATTAAATAAATTTAATATGTAATTAAAGTTCCTACAAGGAACAGGTGAAGAATCATAATTTAATAAAATCTATTACTAATTGCTGATAAGAATGCTCAGCAAACAAGAAACAGCAAAAAGAACTTCCTTAAGCTGATAAGAAGCAGCTCAAATAAATCAAACATTTTATAATTTATAGTGCTACATAGGAGGCATTTTCTAAACAACGGAAATAGGACAAAGTGTTTATTATCATTTCCGTTTGTATTAGGGTTCTCTACAGGGACAGCACTAATAGGATAGATATATATATGAAGGGGAGTTTGTTAAGGAGTATTGACTCACAGGATCTTAAGGTAAAGTCCCACAATAGGCCATCTGCAAGCTGAGGGGCAAGGAAGCCAAGACCTCAACGTAGGGTCCCAAGTGCTCAAAGTGTCCCAAAACCTCAAAAGTAGGGAAGCCAACAGCGCAGCCTTCAGTCTGTGGATGAAGCCTCAGAGCCCCTGGCAGAACATTGGTCTAAGTCCAAGGGTCCAAAAGCTGAAGAACTTGGAGTCTGGTGGTCGAGGGCAGGAAGCATCCAGCACAGGAGAAAGATGGAGGCCAGAAGACTCAGCAAGTCAGCTCTTTCCATCTTCTTCTGCCTATTTTATCTTTATCTTCTGCTTTTATCTTATTTTATCTGCTGCTTTATTTTAGCGGTGCTGGCAGCTAATTAGATGGTGCCCACCCAGATTAAGAGTGAGTCTGCCTCTCCAAGTCCACTGACTCAAATGTTAATCTCCTTTGGCAACAGACACACCCATAAACAATACTTTGCATCAATCCAATCTAATCAACACTCAATATTAACAATCACACCATTCATTATTGTACTAGTTGTCCAAGTCAGTGCAATAAGGTAAGAATAATGAATAAAAAGTACAAGGACTAAAAGGAAAGAAATAAAATAACATTATTTTCAGACCATATGGTTGTGAAGTAGAGAAATCTAAAGGAATTCACAAATACACTATTGCAGTTAATGAATTTAATGAGGTCACTGAATAAAAGGTCAATGTATGAAATTCAATACTTTAATATACCAGCAGCAAATAGAGAATGGCATTAAAAATGATACCAATTATAAGAGCGTCAAAACATCAAATACCTAGGAATAAATCAAATACCTAGGGAAAAAAGGGCATCACTTCAACACACTAAACACTGTAAAATGTAATTGAGAGAAAGAAGGCATGAATAAATAGAGGAATATTTTATTCTGGTCTGAATTGTGGCTTCTCCCAAAATGCCTAAGTTGAAGTTGTAACCCCCAGGACAGAACCCCCATAGTAAAAATGTGACTACATTTGGAGATGGTGATCTTCAAAGAGTGAATTAAGTTAAAATGGGGCCATTAGGATAGATCCTAATCCAATATGACTGCTATCCTTAAGAGGAAATTTGGACACCAACAGGTACAAAGGAAGCCATGTGAGGACATGGGGAGAAAGCGGCCAACTACAGGCCAAGGAGAAAAGCCTCAGAAGACACCAACCTTACTGAAACCTTGCTCTCAGACTTCTCGCTTACAGAACTGTGATAAAATAAATTTGTTTCTTTTAAGCCATGCAGTCTGTGGTACTTTATGGCAGCCCTAGAAAGCTAACATACATATTTGTGGATTAGAATACTCAAAATTGTAAAGATGCTCATTGTCTCCAATTTGATCTATAGATTCAATGAATCTGATGGTGTTTTAATCAAAATTTCGTTGATATTCTCTCCAACTCATCCTTTTATTTCCCTTTATGATATTTAGCAAAGTATCTTTGCATTTGATGTGATAGAGTATGCAAGATGCAGCAGGTCTCTGAAGTTGCAGGTGCCTGAATCTCCATACTGTTTATTGCCCATCACTGCAGTGTGGTGATTCCTGAAGGATCTAGAACTAGAATTACCATTTGACCCAGCAGTCCCATTACTGGGTATATACCCAATGGATTATAAATCATGCTGCTATAAAGACACATGCACATGTATGTTTATTGTGGCACTATTCACAATAGCAAAGACTTGGAACTAACCCAAATGTCCATCAATGATAGGCTGGATTAAGAAAATGTGGCACATATACACCATGGAATACTATGCAGCCATAAAAAAGGATGAGTTCATATCCTTTGCAGGGGCGTGGATGAAGCTGGAAACCATCATTCTCAGCAAACTATCACGAGGACAGAAAACCAAATACGTGTTCTCACTCATAGGTGGGAACTGAACAATGAGATCACTTGGATAAAGGGCAGGGAACGTCACACACTGGGGCCTGTCGGGCTGGGGAGCTGGGGAAGGGATAGCATTTGGAGAAATACCTAATGTAAATGATGAGTTGATGGGTGCAGCAAACCAACATGGCACATGTATACCTATGTATTAAACCTGCACGTTGTGCACATGTACCCTAGAACTTAATAGTAATAAATAAATAAAATCGAGGAAGAGAAAGTTAAAGTAGCCCCGAGGAATAAACTGTAAACATATGTTTTGTCTATTCCATGTAGGTGTAAACTGTGATCCTCTTCCTTGAGTGAGATGGAAAAAAATTAATTTGCCGCATCAGTGTCCATATCTCAGGTAAGTGAGTCTACTACTTGGTTAAGCTCAAGATTATCCACAATCATTTTCCAGAATGTATTGCTTCTTCAGGGACAGACTGGTGAATTACATGGAGATATGTAAAAACCACTAACCCAATTAATGCCTTTAAGGTGGTACTACTACCTGCTATCCTCCCTCCCCTGGGTTTGATACCATCCATGTTCGATTTACTATCTGGCCAATGCCACTTGGTCTTCTCTCTGACAGCTATTGTTACAAAGGCCTAGGACCCAAGATAGGGATTTAGCTAACTGCCAAATATGTCGAATTCAATTATAAATTTGGAAACTGAAGAAGTGACTATCAGGTGAGTCTGTGGACCCAGTGGACATAGTGTAAGCTGAAATTCGGCCAGAATTCCATTGTTACTTTACCTCCACATAAGCCTCCACTCTAACCAGAAGCCAGCATAGTTCAGGTCTCTGTGAATCAGTGTCAACCTAGGCCTGTGTCCAGTGATCCCCAGAATATATGAATAGTCCCCTTTCTCTGTGTTCTGCTACTCTAGTAAAAGGGGGAAGGACTGGGGAAATAATTACAGTAGATACTTGCCATAGTGTTGCAGTCTTTCTCCATGAAGACACTGCCAGCCTTTAGAGTAAGTTTCAGATTTGAAAACTATCACACTTCCAGAAATTGAGCAAGAGATGGTGACTTTTTATTGGGGTAACTGTCCTTAGCCTCTTGCTCCTCCATTCCTGCTACTTTTTGAAGGCAGCCCAAGAATAGCATGACCATGGCTCAAAAGCTGAGGCAGATCTTGAAGGAGCTAGAAGCTCTCAGCTTACTACTGTCCTTGCTGGTGGCGAGTCTTTTCTTAAAGGTGATCTGGGTGGTGCATTTTCATGCCTGCCACAAATTAAAGACACAACTGTTGTCATAAATTATGTATGCTCCAGCAATACATTAGGAGAAGCAGGGATAGGGTTTGATATGAATGAAAAGGCCAGATGGCCCAGGAATTCAAGAAAATGCTTCCAGGGATATGCAGAAAGGAAGGACTAGAGCCAAGGGGTGGATAGATGTGAGTGAGGCTCCTTGTTCTGGCTCATCATCTGATAAGGAAGATGGAGAGCTCTACTGTCCCTGAGATATACAAGCTGGAAATAATGCCAAGCCCAATGCTCCACTACCTTCTGGGTCTGGCAATGAGAACACTCAGTCTCCAGGACTGTCCCAGGGAACAAGGGCAATGAGCAAATGGATAGTGAGCCATGCCAGACCCTTTCTGTGAGACTGTGAACCTTCCAACATTTTCTCTCCCTTCCCCTCACTCCAGCATTTGGAATTCTCTAGACCTAAGTCTGGATACCAGCCCTGCCACTTGGGCCAATAGCTAAACCTCATGGGTACTGGGTTCCCTGGGTAGACTGAGGATATCAACGCAGGTCTTGGAAGATGCTGTGAGGATTAAATAAACAGTGCAAGTGGCTGTACCCAGACAGCATGTTGTCTTCCAGATGGTCCATAAACGTTGCCTACTGTCTGAGCAGCCGTTTGTACATGCCTCAGTCTGCTTGGGCCACCATAAAAAAATACCTTTGTTTGGTGGTCTTAAATGACAGGCATTTATGTTTTCATGGTTCTGGAGGCTGGGAAGTCCAAGATCAAGGTTCCAGCTGACTTGGTTTCTGGTGAGGGCTCTCTACCTGGCTTGTAGACAGCAGTCTTTTTGCTATGTCCTCACATGGTGGAGAGGGAAAGTGTGCTCTCTGATGTTTCCCTCCTCTTATAGAAACATGAATCTTGTCAAATTTGGGCTCCACCCTTATGACCTCCTTCAATCTTAATTACTTCTTTACCTCAAATACAGTGATAATGGGATTAGACTTTAACTTATAAATTTTGTGAGAGGACACAATTTAGTCCATAGCAGTACCTTTCATTCAATCCAGCACCAGCCTCCCACCCATGTCTTTGTGAAGGAGCCAAGCCTTCTGTGAAGCTCAGGCAGTAAAAAATTGAGTGAACAAATGGAAGTTCCTACAAATCACCCAGTTGCATGGCTTCGCTTGAATTAATTGTCTTTAAGCCAAAAGTTACCCAAATGTGTTCACCCAGGGATTCAGCAGGTGTGGAAAAGGAGGGGAAGACCTCTGAGAGGCTTATTTATGTGAAAAACTGGGGGTCCCCTTGAGAAGGAGTTCGCAATAGAGAAGCAAGAGCAGAGAGGCACAGGCAGATGGACTCAAGGAACCTTGATTCAAGATTCAGGGTAGATGGGCAGGGAGAAGGGGGTTAGCTGGGGAGCATCCCTCAGCATCTGGGGGTGAGAGTAGGGGGATTGTGGATGTATGATGACAGAAAAGGCTGAAGGAGGGGGCTTACCCTGTTTCTAAGACCCTGGCATCAAGTAGGAGCTTGGACTGTGGCTCCTGCACGGAGAGAGGAGAACAGATGGGCTACAGGGCCAGTTTCTAAGTTGGATTCAGTGTTAGCCCAAGGGACATTCTGGGCCACAAGACAACAGCCGAGCCTGCTGCCAGAAGGACATCTCTGCCTCTGGTTTGCTTGGTGTCTTTGGGAGGTGCTAGCACAGGTCCCATCCCAGCAATGACTGTGAAAAGGTCCAGGGGTGAGTTCATCTCGGCTGAGACACTCCTGAGCATCCTGAAAGCTGGCTGGGTAGGTATGTGAAGGCGCACCAGGTTTTCTAGTAGCAGCTGGGGCAGAGGCAGGCGAATACTATAATTTGCCTGTGACCCTATTCATGTCCCCAGGCTGCTGTGCCCTGAAGGGTGAGGGCACCAAGCACACCACAACCATCCTCTTTTCTGCACGGCTTTGGCCTAGACAGCCCCTGTGACGGCAGTGTTTCCATGGTGATTGTGTAAGGAATAGCTGTTCCCGGGATATTCTTCATATTTTATTTTCCTTTAGTGGAGTTGGTCAGATTAAGTCTGTTCCCGAATGAGGATCGATTAATGAAAGCTAAATGTGGGACTCGAGCCCCTTTGCAGCATCTGCAGTAGGTGAGGACAGCGCGGTGGTGTGACCGGCATCACTGAGTTTACCCAGGCAGATCCTCTCACTGCCTTTCCCAGGGACAGCCGGCCGGCTGCCAGGGAAGCCTGGATGGTGATGGGCTGTTTTTACCACCTCCGTGGATTAAGTGGGGTAGATGAGGATTCTCTGTCGGCTCATGGATGTGTCTCTTTGTTACTGAACTGTGGGGGCTGTGGTGTTCATAAAATCGGGGTCATAGTTTCATAGATGAGTCAAGTGGCAGGCCACACGGGGTCAGCAGGCTCCAAGAGGAACCCTGAGGGAAGCGTCTCTCAGCTGCAGTATCCTCGGGCCTTTCCTGCATCAGGCAGAGCCAGCAGAGCTCTGGGACGACTCAGGCCCCGGTGGGGTCACTGTCATTGGCCTCCACCTCCCAGCCCACATCACTGGACTTTACCTCCTTCCCTAGTGATTTAGTACACATAATACTGTTCATCTTCATATTCTCAGGGTCCGGCACGGTGACTGGCACATACAAGACATTTGTGAAACATTCGTGGAATGCATGAACAATGAAAATAACACTTTGTTCTCAGAGCCCAATGTGGTCTCCACGATGAATAAATACATGAATGAATAAATAAATAAATAGATACATCCATTCTCTCATTCACCCATTCATTTACCCATTGATGAACATTTATTTGGGGGATACATAATATTTGCACCTAACACGGTGCCTTGCCAATATAAAACAATCAATATCTTTTAAATTACATTGTGCCTGCCTGGCACTGGGAAAATCCAAATACTGCATGAAGCACAGTCCCCCTTCTGTGTCTGTGTCTGTAAATATTCTCCCCACTCTCATCTATCTACACACACACACACACACACACACACACACACACACACACACGGACACACACACATTTTTATTTTATTTTGTTTTACTTTATTTTATTTTATTTTTTGGAGATGCAGTCTTGCTCTGTTGCCCAGGCTGGAATGCAGTGGCAAGATCTTGGCTCACTGCAACCTCTGCCTCCCAGGTTCAAGAGGTTCTCCTGCATCAGTTTACCTAGTAGCTGGGATTACAGGTGCCTGGCACCACACCTGGCTGATTTTTGTATTTTTAGTAGAGTTGGGGTTTTGCCATGCTGGTCAGGCTGGTCTCAAACGCCTGACCTCAGGTGATCTGCCAGCCTCAGCCTCCCAAAGTACTGGGATTATGGGTATGAGCCACCATGCCCGGCCCATATTTTGGAATCATTCCTTTCAACTGGGGTATGTCTCCTGAAAAAAAACTTTCTAAAGAAGCAAATTTGAATTTAGAATTGAAATGCCTACCACGTACTGACTTTGTACTTGGAACAAGATATAGCTCCAAAAGACTTTGGTGGTTGTCTTGTCCCTGTGTGGTCACAGAAAGGTCATGTTTGATCGAGGGAGTGGGATGCAATAACGGTCTAGAGAAGAAGGCCAGTATCCAGGAAGGACAGATGGGTATGGGTGTTCCCTTCGCATACCTGCCCTGCAGGATGGCACAAAACCCCTGAACCCCCAGGAGGGATGGAAGGGAATGCATGACACGGGAAAACCACAGCAGTGTAGAAAGCTGGCGTGTGTGTTGTCATTTCTTGCCAAACCCACACTCTGGCTCATGGCAAAGGGATTAGAACCAGTCCCCTTCCATGTGCCAGTGTGCTCCTTTGGCCCTAGGAGCAGATGAGGAGTTGAAGATGGAAGAGAACTCTGAGGCTTCAGGGTCCTATGACAGGAAGGACAGTGGGTCACATCCCAGACATAGAGCAGTAAAGACAGTGGGTCACATCCCAGACATAGAGCAGTAAGGACAGTGGGTCACATCCCAGACATAGAGCAGTAAAGACAGTGGGTCACATCCCAGACATAGAGCAGTAAGGACAGTGGGTCACATCCCAGACATAGAGCAGTAAAGAGGATGGATGTTGGGGAGTTAGGGAGGGGAATTCCAGGTCTGTTGGGAACACAGTGAGTTTGAAGAGACAATAGGAAGACAAGGGTTGTATTGCAGGCTGGTGAAGGAGGGTCAGGGCTGGAGATGGGGGACCCCTCCAGAGTTGGAGACTGAAGCACCACAGTAATGAGGGAATTCAGGAAAGAGGGTCAGTGTAGAAAAGGCATTGGGAGGAGCTGAGAGAACAAACACTCAGAACTCAGATGGGAGCCAGGCAGGTCAGAGTGTGGCAGTTATCCTGCTACTAGCTCTGTGTCCTTGGGTTCTCAGTCCTCAGTTTCCATATCTGCAAAATCAGATAATGTGGGAAATCCCTTAGGACAGTACCTGGTGCGTAGAAATTCATCAGTTTTATCTGTCATTATTAGGGGGCTAAAAAAGGAAGGAGAACAATTAAAAATATGGAGCCGTATCAGAAAACCATAGGGTCAGTCACATTGACAGAATGACTTTTGTAATTAAAAAGAAGAAAGAAAGAAAAAAACTGCAACCTCTAGAGGTTTACCTGAATGGGTTTTACCACCAGCTCTGTCCTTGAAAGCATGCACAGTTGAACAAGACCTCTCTCAAGGTCTGTTTCTCTCCTAGTAAATGAACGTGTTGGGCTTTTACTGTGACACTGGTAGCCAGCAGAAGAGGCAATAATCCAGCATTTCCAATCAATGTGTTTCCATCAGATACCTGGAGACCAACAATCTCCATGCACTTTGGAACTTACATTGATCCTACTGCCTCTTAAGTCCCCCTTTGGTCTCCAGGGCTGCCCAGGAGAGGTGCTCCCCACTATATGGCACAGCTTCTGGGGCCACTGGAAGTGTCTTTAGATGTCAAACCAGTGGTTGGGCACAGTCACTAATTTAGGAATCCTGTGTCTCTCCATTCCAATTTAAATACATTATTAAAATTAAGGATGGGGAAAAAAATCTCTTCATACCAGCCTTACACCCATCGGATATCGTTTTACGATTTGCTCCACTGTTGAGTTCAAGCTCCCCAATGTCTTGGCTCTTATAGCAAGGTCTATGTCAGGGCAACAGTGCCCTGTTCCATCAAGTTCTAGCCAAAGATGCCACCGGGAAATGGACTGAACAGCTTCGGGGACCCTTTGAATCCATATTATGGGCAATTTTCAGAGCTGGAGGCTGAAAAAAAAAACCCTGAAAGTAGAAGAATAAAATCAGATTTTAATTGAATTGCTGCAGTGTACTAGTAAGGCTAGTTAAGCATATCATTAATTGTTGTAACTATAGCAACAAGATTAGCTGGAACTATTAGGGTAGGCACCAGGGGTTCAGTGAGAGACTCTTAAGAAGACAAGTGTTGGAAATTGCAGAAAATAATTCATTCTCCTCCTGTGGTTCTCTAGAGGGCCTCATGCTCTTTAGCAACCCCAAATAAATCTATATAATAATATTTTCTTAGATTCATGCGGTTTCTTTTATCCCAAAAGACCCCGGGGTGCTTTGCAAGCCATGAACATAAATATAGATCTGGAATAATGTATCGGGACAGATTTTCCTAGCGCTTAAACAACTCTCTCGTGGTTTGTTCTGCACCTTTGGAAGCTCCATCACCTTCAGGATACATGCAATCAGTAATTTATTAAGTGGCATCCCCATAGGCCCAGGGCCTGAAAATTCTGGTAGGAAAAGAGATGGGCTCCAGAGATAGTGCTTTTATTTATTTATACCCTATGTCATTCCAAAAAGGATTCAAGCAGCCTTGCAAAATACACAGAGCGCATCGGGATAAAATAAATACATGAGGAAATCCAAGGCAGGGGCAAATAACAGTAAGAAGAAAACATGTAGCTCTGTGGAAATGTTAGTATAGGAACTGCAGAGAACAAGCTCCTACAGAAGAGCTGAAGGTGGGTGTAATTGCAGCTGTTCTTCCTGCTGGTCGAAAGGAGAGGAAAACGGAACAGCTGCAGGCAAAAGACACTTAGTGCAGCAACTGTAGACTCTACCCTTCAGCAGCATGAATCTCAAGCCACCTCTCAAGTAGAAGGAAGTCAAGGAGGGCCTTCTAAAGGTAGACTTCCATTCAGCTGTCAAATATGGATTGATCATCTATTTTGTTCTTGGCATCTCCCCTTAATACTGGGCAAAATAATTCAGCTTTGATGCTTTCTGATATTCTGGCTTGATCTTTGGCTAAAATTTAGAGTTCAGAGCAGAGGTACCAAAGTGATGTTCACAGGACAGATACAGGGCAGAAATATGTTGCGTCTTGCCATTGTGGAAGATTTACATTCCAGTCCAGATTTCCACTTCTCTTGAAAACATAGAAACACTGCGATGCTGCATCCATCTTTCCACTATTGCTGAGTAGAGGCTGACCACTTGGCTGGAACAACTTCCCTCGGTGCATACTTTGCACTATGACATACTCCCGGTAGCTGCTCCACTTTTTGTCACCTGCCTGGCTCCTATAAGCATTTGAGTTTTTTTTTTTTTTTAAATCTCTGATCTAGAGTCATGTTCATATTGTTTATCTCTGTAGACTCTGTGATGAGAGTTAGACAGCCAAAGGGTTTAGTGGTGGGTTTTTCCAGGCCAGTCTCTTCAGGCACCTTCCGTTAGGACACTACAGTCAAGGCCTTGGCTCCTTCTGTGCCTCTCAGGTGGATAATCTTCCCAACTCTTCTCTGCTTATCTAAATCTCATCTGTCACTAGGCTCAACTCAAGATTCCTTCCTGAAGCTTTCTCCAAGGTTTCTACTTCATTGATCTTCCTCAAGGGACTACACCTGAACTTTCAAAGGGAGTAGGAATTGATTAAAAACAACAACAACAACAAACACATCAACTAGCCAGGAGCAGTGGTACCTGCCTATAATCCCAGCACTTTAGGAAGCTGAGGCAGGAGGATCGCTTGAGGCTAGGAGTTTGAGACTAGCCTATCATGGCAACATAGCAAGATCCCATGTCTACAAACAAACAAACAAAAATAGCCAGAGGTGGTAGCATGCACCTGTAGTCCCAGCTCCTGGGAAGCCTGAAGCAGGAGGATCTCTTGAGCCTGGGAATTCAAGGTTACAGTAAGGTATGATTGCACCACCGCACTCCAACCTGGGTGACAAAGCAAGACCCTATCTCTCTCTCTCAAAAAAAAAAAAAAAAAATTAACCTTGCACCATTCACAAAGTGACCTGCCTGTGAATGTGTTTTCTGTTGCCCCTCTCCTAACACCCCTTTCAAAATCACCCTTCTCCCACATTGCATCCACATTGGATGAGTTTGTGAGGCTGGAGCCACCATAATGAAATCAGTGTCTTTATAAGAAGAGAAAGAGTAAAGCTCACTGTCTCCATCAGCGATCGTTCAAAAGACAGGAGATCGTCCACCCATCATCCATGTAGAATCTTACCATGCTGCACGGATCCAGTATGGCAAACCCTCAGGGGCACCAAGCAAGGACAACTGTAAACTATTGGTGTTGACAAGCAAATGTCTGGGTAACACATCCTTTTGCACGTAGTTCGAGTCTAGTTCCCTGATCTCAACAATGAAGAAGGATCTCATTGAGTTGAGAGCTGGTAGATCATTAAAACATTTTTTGAAAATGGATTATTTTGTGAATTTTGGCATATGGTTTGAAGCCGAGATGGTGCCACTGCACTCCAACCTGGCAACAGAGCAAGACTCCATCTCAAAAAAAAAAAAAAAAAAAAGACTGACACTGCTATAACAGTACTCATTTCATTCCTGTTTACTTACATATATAAAGAACATTTACTCAGTAGATCTATCAAAGTAAAAAATAGTACTGGTAGCTAATTCTTTTTTTTTTTTTAATGGAGTCTTACTTTGTCACCCAGGCTGGAATGCAGTGTCATGATCCTGGCTCACTGCTACCTCTGCCTCCTGGGCTCAAGCAATTCTCCTGTCTCAGCCTCCCAAGCAGCTGGGATTACAGGTGTACGCCACCACACCTGGCTAATTTTTGTGTTTTTAGTAGAAACAGGGTTTCACCAAGTTGGCCAGGCTGGTCTCAAACTCCTGGTCTCAAGTGATCTGCCTGCTAAAGTGCTGGGATTACAGGCATGAGCCACTGTGCCCTGTCCCTGGAAGCTAATTCTATCCCATTTTAGCAATATGTAAAACAAATTTAAAAACTTTATCTCATTAAATATGCATTTCAGTAAAATTTTATGAAGACTATGTATTGTATACTATCAATAACTGTAATAAGTCAACCTAGAGAAATAAAATTATGCCAAGTGAGTGGAATACAAATAAGAGTTCAAGAAGAAAAAATGAAATTTCTGTCTATTAAGAGGAACTTGTTTGTAGATTTTTAAAGTGGATGATGGAAGGATTAATCACCGTGATATCTAGATTCTATTAGATATATTTAAAATGAAGGATCAGCTTTATTTTTAAAAGTCAATAGTTACAATGTATCAAAAAAGCATATTCTCTGTAACTTTGTAAACTTAACCATGACACATTTTAGAAGTACATCTATAAATGCACCACTTAGTATGCAGTTTTTAGAGTTCTTTGGTAGGGAGTCCCCAGATAAACAGATTTAAAAAACACTGTTTTAGGAATTATAGTTTCTCGTAGAAATTTAATTTTTCATCATATTGCTATGCACACTTGTGCCTTTGATTTATTATTTCATGGCTTCACGTCTGGCCTACACAGTTAAGAGTCTTTGAGGTCTGTGAATTGCCAGTTGCGCAGTGTTTATCAAGCATCTGCTCTGTGTTCAGAATAGTAGAGGACCAAATACGGGACGCAGATTTTCCCATTGAAGAACATTTATTTTATTTAAGGAAAGATGAAAAATAAAAGCAAACCAACAGTAAAGTCCATGTTTAAAAGACAGGTGGACACCTTGTGTTTGAAGATCATTTATCCTCTACTTTAGCTGAAGAATGAACAAAAGCCAGTAAATAATAAAAAAAAAATTCTGACCAAACCAGATTGAACGTATAGACAAAAACCCATAGGTGAAAACATTAACACGCAAAACCTTAAAGATTTATTCAGAACTTATTTACTTATCCATTAAAACAATATTAAGGAGTTGTTTCTCTGTTGTCACAATTAAGATAATATCAAAAGTGAAGAATTATAAAGGAGGTCAGAAATTAACACTTTCCCTCTGTAGGTGGTGTTATGGGCTGTATGCTTGCAGCCCCCAAAATGCATATGATGAAGCCCTACCCTGCAGAGGAGGTGGGTCCTTTAGAAGGTGATTAGGTTTGGATGAGTTTGTGAGACTGGAGCCACCATAATGAAATCAGTGTCTTTATAAGAAGAGAAAGAGTAAAGCTCACTGTCTCCACCAGCGATCGCTCAAAAGACATAAGATTTGTCCATACATTGACCTTGGACTTCCTAGACCCCCTGAATTTCTAGAAAAAAATTTCTGTTGTTTAATCTGCCTGGCCTATGGTATCTTGTCATAGCAGCTCCATCTGACTGAAACAGAACATGAAATGTCTTCTTAACAGTGAAGGAGGAGATGAACGCAGAAAAGACATGAAAGGCAAGGGGTTTTGGCCTGCATGGTATAAGATTGTACACCACATTAGCATCGCTTAGAGTGGAGAAGAATTAATTATAATTAGTATTCATCAAAATAAATGCACTAGATTTAATTTGCTTACCAAGGCAAGAAAGTGTAAAATAACTTTTAAAATATTTCTCTTGAATTTTTTAAAATTTGAAATTAAATTTAAAATTAAACATAGATTAGCTTTTAACTAGAAAATTCTTGTAATGGAACTACTCATTTCTGCATGATCAGCAGGCTCTGTTGCATGTGAATCAGAGGTAAACAATGTGGTTTGGACTAAAGGTTCTCTCTCCTCACCTGGCCTAGGCCTGCCCAAGCAGTCAGTTTTGCACCGTCTTGCAAGGTAACTGGAAATCATGCATAGAAAGCAGCTTACTGCTGTCTAGAATGACTGAGTAAAGAAAGTGGGCTTCTCTTGACCCAACATGAGGTTATGTAGTTTGTGTTCACGCACAGGGAACCAGGCAGAAGCTCTGAGCTCAAAGCTCAGTCTGCTGGCAGTTTGTGCCTTGATTTCTGTGATTGATAATGAGGTCACTGTCCTTTAGCAATAGCCCAGGGGCAGACAAGATCATTTAGCTCAGAGATTCAAAGCACAAGAGATTTTTCAGAGAGGCAAGGAAGTAGGGGGATGAGCGGCTCTGAAGTTTCATTTTTTAAAAAAATCACCTTTAAAAAGTGGTATATGTCAGGCACCTGGCACGGTGGCTTATGCCTATAATCCCAGCACTTTGGGAGGCTGAAGTGGGTAGATCACCTAAACTCAACAGTTTGAGACTAGCCTGGGCAAAATGGCAAAACTCTGACTACAAAAATAAAAATTTGCCAGGCGTGGTGGCCTGCACTGGTAGTCCCGGCTACTCCAGAGGGCGAGGCAGGAGAACTGCTTGAACCTGGGAGGCAGAGGTTACAGTGAGCCGACATCGGGCCACTGCACTCCAGCCTGGGTGGCAGAGCAAGACTCTGTCTTGGGAAAAAAACAAAACAAAACAAAACTGGTATATGTCACAATAGTTCATAACTTGAAGGTAAAAAAAAAAAAAAAAGAAAATGGTATATAATCTGATCATTAAAAATCAAGTAAAATTAGCAAAAATCATATGTAATGATAAGCACTTGACATTTTGATGTGTGGCTCTTACCAGTCTTTTGTTTTCTTTATGTATATTATAACTACATAGCTACTTATGTATGCCTGTGTCTGCACGTGTGCATACTTGTGTGTGTGCATGCATGTTTGCACATGTGCCTGCATGTGTGTGTAGGATTCGTATTGTAAACTTTTTTTTGTTTAGCAATACATCATGAACATTGTTCTATGCCATTAAATATTCTTCCATATCATAGCTTTGAGTGGTACATAGCATTACGATGTAATTATGTATCGGGATTTACTTAACCCATCCCTTTTTACTGAACACTTGGTTGGTTCGTTTTTCATTTTGTTTTAGTTTTGTTGCTATGATAAACACCTTAATCATAAAAAAATGCATGCTAATGGATGAGTGGTAGTTTTATTCTTGTTCCTTCTCATGTCTGTCCAGACGTTTGCAGAGTGAATTGTCTTTGATCATTTGTGGATTGAAGTTTCTTATTCTGGTGATCCCCAGAGGATGGCCTGTCCCATCCCTTCTTTTCTATTAGGGTTGGTGGTAAAGGGAACTTGAGGAGAGTTAAGAAGTGAGACTGGAGAGAGCCCCAGGGGAAAACATAGCACAGTTCTCAGGAACCGAATTGACAGCAGATCTGGGTAAGTTCAAAAACTCACATCATGTAGGAGGTCAAGACTTTAACAGCAGGAGGGGGATTGAAAGTCCTAGAAATAGATACTGAAATTTTTTTAACTGAAGAAATTGAGAAGAAGAGATAAAGGAACTTGATCGTAGAGTCCCAGGGGGTCTATTAACCCCTCACTCCATGACACAAAAAGATGCCCAAGAAGCTCCCGTATCAATCCCAAAGGATGACTAAATGTGCCTGAGCCAGAGCAGCCCAGAACCACTGGTGAGTTCTGGGAAAGAAGCCTCGGGTAGGAAGGCAGAGAGGAAGATTCGCTGTGTTCCAGACATTGGCACAGGAGTGCTCCCTTGTTTTTTAATCATTGTAGCCCCATCTCCAGGTGTCAAGTAGGAGCCAGTATCAGAAGTGAGCTCTGTAACCTGCTGCTTCTGAATTTTCCGTGGTATCCACAAATCGTTGTTGAAGATGCTCACGTAAGCCACCCAGCCTGTGGAGAGATGGTCAGTGTCTAATCCTTAAGTTCTATGTGCTCTGCATGAACTCGCCCACCTCTCTGGAAGAGAAATGTAGCAGGGTGGTGAGTGAGGAGTCAGGCCTTTCTGGAAGCTTTGCGCCCTATACCAATCCATGCAGTAGTATGTTGGTGCCATGGTTTGGAAGTTTGTCCCCTCCAAATCTTAGGTTGAAATTTGATCATCAGTGTTGGAGGTGAGGCCTAATGAGAGGTATTTAGCTCTAGGGGGTGGATCCCTCATGAACAGCTTGCCATTTCCATGGTGGTGAGTTCTCATTCTATTAGTTCCCACAAGAGCTGGTTGTTGAAAGGAGCCTGGCACCTCCCCGCCCTGCCACCTCCCCTTTCTTTCTCTTGTTTCCTCACGTGCCATGTGATCTCTGCACAGACAGTTCCCTTTTACCTTCCATTGTGAGTGGATGCAGTCTGATGCTGTCACTAGATGCCCAAATTTGAACCTTCCAGCCAGCATAATCATGAGATGAATAACGCTGTTTTCCTTATAAATTACCCAGCCTCAAGTATTTGTTTGTATTAACACTAAGTGAATAAAGACAGTTTGTAAATGTTTAACAATTGGAGGACAATAATTATCCTTCAATGCCCAACTTTCTTTTGGATATTTCCTCTAGCTCTCCTGGTATAAAATAAGAGGGCCGCCCCCGATACTCCCATAATACCATGGAACTATCTCTTTCCTTTACTGTATAATATAGAATTGTGATTATTTGCTTAAAGTCTGTTTCCCTTCCCAAGCTGTGAGTTCCTGGAAGGGAGAGCCCAACCACCTCTGTCTTCAGCCCTGGATGCAGTGTCTGGCACGTGGTCAGCCTTCATTCATATTTGTTAGATATATGTGAATAAATGAATTAACTAAACTGTAGGTTAACAAGAGAGACCAGAATATTCATAAGAACACTTTTAGCCTCAGGTTAGTAAAGATACTATTCAAAATGGTTTAAATAATAAGATGTTTATTATTTGACAAAAAATAGTTCAGAGGTGGGAAAAGTTCCAGGGATGGATTCATTCAGCACCTCAGCAAAGTTCTCAAGGAGCCAGGTCCATTCTGTCCTCCTCCTGTGCTATCCTTCACCTGTTTGCTTTTATCAAAAGGTAGCAAAAGAGTTATGTATGACAGCAAAGAAGGTGGCAGCAGCTCCAGGCATCACATCCATATATCACAATGTCCACAGGCTAGAAGAGAGACCCTCTCTCTCTTTTTTTAACCTCAAAGTAATCTCCCTCAGAAACATTTCCCTCTTTCTTCCCAAATAGATTTCCCTTCATTTGTTAAAAAAAATAAAAATACAAGAATTGACTTGGACTAATTAAAATTTTCAGGGGTGGGGGGATGTCTGTCTGGTAGGCAACCAGTCAGTTGTCACATATACAGTCAATAAAGATAAGATATTGAACTACCATCCACATGATCAAGCTGCATCCATCTCAGCTATACAAGGACTGTTGAACATTAGAAAATTTCTTAATGTAATTTGTGATGCTAATTAATTGTAAGAAATATATATATAAATAAAATCATCTTAACTTTAAAAATCATGTGATAAAATTCAACACCTGCTCAAAAATCCTTTAGACATCAGAAAAATGTGCCTAGAATCACTCTTACTGTGCAAAATTGTTCTATAGATCATAGCCTCATATCAGAAAAAAGTTATATAAGAGCTTAAGAAAAAACCCACAAAGCTGTTATTATTATTATGACAATATGATAGTATTGTTATAATGACATTATTACCTACATAAAAACTCAAGACACACTCCAAATTATTAGTATTAATGAGAGTTTAGAAATTTTGATGGAAATGAGATTGTTTACAAAAGCAGTCACAGTGATACATATTAATAACAAAAAATCTACCATTAAAAAGAGACCATTTATAATAGCAACAAAATATATAAGGTTTCTAGAAATAAATTTAAGAAGAGCTGGAAATTATATTTATGAAGAAAATATAAATAAGTACTGAAATTTATTTGATAAATAAAAATCAATGGAAGAGATGAACTATGTTTATAGATACACTCAAAATCACAAAAATTTTTACTCCTCCCAAATTAATCTAAAAGTCTAATGTGACCCTAATTGAAATATAAAGATTATGTAAAAATTGACAAGGTGATTTTAAAACATGGAAAAGTGTTAATAATTGCACTTTTTGAAGACAAGTTTGAAAACTAATGTAGAAAAACATGTTTTACCAGAAATCAAGAATTATTCTGAAGCCTGGGGAGGTGGCTAACACCTGTTGTAATCCCAGCACTTTGGGAAGCCAAGGTGGGAGGATTGCTTGAGGCTAGAAGTTCTAGACAAGCCTGGTAAACACAATGAGACCTCACTTCTACATAAAATTTTAAAAAATTAGCCAGTGCATGACTCACATCTGTAATCCTCGCTACTTGGGAGGCTGAGGTGGGAGGATTGCTTGAGCCCAGGAGTTCGAGGCTGCACCACTCAAACTCCTGGGCTGGAGGTGATTGCACTGCTGCACTCCAGCCTGAGTGACAGATGAGACTGCATCTAAAAAAAAGTATTTTGAAACTATGGTAATTGGGCCACTGTGATTTGGATACAAGGCCAGATCTACAAACCAATGAAACAAATACATGACCCAGAAATTTACTCATAATTATACGAAACTTGATATCTGAGAGGGTTGTATTGTAAATCAATGTTGAAAGGATGGTCTGTTTAACAAATGATTTTGGAACAACTGGTTATCTATTATAAAAAATTATCTGTATCTCATGCTATATGCAAATATCAATGCTATGGGGAATAAGAATCTAAAATATAAAAATAAAAATGTTTATTCTTTTATAAAAATGTATAGGAAATTATCTTTGTGATCTTGGGGTAGGGGACATGTTTTTTAAAAAAGGTACAAAGAACAAACATAAAGAAGATAAATTCAACTTGATTAATATTTTAAAATATGACTGTGCTTCAAGACATAGTAGAGAAAAAAGGAAAAGAAAATTGTAGACATAGATAAGAGATTTGCAATATGTTTACATGCAGTATATAAAGGATAGCTAAAAATGGATAAGAAGACCCAATAATCCCACTAGAGAAATGGAGAAATGATATAAACACATCATTTGCAGAAGGAAATACCCAAATATTTCACAAAGACATTAAAAAAACCCTCAACCTCATTATAATCAGAAAATGCAAATTGAAAAGACAGTGAGATAATGATTCATACTAATTAGATTGGCAGAAATTGACTGAAAATACTAAGTGTTGGTGAGGATATAGAAAAACAGAAACTCAAACTTTTTAGGTTGGAAGGAAAATTTGTACAACCACTTCGTAAAGCAGTGGAGCTGTATCTCAAAGATGAAAATAAGCAAGCCCTGTGACCCAGCAATTACATTTCTGAGAATATATGCTAGAGAAAATCTCACATATGCATCCAAGAAAACACATACAATAAGGTGTATATCATCTTTATTTCTAATAGCAAAAAATTAGAAACAAATTAATATGGTGAGGCTTTGTCTCCCCACCCAAATCTCATCTTGAATTATAATTTTGCATAATCCCCATAATCCCCACATATCAGAGAAGAGACCAGGTGGAGGTAATTGAATCACGGGGGCAGTTCCTCTGTGCTGTTCTCATGATAGTGAGTGAGTTTTCATGAGACCTGACGGTTTTGTAAGTGTTAGGTATTTCCTCCTGCATTCATTCTCCTCCTTGCTGCCTTGTGAAAAAGGTGCCTTGTTTCCCCTTAGCCTTCTGCCATGATTGTAAGTTTCCTGAGGCCTCCCCAGCAGTTCTGAACTGTGAGTCAATTAAACCTCTTTCCTTTATAAATTACCCAGTCTAGGGCAGTTCTTTATAGCAGCGTGAAAATGGACTAACACATAAATTAATGAATATTGACAAGAGAATGATGAAGTAAATTGAAGTATATTTGTGTATTACAATACTATACTACAGTGAAAATAAATGAACATCAACGTAGAAAATTTTTGCATGCATATTGTCGAGGGAAAAAAATTTTTGAAGAATACCTGTGAACAATGTCATTGATATACTGTTTATGTAATGTTTGAGTTGTACAAAAATAATAATATTGTTTAGGTATACAGACAAATGTGGTAAAAGCATAAAGACATGTATAGATATGTTGGACATTCCCTAGGGGGATGGGATGGAAAAAAAATAGCACCTCAAGTGTATTTGTACAGCTTTATTTCTTAAGTTTGGAGACAGGTATCCCTGCATTTATAATATTATTTCCTCCATATTTTTGTACGTCAGAAATATTTCACAATAGAATTTTCAAAAATAGAGGCAGCTATCTACTGACGCTTAAGGAGACCTAGTGAATCAGTGGGTTGGATGTCTTTTCTGTGATGTGTGTCATGTAGAAGCTGATGAGAAAAGCCTTTCCATGATCCTGAGAAGAAAGCACATTCTACCATCCTGTGCTATATGGAGTTTTCCCACAGATCCAAAGAAGGGTTGATCTTGACATTCAAAATTAACTCAAACTATGTGTTTTGGAGTACATTTAAAAAAAAAAAAAACAGCCGGGCACAGTGGCTCAGTCCTGTAATCCCAGCACTTTGGGAGGCCGAGGCGGGTAGATCACGAGGTCAGGAGATCGAGACCATCCTGGCTAACACGGTGAAACCCTGTCTCTACTAAAAATACAAAAAATTAGCCGGGCGCAGTGGCGGGCGCCTGTAGTCCCAGCTACTCAGGAGGCTGAGGCAGGAGAATGGCTTGAACCCAGGAGGCGGAGCTTGCAGTGAGCCGAGATCATGCCACTGCACTCCAGCCTGGGTGACAGAGTGAGACTCCACCTCAAAAAAAAAAAAAAAAAAAAAAAAGTTAAGTAAATGTTTCTGGAAAAAACCTGAAATACTTTTCCAAAGAAAATGATTCTGAGTCATGAGTCACCAAGTTCTGTCTGGATATATTAGGAAATTCAGGTCAAAGGCCTTCTCAAATGTTATTGCTAATTGTTCTCTATTAAATGTGGTTCCTCTTCTTATTTCTTGAGTTTTTAAAATAATCCGATGGTATTTTTTTTGTGGAGCATGAGTTTGCCTGTTTTAGCCCCAGCTGGTCTTTGCAATGAAACCCAAATAAGTGGTCTTAGAAAATGAGAAGCTTTTAGTCAGGGAGAGCCAATGGCTGCTTTTTGGTGGTCAGACTCCAACAAGACCCCAAATGCAAGCTATGCTTAACCTCTTGGCTTTAGGGTTGGCAAAGAGGGTCTCTGAGAGCTAGCTAAAACTCAGAGAAGGGCTCCTCAGCCAGCCTTGAAGAGAGGACTGCTCCCCTAAGTGTGAGTGGAAGGGTTGACTCTATCATTTATTACTGATGTGATCAGCGGTGAGTTACTTAGCCTGTTTGAACCTTTGATTCTTCATCTGAAAACCAGTGCATTTTGAAGATTAAATTAAGTAATCTCTGATCCATCCAGTGTATACAAGAGATGCTCACTGGCATCAACAGCCAGATTCAGACTACCAGATGCATTGGAATTGACTTTCTGAATATCCTCCAAGAATTGCAAAAATAATCATTTTACATTCAGTACTTAAGGCATTAGTATAAAATGAATTTGTAGGTTCACTAAAACATCTCTGATAAATAGAGGACAATTAATAAAAGAGAGGCCTCAACTGGAGCACATTTTCGTAGTGTGATGTGCTAGTAGTTCATGAAGTGGTTTTCAATGGTGCAGTTTTATATGCTTATATTGACAGCATTGGACTTAGCTTTCTAGTTACCTTCTGGTTGCAGAATGTCTGTGAAACATTTAGCCTGGCACAGAGTATGTACTCAGTAGGTAGATGCTACTGTTTCTTAAGAAAAAAAACTTTTATTTTAGGTCCAAGCATACATGTCCAGGTATGTACATAGGTAAATTGCATGTTGCAGGGGTTTGGTGTACAGATTATTTAACTACCCAGATAATAAGCATAATACCCAATAGATAGCTTTTTGGTCCTCACTCTCCTCCCATGCTGCACCCTCAAGTAGGTCCCAGTGTCTGTTCTTTTCTTTGTGTCCACATGTACTCAACGTTTAGCTGTCACTTATAAGTGAAAACATGCAGTATTTAGTTTTCTGTGCCTGTGTTAGTTTGCTTAGGGTAGCAGCCTCCAGCTCCATCCATGCTGCAGCAAAGAACATGATCTCATTCTTTTTTATGGCTGTATAGTATTCCATGGTGTATGTGCACCATATTTTCTTTAGTTGACTATTGATGGGCATTTAGGTTGATTCCATGTCTTTGCTGTTGTGAATAGCACTGCAGTGAACATCCATGTGCATGTGTCTTTATGGTAGAATGATTAATATTCCTTTAGGTACATACCTAATAATGGGATTGCTGGGTCAAATGGTAGTTCTGTTTGAAGTTCTTTGAGAAATGGACAGACTTCTTTTCACAATGGCTGAACTAATTTACATTCCCACCAGCAGTGGATAAGAGTTTCTATTTCTTCATAATCCAGTCAACATCTGTTATTTTTTGCCTTTTTAATAATAGCCATTCTCACTTGCGTGAGACGGTGTCTCTTTGTGGTTTTGAATTACATTTACCTGACGATTAGTGATGTTGAGCAGTTTTTCATATGCTTTTTGGCCGTGTGTATGTATTCTTCTGAAGTGTCTGTTCATGTCCTTTGCCCACTTTTTCATAGTGTTGTTTTTACTTGTAAATTTCTTTAAGCTCCTTACAGATTCTGAAAATATATTAGACCTTTGTCAGATGCATAGTTTGCAAATATTTTCTCCCATTCTGTAGGTTGCCTGTTTACTCTGTTGACAATTTATTTGCTGTGCAGAAGCTCTTTAGTTTAATTAAGTCCCATTTGTTGATTTTTTTTTTTTTGCAATTGCTTTTGGCATCTTTATCGCAAAATCTTTGCCAGGTCCTATGTCCAGAATGGTATTGCCTAGGTTATCTTCCATGGTTTTCATAGTTTTAGATATTATGTTTCAGTCTTTAATCCATCTTGAGTTGATTTGGGTATATGGTGTAAGGAAGGGGTCCAATTTCAATCTGTTGCATATGACTAGATAGTTATCCCAGCACGATTCATTGAATGGATGTTCCCTTCCCCATTGCTTATTTTTGTCAAGTTTGTCGAAGATCAGATGGTTGTAGGTATGCAGCATGATTTCTGGGCTCTGCGTTCTGTTCCATTGGTCTGTGTGTCTGTTTTGGTACCAGTACCATGATGATTTGGTTACTGTAGCCTTATAGTCTAGTTTGAAGTTGGGTAATGTGATGCTTCCAGCTGTGTTCTCTTTGCTTAGGATTGCCTTGGCTCTTCTGGCTCTTTTTTGGTTCCATGTGATAAAATAGTTTTTTTCTAATTTCGTGAAGAATATCATTGGTAGTTTGATAGTAACAGCATTGAATCTGTAAATTACATTGGGCAATATGGCAATTTTAACAATATTAATTCTTCCTCTCTGTGAGTATGGAATGCTTTTTCATTTGTTTGTGTCAACTCTGGTTTCTTTGTGCAGTGTTTTGAAATTCTTGTAGAGGTCTTTCGCCTCCGTGGTTAGCTGTATTTCTGGGTATTTTATTCTTTTAATGGCTATTGTGAATGGGATTGTGTTCCTGGTTTGGCTCTCCACTTGGATGTTGTTGGTGTGTAGGAATGTTACTGATTTTTGTATAGTTATTTTTTATCCTGGCTACTGTTACTAGTACTTCTTTTCTCTAATCAACACTGCTATTTTTTATGTTTTTATTTTACTTTTAAAAATGGAATGCTTTACACATTTTCATGTCAGCCTTGCACAGGGGCTGTGCTAATTTTCTCTTACCATTCCAGTATGTGCTGCCGAAGTTAGCACAACACTGCTTCTTATGGGTATATCATCACATCAAAAATACAAGAGTACTGCAGTAGAGATCGGAGAATCAGTCCCACAGGGATGTGGAAGGGAAAGGGAAGAATGCAGGCAACAGTGTGTTGAATCCATCACTTACTCCCCCCAACTTTCCAAGATCTGAGAAAAAAACAATCTCCTTATAAAAAGGTGAATGTGGCAAAGTACAAAAGTCTGGATACCATGTCAGAAGACCAGAGATGGAGACATGTCTCCTATACGATATCCCAGGGAAGCTGGTCAGATTCTGTCATTTGTTCTCCTAGGGGAATCTATGAGGTCTCTAAGATTCCTGGCTGAGTCCTCGAAGCTTACCTGTATATCCCAAATAGACTTAGCCCTCTGCGTTGTATTTACTTGTAACTACATCACATTAATATGGTCATCTGCTACCTTCACATCAACAAATTCAAAGCCTCCTGATGTATCATGTAGTCACTATGCACTCCGCATTTTCAGCACACGAATAATGTTCTCTTTAATTTCCTGGACTCAACAAAAGAATGACTCAGTCAGAAAGAAATTCCACTTTGCATATTGTTAAACAATGCTTCAGAGATTTTCCCAACAGAAGAGAACAGTGGAGTCTTGGCTCCTAAACACTGACATTCACCTGCTTCATTTCCTATAAAAACTAGGCCAGGCCCTGTGAAATGGGCTGGCCAATGTTGTAACAGCTGTAAGACCAGCTTCTCCACTGTGAGTCTACACAGTGCCTGGAGTCAGAGGAA
This sequence comes from Homo sapiens, assembly GCF_000001405.40. Classification (NCBI taxonomy): domain Eukaryota; kingdom Metazoa; phylum Chordata; class Mammalia; order Primates; family Hominidae; genus Homo; species Homo sapiens. The sequence goes on along the minus strand of NC_000015.10, from coordinate 98,025,274 downwards.
GGGCACTTAATTTAAATAACCTGTCCATCAAACTTTGATTCTAATTATTTTTCTAATTATTTTCTCTGTTGGTATATTCTGAGATCCAGAAACCACCTGTCTACATACTTGCTTTTTTGAGAAATGCAAGAGCTTGCATTCATGTAAAAAAAAAAAAAAAAAAAGAGGACAATAACTCTCACATTTCAAAATCTACTTTCTAATACACAAAAATATATTAGGGGAACTAAGGTAAGATTCTCTATCATATTGTAATGAGATTCTAAGATGACTCAACTCCCTTTAGTCTTTCTTAATGAGGAATCACAATGGTTTTTGAGAGAGGGTCTACTTTTCTTAAGATGCCTGTGGAGCAGGAAGTTAGCTATGTAGGAAATAAGAAAAACGGAGGGATAGGAATGTATTAGTGATTTCTGGCTACTGGACATATCCAGTTCTTGTTGATCATGCTTGCCCAGGCGGGGGGTTCTCCATCTGGCACTTGATGCTTTTCCTCCAACTGTGGCCCAGCAGCTTAAGAATGAGGATCAAAATTTTGTATATGACTAATTCTCTTCTCTGAAGGCTGTGATTTTCATTTTGTCTCTAATACATTTGCTGAAAGAAACTCCCAAAATACATTAAGTGGAAGGATGTTTATTGTAATTAAAATGTTCCCTGAGTCAGCAAAGTTAGTGGCCTGATTGTGGAGGTGTTGGGAGACTCTCCAGGACTCCCCAACACGTTCCTCACCAGCTTGCTTCACAGCGAACTCTGTCTGACCCTGTGACCTGCATGCAGCCCGCACAGGGGGCTCTGCTCTCTGGGTGAGGTCACATGCCAACCTAGAACCCTTGGCCTGAGAAACCCCTACCGTTTCTTTTTAGGTGTCTGCATATCTAGAAGGGTACCATTTAGAATGACCCTGGGAAGCATGCCAGTCTCCTATGCGAGCATGCTGTATATTTCATCCCTTAGTTAGTAGGAAGCAATGAAGAGAGTTGGAGTTTACTCTTAGCTAAACTCGAGGCAGCAGGGAAAGTCAGTACATGCCTCTTATCATCAAAAGCCCAAGTTTGGCATCAGATGTGCCTGGGAGGGAATGAAAGATTAGTGGAACAGACCGTCCCTATTGTTCCTTTTGCTGGGGTGTGCTAGTCTTAGAACACCAGGGGGACTTGTCACCGTCATGGGCATTTAGAATGGCAGATGACAAGCTGGGCACGGTGGCTCACGCCTGTAATCCCAGCACTTTGGGAGGCCGAAGTGGGTGGATCGCCTGAGGTCAGGAGTTCAAGACCAGCCTGGCCAACATGGTGAAACCCCGTCTCTACCAAAAATACAAAAATTAGCTAGACATAGTGGCACGTGCCTGTAATCCCAGCTATTCGGGAGGCTGAGGCAGGAGAATCACTAGGATTTTCCAGAAGATGGAGGTTAGCGAGCTGAGATCATGCCATTGCACTCTAGCCTGGGCAGCAAAGCAAGACTCTGTCTCAAAAAAAAAAAAAAAAAAGGCAGATGGCAGCCTGTGTGTGTGTGACATACATTGACTTATAAACTTTTGTTTTTCCATACTTTTGTTTTATGATTAATTGCCTGTTAGGTATTTATTGTAGGTGTGATACTGTAAAATATATACTTGGTCTTTGACCTGTTTTCTGACATACAACTTCTAAAATCCTTAAAATCTCCAAAATAATGTCTTTTTGTGTGCTAATGAGATGACTGGTGGCAGACAGTCCCTAGGTAGCTTCAAATGGGGTGTATTAGTCCATTCTCATGCTGCTAATTAAGACATACCTAAGACTGGGTAATTTATACAGAAAAAGAGGTTTAATGGACTCACAGCTGCACATGGCTGGGGAGGTCTGCCAGTCATGGCAGAAGATGAAGGAGGAGCAAAGGCACATCTTACATGGCAGCAGGCAAGAGAGTATGTGCAGAGGAACTGTCCTTTATAAAACCATCAAATCTCATGAGACTTATTCACTGTCATGAGAGCAGCACAGGAAAAACCTGTCCCCATGATTCAATGACCTCCCACCAGGTCCCTCCCATGATGTGGGGATTATGGGAGCTACAATTCAAGGTGAGATTTGGGGGGGTCGGTGGGGACACAGCCAAACCATATCATGGGGGCTGGCCCCCAGAAAGACCAAGAAATGATTAGAGTGTTGGATTTTCATCCCCATCTCCCAGCCTCTTGGGAGGGGAAAGGGGTTGAAGGCTAAGTTGATCACCAGTGTCCAATGGTTTACCTCAATCATAAAATCTCAAAATGACTGGCTTTGGGGAGCTTCTAGATAGCTGAACACGTGGAGGTTCTTGAAGGATGGCATGCTCAGGGAAGGCATGGAAGCTCTGCACCCCTTCCCTAATACCTCGACCTATATATCTCTTCATCTGTATCATTTGTAATATCATTTATATTAAAAGTAAACTGGTGAACATGAGTGTTTCCCTTAGTTCTGTGAGCCACTCTGGCAAATTACTCAAATTTAAGTTGGGGATCATGTGACTTGATTTATAGCCAGCAGTTCAGAAGCATGGGCAAAACAACCTGTGCTTCTGATTGGCATCAGAAGTGGGATGGAAGCAGTTTTGTAGGACTGAGCCCTTAACTTGTGGGAGCTATGCTAACTCTCTGTAGATAGTGTCAGTACTGAATTGAACTAGAGGATTCCCAGCTAGTGTCTGCTGCAGAACTGATTGCTTTCTTGGTATGTAGGAGAAAACCACACACGCATTTGGACACAGAAGCCTTCTGTGTAATTGTTGTGGTATGGGAGCAGAGGAAAAGTAGTTTGTGTTTTCCACAGTTTGTGTTTGTGCTTTTTCCACCAAGAGTGGGGAAAACACTTTCTAAAATGTTAAACATAGAGTTACCATATGATCCAGTAATTCCACCCTGATGTATGTACCCAAAAGGATTGAAAGCAGAGTCTCAAGCAGGTATGTGTACATCCATGTTCATAACAGCATGATTTACAATTCCAAGAGGTAGAAACAATCCAAATGTTCATAAATGAATAAATGGATAAGCAAAATTAATATATACATGTATGTATACCAAATAGATAGATAGTAACTATTACAGAACTTTAAAGTGGAGTAAAATACTGATACTTCTTATGATATGGATGAACCTGGAAAGCCTCATGCTAAATGAAAGAAGCCAGATACAAAGGGTTGCGTAATGAATGATTCCATCTATATGAAGCATCCAGAATAGGCAAATCCATAGAGATAGTATTTCAGGAATCCAAGAGTAGAACTTTAAAAGCAGTTCAGATAATACATTTATTGAACGTACTATCCACACACACAGCGATCTATATACAGGAGTCCCTATATGGAGCCTGTTCATGATATTGGCCAGGTTTCTAGTGCAATTATTTCTCTTCCATCTTCTAAGTTTTCTTTCTATCTTTTAGTGTTACGCTCTCTCGTCTACAGGACTTTACTTCAAGTAGCCTCAACGCTTTTTTAGAAGTGGGTGAGATAAAGTTATAACTAAATAGCTAACCGAAAGCTCTCTTTACACTTAATAACAAACAAACAAAATGGCTTATTTGACCCAAAATAAAAATTTGATTAAAAAAACTCATAGCTCCATTGTTCTTTTGACTTAACATTCATGTTGCCAAGTGTGAAAGGTTCACTAAACTGAACATGGTTTCATTGTCTTTTTCTTCATAAGAAGGTTTTGTTAAGTCGAGCCGTTTCTGCTGTGCCAGTTTTATGGTGAGGTGTCCAGCTTTCCCTCCAATCACACTTCCCATTGGTATGTTATGAAACAGTTTATGGCCTTCATTAACTTTGATGATAATAATTAAATGAAGCTGTGAATTACATCCAGAGCCAGCTCTCTGGGGTGTTCCTGATTCAGTTTCCACAGACGATCAAGAGACGGTTGGTCTAACTAAGCCAGAGTCCAGAATATTGTGACTTAAATATCTATCTTCTGAAAATAGAAGTCTGTCCATAGAGAAAAATATAAGACCAGAAACAAATATAAGTCAATATGGAGAGATCCTTGCGATGAGCACAGAGACTGCAGTAGAGGAAGCTTCAGAGGGGAGGCTGTGCTTCCTCTGGGTGTCAGCCTGATTCAGTGAGAAGGAAAGGTTAATAGCACCTGCTAAGCCCTTATAATGAACTGAGCATATAGGGTCTCTTTAGTCCTCACAAAAGCCTCATAAAGATGCAGCACTGTGCCCACTGCCCAGAAGAGTGAACAAATGCTTGTTTCTCAGTAAACTTTATGGCATAAAGCAGAGGTCCCAGCTATGAGAACTGAAGCTGTGGATATCTTACAGTGTTCAATTCATATGGATGAAGGGTTATCTGGGCCCATGAGGGGCTGTCTGCCTGGCCGTGGGTCAGGGTCCCCTGAGTCTTCCATTGGAGTCCCATGATTTTATGCCTGATTCTAAGGAAGACAGTGCTGCAAAAAGAAGTAAGAAACAATGGGAAGGCTAGATCACTGTGCCCTCCAGAGTATATTCAATGACCCAGGTGGAGTCCTCAAAAGAGGCAGCCATGTGGCAGGACAGGGACAGGGATGGAGGTGTGGGTGCACCGTGTTAGCTTCATAGACTTACCACCGGGCATCTCCTAGGGAGGCTAAAGAAGGAGTGGAAAATGGCAAATGTCTTTGTTAAATAGTCCCTCTGAAGCACAGGTAAAATGCTTTCTGGAGAAACTGAGAATTATATGCAGAGGGGCTGAGGGTGAGAGCAAGTCAGTGACCTGCCTTCATGGAAGGGTCTGCATCAGACGTCAGACACGAGTGCTGCTGTCACCACAACCCAGGTTTTACTTTGCCTGGTATCATCTGGAAAACACACAATGATAAGTATAACATTATTTTTGTGCTGTTCTCAACCTCTAGAAAAGGAAGCACAATTGAATTGTAACAAATGCACTCTTAAAGGAATAAACAAGTAGATCAATGCTGCGGAACACAATTCAGAAAGTGACCAGTGAATATTTGGAATTTTAGTACCCGATAAAAGTGGCCTCCAAGCCAGAGTGTAATGAAGGGCTACTTACTTAATAAACGGTGTTGAGATAATTTGTTATCCCTTTGGCAAAAAGTAAATTTAGGTCACTTTATCACACCATGACAACAAAAAGCTAGGCAAATCAAATGCCTAAACAATAAAAACACCAGAAAAATAGAGTATATTCCTAACCTTGAGAATAAGAAAGGGATTTTGAGAAACAAAAATGCAAAACTTATACAGAAAAAGATGGCCAAGTATAACCGTGTCAGGGACATATATCAAGCTCTCAAAATTGTCCCATTGAAGCTTTTCTTGGTTTGAGCAGAACAAAAATGCATCATCTCTCACTGCCTCCATGGAGGTGGATGGCTGACAGCTTTCATCAAAACCTCTCTCCACTTAATGTCCTTCTCAAAGTCCTTTCAGGTCCTTGACATAGTTCAGGAATTAAGAGTCACATAACAATTTTTGGCCACTTCCATTGGTGTGCTCCATAATGATCTTGTATTTTACTTTAGAATATAGTATTTAGTATCTTGGGGCCTCAGCTAAAGCTAAGATTAAATAGTTATTTTTCATATCTTGGTGTGTGAATGTGTGTGTGTACTGTGTGTGTCTCATGACACTTCAAATTGATAGCAGCAGTACCTCTCAGGCAGGGGGAATGAGTGGAGTAGTGACTGGTCAAGAGTGATGTTAACTTTATCTGTGTTGTTTGAATTTTTATAGTGACAATATATTCATGTATTACTTGTGTAATTAAAAATAAATGAAATTAAATATACTCTAGCCTGTGCTGGATATGTTTCTGCAACTTAATTTCCATCTGCCAATGAAATAAATCTGAAACCTTTCATTTGGGTTAATGGTCCAACTTAATGTGTTGCTCTGTAGGAAAAAACCCGAATTGCAAGGAGGTTTTCAGGGCTCTGTGCTTTGGATTGCTCTTAAGGTCACAGTGTTTTCTTCTGATATTTGCTTTTTCCAGATGTATGCTCAGTGTGTAATGTACATTTGTCCTGGTCCTTGGCTGACCTAAAGGAGTAAATGGCAAGGCCAGCAACTTCCCCTCTTGCAAATGTGAGAGAATACATAGCTACCTGGTCCATTTCCAGCTGGAATCAAAGTCCAGTAGGTAGAATGTTTATTTGAACAGTGAAATTGAAATGGGCTTCTGTTTGGCGTCCCAAAATAAGCTGAATAACCACTTTTGTGATTTGCAGACAGCATCCCGGGGATATTTTGGCAAAGGGGCAGTCGTGAAATGAATGAGGTGATAAGTGCAAAATGGACAATGTGACTTTGGCTGGAAGCACGTGAGGCATGGCACTAAAGGCACACGGACCAATCTTTTTCCTCTGCACAGTCTTCCACACTGCAGTGACAATACCTTGGTGATACCTGTTTAGTGTTTTATAAACATTTCCAAGTGCTTCCACACCTTCACCGGCCCATTTTACACCTATCAAGTGCTCATAATGGTTGGTTGCAGGGCTGGGAGTAGAAAGAGCTGTTTCCTTTCAGAGTCTAGCTGGGGGAGGTAGACACTTCAGCTAGCGTTATAGCCTTCTGGAAAGGGCTTTGAGAGAAGGAAATACAGGAGCTAGGGGACAGCAAAGGCAGACATCAGAGGGAGGTGAGACAAGCCGGGCTGCTTTGGGAAGAGAGAGTGGCACAGGCTGAGGCACCGAGGTCTGGAATTGCACCATGGGTTTTGAGAAACGTAGGTAATGAGTCCAGTACATGATCACAGTGAAGCTTCAGCCACATGGAGAGTCTTGTGTGATCATTCATGGAGATTGAACCTGACGTGAAGGGAAGAACATTTGATGGATTCCAAGCAAGGGAGGGACTGGGACATATTTGCACTCCAGGGTGAAGCATCAACAGAAAGGAAGCACCACTGGAGGTTACGAGGCCATTTAGAGAGCTCTCTCAGCAATCCGCACAAATGAGGCTGCTCTAAGACAGAGGTACCCGGAAAGGTGGGAAGGAAATAGAATTGAGAGAAATGAAGGAGCTTCTATTGGTGTCTTCTTGGATGTTGGAGAGGTGTGGAGAAGGGTGTCTGGGTCGCTGTTTCCATCCAGGCACCATTCACAAGGTAGTGAGACTAAAAGGAGGATTAGGGTCAGGGGAGAGTTGAAAAGTCTGCTTTTATAATATGTATTTTCCCACACTTTCTACCCAAATTCCAGTGAACTGGGTATGATTGTAGGATGAAGTTTATCTTCTGGCAAGGAATTTTAGACACTCAATAAATGGACTTATCCAAGGCTTCCACCTGGTTATACCAAATATGGGAATATACTGGAGTTTTATTTGCTCTAGCACAGAGTTCCTTTAACTGAACTATGAAAGTTGAGTCCCTTTGACTGTACATCTACTCACTGTGCCTTAGAAGGCAGGATATATAGCAGATGCTCCTTGGACAGAATTCCTTCCCTTATTCAGCGCATGCTTATGAATGCCTCCCCTGAGCCAGGCAAGCTTGAGATGCTAGGAATTCAGCTGTGGAAGTTCAGCTCTCAAGAAGCTCACATCTAGGGTGCGGAGTTAGAGAAATCAGACCGGCACATGATACAGAAGGGACTAGGTGCTATGGAGAGACGTGAGCTGGGGAGGGGATAGCCTGTGTTGGGGTGGAGGCTGCTGCTTTAGAGAGATGAGGGAAGGCCACTGGAATCTGATGCTGAGCAGAGATCAGGGATTTTATATAAGGGAAGTGAGGGAGTGAGTCGTGGCCACCTGAGGAGAGCATTCCAGGATAAGGAAACAGCAGGTGCAAAGGCACTGCTGCAGGGAGGTGCTTGGTATATCCAGGGAGTGTGGAGAAGTCCCGTGTGGTGGCTGCAGAGGGAGCAGGGGGAGGATGGTGGGAGGTGAGAATGGAGACCTCTGAGGTAGGTCCTCGAGAGCCTTAGAGGCCACGCGAATTGCATGGGACCCACTGGAGGGAGCCATTCCCAGAGCCATGACAGGTTGGGACCTGCCTGCAAAGGACCACATTCTGGCCGTGGGGAAGGGCAGAAGCAGGAGACCAATTTGGAGGCTGGGACCTGGGGCCTGGGGCCTAGGACAGGCATGGTGAGCAGTGGTCAGTTTCTGAATCCATTCTCAGGGTAGACACAATAGGACTGGTGATTGATTGAATATGAGATGTGAGACAAAGACAAATGCCAAGGACGGCTCCAAGGGTTTTTCCTGAACAGCTGCCAGGATGAAGTTGGCATTTATTTAGGTGGAGGAAGAAAGGAAGGAGCAGGTTTGGGAGCTGGAGATAGAGATTCGTTTTTGAAAGTGTTAATTTGAGATGTTCAATTAGACACAGAGTGGAGATGCCAAATAGACAATTATACAGGAGTCTGGTGCTGAGTGTTGAGGTCTGGGATGGAGACATCACCCTGAGGGTCCTTGGCATTTAAATGCTGTTTAAAACCAGGAGGCTAGATGAGCTCACCAAGGGAGAGGGAAGGGATAGAAGAGGGAGAGGGTCTGAGGACTCAGCCCTGGAGCATAGATAATTAACAGGCAGATGGGGAGAAACTGGGAGAGGGGACTGAGAAGGAACAGCAGGCAAGAGAAAGAGGGCTAAGGGAGAGCCATGACCTACAATCAGGTCAAGAAGCATTTCTACAGGAGAGATTTATGCTGCCGATCTTCCAATAGATCAAGTAGCGTGGAGACCACTGAGACCCAGCCACTGGAGACCATTAGCCTAGGGAGGTCATTGGTGTCCTTGCCAAGCCCTGTTTTGGTTCTGGGTCCAGGAGACAGAGTGTAGTCAGAGGAGAGGAATCACAGACAGCCCAGTGCAGACAACAGGCAACTCTTTCAAGGAGTCATCTTATAAAGGTGCGTGGACACTCAGAGGAAACCTGGGGTAGGGAGAGGGTAGAGGGTGGGTGGTGGCGGAGTTCATTTAAATGTGTTTGGTTTTTAGTGGGCAGTATGACCACATTTTTTATGCTGATGGGATTCATTCTGGAGAGAAAGACACACTGGTGATGTAGGAGTGATACCTTAGACCATTCACATGTTGGACTAATTAGCAGTCACTGCATGTGTTAAGAGAGAGGAGTTGGGGTTGTTCAAGAACTCCTGTAAATGGAGAGCACCTGGCTAAGGGAGGGGCTGGTACAAATGGCTTATAAGCATTCAAAATAAATGTATTGGGGCTGTCCCTCAGGGGATGAGAAAATGTTGGATTCATGCTTTGTACTTTATATTACAGTGAATTCCAGATGTATTAAATTTAAATGCTAAAGGGCAAAATTATAAAGGTTTTAAAGTAAACCACAGAAGAAATTTTAAAAGCAGTCTTGGGGTATGGAAGACCTTCTGGAGCATGACACAAAAGCAGGGACCCCAAATGAAAATGCTGATAAATTCAACTTCATACAAGTAGAGAAATTCCACATAGCTAAAAATAATCAAAACATTAAAAAATACAGGGGAAGTGTCTGTAATTCATAAGACCAATAAAGAGCTAATTTCAAAAATACATAAGCTTTTACAAATCAATAAGATAAAGACAACCTAAAAGAGAAAATGAAAAAATGTTCCCAGATAGGCATTCTAAAGTGGTATGACTTACATGGAAGACAGTCTGGCAATATCTTTCAAAATTAAAAATGCATATACCTTTTTCCTAGAATCTTCATTATAGATATTTTCTCACAAATAAACTTCTACATGTGCAAAATAATGTTTACCCAGGAATCTTTGTGGCAGGATTGATTGTAATAGCAAAATATTGGAGGAAACCTAAAGGTGATCTCTCAGTAGGAGACTGGTTTTATTATAAATTATGAGACAGCTATACAAGGGAATACTATGTAGTCATTAAAAAGAACAAGGCAGTTCTTATGTAGTTAGATTTCTGAGAGACATTGTGAGAAGAGAGAGATCTAGAATACTTTGTTACATTTTTAAAATACATAAAACTGTTAAATCATATTCCACCATTTGTCACAGAAGCAATGTAGGAGTAAAAATAAACACACAGTCATGCCATGCCAAAAGCTGTGAGGTATGTTCCCTGCAGATGAGGACAGTGAGGAATCTCTGAAGCTAGAAGACATAAAAGGAAGATGGAACACAAAACAGCAAAGCTGCGGACACACGAGCCCTACAGGTGGGAGAAAAGCCCTCCCACAGAACCTCTCATTAATTCCTATCCCAGAATTCAGGAGGCCCTGGGAGAGTAGGTCTTCAATAGGCAATTAATTGAAGACTATGAGAAAACTGTTCTATTCTTCCATTTTCAGAGAGGCCAGTGTAGATGTATGACGTTTGTTTGTTTGTTTGTTTTTTTGAGACAGAGTCTCCCTCTGTCACCCAGGCTGGAGTGCAGTGGCGCGATCTCGGCTCACTGCAAGCTCTGCCTCCCGGGTTCTTGCCATTCTCCTGCCTCAGCCTCCCGAGTAGCTGGGACTACAGGCATCCACCACCACGCCCGGCTAATTTTTTTGTATTTTTAGTAGAGATGGGGTTTCACCGTGTTACCCAGGATGGTCTCGATCTCCTGACCTTGTGATCCGCCCGCCTCGGCCTCCCAAAGTGCTGGGATTACAGGCATGAGCCACCGCACCTGGCCAGATGTAGGATTTGTAGTCAGGAATAGGGCTTTCTGAGTTTGGAGTCCTTAGAGGAATCGAATAGAACTTTCTTAACTGGGTGAAGGTTATTAATCAGTGAGCTACAACAAATAATATATGTACTGATGAGATAACAGAAGCCTTCTCATCCAAGGGGAATAAATCAAAGGTATACTACCAGTGCTGTTGTTTAACATTGTACTGAGCCCTGGTCAAGGCAGTAAGTCAAGATTTACAAAGATAACAATTAGCTCCAGCCTAGGCAAAAAGAGCGAAACTCTGCCTCAAAAAACAAAACAAAACAAAATAATTAGATACTGGACAGAGATAACACTCTCATTAATTACAGATTGCTTATGACTGCTTAATGAAAGCCTTTTATATTTAGATACATTAAAAAACCATCTTATTTAGATAGTTCTAGTTAGGGCCAGGCACGGTGGCTCACACCTGTAATCCCAACACATTGGGAGGCTGAGGCAGGTGGATCACCTGAGCTCAGAAGTTCAACACCAGCCTGGCCAAACATAGTGAAACCCTGTCTCTGCTAAAAATAGAAAAATTAGCCGGCATGATGGCACATGACTGTAGTCTCTGCTACTCGGGAGGATGAGGCAGGAGAATTTCTTGAACCTGGGAGGCAGAGGTTGCAGTGAACTGAGATTGGGCTACTGCATTCCAGCCTGGTTGACAGAGCAAGACTCTATCTCAAAAAAAAAAAAAAAAAAAAAAAAGGTTCTAGTTAGTTTTCCATGGATTCTTGATTTTTTTTCTAAGCAAAAGTACCTGTATACAGTGTTGAAACAAGTTAGAAAATAAAGTTAGACATTAGTACACATCTGTTTCCTCTTTTTCCTCTTGCTCTCATTACATACACACTCACAAAGAAAGATGTTGATGGATCTAAGATCTAAATATGAAAGCCAAAACTATAAAACTATTAGGAGAAAATTTAGAAGAATACTTTTATAATCACTATTTTTCTCAGAAGCCACAAGGGAAAAAACTGATCAACTGGCTACAAAAAAAATACCAAAAACTTCTGCACCCTGAAACAATCATTAGATTAAAAATGTTTACTTTTTTTTTTAACAAAGTAAAATAACAGTAATAATCAGGGGCATCATTGGGCCAACGAATTGGTTGCAGCTGATTAACATCCATAATATAAATTAATAAAATGATAACTGAATTAAAAATGAACAAAAGGTATAAATAGGCAATTCACAGCAAAAAAGGACAACTATTAATAGTGGTAATTTTGCTTAGCCTCACTGGTAAACCAGAAAATGTAAATGAATGCTATAAGGCATGAATATATGTGTATATATAATATTCATATGTAATAGATATAATATCTAACATATGTATATTATATATATTTAGCTATGTAGAAATATATTAGCTATATAGAATATAATATACATATATAGATAGTATATATTATATAACATATATATTATATATTATATACATATATTGTACATAGGTATATTTTAAGTTTTATTTTGTTATATAGGTAATAAAATAAAAGTTTATTTTGTTATATAGGTAGACTCATGTCATGGGAGTTTGTTGTACATATTATTTCATCTCCCTGGTATTAAGCCTAGTACCCACCCAACAGTTATTTTTTTTTCTGCTCCTCTCTCTCTTCCCACCCTCCACCCTCAAGTAGGTCCCAGCGTCTGTTGTTCCCTTCTTCATGTTCATGAGTTCTCATAATTTAGCTCTCACTTATACGTGATACTATGCAGTATTTTACTTTCTGTTCTTACGTTAGTTTGCTAAGGATAATAACCTCCAGCTCCATCCATGTTCAAGCAAAGACATGATCTTGTTTTTTATGGCTGAGTGGTATTCTATGATGCATATGTACCACATTTTCTTAATTCTGTCTGTTGTTGATGGGCATTTAGGTTGATTCCATGTCTTTGCTGTTGTGAATAGTGCTGCAGTGAACATTTGCGTGCATGCGTCTTTATGGTAGAATGATTTATATTCCTCTGGGTACATACCTAGTTGTGGGATTGCTGGGTTGAATAGCAGTTCTGCTTTAACTCTTTGAGGAATCGTCATATTGCCTTCCACAATGGTTGAACTAATTTATTATATTACCACCAACAGTGTACAAGTGTTCCCTTTTCTCTGTAACCTTGCCAGCGTCTGTTATTTTTTAACTTTTTATTACTTGTCATTCTGACTGGTATAAGAAGCACTGATATTTTTAACAAAAGTTGTACAGATAAAATGTACTCATCATTGGTAAAGGTGTGGGTAAATGGCTCTTCTACAAATTGTTTGCAGCAGTATAAAACGGTAGGAGCCACTTTGGAAGGAAATTGAAAAGTATCAAAGTGTGTTCAACTTGCATATGCCTTTGAGCAAATGATTCTATTTCTAGAAATCTAACCTAATGTGAACATCCACACATGCTTCCCAAAATATATACAAGATATTCATCATTATTAATTGAATAATATAAAATGGAAACAACTTAAGTGTCTATTAATAGAGAATTATCAAGTAAATTCTATTTTATTCATACTACGTGAAAGTCCATAGTCTGCACTCTAAAATGCTGTACATACTGCCTCTCATTCAACTACACTGCCTTTGCATATTCCCAATAATGTGCCTTGTGAAACAGTAATTAATCAGCTAATCAGTTAATCCATCCATTCATTCATCCTTGCTTGCCTTAATTTTACAATCATTTATTTGTTTATTATTATTATTTTTTTGAGACGGAGTCTCGCTCTTTAGCTCAGGCCGGACTGCAGTGGCGCGATCTCAGCTCACTGCAAGCTCCGCCTCCCGGGTTCACGCTGTTCTCCTGCCTCAGCCTCCCGGGTAGCTGGGAATACAGGCGCCCGCCACCGCGCCCGGCTAATTTTTTTGTATTTTTAGTAGAGACGGGGTTTCACCATGTTAGCCAGGATGGTCTTGATCTCCTCACCTCGTGATGCTCCCATCTTGGCCTCCCAAAGTAAGCAGTCTGCTATGTTCTAACAGATATAAAGATTTTTTTTAAGTCCTCAAAAAAAACCTCAGGTGCATGCATGTTATAAGAAATTAATGTCACCCCGTTTATCATATGGAGGTCGCTCCTATTCCACAGTACTATTTATAAAAACATTCCACTGGAAATATCTTTCCTAGGCAATTGATGGAACATGGCTGAAACTAAATCTTGTTTTAGGCCCTTATTAGCAAAGTAACTTTGCACAGGCTGCCAAAACTCACTGGCCCTCAGGCTCTTCATCTGTAAAATGGGGTTAGGATACCAACTTTGCTATATCTTGGGAAAGGTTAAATGGAAAATGAACATGGCATGTAAAAGACGTTAAATAAATGTTTTTTACTTGAAGTGTTACCCTCAAGGAACTCATATTCCAGACTGTGAGATGACAGAATTGGGTAAAATAGTGTCATGAGAGAGGTAATCACAGGTAGGGGTGACACTGAAAATGTTTAGCAGCCTGTCTCACTTGGGTACCAACCAATGCAGGCACACTCAGCAGTGACCAGCAGTACTGGTACAGGGCCCTAGAAGTCCTCTGATGGTCCAGGCATCAGTCTTTTGGGAACTGGATCAACAGGAGATGAGGTAGAGAATTTCTAGGGGGCAAAAGCCAGGGCAGCCAGGGCTATGGAGAAGGATTTGGGGGGTTGCATGAGTGGGGTTAGCACAGTGACTATTTCCGGTAGGTGCAGAAGTATTTTAATATTTTAAGCATTGGCTTGAATTTATTAATGTCAGAAGTAAGGAGTGAATTGCTATTTTCCTTTCCTAAGTCTAATAAAAGGCACAAAAGAGTAATAAAAAATTATTGTGAAGTTTTGGACCAACAGTAACCAAATGAAGAAAAGCTTAGCCTGGAGCCACAAAGTCCAAAGCCTGGTGGCCAAGGAAAAAACAGAAGGTCTTGGAGAGGACAGAGAGACCTCAGTGGGGATGGTTCCTAATAACCCCTCTCCACCCTCAGAAGCCACGCTAAGTGGTCAGAGCCCTTAAAATTCTCACTGTGTACCCCCATCTCCAAAGAAAAGGAGCTCTTTACATTTTCTTTATCTAAGAGATAAGTGGAGATGGCTGTTGGAGAGACAGGTATGAAACTAGACATGTGATCAACAGAGCAGTCACTTTCTTTATCCAAAGAGAGGACATGGCAACTACACAGGGAATTGGGGGTATTCCCAATGGGAGTGGGACCACCCCCTACTCCCACACCAACCAGATGAAATGAGTCCTGGTAAAGAATATTTAACAAATGCTTGGAGGGAGAGCTGAATGCAGGCATTCTTTTTAAAACAAGAAAGGAAAATTAAAAAGCAGCATTCGTTTAGCATTCCCTGAACCTCTAACATGTTCTTGGGGTAGAGAAAATGAGTGGACTATGATATATTCACTCATCTGAAAATCACGGATCAGTGAGAAAACAGTGACCCAGACTTTATCAGAGCAAACATGTGCCTAATCAGAGTTGGGCAAACATAAGCCAGATGGAAAATGCAATATGATGACCAAGTCGACCTCTTTCAGGTGCAAAAGTACCATGTATGTGGGGGTGGGGGCCCAGAGGATCATGGTGTGAAAAAAAAGAGGAAGCCAAGCTAGAAGAAAATACGAGATGAAAGGAAATTATTAGCAATCGTTTTATGTTACAGAGCAATTTAGTAAGAATGAAAATTCGGGTTAGCTCAAGATAAAATGGTCAAAGGCAGTTAAATAGAAGAGAACTTTCAGATCGTAGGACATAAGCAAAAACCCAGTTGTTACTGAACTGAAACATAAATTTGGTTAAAAATATAAAAAGATAACTGCAGACTGGGAGAAAATACTTGCAAATCATTTCTGCAGTAAAGAACTTACATTCAGAATATGTAAAGAATACTCAAAATTGAATAAGAAAACAAGAAATCCAATTGTAAAATAGGCAAAAGATTTACAAAGTGAAATGAAAACTGTGTTCACACAAAAACTTAAAGCCAAATGTTTATAGAAGCTTTATTTGCAATCAACCCAAACTGGAAATAACTCAAATGTCCCTCAAGAGGGGAATGGATAAACACACTGTGGTACATCCATAAAATGTAATAGTATAGAGCAATAAAAAGAACAAGCTACTGGTGCCAGCAACAGCATGAATGGATATCAAATGTATTACACTAAATGAAAGAAGCCAAAGTCTACATTATATATGATTGCATTTATATAATATTTTGGAAAAGGCAAAACGATACAGACAGAAAACAGATTGGTAGTTTCCAGGGCCCACAAAAGGGTGTGAGCAAATATTTTGAAGATGAATGATTGTTCTGCATGTTGATCGTGGTCGTGGTTACATGACTGTTTATCAACGTGAAGAACTCTGCATTAAAAGGGTGAATTTATGGCATGTAAATAATGCCTTAATAAGAAAATGAAAAATAATGTAAAAAAATTAGAAACACCAAGAACAGGGAAAAGTCTAAAAAATCAAATTAGTGATGTGAAGAAAAGTCCTAATATAATCACTGAGTATTGTAAGTGATAAAGGCAAAAATATTAAAATAGGAGAGAAACTAATATGTTTGTGCACCATTCAACATAAGGTAAAGTGATGTCTCTGGAAAAAAAACAAAAAACCCTACAAATGGAAAAATATATTTGATATTTAAAATTTTCTGAAAGAACAAATAACCATACCATATTTTAAAAAAATTGTTCCAGAATTCTTAATACTTAGACACTTACTACTTAAGCTATTGTGTTTTATAAATACTCTTTTTCCCATGAATCCAGGCAGAAAAGTAAAATTGCTACTACAAAGAAGAAAATTCAGCTGGCCTCAGACTTTTCTATACTGATTGCCTGTACCAAAAAAACATGAAGTCTTAAGGCAAGAAGACTCACTAAAAGAGTCACTTGGTTATTCATAGCCAAGGTGCCTTCAAAATCTAAAGGTAATAAGGAAATATTGTCAAACATGAAATAACTCAAGTGAACATCTTTGAACCATTTTGGAAATTAAAAAACAAACAAGGCAGGGCACAGTGGCTCATGCCTGTAATCCCAGCACTCTGGGAGGCTGTGGTGGGTGGATTGCTTGAGCCCAGTTCGAGACCAGCCTAGACAATATGGTGAAACCCCGTCTCTACAAAAAATACCATTAGCCAGGCATGGTGGTGCATGCCCGTAGTTCCAGCTACTCAAGAGGCTGAGGTAGGAGGATTGCTTGAACCCGGGAGGCAGAGGTTGCAGTGAGCCAAGATGGCACTACTGCACTCCAGCCTGGACACAGAGACGCTGTCTCAATAAAAAAAAAAAATGAACAAACAAATTTTAAAAATAAATAAAAATAAAAACCAAAACAAACAGCAAATAGCTCTGTGTAAGTCTCATCTAACCAAAGGGTTTTTTAAAAAGTAAACTGAGCAGGAGAAAATGTGTTAAATGGCTTTGTAGTGAGGATTGAATCTATTTAAGTATAAAACTTGTTATTAATAATGATAAGAATTATGGGTCCAGATCATCTTGCAGACATGATGTGCCTGCAAATCATTTAAAAATGTTCTAAAATAACAAACAATTGGGTCTTGGCAGAATTGCTAAGAGCCCACGTCTAAAACTGAAGCATAAAGATTTGTTTAAAATGGATCTGACTGTTCCTTTGTTTTCCTTAATCTTCATTTTTTACTTTAGAAAGATCTTTTTGGAAATAACACTTGTGTGGTAAAGAGACATTTATTTCAAAGTGAAGTGTCTCTTTAGTTAGTCTTTTCATTTTCAACTTCAATTCAAATTCAGCTAAAATTAAATACAATAATTTTTATAAAAATACAATCTATGGAATGTTCTAATATTTATAACAGTTTTCCTGACTAGCTCTCTATCCTTTTAGCTCTGTATATGCATAGAAAGATAACGATAGTCATAATAATAGTAATAATAGTAGTAATAATATTTAACATTTATGTCATGTATATGCTAGGTGTTTTATGTGGGTTAGCTCATGACAGTAACCCCTGTGGTGTAAGTACTATCATCATCATCTTCATTTACAGATAAGGAAACTGAGACACCATTTGTGTCCTGCCTGGACACGTGTGAGTGGACCAGGAGAGACCCAGAGGCAGTCAGGCTGGCTCCTGCCTGTCTCCTGCTCTTTGCTGACATGCTTAGTGACCTCTTAAAGATTCATGGTGGCCAATTCTAAGAGAAGGAATATTTTTTTCACTTTTATCTGTGTACATATTTTTCCATAATTGTCTGAATTCTTTTAGCTATGTGTATTTTTTAAGAAAGCATAATTTTTAAAAAAAATTGTAAAGAGTTAGAAGTAAGTTTAAAATAGGCTAAGATATAAGTGGGATGCTGAAAGTTAGATTGTTTTACTTCTTTGAATTTGTATCTTAAATTTTTACATTTTGAAATATTGAAGAAAAAATGAGTGATCTGATTTAAAGTGAGATTGACTCCCTTTTAGGCAGACCAGCCAAGCAGCTATCTCTCTTTGGGTTTAATTTACCTTTTCATTTTTATATTAGTAGTACTTGATCCTTTGCCTGTTAATTTCTCCAAAGTTCATTGTTTAGAAATACATGCATTCCTGCTTCTTCTCAAAGTGCATTGGTATCCACCAAGAAGAGGAGTGCTGTGGAGTATAAATAATTACAGTGACATAAAATGGGAAGGAAAAGATGCCTATGGGAAGAACATGTTATTTTTAAATAATTGTTTTTGGAAGAACCAATGTCGGGTCTTTACAAACTTCATTACAGAATTTATACAAGGCTCTGTCACCAACTCTCTCTGTTCATCTCTACTAAGCCCACTGAGAAAAATTGTAAGGTACTTATCTTACATATTTATATAAATAACTTATTCATATAAATAAATATTTTATCATCATACACAAATGACTGGATGGATTCTCAGTAAATCTGGGGAGTATTAGAGGTATAGATGTACTTAAAATATTCAGGCTATCTAGTGAGCCAGAAATTGTATCAGGAGACATGGGAGTCATTTCAGAGCAGCTGGAACTGAAGGAAAGAATTTATTAAATTCAGAAATTGAGTTTTGAGACCATCTAACTTAAAATTATAGGCTTTGGAACATAACTCCCAAATTTTTTCAGGTTTTTTAAAGAAGCCCCTTAAAAGGACAGGCAGCATCCCCCATTGACACTAAGACATCGCTAGAGGCTGGTGTGACCCCTAAGCTGGGCCAGTAGAGAGGAAGAGCCTAGTGGTTTCATACTCATGCTGGGATTGGAAGTCACAGGACCAAACCCCACTGACAGCAGGCACTGTGACCCAGCTGCGTGGAGTCAGGACGGTTCATCACTGTGATTCACCTTAACCATGATGTGCCTGGGTGCTCTGGAAAGGCCAGCTGGAGACAGTGATAGAAACAGGCAACGTATTGAGTGGTCAATATGGGGGGTGCCCCCTGTGCCCAAGCATGTATAATCCCCTCCAATCCTAACAATTGATCAATGAGGGAAATTTAATTATCTGGTGATGTCAGTGAGGAAATAGAGGCTTGAAACGATGAACATTTCTCAAGGTGACACCTGGAGAATGGCAGAGGCAGCAGATAAACCAGGGCTGGTTGAGAGCATGACTGTAGGGTTTTGAATCCCTGCTCCAGCACTGACTAAGGTGTAGGCTTAGCATGTTTCTCAACTTTTCTGTAACTCGGTTTCCCGGTCTATAAAGTGCAGAATATAATAGTATAATTGTTGCCGGGCTGTGATGAGGGTCAAACAAGCTAATAAATATAAACCTCTGGGTGGTGTTTGACAAGTGCAGGAGCCCAGAACACAGGTGCAATTATTCTCACGGCTGTGGTATCTCACGGTGCCACGTATGCTCAGCTTCTTTCACGCTTGACACAGCCACAAGAAGATATTGGTTGTCCCCCAGAAAAGTAATGTGATTGACTTTTCAAACTCTACACTGATTTTTAAAACTGCAAGGCCGTGAATTCAAGATTCCGTGACTAGAAAATGCCTGGCACTTCCTTACAAGGCTCTAATATTGTCACTCAAATGACGGACAGTGAAGCTTGAGTAGGGATGGGGCTGGCAAGCAGAAAATGGCAACTTTGCCATGATGACATGAGGCTCCCTGAAGGATTCTAAGTGTTGGCATTCTTGATGCCTATATTAGTCTGTTCTCATGCTGCTAATAAAGACATACCAGAGACTGGGTAATTTATAAAGGCAAGAGGTTTAATGGACTCACAGTTTCACATTGCTGGGGAGGCCTCACAATCATGGCAGAAGGCAAAGGAGAAGCAAAGGCATATCTTACATGGCAGCAGGCAAGAAGTGCACGTGCGGGGGAACTCCCCTTTATAAAACCATCAGATCTCCTGAGACTTATTCACTCAGGAGAACAGCACAGGAAAGACCTGCCCCCATGATTCGATTACCTCCCACCTGGTCACTCCCACAACACAGTGGAATTATGGGAGCTACAATTTGAGATTTGGGTGGGGACACAGCAAAACTATCAGTGACTAATTTGGCTTCCCCCACACCCATTGACTCTGTCATGGCCTTAATCTCTGGGACTGTCTCCCTCTCTGAAGGTGCTCAGAGTCTCGCGTAGTCAAAGCCACTTGGTCTTCTGTTGAATGTCATTAAGGAATCACAAGACAAAGGCCAGTAGAGAGGGTTAGGCCGTGTATGTATCGCACAAACTGACTGAACTATACTAATGAATCAGTAACTTTTTTGTTCAGGTAGACAATCGATGATTGGGGTTGTTGTTTTACCTGGATGAAAGACGGGTGTTTTAGACACCTCTTTGTATTGGTGTCATTATTTCTTTAGCAACATGACCAAACACTGGCGTTTTTCTTGTGTCCTATGGACTTGGTTTACATGACTATAAACACTTATCCCTTGTTACATGTTCATTTTCCACTGGAATAAATTTGGAAAAAGAAAAAAAAAGAAGAAAAGCTGGCCTCTTTTTGACTAAATAGTAAAAATAGAGACTGAGAGATAAGGTCAGTATTTCCTGGGGGATTAAGAGAGAAGCTACAGGGGATTCCAGAATCATTCCAGAAACATAAAGAAAAAGCAGGTGAAAAGAAGGGCTCAGAGTAATGTCCCTGCATCAGCTAGTGGTATGTATCACTCTTCAGGCATCAGGGCCAATACTCAGGCATCTCAAATGGAGAGGAGAGTGGACTCACAGAGAAAGAGAGGAGAAATATTCTATTAATATTTGAGGCTTTCCAGAGGGATGCTTTAGGCAACGGGGAATCGCCTTACTGAGGAGTTCTTTGACTCCTTCTCACATCATGGAGATATTGTTATGTTTATGAGATACCATTAATCCCCTCTCTATGTCAGCCTTTCCCCTTGGCTTAAAGTGAGCCTTCCTCTCTGCCTGTTCTAAATGGGAACGATGCCTCTGTTGGCTAATTTGCAATAGACCCTGTGATCAGGCAGTTCTCTCCCACACAGTAGTTGAACCAGTCTTTGTGGGTGAGTAATTGAGGTGTCTGGAGTCTGTACAATTATAGCTTAGAGGATGTCATGCATCATGCCTCTCACGGAGTTTCTTCCCCAAGGCAGTGGGGATAATTGTGCACTTGATCCCTTGTTCCAGGAACATCCAAACTGAGGCATCAATTCTTGCAGTCTAATGCTCCATTGTATCCAGGTGAACCTGAGCACGTTTGCTACCTTTGTCACCCAGAAAGCTCCTATGCCTTCCAGTTGGTCTTCTTAACTGCCACAATTCAGTCTCACCAATACCCTAAATTGCAACTCTGCACACTCCTCCCCATGCTCTGATCCATCTATTGACTCCACAGACTCTTTATCTGTCCACCTCACGTACTGTGCTCCTATAAGATCAAGTTGCTGGCAGTTCCCCATACGCTCTAGGGCTCTAGGTTTCCACGCCTTTATTTACAATCCTGCCTCCTCCTGGGATTCTCCTCTTTACCTGTCATCATCAGGCCAGGTCTTACTCATCTTTCAGGTATGAATTCAGACATGATACTCTCCAGGAAGCTTTTCTTAAACTCCTGGGTTAATCCCCAGGCACCCTGGGCATTATTCCACATTAACACTAATCTCGAGATTATGCACCCATCTTCTTGTGAAATTTTCTTGGGCAGCGACCTTGTCTTATTTGTTCCTGAGTACCTAGCACCTGACCCAGTGCCTGATGCTTAGTAGAGACTCACAGAGTGTTTGTTGAACTGACCTGGTTTTGATTCCCATGGTAATACATTCTGATCAGATCCTTGTCAACAAGTCTGTCCCTTTCGTTTGCACAGCCCTTGACCTTATCATGAGGGGAAGTCATCAGAGTATGGAGTTGAGGCTTGAGATGATCCATAACTTCCCCTGGAACCCAGATCCAGTGCTGAGCACAGCAAAGGGAGACTCACCTCTGGGCCTTGGGAGAACGTGAGCGAGATGTTAGAACTTTGCTTCCTCTGGTCCCTGGTCATTGATAGATGGTTTCCTCTTGCCCTGTTTGTATGCTCTGCGGTCTCCTGTGCCTTGTTGCCATCCAGGGCATGGGGGGTGAGCTGGCTGCTGCCCTTCAGAGGCTCCAGCAGGCTTGGTAAACAGCCTTGTAGTGTGGGCTGTGGCCAAAGTCTTCCCCAGACTGTGCCTGAGTGAGGAAGGGCAACAGAGGCCCTTTGTCTCCCAGGTTCTTTCCACCTCCCCTCCCCTTCCTGCCATTTGCTTCCCAGCTGAGGGAAAGTGCAGGATGCGGGGGCACCCAGAAAGTTGCCCTGGGCAATTGGTGTACTGCCCTCCTTAGGAAGGGGACAGCAGATAGCTTCTGAGTGTGAGCAGCCACTCACATACACCACACACCCGTCACATACACACACATCGCATACACCACACGTTACATACACCACACACACCCAATATATACCACACACCACATACACATGCATCACATACATCACACATGTTACATACACCACACACCACATGCACACCCAATGTACACCACACACACTATATAAACACACATTGCATACACCACACGTTACATACACCACACACCACACACACACCCAATATATACCACATACCATACACACACATCACATACACCACACATGTTACATACACCACACACCACACACATACCCAATGTACACCATGCACACCACATACACACACATCACATACACCACACATGTAACATACACCACACATGCTATGCACACATCCTATATATACCACACACACCACATACACAGACATTGCATACACCACACGTTGCATGCACCACACACCACACACACCACAAACACCACACATACACCCAATGTACACCAAACCCACCACATACATACACATTGCATACACTACACATTACATACACCACACACCACACACATCCAATGTATACCACACACACCACATACACACACATCATATACACCACACATTACATACACCACACACCACACACACACCAAATATATACCACACACATCACATACACACACATTGCATACACCACACACGTTGCATACACCACACATGCCACACACATAATCACACATTGCCTACACCACACATGTTGCATATAACACACGTACCACACACACCTCATACATCAGACATGTAACACGTACTGCATGCCACGCATACCCCAATATGCACCACACACACCACATATACACACATACACACATTACATACACTACACATATACCACACATTGCATACACCACACATGTTACGTACACCACACATCACACACACACCCAATGTACGCCACATCATACACACACATTACGTATACCACACATGCCACACACACCCAATATACACCACACATATCACATACACCACACATGTTACATATACCACACACCACATACCCCACACAGCACACACACATCACATGCACCACACGACACACACACTCCTAATATACACTACACACACCACATACAAACCACATATACAAACACCATGTACACACGTTACCTACACACGTTACATACACAACACATATCACACACACCCATTGTACACCATACACACCACATATCACACATACTACATACACATACATAACATGTCACACACCCAATATACACCACACATGCCACATACACATACATCACATACACCATGTATGCTACACACAATACCCATATACACTACACACACCACACATACCACATACAGCATATGCCACACACACCCAATATATACCATACACATCACACACCCAATATACTCCACACACACCACATATGCATATATCACTACACCACCCACAGTATGCACAGCACACACAGCACATACACTTCCCTTCTATATACACCACATGTGTATAGGTATATAGGTATATGGTGTATGTGGTGTATATAGGCAAGAAAACCATGCCTGTGTCCTCCTGACTCACATATAAGTGAGTCACATATTATGCACATGTGAATGTGTGCACAATATACACACCACACACTCAGCACACATACATCACACACACATACACCGCACACACACACCACACACCACATACCATACATACACGCACTCCATATACACCACACACACATACATACCACACGCCCACACCTCACATACATACACCACACACACCACACCCATCCTCCACCACACACACACATCACCTACACCACTCACACACCTAATGTACACTACACACACCCTACACCATACATGACACACACCACACACATCAGTCTCACACACACCACACACCCACTCAGTCCCCCACATAATCACACACCCACACTCTACACACATACTATTCATACAAGCCACACACACTATACCACACACACAACGCACACACATATCACATACACCCTATACCACTCACATACCCTCTCACACACATACCACACCACACCCGCATACCACACACACCACACACACATTTGTAATTCTTTGGCAACCCCGCTCCTACTTGAGGTCATGTCTGTGGTTGATACGCTCCCATGGCCAGCTCCTCAGACAAAAGAATTGCTTTCATCTTTACTGGCCGCTTGGTTGTAGAAATGTGGTAGAGCCTGCCACAGGTCAGGGAGGCTGGAGCATGAGACGGATTTCCAAAGTGACTCAAATGCCAGGAGTCGTAAAAGTCGTTATGGAGTCATAAAATCTCAAGGTTTCTTTTGTATTTGAATAAAGATAATGGATTTTACCACTTTATTGAGTTCCAGAAACAGAGTCCAAGTAATATTCCCATGCTCTGTAATAGGGGAATTGGCTGGAATAAAGCAATCTATGACTGGTTTGTATCATTGATTCTAAGACTTTCCTCATGCTCCTACTGGGTATTCCAGGAACAGCCAAAGGAAGGTGCTGTGTTCTTCCTCCTACATTCAGGTGAAGGATGGGATCCCATGTGGATTTTAAAATCCACAACTGCAGGCATACATGCATCTGTGGAGTTGGGTCCAGCCATGCTAGCACATGGGAGCTCCCGGCCTCTCTCTGTGCCAGGTTTGTCTGTTGACCATGGTCACTTCAAAACAGAATGTTTCCTTCAAAACTAGGGGGCAAATTGGAGTCAACCTGGAAAATGCTTATGGCTTTTTTTTTTTTTTTTTTTTTTTTTGTGAGACGGAGTCTTACTCTGTCTCCAGGCTGGATGGAGTGCAGTGGTGCAATCTCGGCCCACTGCAACCTCCGCCACCCGGGTTCAAGCGATTCCCCTGCCTCAGCCTCCTGAGTAGCTGGGACTACAGGCACCTGCTACCACGCCTGGCTAATTTTTTGTATTTTAGTAGAGACAGAGTTTCACCATGTTGGCCAGGATGGTCTTGATCTCCTGACATCGTGATCTGCCCACCTCGGCCTCCCAAAGTGCTGGGATTACGGCATGAGCCAACACCCCCAGCCTGGCTGGCTGTCTTCTATTTTAGCTTCCATTGAGGAAAAAAGAACTTCTGAATTTTTTATCACCCAAACATGCCATTTAGAAGAAGTGGTATATTAGTTTTCTAGGGCTTCCATCACAAAGTACCACAGAATGGGTGGCTGAAACAACAGAAGTTTATTTATTCACAGCTCTGGAGGCTGGAAGGCTGAGATCAAGGTGTCAGCAGGGTGGGTTCTCCTGAGGCCTGTCTCCTTGGCTTGCAAGTGGGGGTCTTCTACATGTCTTTCCTTGGTGCATGTCTGTGTCCAAATCTCCTCTTCTTATAAGAACACCAATTATGTGGGATTAGAGCCCCCACTAAAGACCTCATTTTATGTAATCTCAGCACTTTGGGAGGCCGAGGCGGGCAGATCACTTGAGGTCAGGAGTTTGAGACCAGCCTGGCCAATATGGTGAGACCCTGTCTCTACTGAAAATACAAAAATTAGCCAGAAGAGGTGGTGGACACCTGTAATCCCAGCTATTCAGGAGGCTGAGGCATGAGAATTGCTTGAACCCAGGAGGCAGAGGTTGCAGTGAGCCGAGATCACACCACTGCATTGCAGCCTGGGCAACAGAGCGAGACTCTGTCTCAAAAATAAATAAATAAATAAATAAAATAAATAAATACATAAAAAGACCTCATTTTAACTTTAAAGACCTTACCTCCAAACACAGTCACAATCTGAGGCACTGGGGGTTAGGACTTCCACATAAAAGTATGGGGAGGCGGGCACAACTTAGTCCTTAACAGCCCATGAAATATTCCTCCTACAATTTTGTTAAAGGCTTTGTTTTTATCAAAAGAAAAGAAGCTTTAAATTAGAGAGGCATTCTCTGCCATAAAATACCAAGAAGCCACTTCCTGTCAAAGTCATTCTTTCCCAAGGGAGTTTCCCAGACACCTCCCTTGGGTTTCATGAAGAGCAATAAGTCTGTGTCTCTACCTTTCATGGTATGGCCCTGGGGACTGAGTGTAATTGTGCTGTCTTGTTTAGCTCAACAAAGACAGAGCAGTTGCCCATTAAATTCTATTATACTTTATAGACTGAATATGTTAGGTGGAAGTTGGGGAATTATTTGGGGAATGGTAGAAAGTGGTTTTTAAGTTGCAGGCAAATCGTGTGTGTTTTGAGACTGACATGATCACCAAGCCTCCCAACCTGTTCCAGGCATATGGACCTGGACTCCTTCCTGGCAGATTGGATGGGAAATTTCCCATTAACCCAGCCCTGCCACTAGTGCTCCAAACACTTTGGGAATTCCCGGAAAGCCCTGCAGCAGAATAACTTATATGCCAACAAATTCTTAAACGTTAGCTTTTAGACAGCACTGGTCATTGTGCAGAGCCAAATCGGGTGAAGAATGAGGGATCAAATGAGTTATTCTGCAATCATCAAAAAGGAGGTTCCACTGAGAGAGTCATCACATTTGTTTTCATGTTTTGTTTAGAGTCTGCCTCTGAAGATAATTCCAAGAGATGGTTTGGAAAAATTGTTTGTGAACAATGTCAATGGGCCTGCAGGAATTGTGTAACCTCTAAAGGCCATAGCACTCACTTTATTTACACGGCGTTCATTTTTTGAAAATCAGCTTTAATTCTTTTCCCCTTTGCAAATAAAGATGAGCAAAGATTTTTTGCGAACGTGCTCTGGACCCAGAAATGTGCTAAGGAAGTACTAGGGAAGCACTAGGGAAGTAAAGAGGAACATAGCAACTCTACTCCCCAAGCCATAGATACACAACATAGGTGCAGGTGTACAGTGTGACCAATATCATCATAGTAGTACACCCTGTCTGGAGCTGAAAGTGGAGCAGAGAATCTTACAGTCCTCCTTTCTTTCTCTGGCATGGAGAGAGGGCCAGACAGAGGTGGGAGGGAAGAGAGTGTGCTGTTAGACTAAATCAACCTTCTGCCCAACCTTGACAGCAGCCATTCTACAGATTGATTTTTTTTACTTTTAGCTCTTGTGAAACTCCACGTTTATAGAACCAAGCTTGAGTGCATTTTGATATCAAATAAGAGAGTGGTGGGCAACACTGCAGGTCCCAGATGTCGAGCCACAGTGCAGAGGAGAGGTGGGCTATCTGCATACTCCAGTCTTGGAGAAAGAAATGCTCAATCAGGACACACAGGCCACCTGTGCAGACGTGGAGTCGGCAACCTCACTCTGGATTCCCTTTTCCTACTCACTCTCCCTATCCCATTAGAAGTCTGGGAATTCCATTATCGGTCAGGTCAGTGGTCCTTGGCTTCATCTCAGGGATGGCCTTTCATGAAGGCAGCTCTTGCGGAGTGGCAGCCCGGACCAAGAGATGCCTGTTGCTTGGTGGGGGATGGTGGAGCTCATCCTGGAATCTTAAATACATGATCTCACATCTACATACATATCTACTCTTTCATATCTTTCCCCAGGCTCGTAATATGAAGTTAAAAAAGCAAATGGTCTATGATAAGAAAACTGGATATAATTGGAATGTCCACCCCAAGGGAGCTAGTGAAATTCGTTATTCTCCATTCATAGCCTGAACTGTTATATTGCCATAAAGATCGTGTTGATGAAGAACCTTCCAGATTCCAGCATAGTGATTGAAAGAGGCAGGTTACATGACTGAGATCACATGGGGATCTCAATGATGTTTAAACAAACAAACAAAATATGAATATGGCAATTTATCTCTGAGTGTAGGGTTGTTGATTTTTCCATCTTTCTTTATTTTCTGCATGTTATATAAACAATGAAAGTTATTTAATTATTTGCAAAGTAACAAGTCCACCAAGCCAAGTATCAAAGCAATTCGCTGTCTCAGCCTCCCGAGTAGCTGGGACTACAGGTGCATGCCATCATGCCCAGTTAACTTCTGTATTTTTAGTAGAGATGGGGTTTCACCATGTTGGCCAAGCTGGTCTCGAACTCCGGAGCTCAGGTGATCCACCCGCCTCAGCCTCCCAAAGTGTTGGGATTACAGGAGTCAGCCACCACACCCAGCCACAAACAATTTTTAATTTCTATAAACAACAAAACAACACTAAGAAATTTCTAGACTTTATTTTCTCTCTCTGTCTCTCTCTTTCTCATTAAGACCTCACCAGCCAGTCATCTTTTATGACATGCTTACATGTGAGGGGCCGTCTTCTCAGATAGAATTTTCAGGGACGGGTCTGAGTTAAAGGAACATCAGGCCCTCCTTCTGTGCAGGGCCCAGCTGGCTGATGAATGGGCTCCTTGCTTCTCTTCAGGCTCATCCCCTTGCCTCTCCTCCTCATTTCCTGTTGTCCAGTGCACCCTGTCAAGCTCTTTTGCATCTTGAATCTTTGCACCTGCTTTTTGCCGGGAAGACTGTCTCTCTGGCCCTCTGGTGGCCGGCTTCTTGACATCATCCATATCTCAGCTCACATGCTGTCCTTTGACAAGGCCTTCCCTGGTCCTCTTCAAGGGAGACCACCCTTAACCTGCCACTCCCTTCCCCTTTCCTTGTGTATGTTCTTCATCGTGTCAGGCACTACTTGCAATATTTGTTTGTTTGTGCATCTCTTTATTGTCTGTCTTTTCCCCAAGAGGCTGAAAGCTCCATGGTTTTTTGGTCCCTGCAGCAACTAGAACAGTACCTGGCAGACACAAGACACGTAATACATATTTTTGAATGAGGAACTTGGCTCCAGAAGCCATGAGAATAACTTTGTTCCAACACATTCAGGCTGCGGTCAGAAAGGGTGAGCTGGAAGCAGTGAGCTGGGAGATAATGAAACCAAAACACCATTATCAGGAAGCTTGAGAACAAGGCCACCTTTTAAGTATCTAGAAATTCCCATTAATTTCTTCCACACCTTGTTCCCCATCCCACCTGAAGACTGAAGCTGAGAGGCTTTTTTCCCAGTCATCTTGACCACAAGATCAGTTCTCTCCGTGAACATAAAGACAAAATCGCTGTGACACCAACAGACAGATTTTTTAACAAGTGGAATCCATGTCTCATGTAAACAATGTGCTACTGCCTGCCATTGAGTTCTCTTCCCTCGTTTTCCTTTTTGAAGACTTAACCCCTTTCCCAAAGGGACATGTGCTCAGGTTTCTTGACTCCACAGCAATCCCTTCTGTTGTGTAAGGCAAACTGATCACCTTTCACAACGAGACAAGAAGTGATTTAAATCAGATGGTGACCCAATGACAATGTCTGTGCTGTGTCCTATGGAGAAAACCAAAGCTGAAATCCAGTAACAGGTGATAGGAAGATGTGGAGATAGAAACTGACCTGAATTCTGAAAAACAACAAGAGAAAAGGAAGTCTGAGAACAAGCTGGTGTTCTTCCAAAACCTGTTCATTGTGTGAATTCCTAGAAGATAGCGTGACACCGAGAAACAGGCTGGAGTGACACACCCAAACAATTATGCTACCTGGATCTGCCAAGGCAGGAGGACAAACTCAGCAGCCTGGAGAATGGAGGACACAGTCCAGAGTTGGTGAGCCAAGTTTTCTTCTGTTTGTTTTGCTGTTGCTGTTTTTGTTCTTGTTGACCTATTGAGTTCTATGATGAGACCAAACGTTTAATAATTGTCTTCTATTCTAAAACTTGTCTCTCAGCAACAACAGCAGCAATTACTTTTGACCACTCACTATCGGAAAACACTGCTTTAGGCTGTGGAAATGCAGTAGTAGAAAAGCCAGGCATAATCCTTATCCCCATGGAGGCACTATCTCCATCCAAGGGCAGAGGACCTGCAAGCCCTGAGGTCTCCAGCTGAGGTTCCTCTCTGAAGGACAGTTGCACTTCAGGTCATGCTGCAGTATGAGAGAAGGCAGCGTGACATCTTGAGTTTCTAATGCTCACACCTGTCTCAGTGAAGCATTTTTACAGAGTAATCACCACCCCCCTCACACCCCCAACAATGTCATCAAGTCATAAATCTCCTTGGTTTGAAATATTGGATTAAAATATGATTAAACAATATGTCTCAATGGAAAGTTAAGATATGTGTGCATTCTCTATCCTCAAACAATCCTGGAATGCCCCCCCCCCCACTTTATGATTTTTTATGATTTGCCTATCAGAAATCTATGCTAAAACTCTTAAAGAGTTTAGTTCTTAGATTTGTAAGAGTAAGAGCATGTAAGAAATTATTCTTTGACAGTTCTCATTGCTAGCAACAAAGTTTTTAGGTTCCAAAGAGGTATTTACTTAGAAACTAAATAGTGTGAACCATTAGCGCAGAAGATGGTGCAGTAGAACAAATGGGGATGAGGTATGAGGAGAGCCAAATGCTAATCCTGGTGTGTCACTGATGTGACTTGGACACTGCCACCCCTCTGGACCTCTGCTTCCTCTTAGGGAAGAAGTGCTCTGTGGGGGTTCTCTGAGGTTACTCCTACAGTTCATGTTCTATGAGCCTGGAAAGAGCAAAAATGTCTCATATATACTACGTAATGTTGTCTAAGTGGTACATAGCAGATTTTTTTTTTTTTTTCTGAGACAGAGTCTTGCTCTGTTGCTCAGGCTGGAGTGCAGTGGTGCAATCTCAGCTCACTGCAACCTCTGCCTCCCGGGTTCAAGCAATTCTCCTGCCTCAGCTTCCCAAGTAGCTGGGATTACAGGTGTGCACCACCACACCCAGATAAGTTTTGTATTTTTAGGAGAGACGGGGTTTTGCCCTGTTGGCCAGGCTGCTTTTGAACTCCTGGCCTCTAGTGATCTGCCAGCCTTGGCCTTCCAAAGTGCTGGGATTATAGGTGTGAGCCACTGCACCCGGCCTAAGTGGCACATCTTTACCAGACAATCCATTAAATTTGAAAAATTCCATAATAAATAAGTGACATTTGTCAAAAGCATATAATGTGTCAAGCACTAGGTTATCAGCCTTTCCACACAAACTCTTTCCTTTAAATTTCATGGCAACCCAATGATAAAAGTGGCATTATAGTCCCTCTTTTTTTTTTTCTTAAGTACATGTGGAAACTGAGGTGTAGTAAATTGTTATGACTCACTAAAAGTGACAAAGCTGGAAACTGACAGAAATAAGCCCAGGGGTTGGACTGCAGCTGCAGAGTCCCACATAAGGGAAGCTCTTTCAGGAGCAGTTTGCCTGATTCTCTGAATGGTGTCCTCCAGCCCCTGGAGGAAGGAACTGAGATCATATCTCTCTCCTTCGCCAGCTTTCACATACAGAAGCAGCTTCATGGACCCATCCAACAGGAAGGGATTTCTTACAGGCAAGCCAAGAAGTTATCTTGCAGCTGACTTTCAGTTATGCATAACTACCACCCATCTGGGACCCGATGATAGGGCAAAGGAGCTCGGATGTCACCCAATAATGGCCCAGTGACTCATCTAATTGCCTGCTTGTCAATGCCATGGTACTACAACATTCTGGTGGCCTGACTTAGTTGACTATTCATATCTCAAAGGACATGCCTCTGAGATGCAATGTGAGGTATTTTGAAAGATTAGATATTGCTGGATTGAGTCACATGTGGGAAAGAGAGAAGAGGGCTCATTGGATTCCTCTCCGGTAGCAAATGATTTGGTGAGAGTGAAGCCCTGAGAAGAGATTGTCTGGGAGGATTGACCAAAAGCCTCAAAACAAAGGAATGACTTTCACAGATTGACTAAGGATACAATCATTAAAATCATTCATTCAGTCACCATTTTCTGAGCTCACTGTTAGGCAGGCAAAGATACATAAGAGAAGTTGCTTACTTTTATGATCAAGTTGGAGACAGCAGTTATCAGAACACTCTCAGTATTTCTGGGAAATTCTGCAAGTTATGTCACATGGAGTACCTCTTTCTTTGAGCTTAAATCACCCTATCTCCCACTCTGGTTACATAACCACTCGGAACTGCAGTTTCATCTTCTTAAATTGGGAATAATCAGTTCTAACTCATTTTTAAGGGAGATTCTTAATGTGAAAGTAATTTTCAGATGATTTAAGGTGAAGGGATATAAATACATTGGGAATATTTTGGAAATCCATGAAGAGATTTACTTCCTTCTTTCGTATTCTGAGATCTTACTTTGCAGTCTTACAGGCATGCACGTGCTTTTTTTTTTTTTTAATTATCCCCTGCTTTTGTTCTTAAAATGAGATGTACTCCATTTTTATAGATTTCTCAAGGTTGCAAAGCTCCAGAATTCCTAGGTCAGCTGTGACTATTGGATAATATCAAACCAAAGCATTGAGGGTTCCTTTAAAAACCAAAAAGGCTGTTTCAGGGCTAAGACAATGAGGATTTCTGATATCTTTATAGGTGCAAGAAGCAGGCAAGGGAGCCTTGGAATTATTGACAAGAGCCTTTGTAAACACCTTCCAACCAGTTTTCCTCACAGTTGCCACAAAAGGAACAGGCTTGTGAGAGGGCCACAAAGGAGATTAGGGTTCCTGACAAGCTCTGAATGGCCTTCCCTGTATTACCAAGGGCTGACTTTGTTCCTGGTGGTGCCAACAGTGGGCATGAAGCCAGCCCTTCTGTTTATGAGCAGCTCAAGGTCAGGTGGGCTTGGGCTATCTGACTTTTCATTAGGTCAGTAAATATGTATATGAGGAAAGTGGCTGTGGGTCAACTGAACTGCTTGCTCCAGAGCTATTGACCTCTTGCCCAGCCTCCCAGCTTCCTGAATCCGTGAGAACATTCAGTGAATCAATGAGGACATCCACAACCTCATTGAGTTCTCCTTTGCCCTTCCCGTTCCCTGCCTCAGTCACAAGACCCTCTCCACATCTCTCACCCTGTCTTGCCTTGACGACCTGTCCAGGCCCATCATCCACCTGACCTATAAACTTCAAACACTTTCTGGTGTTTCCTGCTTCCAAATATTCCTCAAAATTGAGGATCCTGAGTTGAATATCTGGAGTTCTCCTTTCTGATTTCTATAATGGTCAACATGCTCTAAGGCAGATTTTCCAAGCATTTCTGGACTTGCCAGAGACTTCCTCCCTTGGCAGGTCTGAATCAGAAAATTCACACGCTGGCTGGGCACGGTGGCTCATGCCTTTAATCCCAGCAGTTTGGGAGGTCAAGGCGGGCAGATCACTTGAGGTCAGGGGTTTGAGACCAGCCTGGCCAACATGGTGAAACCCCATCTCTACTAAAATACAAAAATTAGCCGGGTGTGGTGGTGCACACCTGTCATTCTAGCTACTTGGAAGGCTGAGGCACAAGAATCGCTTGAAGTGGTGAGGCAGAGCTTGCAGTGAGCCAAGACTGAACCAGTGCATGCTATCCTGGGTGACAGACTGAAATAAAAGAAGATTCCTGCAGTGTCCAGGAATCTCTACTTTTTTTTTTTTTTTTTTTTTTTGAGACGAAGTCTCGCTCTTGTTCACCCAGGCTGGAGTGTGATGGCACGATTTCGGCTCACTGCAACCTCTGCCTCCTGGGTTCGAGTGATTCCCCTGCCTCAGCCTCCCAAGTAGCTGGGATTACAGGTGCCTGCCACCACACCCGGCTAATTTTTGTATTTTTAGTAGAGATGTGGTTTCACCATGTTGGCCAGGCTGGTCTCGAACTCCTGACCTCAGGTGATCCGCCTGCCTTGGCCTCCCAAAGTGTTGGGATTACAGGTGTGAGCCACTGAGCCCAGCCAGAATCTCTACTTTTAACACATATCCTGGAGAATTCTTATGATCAAGTATGTTGGAGGAATAGCTAGAATGCCTACTGGGGTGATAACAGTTTTAAAAAGTATTATGTTTTACTTCTTCATGTATATTTGCATGTTTTCCTAACAGACCCTCAACGTTGCTAGATGATTGGCTATATGGATGATTTGACTGGGAGGTAGTGGCCCTAATGGAGTAATAAGAAACGCTGTGCATAGATGGTTGAGAAACAGCCCTGGGTGCTGACACATCCCAAACATTAAATAGGCCTTATGAAATGTATTTTGGTGTTCTTGAGATACGAGGATGAATTTTCAAGAGGACAATTTAGTCTCATTTTAACTTGGAAGATAGAAGAGATGGTCAAGAGTCTTATCCGTTGTTTATATAAAAAGACTGTAGAAAATGCGTCAAAGCATTCGTGAGATTAGGCACCTCTACATGCTTCTTGAGGTTAGACACCTCTACATGTTTGGTGTGGTATCTAGCACAGAGTAAGCTCTAAATACAACAAATAGAATGAATAAATAAATGAATGAATGAACGTTGTATTCATTGATGGTGACTGACACATGTTCCTTTCTCCTCCCTGTCTGTCTAGTTCTTCTCACCTGAAGAACGTTGGGAAGACCTTAATTGGAATCACAAGAATTGGGTGTAAACTTTGGCTCCACATTCACTATCTGTGGGACATTCATTATCTGTGGGCTTCATCTGTAAATGGGTGGGCTGTCTTTGGGTAGGTCACCCAGTTGAAACAATGGACTCCAAGGGTTTTATTACCTCCTAAGTGTTGAATAGGATTATTGTGTGTCTCCTTGACTTAATTAGTCCAATTTTCTACCTCAGGTAGCACAACCATCACTTCTCAATTTCGTATTCTATTTCTTTTAGGAAGAGTCAATGCTCAAGATCTGTGAGAAACTGAAGCATGTTTGCCTGTTTTTCTCAATATATGCACGTTCTGTATATCTCAGTTCTAAAGAACTAAAGGTAAACTCTAATACGAGCAGTAGGAAATGGCCAGATAGGAGGAATGTGCACAGTGACCTTGGGCAAATGTCTGAATTCTAAGGCCTTGTTTTCCTCCTCCACAACACGAGTAAATCAGTTTCAATAATCTGTTAGGTCCCTTCTGTGTCAGCTTGGAAGTCCCTGCTGGAGGTAAAGGGTGACACTGTTCAATGCACTGAGAACAGCCAGGAAGAAGCTCAAATGTGTAAGAATAGAAAAGGAAGGTTATGGCCTTTTTACTTGATTCCACAATGCAAAGGTAAACAGTCATGAGAAAGAAAAGAGGTTTAAAAGAAAACAATAGTGACCTATCTGCTTTCCCTTTTGGTAAAGTAACTTTCGTAGGGCTGCTTACCATGCTGTATATATATTTTTATTCTTTCTGCCCGTTATTTACATACTCATTCAACATATATTTATTGAGAAGTTGCAGAGTTCTGCTGACTGTCTCATCTTCCATCTTCTAAAGCAAAACAACAACAACAACAACACACAGTTGTGCTAGTTTTTTGGCTTACCTCCTTACAAGGTCATACTGCTAAAACCCTCACTCTGGCATGACTAATCTGACACATAGTTTGCCTTTGTTCTCCAGAGGTCTAATGAACAGCTCCCTGTACACCACCAGGTACAGTCTACACTCTTTGAGCTGGCCTTGAGCCCCTTGCCATCTGAGCTGCCTCCCTTGTTCCTATTTTAGCTTCCTGCATGCCCAGGCAGCAAGTGACTTGGCTCCACAAACAGCCTGTTGCTATGATCTGCTTCTTCCTCTCATTCAAACCCTCGAGGCCTCGGGAGGTAGTGTAGCATGATGTTAAGAGCAAAGCTGTGAAGTCAGTGAAAGATGGGTTTTACCTGAAATCCCATCATTAACTGGTTTTGAAAACTCTGCCAAGTTTCCTAAGCCCTCTGATGTATGAAAAGACGATGATAACCACTTTGCTGAATTGTCTTAAGGCTAAAAGGAGATAAATTATGTAACTTGTTTGCTTTGAAAATGGATTGATATTTGCTCATGAAATCTCCTTCAGGCGCATGTCATGAACCCTATTCGTGCAGTCCAACTTCTACTCAACTTTCAAAGTTGGGGTTTCATGCCATTTTTATCATGAAATGTCCAAAAGCATGTGCCCCCTCAGTTGGACTCTCTGTTATGGCCCATATTACGTTTTATCATGTATTTTAGATATCTATGTTGTTAGTATATGGAAAGTAAACATCTTATTTATCTTTATTTTGTCACAAAGCCTGGCACAGTTGATTGCCTATTTGGTATGTAGTAGTAAAAAAATTCTTATGAAATGAATTAGTGAATGAATATACAATGTATTAATAAATGATTTTGCTAGTGGTAAATATTCCTATACATAAGGAGCTAAAGGGGGCATGCCAGCTGATCAATCTTTCTGAAATAAAACCTTTTGAAAGTCTTTCTCCAGTAAGATATTTGAGCTCATATAACTGACAAGAGTATTAGGATATAAAATATATAAAAATCATATGACTCAATAAGAAAAAAACTAATTATAAAAAGGGGCAGAGGGCAGGAACAGGAGATTTCATAGAAAATAAAACCCAAATGGCCAATAAATATATGAAATGTTGTTCCACCTTACTAGTAATTATAGAAATGAAAACTAAAATAATAAGAGAACATTTCATAAATTGAACACTTTGGAAGTACTTAGTAGTGGTAAGGATGTAAGAAATGAGCATTCAAAAATTCAGGTTTCAAATTGATCATAGTAGATTCCTACAAGTAAATACAAAAATGCATGAGAATAATGAATCTGATCTACCTGTACCAACAGGAATAAATTCAGAAAACAACAGAAAATGATAAAGGTTACTTGCAGAAGTATAGAACAGTATGATGGTATTTCTATATGGCATCAACCCATACACACACATACACACACACACACATGACCGTACCTGTATTAGTCTGCTTTCACCCTGCTGATAAAGACATACCAGAGACTGGGAAGAAAAATAGGTTTAATTGGACTTACAGTTCCACATGGCTGGGGAGGCCTCAGAATCATGGCAGGAGACAAAAGGCACTTCTTAACATGGCAGCAGCAAGAGAAAAATGAAGAAGCAAAAGTGGAAAACCCTGATAAACTCATCAGGTCTCATGAGACTTATTCACTATCATGAGAGAAGCATGGGAAAGATCGGCCCCCATGATTCAGTTACCTCCCCTGGTCCCTCCTGCAACACATGGGAATTCTGGGAGATACAATTCAAAGTGAGATTTGGGTGGGGACACAGCCAAACCATATCATTCTGCCCCTGGCCCCTCCAAATCTCATGTCCTCATGATTTCAAAACCAGTCATGCCTTCCCAACAGTCCCTCAAAGTCTTAACTCATTTCAGCATTAACCCGAAAGTCCACAATCCAAACTCTCCTCTGAGACAAGGCAAGTCCCTTCCACCTATGAGCTTGTAAAATCAAAAGCAAGCTAGTTACTTCCTAGATCCAATGGGGGTACAGGTATTAGATAAATACAGCCATTCCAAATGGGAGAAATTGGCCAGAACAAAGGGGTTACAGGGCCCATGCAAGTCTGAAATCCAGTGGGGCAGTCAAATTCTACAGCTCCAAATTGATATCCTTTGATTCAAGGTCTCACATCCAGGTCACGCTGATGAAAGAGGTGGGTTCCCAGGTCATGGCCAGCTCCATCCCTGTGGCTTTACAGGGTATAGCCTCTCTCCTGGCTGCTTTCATGGGCTGGCGTTGAGTGTCTGCAGCTTTTCCAGGTGCATGGTGCAAGCTGTCAGTGGATCTACCATTCTGGGGTCTAGAGGATTGTGGCCCTGTTCTCACAGGTAGTACCCCAGTAGGGACTCTGTTTGGGGGCTTTGACCCCACATTTCCCTTCTGCAGTGGCCTAGCAGATGTTCTCCATGAGGACCCCACCCCTGCAGCAAACTTTTGCCTGGGCATCGAGATGTTTCCATACATCTTCTGAAATCTACGCAGAGGTTCCCCAACCTCAGTTCTTGACTTCTGTGCACCCACATGCCCAACACCACATGAAAACTGCCAAGGCTTGGGGCTTCTGCCCTCTGAAGCCATAGCCAGAGCTGTATGTTGGCCCCTTTCAGCCACAGCTGGAGGGGCTGGGACAGAGGGCATGAAGTCCCTAGGCTGCAAATGCTGCAGGGATCCTGGGCTCGGCCTAGAAAAGCATTTTTTCCTCCTGGGCCTCCAGGCCTGTGATGGGAGGGGCTGCTGTGAAGACCACTGACATGGCCTGGAGACATTTTCTCCATGGTCTTGGGGATTAATATTAGGCTCCTTTCTCCTTATTCAAATTTCTGTAGCTGGCTTGAATTTCTCCCCAGAAAATGGGTTTTTCTTTTCTATCGCATAGTCAGGCTGCAAATTTTCCAAACTTACATACTCTTCTTCCCTTATAAAACTAAATGCCTTTAACAGTATGCAAGTCACCTCTTGAATGCTTTGCTGCTTAGAAATTTCTTCCACCAGATATCCTAAATATCTTTCTCAAGTTCAAAGTTCCACAAATCTTTAGGTCAGGGAAAAAATGCTGCCAGTCTCTTTGTTAAAACATAACAAGAGTCACCTTTACTCCAGTTCCCAACAAGTTTCTCATCTCCATCTGAGTCCTCCTCAGCCTGGACCTTATTGTCCATATCACTATCACCATTTTGCGCAAAGCCCTTCAACAAGTCTCTAGGAAGTTCCACACTTTTTGTATCTTCTCCTGAGCCCTCCAAACTGTTCCCACCTCTGCCTATTACTCCGTTCCTAAGTCGCTTCCACGTTTTCAGGTATCTTTGCAGCAACGCCCCATTCTCCTGGTACCAATTTATTGTTTCAGTCTGGTTTTGTGCTGCTGATAAAGACATACCCAAGACTGGGAAGAAAAAGAGGTTTAATTGGACTTACAGTTCCACATTGCCGGGAAGGCCTCAAAATCATGGCAGGAGATAAAAAGGCACTTCTTACTTGGCAGTGGCAAGAGAAAAATGAGGAAGAAGCAAAAGTGGAAACCCCTGATAAACCCATCAGATCTCATGATACTTTTTCACTATCATGAGAACAACATGGGAAAAACTGGCCCCCATGATTCAATTATCTCCTCCTGGGTCCCTCCTACAACATGTGGGAATTCTGGGAGATACAATTCAAATTGAGATTTGGGTGGGGACACAGCAAACCATATCAGTACCCTATGTTGTTTCTGGAGGGGGAGACATAGTAAGATTGTAAAAATGTAGACAAGAGGGAGACATGGGTACCATGGTCTCCCCTGGGAAGGAATGTGAGAGGAAGGAATCAAGAGAGCTACAACCAGATCTTTGGCTTTATCTAAAGGTTTTCTTTTTTCCTTTTTTTTTTCTTTTTGAGACGAAGTCTCACTCTCAGCCTGGAGTGCAGTGGTGTGATCTCGGCTCACTGCAACCTCTGCCTCCCAGATTCAAGTGATTCTCCTGCCTCAGCCTCCTGAGTAGCTGGGATTACAGGTGCCTGCCACCACACATGGCTAATTTTTGTATTTTTAGTAGAGGTGAGGTTTCACCATGTTGACCAGGCTGTTCTCAAACTTCTGACCTGAAGTGATCCACCTGCCTTGGCCTCCCAAAGTGCTGGAGTTACAGGTGTGAGCTACTGCACCCGGCCAAGGTTTTACTTTTATATTTAGAAACATCTAAATTAGATTAAGCAAAATATGGATGATGAAAAACTAGGTGGTAAATATGAATGTTTTTATTTCATTCATATTTTTGAAATTAGTAATAACTTCATAGTTTTAAAAATTAAAAGAAATGTAAATTTTCCATGACTCAAAAATGCAAAGAATTGACTTATGCCCAGATGCTTATTCCCAGAACTTTCTAGCAATCAGCTCAAGAAGAATGGGGTGTAGGGCCTTTGCTGACCTGTACAGAATCATATTTAAAGTGATGTAATTATGAAAATGCCATTTAAAAGGCTCAAATTTTGCCTTCAGAAATACTTCTTTCTGTAGGGTGACCATTGTGCCATTTTTTCTTTTCCTCCATGCACGAATAGCATATCACCTGCTGTCAATGCCTTGACCTTCAATGATGGATACTGAAGCCTTTTATAGAAATACAGAAAAACAGCTTTCCCCAGCGTTTTCTCCCCTACCTTCTCTCCTGAACAGTACTGACGTGGCTGCTTGGTAGAAGTTTACCACTAGGGTCCTATGGAGTAGACATACAGGACCTTCCGAACTGCTGTGGGGGAAGAAGAGAAGGTTAGTTTTGGGAATTGTTTAGTAGTGGGGAAGATCAGGGATGGACAGAGAAGGGATGTAGATGTTAAATCTCTCTGAGATGAAATTTAACTCATCTCATTGTTGAAGTGTTGAGTGATGTAACGTTTCCAGGTTTCCTCTAACATTTACCGAACACGCATTATGGCATCATGGTTTAGGGGATCTAGGCTTTGCAGATGTTACTCCATTATTTCTCTAAACAACCATCGAGCCTGTACTTTTTTTTTTTTTTTTTTTCCGAGACAGAGTCTCGCTCTGTCACCCAGGCTGGAGTGCAGTGGTGCAATCTCAGCTCACTGCAACCTCCGCCTCCCGGGTTCAAGTAATTCTTCTGCCTCAGCTTCTTGAGTAGCTGGGCATGCACCACCACTCTTGGCTAATTTTTGTAGTTTTAGTAGAGACAGGGTTTCACCATATTGGGCAGACTGGTCTTGAACTCTTGACCTCAAGTGATTCATCTGCCTTAGCCTCTGAAAGTGCTGGGATTACAGGGTTGAGCCACCATGCCCAGCCAGAGATTGTATCGTTATTTCCATTTTTCAAACAAGGAAACCAAGGCTTAGAGAAGTTAAATGACATGCCTGAGGTTGCATAATATGGGTGGACAAGAGTTACAGCCAAGTCTCTCATTCTGTTTGCTGTTGCCTCTTAAATTCTCCAATTTGATCTGCTTTTCTCTGTTAAATAACAAATCCCTATCTCTCTTTCCAGGAAATGTTCTTCAGTTGCCTGTAAACATTTATTTTGAGACTAACACTGCAGTTTTTCCTGCAATGTCCCATTTGATAACATCAATAGACTCCAATGAAGAGAGAACCCTTTTTAATCAGTTAAATCTTCATATGTAGAGTAGGCAATCAAGGCTAAGTCAGAGTGAGAGCTTTCTGACACTCACCATGCGCGTTTTATTGAAACACTAACAGGAGAGAATCATGATATGATTACCTTTAAATGAGATTATTAAGTTTATGTTTCTTCAAAATGTGTAGTAGCTTATAGATGGGGCGTTAAGTGGTTTCTAATATTTTCCTAAGATCTGAGATAAAATACTTCTTTCTAACGTTGTCTTTCATTATCTGTTCATCTGTAGCTGAGTAACACAGAGAGATTCTTCTCCAGGTCTTGCCTCTGAGTGACAGTCTTAAAGGCATCAGTTGTGGTAGTGGGGGCCAGCCATGTTCAGTCACTTAGGC
Organism: Homo sapiens; assembly: GCF_000001405.40. Classification (NCBI taxonomy): domain Eukaryota; kingdom Metazoa; phylum Chordata; class Mammalia; order Primates; family Hominidae; genus Homo; species Homo sapiens. The sequence goes on along the minus strand of NC_000015.10, from coordinate 97,983,704 downwards.
CTTTCCTTCGGTGTGAAAATATCTGGCTGGACCCACAGGAAATGGTTTGAGAGACTAAAGCAAATGGCTTCTGTTTCTTACATCGTTTAAGGAGTCCATGCCCAGATGGCTAAGACAGAGAGGACTGAAGAGGAAGGGTGTCAAGGATGGTACAGCTCCCAGTTACAGATATGGTGGCTTCCACGGAGATCAGGCAGAGTTCTGAGCTTTTGGAAACTACCTGAAAATCTTCCACTAGCTCTCTTTACATGCCTTGGTGACAGCAAGTTCCTGACATTTTTTTTTTTTTTTTTAGATGGTGTCTCAGTCTGTCACCCAGGCTGGAGTGCAGCGGTGTGATCTCGGCTCACTGCAACCTCTGCCTCCCAGGTTCAAGTGATTCTCATGTCTCAGCCTCCCAAGTAGCTGGGATTGCAGCCACCTGTCACCACGCCTAGCTAATTTCTATTGTATTTTTAGTAGAGACGGGGTTTCATCATGTTGGCCAGACTGGTCTCGAACTCATGACCTCAAGTGATCCACCTGCCTCAGTCTCTCAAAGTGCTGGAATTACAGGCGTGAGCCACCATGCCTGGCCCTGCTTGATCATTTTTGAAAAGCAGAAATCCAGGAACAGACCCGAGGGAGTTACAAGGTGTAGAATGTTGAAGGTATTTCTCAAAATGCTATTCCTCTTCTCAATACCAGTTCAGCATTCTCCTCCAGAGATCTGGTGTCTCACACTGCCTTTTGTGCTGTAAAAGCCAAGCCAAATGAGAGGCATTTAAATTATTTCTGTTGCCTAGGAAAGAGAAATATTATCCACAGTAACAAAATCATCAAATTTTATTATGCACAAGTTAGTGCTATATATTTAGGAGTTTTGCTTTAGAGGATATAATTTAGAAAAATGGGACAGCTTTTCATTGGCTTGGAAGTTTCTATTGTCAAAACATATTACCAGGAAAGTACAATACATTGTAAAATTATAAGGAACTGCAATTCAGTCCTATTTTGACTTTATTTATAAAAAAAACAAATTAATAGCAAATGAATAAAACTTTTAAACCATTATCCGGGTAATAATACTAAACAAAACAACTAATAAAACAGCCGCATTCAAACAGCTGTTTAAGGAAGCCCAATGATATTTCATCCATTGTCAAACTTGGCATTTGAGCAGAATAAAGACCAAAGTAAATATTTATTGATTCATGTGAGAATACTGAAAATTTCTCTTTTATAAGTAGAATAAGCAAATAAACCATGATTTATAAAAACCCTGGCTAACTAAAATCAGCTAATGGGTCTATTCAAAAAATTCTTATCATGTAAACTGTGAACTGACAATTATAATTGAAAATTACCAGTTTCTCTATGAATTTAATATACATATAGTTAACCACCTGCTTGACTGTTATACAGAGCCATTTAAACGTGCAAATGGACGTACAAATGTTTGAAGTCTTTTGAACCAAACACATTAATTGCCAGTCTGTGTTAATGGAAACACACAGAATGGATGCCTGCCTCTCTCTGTAATAAATATAAAAATTCCCTGGGCTTCCGAGTCTCCATACTAAGCACACATGGAGGCTTTTTATAGGAAAAGCTCATTTAGAGATTGAACCCCTCAACCCCAACCAAATAGGTAATAAGGAGACAGGAAACATTGTATTGGCCAGATTGACTACAAGCAGACTGCATTCCTCACACTGTTCTGTCCAAGTGGGAGTCCGCAGCCCAGATGGCTACAGAATTGGCAGTGAGAAGTGAGGCAAAGTTCAAAGCAAGCCCAGGGGCACATTTAGTGCCCAGTTTGCTCCCTGTTGATACCTGGGCAGGTGACCTTGTGCTTTTCCTTAATGGCCTGGGGACCCCCATTATGACTTCCCCTGGACCTGTCCTCACCATGCAGTGATCCACAGCTAAGATGCTCTTCCTCCTTAGCAAGATATATCAGCCCCCTGTCCTCTGGCCCGCAGGCCCTGGGTGTTTCAAATAGAAACACAAGGATGGCCTGGGGTGCTCCTCTGCCCAGCCCCCCACTCAGCAGGGGCCACTCAGCAGGGGCCATCAGCTGTCCGAGCTAGGGGCCTCTCTGAGGGCAGGTGGTAGGTCCCTCCTGCAGTCACTTTTCCATGACTCTCTGGCCATTGGGGTGTAGATGGAGGGGGCCCCAGCTTGACTCTGAGCCAGGGCTCAGTGATGTATGTTGATGCCTGGAAAACAGCTGGGGGCCTGTGGGGTCTCAGAAGACCCATCCTAAGGTAAGAGGATGCCAGGGAAGCTAAGCTTGGCTCAATTCCAGAGCTTTAGTGTTCAGAAGGGAGGTGAGACTCTGGATCACCTGATTTTTGTCAGCAGCCCAGTCCTAAGATTGTACATCTGAGTCTTACCCAGAGGAAAATCTGCAAAGGAAAAGGTGAAAACAGCAGTTTCTCTAAAAACAAGGTAATAGGGTGGGGCACAGGAAGCTGTTTTTTTGTGGGGAGCCTCTACAAAACAAAATATAAAATCGACCGGGTGCTGTGGCTCACTCCTGTAACCCCAACGCTTTGGGAGGCTGAGGCCAGTGGATCACTTGAGGCCAGGAGTTCAAAACCAGCCTGGCCAACATGGTGTAACCCTGTCTGTACTAAAAAAAAAAAAAAAAAAAAAAAAATCAGCCAGGCGTGCTGGTGCATGCCTGTAATCCCAGCTACTCAGGGAGGCTGAGGCATGAGAATTGCTTGAACCCGGGAGGCAAAGGTTGCAGTGAGTCAAGATCACACCATTGCACTTCAGCCTGGGCGACAGAGAGAGACTCTGTCTTAAAAAATAAAAATAAAACAAAATATAAAATGAAAAAAATCATTCTTCTTCACTTTCCCCAAATCAATCCTAGCCTGGGATTGTGAAGACTTCAGTGCATTAGAGGTGATGCTAAGGAGTAGCGGAGATTGACTTATTCCTGGAGACTTTTAGGAAATTCTTGGGAGTAGAAGATGGACTTGGCGAGAAGCTGAGATTTTTCAAGATCAAGTTGGGGTAAGAATTAGCAACATGGGGATCTTGTTTTTAATGAACCCAATTCACCTCCACAGGCTGACGATGCCTGGGAACACCCAGACAAGGCGAAGCATGAGTTCAGTATTACCTGTCAGATGTGTTTCTCACCTCCCTGTCGGATGTGTTTCTCGCCTCTGCTGCTGTCTTTCACCTCTGCTTTGCCTGGTTCCATCAGTGCCACACCCAGCCCGGCCTTCAGCTTTACTCTGCAGGGTTGTTTCTGAATGAGCTTTAGGTATTATCAAAAATATTATCCTTTAACCTCAAAGGATAAAGACTCTTCCCTAGTGAAGATATAAGAAGACGAAGCCACAGGTTCTGAGGGCCATTTCGAGAGTGCTCTGGGCATCCTTTGAGCACATTCGCGTCACCTTCCTTTGCAGTTACTCCTCATATGATGAGCATACCACCCGGTCCTGGGATTAGACAGGGAGAAGGGCCCGCTTTCACAGGCCCCAGGCCACTGTTGACAGAGCCGCAGGAAGAAGAAAGAGACCCAGGTCTCTTGGGAAATCAGGTCCTCATTTATTTGTAGGCGAGAGAGATAGAGAGAGAGAGAGAGAGAGCAGAAAATCAAAGACAGCCTGAGAAACATGTCTGTAGCCTCTGACCATGGACACTTTTCCACAGAATACAAGTCCTGAAAAAAATGGTGTGCAAATCATCTGTGGTCTGGTGACCTCTAATCCAGAGCCAGGCCTTGGTCCCTGGCAGCCCCTGTGGGCAGGCCCAGGGCAGGCTGGGCCTCCGCACAGAATGGGGAAGGAGAGGGCACTAGAACTGGGGGAGATGGGAACTGAACCAGCTGTACTGCTGGTCTCTGTGGGGGATGCCATCCAAGTGCCAATGGCCAAAGGGGCCTGAGGTTTCTGGCCCCATCCCAATGTCCTTGTTCGTTTCTGGGAAGACACTCTGCATGGGGACTGTTTAGTGACAGCAGGAGGAATTTAGTGCTAGAAGGCAGCAGGTGAGGGAAGCTTCTTGGAGGACGACAGCTGGTGTCTGTGGATGTGGGGAGCTGGGTTGCCCCAGTAGAAAGAACGAGGGGAAGGTGGTCAACCAAACCCCTTTACCTGGAATTTAGGGGTCCTGGGATGGGGGCTTTCAATGCTAAACCTGGGGAAACCCTGGGCAAACCAGGACAAGCTGGTCCTCTGGGGAAGGCCAAGGAATAGCTGTGGAGGGCATCAGGGCCCTGGCTGGGCAAGAAGAGAGGTGCCAACATCAGCATTGTTTAGGTCTTAAGTCATAAAGCTCCTTCACAAAAATCAGATGCAAAGAAAACCCCAATCCTCCCTCCTTTAACACACACGCACACATACGGGCACACAAACCTACAAAAAAGACAATTTCCTCTTAGTGAGCTTATCTAATGTATACAGCCCTCATTTCTGCTGATAGCAGCCATTTCTGATTTATTCCTTGCTGTAAGAAATTTCTTATACCTTCCTTCCCCTGGGGTTCCTGGTGTTGGAATTGAAGCTTTGGGTCTCCACTAAGTGGGTTGATGTGGAAAGGGCTTCTTCCCAGTACAGGCCCAGTCTTCTGTGTGGGTCATCCAGCCCAGGGGAGGCAATGGGTGAGCAAGGCAAATGCTCAAGTGTCCAGGCTTAGACCAGACTTGGGGCAAGATGACACATTCCAGCTCTCTCCAGCAGCTGCCATGGAGTCTGTGAAGGTACTGTTTATCTTGGAGCCAGTCAGGCATTGCTAAAGTTCAAAGACCCAGTGTCCCTGGCTGGCCAAGGCTAGAGAAAGGAGGTTAACATGTGGGTTTCCTGGCTTCCACCAATGTATTTCTCCACAGGAGACTTCCCTGTTGTGTTCAGTAGCAAGTCTGAGACCATTAGAAGTCTCCCTATTCAACGTAGATACTGTTTTAAACATCTTCCCATTAGCAAAGGGAATTATTTTTGTTTTGTTCTTAGGAGGATAATTCTGGTTGTCTTAAAACGGCTTTACGTAAAATGAGATTAATTTTCTTAAAAGCACCGCCTTTATCTGAAGTAATGCTGCCACTCTCAGAGGAACAGCTGTTGGTGTTTGCAGCCATACATGTTTGAGATAAGTTATCTTTTGACATCATGACCAAGCTTTTTTGTTATGTCAGATGAGATAAAAGTAAGTATTTGCTGCTAAAGTTTCCCCTGATAAGCAGTATTCCACTTTTATATAAGAGGGCCAGATGGTTGAATTAAGGATGAAATAACACATACAGAAATTTGCTTTTAAATCCACCTCTGTACACAGAGGTTCTCTTAAGAGAGGTTTACCAGGAATCTTTGGCTTTGTCCTCTCCTAATGATACAGAAGCTAGAAAGAAATTATTTAGGCAGTTAGTGAGGGTAAGAGAGTCTTTGTCAAGGTTTTGTTTTTAAGAAAAAGCAGCCCCCAAATAATGTCTTTTCTAACAAAGAGCAGCCTGAAAAATCAAGCTGCTGACATAGAAAAGCAAGCTAGGAGCTTGCATGGGTGAATGCTGGCAGCTGTGCCAATGGGAAAAGGCTACCTGGGGGCCAGGCATGTTCAACATGGAGGCTCCATCATCCCTTTTCTTTGTCAACCACATGTACAGTAAAGAAGCAGGTAACATGGTGCTGGCCAGGTAGAGAATCCAGCTGCATAATAGAAGATTATGGTGGGCCGGCCATCTTCTTGCACTATGCAAATGACACACCTGGTCTGACCAATCTCTCATACCCTATGTAAATCAGACACCGCCTCCTCAAGCTCCTGTATAAAATCCCGTGCATTTCACCACGGAACCGGAAGACCTGCCCGTTTCTCTTTCTTTCACCTATTAAATCTCTGCTCTTAACCTCACTCCTTGTGTATCTGTGTCCTTGATTTCCTTGGCGTGAGGCAACAAACCTCAGGTATTATCCCAGATGAACGATGCCACTTCACTAAGGAAGATAAAGGAAACTAGAGACTAAGCTCAATATCACACTCCTCCCATGTGTATGCATACTTACATATACTTCTTTGTTTTAGTTTACGCAGGAGAAAGAAGTTAGGAAAGTGTTTAGGTTCCTAAACTGTTTTTCCATAACCTGAGCTTTGTCGGAAGTATTAGAACAGATCTGTAGCAAAACTCAGAAACAGTGAACCCTCAGTGCAGTTTCTCAGATGTGCTCACATGTGAGCCTAGATCCATCTTATACCTTGCTATTCCAGTTTAATAGTAGGGTATCGAATCTGGCTTCCTGTGCTGCAGTGATTTAGAAGATGTATGAAATAGGGAATTGTTTTGTTGGACTCTTCCTTATTCCTTATCTGTTTACCACCCACCAATACAGCAACTACTAAAAATAAAGCTAGAGCTCCGTGTTCTTCTAGTAGTGAGATGACTCAGTGTTGATAATGTGCCCTCTCTTGATTCCCAGGTGTATAAACAATGACATTTTTGATGAGTTTTCTTGCCCAAGGGGTGAAATCTCCAGCCAATAAACAGAGCATCTGTGAGTGCATGTCAGCGTGCACATGCGTGCATGCCTTGTGTTTCCGTGTGTGTGCATTTGTGTGCTGTGTTTTGGGTGCAGCACACCAACATGGCACATATATACATATGTAACAAACCTGCACGTTGTGCACATGTACCCTAGAATTTAAAGTATAATTAAAAAAAAAGAAGCTAGTTAACTGTAGACAATAAATCTTTAGATGTTACTGAATCAACTCAATCAACCAGTTCCAGCAAGTCCAAATATTTGCAGTGGTAGCAAATATGAATAAGCGATCACATATAGAACACTTGCCGTGTGGACAATCAGATGGATTCTGTCATCTAAAATTTAAAAAGCAAAATAAAAAAATACCACGGAAACCGTCATGTTATGGGAAAGTGACTGCATATTTGTAAAGAACACAGTCAATACTAGATGTGTGAGCTGTAAGTAATGTAATCATTATTATTTTGGTCTGGAACATTTTATGTCCTTTAGTCATTAAAATAAGGACCTATGAGGCTGGGGCAGCATGGAGAAATGACTATTATACCATGCAGTGACTTTTTTTAAAAAAGAAAAAACATAAACTTAGGGCATCTATTTCCCCCCCATTTTCTCATTTAATTACAATTCCCTGATACCTTTCTACTAGACTCGTACTGTTTGGGGGCAAACTAGTAAGAAGCTTGGGGCAAAAGACTTCTCTTCCAATAAATTCCTGTGGAAGTAGGAACCTATTATCTGTTTGTTCGTTTTGTAACGGAGCTTACATTCTTACCTGAAAGAGACACAGCTCTGGAGGTAAAGGGTGTGGAGGAGAGGAAGAAATAACAGTGTGTGTGCACATGCGTGTGTGTGCACGTATGTGGCAGGTGTTTGCAAACACGAGGGAGGCACCTATGCTTCCCTTGTTTCCAGTGGGAGAAGCTGCCTAAAGCGTGTCTCTTCCTGTTCAGGAAGACGTCTTGGTTCTCTGAAAATTTGTCAGGGATGGTGAAATCTCCATCAATGAACACAGAAAGCTCCACCAAAGAGACAGTTCATGGCGAATTCAGTTATAGTGACATTCTAGAAGTTGACACTGGTCAACCCTTTCTATCCATCTCCACCCCATCTCGGTGTCTTTCTTTTGCTGCTGCTGCTCATCACCAACAAACTCATGTCTGGTTTTTGGGAAATATTAGTGTGTAATGGCTTCTATAAAATAAGAGCTCTCCTTTCTAGAAAAATTTAATAGTCTTAGAAAATAAGCCCATGTTTTATAGTATTGTTTCATTAGGAATAAACACATATATTGTAGTTAAAAATTTTCTCAGCTTCCGAGTGGTCTTTCCATTTCATCAGATATTAAGAAGTGGGAGTATGAACGAAGGAATTAAAGAAGAAACAGAAAAGAAGAGAAAAAAATCACAAAATTTAATACTCAAACACACCAGGCAACTGTAGTCTCTTTCCTGGATAATTTATGTTAAAATTCATCAGACTCAGAAGCCGATATGATAAATAGCCCAATATAGTTTCTCCTTGTTGTCTAATTTCATCACAGGTCTATCTGGCTCATTTATAATGCAATCTCTTTCTATTTAAAGGCAAAATACTTCAAGTATTTGACAAGCTAAACATTAGCCCTAAAAATTTGTATCAATCTGCATTTACATATTTTGTACATAAAAAGTTCTCAAACTCAAAATCAAAATATTTACAAAGGTATCATGTGCTTATCGATGTCACACATTTTCTTTGCAAGGTGCATAATGAAAATTTCAGAAGTAGTCGATTCTGTTTCTTTTAAAATGTCTCCATTAAAATACAAATAAACAAACTATTGATGCATGGCGCAATTTGCATGGATCTTAAGAGATGTTCTGCTGAGTAAAAAACTGCCAGTCTCAAAAGGTACATACTGAATGATTCCATTTTTCTAGCATTCTCAAAATGACAAAATTACTGAGATGAAAAACGGGTGGGAAGGCTGGGGTGAGGGAAGGAAATGGAGAGGAGGATGGGGTGACTATAAAGGGACAACCTAAGGGAGTTTCTTTGCGGTGATGGAGCAGTTCTGTGTCTTGGTGGTGGTGACGATACGCCTTTCTACAGGAGGTAAAATGTCATGGAGCTATACACAAAAACATACACAAGAAAAATGACTGCATGCAAAGGCTGGCAAAATCCAAGTAAGGTCTAAGCTCTAGCTAAATTGTATTCTCAATGTCCTGGTTTTGCTAATGTACTGTAGTTATTGCAGAAGACCAGGTGATGAGTACACAAGACTTCCTTGTACTATTATTGTAACTTCTTGAGAGTCTGTAATTATTTCATTATATAAATGTAGAAACATAAATCTCTGTTGAAGAAAAGATTCTGGCAACTAAACACACTTGGAAGCAATTTAGTCAAAGACTGGTGTCCTTTCGGGAGGCAGCGCTCTTAAGTGTAAACACTGAAGACTCTTGATTTAGCCTATGCTTAGTATCCAGGTAACCAGGTCTGCAACTCTTAGGCTGTGTAACTGAAAACAATTAGTTGTTCCCATTACTTGTATGAAGATTATAGAATCAGGAAATTTCAGAGCAAGCAGGGACCACGCTCTCAGGTTACAACTCTCTGTTTTGGCATCCTGATTTGTAATGTGAGGGCTTTGTCCTAGTTTCTTTGCAGTGTCTTGCCTAGTTCTAAATTTCATACTACACATAAACTACAGAAATTGTAATGGTAATCAAAAATTTTTCCTCAGTATCGCATAAGACAGATATTTCAACTTACGTTGATTATAAATGTGGATACAGAAAGAACCTATTTATTATGTAACACCATCTACTAGAAATAACTGAAGAGCAAACCAACTGGACTAATTCTTACTCCTTAGTTCAGGTGGTAGTTTTCCAGGCAGAGGGTCTGGGCGGTTTCCTTGAAATGACATACCATCACATCCTCCTTGTATAAAGTATAGTGCTCATATCTACTGGAGTGTTTGCGTAGAAAGGGGTGGCATACTTAGGTCAGTGTGTCCCAGGAAGAGTCCCTTGACTACCCATGAGACCTGCTAAATCGATCCTGGGGAGATTCTGGACAATCACACACTCAAACTCAGGAGGCTTTAAAGAGTAATCCTTATCATTTGGGAATAAATGATGATATGCTTTTTTAACCAATATAGCTTTAGTTTCCTCACTTGTCTCAGCTACTTTTCTTCATGGAATGCTAACACTGGACTACCTTGGGAACCGGAGCCCACTGTAAAAACAAAGTCAGGTTCTAGGGCTGTTCCTCCCTCATGATAACACACCTAGAGAAAAGGATTTCAACTGCAGCAACATTTGTTTTTTTGGCATTGAGTTCCCTTAAGTCTATAATAATTTATATTTGAAAAAAAAAACTAGCACCTCATAGCATTAGTGTAATAATTTTATTAATAAAACGAACCCATAGGGTTCAAACAAGCATACAAAGTAATTTTTTTTCCTGTGGGTTAAATTGTTACATTTTTAATAATAAAAATAAGAAAGCTTTCATAGTTAACTTACCAAAAACATAACGCTTGCCTATTGTTTCTTACTGTGCAAAACAAAAACAAAGTTTTGCCCACAGAAGGATTTTGTGCACCAAAACATGCACATTTTCAATTTCAAAATTTCTGCATCAAAATGAAAATTCCAAGGCCACGTTTTTGTTTTTTCAAACTAAAGAAGAGCAAGAGGGGAATAACCAAGCAAATAACAGCAGCTACATTTTTAATCTTCATTCCCAGGTATTTTCTGTTTCAATGTAGAATTCTCCACATTCATAAAATGATATCTTCAACCTACTGCTTACAGTCAGATATGCCAGTATCATTTCAATAAGGCAAGTCACACCTTTTAGCTATTCTCTTAAGTCCTACAGAGATAGTTTCACTTCAATTTCACAGGGACACTTCATGATTTATCTAATAAAGGTGATAAGACAATCCTAGTGAAGGATTCCTTTAAGTTGTTGCTTTTCTAGATGGAACCAAATAATTAAACTTTCTCTTCTCCATACTGGAGTTTGTTTCTTTCATTATGTTTTAGTATCATGGAGTCGAACAATGCCTTGGCAGGGCATGAACTATATAACTCAGAAGTCAATAAACAGTTGAAGATGATCTTTTCTAAAGTAAAAATCAACTGTTTAGACAACACTTAAATACACATTACCTGTTTAAAGACACACACACGAAAGCAAAATTTAAAAACCAAATCAAGGAATAACGTTTTGTGACAATTTCAGTAGCACAATTACTGGTCTAACAGTTTTGCATTGTGGGAATTTAAATAGCGGCTTACAATGAAAGAACTATGCACGATGCTTCCAGGATTGCAGAGGAGAGAGGTAAGCCCAGAGGATGAAAAGCATACATTTGCCTAATGTGTGTAGAAAATTCCCTGATCAAATGGCCAACTAACTTTTAAATACAAAATTTAACCTTAGAAGAACTTTTCTATTTTTGGTGAACATGCTGATTGAAAGAAAAATCAATCATTCTGTTAAATGAAGTACAGTATTCTGCAGGGGAAGCACCAGGGTTTCTGGATCAAACCCTTAGGACATGAAGAAAACCAAAGTACTCTGCTGGTTCAAAATCTGTATCACAGGAATCCCTGGCTCCCTTCCATGTGTCCAGAGATGCTCTCAGCTCACAAAACCAACAGATGGAAGGAAAAGCAAGTGAACATGTGACCATGTGGGAGGGGGGCTGGGGACGGTAAAACACTGCTCAGACTTTCAGCAGCAACACAATCCTGTTGGTCTGAATATCCTGAGGTTAAATGATAATAAAATATTGCACCAACACAATAAAGAAAATCACAGTTTAAACAGAATTACTGAAGAACTGGAATAATGTACAATGCAGTGACTGCCATCAGTAGACCTAGGTCTCTTGACAGGAATTAAAGTTGTGTCTTTTCTAAAAATGGCACTCCTACCTTCTTTTGGTTTGGTGTTTATTTTGACATTCTCTTAGGTATACATATATTTACTTCCATTTAACGCTAACTTACTGAATTTTCCCCTTGGCCCAGTTTCATATTTAGTGATAGATGAGACTGTGGCTGTAAACAGCAGCAACTCCCAAGAAGAGTACTCAGGGCGAGAGATTTAAAAACATATCTGATAACCCCATTAGAGGTAGGTTAGAAAAAGGCCTTTTATTTGGGACTGTGTAGTTATCAAGGCATCCTGCAGATGCAACCTTTTCTCTCCCTTCTTTCTCTTACATGCTCCTAGGTAAATAAGATATGAGGAAAATCAAACGTATATCCTGTTAAAGCACTTAAAGGGGGTAAAAAGTACAGCCCTCAACAAAACGTGTTTTCACATTGAAATTCATCTTTCCTCTTTGAACCGACAAGCTTTTCAAGAAACCCTTTCTTGGTTTCATAATACCGTACTGCCGATTTATAAACTATATTTTAGTCTACCCTTGAAAGAATGAAAACTGTAGTACTTCATTAGGACCTCATATGACCATGATCTCAAGAAAAGATGCTTTTTCAATGTCTTTAGGCCTGAATATGGTAGGAAATCATGAAGCACCCAAAGACTCAGGATCTCACTTCGTATTTGGAGTGGGCCATTCTCCTATGCACACACACCCTTGTTTTGTTGCCCTCTCCAAAATCAAGTCTTCACCCCTTCAGTTCATATCGCCTTCGTTCCACTCTTCACCATGGGAAACTCCCACAGTGTTTCCACTGTTTACAGATTCCTTTCTCTCACGTCAGCGCAGGCACCCTTTCACTTACTCTGTAACCATCAGGACTTCCATTACATTCTGTGACTTTGCACATCTTCATCCCAGTTTTTAACAGGGATATATATACGACCATCATATAAACTTGTGCGGCAATCCTGCCGGCCCACCAGAACTTTCTCACATTCTTTAATTTCTATTGCCTTCAGTCTTGACGTTCATTTATGTTTTCAAGTGAATCTTTCCTGTCTCTTTCCCAAAAAGGCAGAAGGAAAAGAACCAACATTCTAATTTGATGATGAACACAGTGATTTCTGAAATACGTTCAGAGAATGAAGGAAACAGGCTGGCTCTCTTCTACGTCGCTAGGATGTGGGTCAACCTGCAAAAAAAGAGCGGACTGAGATTAGTGTTGTAGCATTATTTAAAACGATTCTAGTACCTATTTGTAATTATATGATGGTTATATGCCAAGCTGGTCAGAGCCTGTGTAAGTCCCAGAAGGTGCTTAAGTTCTCTATATTCCATGGCCAAATAACACACCTTAAAGGCAATCCACAATACTGTATCTGATGCCATAGATCACAAGGACAATAGTAAAAAAATCTGGCAAATGAATCAGCGATAATCTATTACCACTGTATAAACAAATTTAAATGTATCCCTTACTAATTATGAGTCAGCAACAGACACTCTAATGAACGGATGACAAAAAATGATTATTTGAAAATAATACAGTAAAAGTCTAATTTTCTTTTGCTTTGCTTACCTCTGAATAAAGAGGTGGGGGTTGAAACCGGAATTCTTGTATACAGGCAAACACAGGACAGCACACTTCTCCCTCACAGTTAGGGGGTTGAGGGTAAGGAGGAATGTGTCTAGAGAATTCTTCCTCTGATACCACATCTGCATAATTTGGTGGTGCTGAAATAGAAATGAAGTTGGAGTTAAGAAATCCACTCAAAAATTAATCTCGATTCTTAACTGCTACAAAAACAAGAAACAGCTAAACTTGAAGATAAAAAATATGGCATTCTTTCCCTCTAATCAGCAAGGTTTTATGCATATTACAATAAAAAATAGATTCTCCTTTTATTAAACTACTACTAATAGCTTCTATTCTAGTCTCTTGAGATATAGGTAAACAAATATCACTGAAATATGACTATAGAAAAGACATAACACACCATACATTTGACTGTTTTTCATTGTTTTCCTATTACAAATAGGAATTAGGAAATGTACATCTTATTCCTGAATCTGCTATCAGCAGCTTTGCGTCCTAGATAAAGCTAAACTTTCAAAGTCCCTCCCAGGACTAATGCTTTCTGATTTTTTAGTAGTAGGAATAAAGATACCTATAGTAGCAGTACTCATCAACATCTGAGCACTTAATAGTGTATATATTCTGTTCCTAGGTATTTTCTAGGTAAAGCTTCGTTATGAAAGAACGCCAACATATTTTACCTTCAGGCTGCTCTGGCAGGGTCAGTGTCAACCAGCTCATATCCATACTGAACTGGCTGGCAATGCTGGAGTTTCTGCTGCCAAAACCATTATATGGAATTGTACCGATCACTAATGGCAGTTCGAGCATCAATTTTTTAGCACCAGGAATGTGAATGTATACCTAATAAGCCAAAAAAAAAAAAAAAAGAGAAAGGAACAAATGTAAGCTACACCTCCAGTAGGTAGCCCAATTAATTTCTTTTTTTCATAGAAACAAATGCTTTTGTCGGCTGCCACCACCCCCATCACAATTCTCAATTGTCTTGATTAAACAAAATGAAGAGTACACAAAACATAGTGAATGCTCTGTGACAGAGAACTGTGTCCTTAACATGCATCATTGTAGGTTTGCATGGCTTATATAATAATTATAGAAAATTAAGGCTATGTCTTCAATATAACAAACACCCCTTAATGCACCTCAATTCTTTTATGGCATTCTATTAAATCCCCTGTGGGGAATAGGTTTTATTAAAAACAAGGGCCAATCTTCATACAGTCCCCAATTGGTGTTAATGCTGAAATAAAATGACATTTTTATAGGCAACTCTACATACCCACAGTAACATGACATCAGTTATTGTCCATCATACACATTTTTTTTTAAAAAAGAGCTTTGCTTACAGCTAAGGAATAGTCCACTCTGATAATGCAGCAATCCAGGATGGATGGAGTAACAGGTGGGATTTTTAGCGTTTTCCCATTCCATGTGTCTGTGCTCCCAGAAGCGATGTGGTTTCCTCGCACATTGGCGACCATGTGTCGAATGGTCTTTGTTTTTCCACTAGCCAAATATGTCTGCGTTTGGAAAATAGCAGCCTTTGGAACAATCAGACGAGAGGAACAATTTTCTATTTCTGCATAGATTGGAATAGCTTCTCCTAAAAAGAAAACAAAACCAGGGAGGATTCAGAGACTCTTGAAAAAGTTCTCACCACAATGGATTAGGGCCGTATAGCTGAAATGTTCCAACATCACTTTAACAAATTGAGAAGCTTTGATGGAAAACATATTGTAAATTCAAGCCAGAGAAATAAAAATTCACTGCAGGTTGTGGTAGATCTTATTTTCTAATTATTGCATTATTGACTTTTCTAAAGTAGCAATATTGCATTAGCAATTCTAAAGATATGTAAATGACCAGTGTCTATATAAATTAGGATAAGACATACAAATAAATGATTCAGGACTATGTTAAGTATAAAAGATCACTAACAAACTCATTAGTGCTTATCAAATTAAAATCTGCCTAACAGGAGAACAAAGCCTTTGCTTTTAAGGAATTAATAATGTTAAGGCACAGAAAGAATCAACGGATGGATTAGGCAAGTTTTATAACATTATGGCTGCACATCATACCATTCCATACTGAATTCCTTTCTAACAAGTCAGAATCCTGGAGCAGGGGCCAAATCCACTGCTGGAAATGGGCCCTTCACTAATGGCAATTCCAGTAACAATCTGATTGTTAAGTTTGTTAATACACTACATTCCAGTCCCATGCATTTGCATATATCAAGCCAGCATGGAATCAGAATGTCTAATAGCATTTCATACTCCAGTAGTTCTCTTTTTAGCAATACAACCCTGGAGATTCTTTTGCAACATTAAAATCAGATGCTGGCATTTTCTCATTCCTCTAGTTATACTCTTTGTTACTAAAGTAACAGGATTGAAGTCAGAAAAAAAACAGGAGTTTGACTGGAAACAATTCCTCCTTTTAAAAATACTTAAATATCAATTATTTATATAAAAAATGTATCACTATTCATGTTTTAAAATACTATACACGTCATATAATTACAAAAAACACTATTTAAAATCACTTAAAATTAGCTAAGAAAATGAATGAAATCTTTCATTTGGACTTTCAAGCATTTTGCTTACCATTACAGTATCCCTTTCTTTCAATTTTGGCACTCAGCGAGACTGGACCAGAAGTGAAAAACCAACAGCCAACCATTTTCTCTTGAGTTTTCAATACAGGGGTCTTGAAAATTTCAAACAATAAAACAACCTTAATTAAGCCACTCTAGAGAACTCATAGAACTTAAAATTATATCTATCTTCACAGAATGGTTGTAAGGAAATACCAAAAAAATGAATCAAACTTTCTTATCCTCATGTAACATATTAGGCCAAATATGCACAAAAACACAGGGTGTTAAGACTCCCCTTTTAGGAAAACTACAGTGAATTTTCAGATTCAAAAATTAGCATGACACCATCTTATTTTACCCTGAAGTCATTATGTTTCCAGGAAATAATATACCATTTTTTTAAAAAAAAATCAAAAGCTGTATTAGGACTTATAAACATGACAGAATTATTTTTAAGACTTTATATATAAAAGTCAGGTGGAAGGATAAATGATATAAAAATAAAAAATAATCAGAACATTATATTTATTTTGGCATTTAATAAAGTGGAATAAACAAACAGCCTTTTCCCACCACTTACTTCAAAATGCATTATCAAGCAGAAATTTCATGTGTTCTTAATTTGGAGTGGTTTTGGGGTTTTGTGTAATAGTGCAATAACATGTGTAGTGTTAACCGATCTGAAAAGCTTATTAAACATACCCTCTCACTGCAGTATTCTATTCTATAGTGGCAAGAGAAGTTACTACAAGATTTACAATGTTCAGTTTACGAGTTACACACACCAAAGCTTTCTGTAAAACCCAGTTACTTGCAATATTTTTTTTTTATTTATATAAAGAATCGTAAGGGATCAACAGTGTCTGTTTTTGGCAAAGACAAATCCCTTTAAATCAATTCCCACAATGGTCATAAAAACTTTAAAAATATTCAGCCTCCCAATTCTAAGTAGTTTTTAAAAATACAAGCTACTTGGCATCACCAATTTTTCAAAAATGGTTTTCAAGCGGCTGTTAAAGTCCCAGCTATAAGCCAGGCCAGCTGGGTGCCGGCTGTTTTATGATTCTGACCACAAGAGGCCATGGAACCACAGCATATCTGCTATCTTTTCATAATCTAAAGGTGAACATTAAATTCTATTTCTTTCTCATGCGAAAATAAGACTTAAACAACAACTTCTAACTGCTAGCTTTTTCCTTGTCTTTAAAAACACAGGCTAGAAAAACCTCCAACATGAAAAATACATCTTTGTCACATCAGTATCGTGATGGAAAGTTTAAATTATCTCAGTATTTTCTATGAAGTAAAAAAAATCATTCATTCATATTTAAATGAAGAACCATTAGGTCCTAGTAGCTATCATGAAAGTACAAGGTATAATTTTATATTATTTTGATAATATGGGTTTAGATAAAAGAATCTAGCTCATTAGCTCCCATCTTGCCTATTCTGTTGTTACTTATAGCCTGATCTTTCTTATCAGTCTACAGTATTTCTGGTGATTATTAGAAGTTCAATGCTTTAATGTGGCCAAATCTGTCATAAGGAAATGATAAGTGAAAGGATCTCGGCGGCAGCTGCATGCACTTACTTAATGTTAGAAAATGACATGCAAAATGGAAGGATACATAGCATAATGGCCTGAGCTTCAATAACAGGCTGAGCATGATTAATACTCTTCCATAATTACTGTTCCTCAACCTGCTATTATTGAGGAGTTTAGAATACCCCAGTCCTGTAAATGTGGCCACTCTGGTAAAAGTAACTACTCTCTGTGTGTGCATTATTGTTATTAAGCCTTATTAATGCATTTCAAGCCTGTGTAACTTTTTGGCAAAAGAAGCCCTGAACAGCAGGGACATAATCAATAGTATTAACACACACAATTTGTAATTTGTCCAACCTAGAATCATATATTTATAGTGAATGCCTTTGGGTTACAAGATTGTGTTTTCCAAGCCATCAGAAAGTGACAGGACAGACTACCAGTAAACTGGCTAAATATAGATCCCACTGTTGAAAGGAAGGAGGAAGGGAGGGAAGGAGGAAAAGGAGGAGGAAGAGAAAAAGGAAGAACTTACTAATAATGCTGGTGTGTTGACATCGACATGACTAACAACCTGGAGTTCCCGCTTTACACTCTGATCAGGTACCTTGGGTCGTTCCAACACTGCCCGCACACAGTACTGAATGCTTCCATATTTCCCAGTAAACGAGGTGACCAAAGGTCTGAAACCAACCAAAGACATTAATTATGAGTTTACTTTTCAGTTAAACAAAGCCAAAAAAAGCATGGTTTAAAATGTTTTAGGTTGGAAATAAAAAAAGAGTAAGTCTATTTAGGGACTATTCAGTGTAAACATGCATACTTGAGAATCAGAAGAGACCTAGCAGTGATAAACTTGAATGGACATACTGCAGAGAAGGATAACCACAAAATTGTAGTGTTTCACTTACTCAGATGGAAGTTGAAAGCGAAATGGAAATTCATGTTTTCCAGGCTGTAATAAAATGATGCCTTCACCTATAAGAGATTGTATTTTATTTTAATGAAGGATAGTTAGTATTAGATCAAGAGTTTTCACAATGTAAATAATTTTTTGAAGGAAGTTTTTCTCGCTACAAAATGCAGCATACTCCAAAAGTTCATTAAACAAATGTAGAGAATTAAGTTTGAAGGGGGGTGTGTGTGCGTGTGTCTATGTGTTTTAGAGACAGGGTCTCGCTCTATTGCCCAGGCCAGAGTGCTACGGCCTTGAACTCCTGGGCTCAAGCAATCTTCCTGCCTCAGACTCCCAAGGAGCTGGGACTATATGCATGTGCCATGGTTCTTGACTAATTTTTAATAATTCTTTCCAGAGACGAGGGTCTTGCTATATTGCCCAAGCTGGTCTCGAACTCCTGGCCTCAAACGATTCTCCCACCTTGGACTCCCAAAGCACTAAGCTTATAGGGGTGAGCTACTGCACTTGGCCAGTTTTTACCAAGTACCATAACACTCACACATACATACACACATATATTCCATTCTCAAATAGACCAATTACTAAAGTGCTAAGGTTCAGAACTCCAACATACATATATATGTGTATATGGATATGTATATGTGTGTGTGTGTGTGTGTGTATGTAAAAATCACAACTGCTTACCCCCATTCTATTATACTAACGGGAAATACCAATATTAAATTGGACCAAAAACTAATTTAGCAAAAGACAGATTTATTTTGGGTATACCAGAAACATCACACTGAGTATTCTTTGAGCAGAAATGGAAAAGGGAGTGAAAACTTTATGAATATCATTAATACTGGGTATAACACAAAACAGCCAAACCCACAAGACAAGCTATTAAGCAAGTCATGTATGTATCCTTGAGCTCTCCTGACTAACACAGAGTTTCTTGGTGGCTAACTTGGAATACAGAAAGGGCTTTACCAAGCATGGCCAGGGCCCTTTTCTCAGCTTTGGGTTACCAGCTCCATTTTATTTCAGGCAGAAGCTTATCACTAGATTGTGAGAAGGCCAAAATGCAGGGTGTGGAGGGACTTTGTAAGGCCAGAGGCACCACTGAAACCTCTGATGAAGGCACCAAGACAATCTGTTTAATTCAGATCCAAAGTAGACTTCATGGCTTTCACGGTTGGTCAGGAGGCTCTCTTGAGAGACTTATACACTGTCCTTTCATTTCATGCTCAGATTTAATATTGAATTCCCTTATTGTGGATAGGATAAATAAGATGAAGAAATCGGAACACAGAGACAGAACTCTGAGATTTGCCTGGTCATCTGACACTAAAATGAAGATTTCTACTTTATCCATTCACTAAAAAAAAAAATTTAAAGAAATCAGTAGTGAAATGGGAATTTTTTATCCCTTAAATAAAAAAATAGAGTTTTATTTTATGACCTTAACCAAGTCAGCTGACATTTCAACTTCGTACTTTTAGAAAATAGGAACACATTACTGACCTATTAGGTCTTCTGAATCTATCCCCAATTTTTAATGTGTTAACATCAAGGGGGATAAAAAAGTGACACACCTGCCACTTAAGTCAATTTGAATACTCCACAGTTGGGTGACTGGAGGCAAAGTGAAGAACAAGTCACAGGGGCATGAGATCATGTTAAATTCAGTGGCAGGGCGGGTCCCAGTGGCTGACGTGTGCTCAGGAAGGTAGCAGCAGAGCAGGGACCAGGGAAGCATCTCGACCTGACAGCTGTGGAGTGAAAGGCTCAAGGCAATCCCAGTGCTCCTAAAAGAGCTGGGCTAAAGTTCTAATTTGAAATTACTAGATTACAGAACATGACGAAGTATTTACAAATGTTTTGAAATGTGTATTTCATTTGAGTTTAAAATGTGTAGTGCTTAGATTTCAGGCACCGCAGATAATCCTCAAAGAGACCGGGGGAGGAAAGGAGATTACATGCTTGTACACAAGCAATGACCATGGAGTGCTAGAACCTAGAGCACCCACATAGGAACATGGGTGGGCCCGACATCTTCAGGACCTGAGGGCTGGAATGGAGACAGATAGGAAGGGAAATTTAGATAAGGGAATAGCATGAGGAAGAGCATGGCAGGCATTTGTGGGGAACACAGTTGCCCAGGATACTGAAGAGAATGAGAGACATGAAGTTCCCCTTTCATTAAGCAACAAATCGACATCGGATCTATATCATTTAAAATGAGACTTTCAACTATCTCAAAACATAAACAGGAAAAAGAAATGGAAAAACTGATAAAAATGGGTTATAATATTTGGAATTCAATCTTTGTTTTCTTTTCCTCTTTCTCAAGTTTTGTTTTTAATGTAAAAGGTTCACAAGCTGAACCATGTGCCCATTTCTGCTTCTGCACCAACCGCTCATTATTTCTGTCTTGTATACTGAGCACTACAAAGTCACAGGAAGATGTTTCAATCACTAATGGCCTTACAGCCAAAGCTCATAATTAAAGGTTTTGATGAGCCGTGGGATGCAGAAGACCATTACAGAGGCAGAGACTGGGGCTCAGGAAGGGTGAGGGACTTGCATAAGGTCACACTGCTGGTGGGTGACCAAGAACTGAGACCAACTCTCTGATTCTGGCTTGTTTTCTACTACAGTTTCTCAATAAAAATATGAAGAAAATCAATCACAATGACAGCAAGTAGTTGAATTAGATTAAGGATGTCAAAGAATTATCTGGAGAGCATTTGTGAAAACAGATCCCAGTGCTACATAATATGGATTTCTAAAAATCTCCTTAGGTGATTGAAACACAGCCAGGTTTTGTAATTAAATTACCCCCAGAATCTAGACTGTGTAAAGATGCTAAGTTCTTCCAAGCTATAGATATTAGGGGTGACTTATTTTTTTTCCCCAACTAAAAGAGACTATGATTTTAAGCAAAATGTAATTGTGCCAATATGTGCTATGATACATTCTAAAACAAGTTTAAGATTTTCAAATTGTCTAGTTTTTACATTCTGTTCCACATGTGTATATATGTGTGTGTGTGACGAATAAACATCTGACTTGTGAATTAAAAAAAATGTTAGCCCAGATTTTACCAAAGCAGTTTTTTATTGCTAATCCCAGGTTCAACTGCTTTTAATTTTACATCTATTGACTCAGCAGTTATAGGCCCAGAGATACAGTCCAAAGTCCTGGACAAAAATCAATGTATGTCTCACTCCCAAGGTCCTTGACTCCATTCGGCCATCTTGCAAATTGTATTGTCTGCTTCCACTGGGGCCTGGGTTGATCCTGGAAGCCATACTGAGGAAAGTGCATGAAGGAGTAAGAACTATCACTAACACACTGTTCCCATTGATCCAAAAGGCAGTTTTGGTTCCAAATATAGTTTTCCTCACTACAATTTTGGGATGACTCAGATGATCACTTACCTCGAGGAGTTCACTGTGTCCACAGTAGGATAGGGCAAAACCACATATTCTATTATATTTTGTATAAGACATAGCACATAGATATAATGCGTTTACTCTTCAAGGAGAGGAGGTGCATACCATTGTTTTATTTGATAGATAAAAGCTCATGGCAAAAACGTAAAAGTTTAAACTAGTTTCCATCCATGAAATGAGTAAGACTCATGGTTCTTAGTATTTTCGTGACTAAAGGGATCCAATTTTGGTATCTAATATTAATGAAACGCTCATGTAGTGTGTCCCCACATGGGTACTTCTGGAAAAGTCTACACTGTGAACTGGACTTCACCAAAGTGAGCAGGAAGGGAAATCCCGACACGCCCTGATGCTCTTGTCTCTAAAGGCATTTTGAGTGGAGAGAAGTGGGGGAGAGGGGAAGAAGCGGGTAGGAGGGGAGGAGGAGGATGGGGAGGAAGAGGATGCGGAGGAAACAGCAGCAGTATCAGGTAGAGGTACAACTCTTACTAAGTTGCCCTGCTCCCCAGAAGAGGGAAACCAAGCATGATGATCAAGTCTGGAAAACACTTCCTTTGAACTCCTACCCCTCAGAAACTACTTCCCTATTCCCCAAACCAAATTTCTGCTAATTCATCATGAACCAAGAACGTATGCAGGATAGGGAGGAGTGGAGGCCATAGGACACGGGCACCGCAGAATGGAACCTCATAGCCGCCGGTTCCACCGTCCCTTTCTTGGACCAGAAGGAACAGGACCTAGATTTCTGGATCCCCCATTGTCCAATCACAGGTTCCCACCGCACCCAATGGCCCCCTCCCGTCGCGGTCCTAGAAAATCCCGAGCCACTGGTCCCGGTCAGGCCCGGCGGGCCAGGGGCGGGGCGCCAGGAAGAGCTGCGCACCCAGGACTTGCGGTCTCTCCTTACCCGCGAGGGTAGGCCGGACCCCACCCCCGGAAGCCCGCCCTGATCTCACCTGCCAGGTGGGCATCCCGAGGGTGCGCGGCCTCCCAGCCCCTCCCCGGCCCCG
Organism: Homo sapiens; assembly: GCF_000001405.40. Lineage (NCBI taxonomy): Eukaryota > Metazoa > Chordata > Mammalia > Primates > Hominidae > Homo > Homo sapiens. Next base: position 97,961,208 of record NC_000015.10, on the reverse strand, counting down.
CAGCCTGGCGGGGGAACCCCAGGCGCTCGCCTGCGCTTACCGGCCGGGGGCTCCCGCAGGCTGAGGCGCACGTTCAGGTACTCCACCTCCGAGAAGACAGCCAGGGCCGCGGTGCTGGCCGAGGCGCGGGGGCAGGTGCTCGGGCCCCAGGCGGCGGTGGCGCGCCCCTGGGCCTCCAGGCGCAGCGCGCGCAGGGCCACCGGCTCGGACGCCTCCAGCAGCACGTGCCCGGCCACTGTCTCGCCGCTGGAATAGCAGCCCTTGCGCTCGTCCTCGAACACCAGACCCAGGCTCTTCACGCGGCCCTCGGCACCCACGGCCGCCGCGCACCCAGCCTCCCCGCCCATCCCGCCGGGCGACTCTTTCCTGCCCCTGAGGTCGGCAGAGGCCCGGAGCCGGGGTCGCGAGCACAGCGGCGCCGCTGTCACAGGCGCTCGCGGCAGGGTAAGGCCGCCGCGGCAGCCGTGCGGTACCCGATGGGGCACCGGCTCGCCGAGAGGCCTGTCGCTTTAACAAACCCAGTTGGGCCTGGAAAAGGGCCGGGACAGCCCACCCCCGGCGGGCGGCCATTGGTCAGCTGCGAGCCCTGCTTCTTGCTGATTTGTTGTAGATGGTCACTGAGTCATTTCATTGGCGCTCCCACGCGTGGGTGGGCGCAGGAAGGCCGTGCGTGATCAGGGAGTGTTGGCCAATCGGGAGGCTCCGGCGTGCACGTGCACAGGCCGTTTACTGGCTGAGGCCAGGCACAGTCCTGGAGCCCTGGCCAATAGTGAGGCGGTGCGCCCATGTGGACAGACAGTGGGAAACAGTATCTGTCAGGGAGGGGGCGGAACAGGGTTATCTCCGGCTCTCAGCGTGTCAGCCGTTCCCATAGTTACGAACGGGGGCGGGGTTTCTAGCAGCGTAAGGACTTTGCAGGAGCCACTGGGTTCTCGCTAAAGCATGAAGTTGTGGCTGTAACTGGCTTGTGTTTATGATTACATCTGCAATACTCGAGGGGAAATAGATGCTCTGGGAAACGGAACTCGGCAATATTTCCTTTTGAGATCTTGGGGGCCGGCCGCATCGGGACTTTAATGAATGACTTGGAATCTTCTAACCTCCAGGTTTTTGATCACCGCCTCTCCCAGGTTTCAGAATTCCCAGCCCATGTAAGAGCCATAGATAAGAAAAATGAGGGTTGTGGTTTTAAACCTGATACATCCCCTAAGGAGTTCTCCTCCTAAGCTCCGCAGTGTCGCTGTTAGGAATAGCTGGAACTCTGATTCTTCCTGCTGTAAATAAGATCATGAATCACATTGTTTTTGAACAACATCTGTCACTCAAGTTTCTGCCCCACCCGAAAGTTTCCTGACATCATTGTCATATCCACAGAAATTTCCAATTGCCTTGATGACTTGTTCCTCACGCCCAAGTTTCCTCCGGCTTGTCCTGCTACATTTTCCTTTTCAACCTTCCATTTTTTCTCTGTTCTGTTTTTTACCATCTTGCATAGCTGTCATTAGCTGGTCATCATTTTCTTAACTTTTAAGTTGTCCCCTTATCGACATGCCACGTTTGTGAGCTGTTATGTATTGATTAATCTCACAATGAAATTTAGCAATTTTCCTAAAAAAAAAACCTCAAAGTAAAGGTTGCTCTACTACCCTCGTTGAGTTTAGATTATTAATGTGGAGATTTAGTAAAGTTTTATAAGTTCAAAATTTCCTTATTACCTCTCAGAGAAAGTGGAAAAGTCACAAATTAGGCTCTGTGTAAAGTTCAGAAATAGTTGCTATTCTCTGACCATTTCGTCTAGAATAGCTCCCTACATGATCTTACTCTGCCTACTTTTTTTTTTATATAACACAACGTGACCTTACGTGTTTATCTATGTATTATCCATCCCACTCATTTGAAACACAGAACTTGTTCTCATTCGTTTTTTGACCTCTAGGGCCTAACACAGATCTTAGCATACAGTAAGTGCTCAATAAATGTTGAGTGATTGAATGATGTATCCTAACCGTGTAGTAGTATTGGCTCTGCAATACATGAATAGTGTTCTGCCTCTTACTCTACTAAACTTTCACTGTCTCCAGGCAATGGTTCCCTCCAAATTAAGTGGCTGGGAGAGGGAGAAAAGGACAATGGTCCTAACGGTAATGAAAGGACAAAATGGCAGGTTTTGCATTCTGTACTGGGAAAGACCAGACTCTCTGTTTTCATTTCAGTTAAGAACAGTTTTGGCCAGCCAGGCATGGTGGCTCACACCTGTAATACCAGCATTTCGGGAGGCCGAGGCGGGCAGATCACAAGGTCAAGAGATCGAGACCATCCTGGCCAACATGGTGAAACCCCGTTTCTACTAAAAATACAAAAATTAGCTGGGTGTGGTGGCTCGCACCTGTAGTCGCAACTACTCGGGAGGCTGAGGCAGGAGAATCTCTTGAACCCGGGAGGCGGAGGTTTTCAGTGAGCCGAGATTGTGCCACTGCACTCCAGCCTGGGTAAGAGAGCGAGACTCCATCTCAAAACAACAACAACAAACAATAGTTTTGGCTACAGGTAACAACAGACTGTGTGACCAACACACATTCTGCCTTTAAAAATATTTCTTGTTTACTAGACGAAAAGGTCAGTAGTAGAGTATGGGCCCTTCAGATTGATTCATCAGAATCCTTTTATCTTTCTCTTTGACATACTCTGCTCCCTTCATCGTAGTAGGGATTACCACAGCTCTAAGTGTCTCCTTGTCTTCCTTACACCACAGAGTTCAACACATAAAGCAAGGGAGGGTCTGCAAGCAAACAAAAATTCTCTTTTCTCTCAGAAAGAAGATATATTTATATCCCAGATGCCCCCAACAGACTTCTTACATGTCATTGGCCAAAACTGAGTCATATGTACACCTATAGATTATTGACTGGCAAAAATAAGTAGGATTTTTACAATTCACTTAGACCAGTCATTCTTCTCTGGGTGCTGGACACAATCAGAGCTCTGTTAACAAGGAAGAGGGGCAAATGGCTGTTGAGCAGTCAACATTGTAGAGCCATTTGAGTGGCTTAAGTGGGTCTGGCCAAATTTGCTATAGCGTAGAGCTGCCCCAGCCAGACATAAAGAGGATATTTAAATAAAAAATATTCTATAACTAGAGAGAAGTTAATTTATATGGTGACTCAACTCATTCACAGATAAAATTCCATTTTTGTTGTGTATACATTACAATGAATATTCGAGTTCAGCTACTATTAATATAGCAGCATATGACAGTTTAAAAAATCCAATCTGACAATGTCTTTTAATTGGCATGTTTACCATCTGCATGTAATGTGATCTTTAACAACGTAACAACGTTGGTGCTATAACTTGCATCCCCAAAATTCAGATGCTGGAATCCTAACGCCCAAGATGATGGTATTAGGAGGTAGGGGCTTTGGGGAGGTGATTAGGCCGTGAATGCCAGGGCCCTCATGAGTGGGACTAGTGCCCTTACAAAAGAGTCCCGAGAGAGAACTCTCGCTCCTTCCACCGTGTGAGGATGTAGAAGGCACCATCTATGAAGACGCAGGCTGCTATGGCTTAGATATGGTTCGTCCACACCAAAACTCATATTGAGATTTGATGCCCAATGTGGCAGTGTTGGGAGGTGGAACCTAGTGGAAGGTGTTTGGGTCATTGGAGTTGATCCCTCATGAATAGCTTAACACCCTCTGGCAAGAGTGAGTGAGTTCTTGCTCTCATGGGACTGGATTGGTTCTCACTCGAGCAGGTTGGTAAAAAGAGTGTCGTCCATTTCTCTCTCTTGCTTCTTCTCTCCCCATGTGATCTCTTTGTGCACGTCTGCTCCCCTTCTGCTTTTTGTGGTGAGTGGAAGTGGCCTGAATTCCTTACCACATGCAGCTGCCCAATCTTAAACTTTTTGGCCACCAGAATCATGAGTTACATTAACCTCTTTTTTTTTTTTTTTTTGATATATTACCTAGCCTCAGGTATTCTGTTTCTTTAGCAACACTAAATAGACTAAGAGCCTGGGCATGGTGGCTCATGCCTATAATCTCAGCACACTGGGAGGCCAAGGTAGGCAGAAAGCTTGAGATTAGGAGTTGGAGACCAGCATGGGCAATATGACAAAACCCTGTCTCTATAAAAGATATAAAAATTAGCTGGGCATGGTGGCATGTGCCTGTAGTCCCAGCCACTTGGGAAGCTGAGGCAGGAGGATTGCTTGAGCCCAGGAGGTCGAGGCTGCAGTGAGCCAAGATTGCGACACTGCACTCCAGCCTTGGTCATAGAGTGAGACCCTGTCTCAAAACAAAACAAAACAACAACCACCACCAGATGAAAACACAGGTCCTCATGGGACACCAAATCTTCTGGTGCCTTGATCTTTTGACTCTGTAGTCTCTAAACTATGAGAAATAAATGTTTGTTGTTTATAAGCCACCTCGTTTTATGGCATTTTGTTATAACAGCCTGAACAGACTAAGACAGTCGGTTTTATATGTGTCATTTTGTTATTTGCTTTGGTTGTGCCTTCATCAGTGTGTCTGTGTTTCTTTATTCTTTTTTTCCTGCTTTCATTTTGATTATTTGAACATCTTTTGGTAATCCATTTAAATTTATCTTTTTTTTACTTTATATATATTTTTAGCAGTTGCTCTAGGAATGACTGCCTTTCCCCTTTTACGCTATAGTTGTCATGTGTATTACATCCACATACATTAAAATTTACATTTGTATGAACCTCAGAAAACCCATCAGACAATTTTACATTTTATGTTTATGCTACTCTCAAGGCATAAACATAAAAATGGGGGAAAAGAAACAAATCTTCCTTACAGCAGAATCCCAAATAATTTATATAGATTCTCCTCCCACTCACTTGGAGTGGGTGCTAGACCTAGTGACTTGCTTTCAACCCAACAAACCATCTTTTGACCAGGTGATGAAGACTAACATCACCAGTGATAAGTTCTGTTGATAGTGTGTACCTCTCATATGATGTTATGTAAAGGGCACTTCACTTCTCTGATATTTTACCCTCAAACCGTAAGTCCAGTCTAAGCATGAGAAAAACATCAGAAAAACCTAATTTGAAGGACATTCTACAAAATATTCAATGCATTCTCCTCAAAATTCTCAAGGCCGTGGAAAATAAGGAAAGATTGAGAAACTGCCATTGAGCAGAAAAGACTAAGGTGATGTGATAACTAAATGCAATATGGTATCCTGGATTGGATCCTGGAACAGAATAAGAACTTTAGTGGAAAAACTAGTGAAACCAAATAAAGTCTAGTTTCATTAACAGTAATTGGTATTCGTCTGTTTTCACGTTGCTGATAAAGATATACCGGAGACTGAGTATAAAGAAAAAGAGGTTTAATGAACTCACAGTTCCACATGGCTGGGGAGGCCTCAAAACCATGGTGGAAGGAGAAGGGCACGTCTTACATGGCAGCAGGCAAGAGAGAATGAGAGCCAAGCAAAAGGGGAGACTCCTTATAAAACCCTCAGATCTCATGAGACTTATTCACTACCACAAGAAGAGTGTGGAGGAAACCACCCCCCATGATTCAGTTATCTCCAATTATGTCCCTCCCACAACATGGAGAAATTATGGGAGCTACAATTCAAGATGGGATTTGGGTGGGGACACAGCCAATCCATATCAGCAATGTACCCATATAGGTCTCTTAGTTTCAACACATGAACTGTGGTAATGTAAGTTGTAAATAATGGGGGAAACTAAGTGAATGTGTACAAGAGCTCTCTGTACTATCTTTGCAACTTTTCTGAAATATAAAATTTTTCCAAGGTAAAATTTATTAAACAACAATCAGACCTACTCCCCCAAACTCTCCTGCTTGGAGATACCATTTTTCCTGTTACTCTGGATGAAAGATAGATTTGTCTCTAAGCTTTTCCTGCTTGTGTCCTCTGGTAGTTCCCCACTGAGACCGCCCTTGGTTCAAAGCCAGGAGGTAATAAAAGAGAAAACCCTACACAACATTTGCTCTTGTTACAGTTTGCACTTCAGAATTTGACCTCCCTCCCCAAACCACCTGCTAATGTGTTGGTGCTGAGATAATTGCTTTTATGATTATTATTTTCAGAATTCTGGTTAAGATCGCTAGGAGAGATAGGCTGTAATGTTTTAACTCTATATTTTCCAACACCAGAAGTTCCAATTTATCTTTTTGGACCCTTCGGATTTTATGAAGGTGATTGAATCACTGCCTAAGTATTATACCAATGCTCATTCATTATCTTTTTGTATGGTGCATGCATTCGTCTTGCTATTGCTTAGATTTTTTTATCTTGTAAATTTGTGTTTGCACACACTTCTGTTTTAATTGGGAGACCATATCTATATGTTTATTGATGTTGGAAATTCATTTATGGCTCAAATTCCAGTTTCACAATTTCACAATTGGAAATAGTTTGCAAAGAAAATATCCGTAGAAAGAAGGACGAGACCTAATCTTTATTAAGCACCCACTGAACTCCTGTTCAGATGTTCAACATAAACAATCCTATTCACACTCGTAAAAAGCTCTGGAAGTGCATCTTGGAATAGAGGTCTGAATTGACAGACAAGGCTCCCAAGGTTCAGAAAGATGGGCCATGTGTCTTCCTTCATCTTCCACAGCCAGTAAACGGTAGGGACAGTATCAAACCAAAGGCTACCTGTCCTGTTTTCACTATACTGCCTTCAAGGTTAAAGGAGAAAGAAAACAGAAGGATGGAATGAAAAGGAGGAAGGGAAGAAGATGAACTTATTTTAATCAGTAGACAGGACAGATGTTCATCAGTTCCTGTGTGGGTTCTTTACCATCATGGTTATATGCACTGTTGACACTGAGGTACTGCCCTTTGAGTTACTAATACTTTACTGGAAATGGTTATCCCTGTACTAGAGCATTCCATGTATCCTCATGCCTAAATTTACTCTCCCCCATCTCCCCAAAATGATTCTGGCAGCTGAGGAAGAAATAACAGAGCTTTTTTACTTGAAGGAAAGTTTGAAGGAAAAAAGGGTATGGGGAAGAAGACAACTAATAACAGGACAATAAAATAAAACAAAAACAAAACAAATGAAAACATTGGAGACAGTTTTTGTTTCAGTTTTTATTTTGATGAAGAGACAGGTTACTATAAGGGCTCAGGATCCTTTTGCTAAAGGTATCTTATTCTGAATAGCAGAAAAGGTCCTGCCTTCTTATGTCATGGTTTACACATACATAACGTAGTTGTATTGCAATTACAACAGAATGAACAGAATGAGGAAAGAGTTTCCACGAATGAACTAATAGTAGATTGCATTGCCGTTACTAAAACTGAGCAAGCAAACATGAAATCAAGACACATAAGATGAGTAATGATTACGGGTCTTCAATAAATATAATTAGATTTATATTGAACGCAGAATCAATGGGAAAAGCTCGTCTGTGACGAAACATTATTCGTTCTACATGATTGCCCTTTAATATCTCTTTTCCCCTAAGAAGGTCAGTTCCAATTGAAATTGCCCTGCGATAACTGACTCTATCATTGATTTAAAAAAACCTGCTTATAAATATTTAGTGGCTCATGAAGTATTCTAATTGAATTAAATAATAAAATGATTATGAAAATGGTGGAAACTATAACAGCTTTAAAAAAATCACGTTTTGAACTGAAGTCCAGAGAATTAAGACACTGTGTTTTCCAACAGACTCATGGCAAAGAGCACGTGAGTGTGAGTGAGGCCCATGCTAATCTTTTGGTCCCGTGCAGGCCCTTCCACCCATCAGCACCCTTCTCCCTTGGTCTGAAGCAATATTCACTGCTCCCAGCTTTGCATATGCAATTGCAAACACATGTGCGTTTAGGAACACACGGATTTTTTATGTGACATAAAACCTGTCTTATATAATTGTATATATTTGCCTTACATGCTCACGCACACACTGAAAATCACACCTTTCTTGAGGGATCTGCACCTTGCTTGTCTTCATTTCAAACTCTGTGGTCTGCTTCATAGTTTTCATGAGTAGCGTAGGATTTCATTGTGTGACTGCACCATTCTTTATATAATCTTAGACTTGGCTGGTGCGGTGGCTCACGCTTGTAATCCCTACACTTTGGGAGGCAGAGGTGGTTGGATCATTTAAGGTCAGGAGTTCGAGACCAGCCTGACCAACATGATGAAACTCCATCTCTACTAAAAATACAAAAATTAGTTGGGCACTGTGGCGAGAACCTGTAATCTCAGCTACTCGGGAGGGAGGCAGGAGGATTGCTTGAACCGGGGAGGCAGAGGTTGCAGTGAGCTGAGTTCATGCCACTGCACTCCAGCCTGGGTGATAGAGTGAGACATCATCTCAAAAAACAAAAACAAAAACAAAAAAAACCTTAGCCTCACTAATAGGCATTTATGTTACTTTAGATTTAGGGTTATTAATAATAATAATGCTGAACTCCCTTGCATGTCTATTTCCCCGGCATAGGAACCTAATGGTATATTTGCCCTCCCAAAGATTTTATTCTCAAGTACAGTGAGTGAGATTGTTTTTTAATTGCCAGCATTGGATATAACTCGTCTGAGATTTTTGCCAACTAAATGGATAAAAAAACGATATTTCATTGTGGTTTTACTTTTTTGTTTTTGTTTTTTGTTGTCGTTGTTGTTTGTTTTTGAGATGGAGTCTTGCTCTGTCTCCCAGGCTAGAGTGCAGTGGCACTGTCTTGGCTCACTACAACCTCTGCCTCCCGGGTTCCAGCGATTCTCCTACCTCAGCCTCCCGAGTAGCTGGGATTACAGGCGCCCGCCACCACGCCCAGCTAATTTTTGTATTTGTAGTAGAGATGGGGTTTTACTATGTTGGTTAGGCTGGTCTCGAACTCCTGACCTCAAGCAGTCCACCTGCCTCAGCTTCCCAAAGTGCTGGGACTACAGGCATGAGCCACCGCCCCCAGCCTAAATTTACTTTTTTAAGAATATGAGAGAATATTATTGAAGTTGAGAATACATTCATAATGGCATGTTTCTTCTATGAAATGGCAATTTATCTTTCTTGTTCTTTTTTCCATTATGTTATTTTTCCTTTTTCTCATTGATTTATACATTTTTAAATGTATTCTGGGTATTAAAACTTGGTGTTATATAATAAAAATATTTCCTCTCATCTTGTACATTTTTATTCTTTTTTATTTCCAACTTTTGTTTTAAATTCAGGGGTACATGTGCATGATGTGCAGGTTTGTTACATAGGTAAACGGGTGCCATGGTGCTTTGCTGCATAGACCATCCCATCACCTAGGTGTGAAGCCCAACATCCATTAGCTATTCTTCCTGATGCTCTCACTCCTCCAACCTCCCTTTCCAACAAGCCCAAGTGTGTTTTGTTCCCCACCATGTGTCTATGCGTTCTCATCATTCAGCCTTTTATCTTGCAGAATGGAATCCACTGCATTCTATCCACTGAATGGAATATTCATTTTTATTACATAATTAATTGATATAAATCCATCAGTCTGTGTTTATTTTCTCTTGAACTGATCTACTGTCTATTTCTGCACCAAAACAACATTTTTTGTTCATTGCAGGTTTTCTTGTAGTACGTTTTGATAACTAGTAGGGCAAGGATTACCAGAATTCTTTTCTTTAAATTTTTTATTTTGGCTATTTTAAAATATTTTCTCATTCAGAAAAGAAGCCAGGACTCGCTTGATTTTTATAAAAATTCTGGTAGATTGAAATAGCATTGGGAAAATATTGAATTTATTCATTAAATTGCAGAGAACGAGCATTTTTAAATGAGTTTTCTCATCCAGGAATTTATTTATGTGTTCTTCAGTGACATTTTACATTTTTCTTCATATAAGCCTTGCACATTTCTGGTTAGATTTATTTCATAATAAGCGTTTTCCCCAGTATTTTAGATGAATGGGATTTTTTTTTTTTTCTCCTTGACGTTTTTGGATTGGTGATTGCTAGTGTAGAGGAAACCTGTTGCTTTTTGGATATGGATCTTGTACCTCAGCACTTGGAGACTACATCTGTTAGAATACGGGGCTTGGACATCAAGTTTCCTAAGGTTCTAGTAGATCACAGGCTAATGGGGAAATAAGGTGTTAAAATGATATAGTATTAAAATGATAAACCCACTTCTATCTTATAAATTTTAACTTTCCTGTGTCCTTGTAACTGTTTGGCTTTACAAATGAACAGTATCAGGCTCGACAGAGAACCTTCCAGCTTCCTCTGTTCCTTGCCAGGCTGGAGGCACTGTTAGCCTTTAGCATCAGCTACAGACCTGCATGCTGTTAAGCATGGTGTGTTGTGTGAGGTTTAGAGGTATGTGGAAGGCAGGTAGGTCTCTGCTGCATGCCAAGGCCCAGGGACAGTGAAAAGATCAGGGGCTTTGGTTCCTGGGAGCAAGCCTTATTTTCAGCACTTGCTGCATAAAATTGAGGAAGGGACTCTCTAGGCTTCAGATGTTAATGACATCTTTATTGTGGGCTTGTTATGGTAAATGAAATATTACATAGAAGATGTCTGGTCAACAGAAAGTGCTCAACACATCGAGGCCTTTGTTGTTGTTGACAAGGTGATGGTGGCTGAGGTGGACTTTGAGTCTGATAGGTCTGATTTGGAGTCATGGCTCTACCACTTCCTGATGGTGTGACCTATGACAAGCCACTTGAATTCTTTAGGCCTCAGTTTCCTCAAAGTCGGGCTGGTCATAAATTATTGAGTAAAAACATGTATGTCCGTGTATGTATATTTCATGTAACTGTAGCTGGTAATCATGTCATTTCTGACTGTCTTCCTTCTTTCTCTGCATAAGAAAAGATATTCTCATTGAGATAGAGAGAAGAAATGTATTTTATTAGCTCGCATTAAAAGCACATTTTGTAATCACAATATGTAAAGGGAGCTTCAGATATCATTTGCATCCTGTGAAAAATTTCAGGAGTTTGAGTTATTGGGTTTGTGTGCATTTTTAAGGATGTTCTCAGCTAGGCTATTTTCCATAAAGATGTGTAATAAGGATACCAGGTAATCAACCAAGCATTCACTCAAAACCAGGTGTCTCACTTCTCTCGTGAAACTGAACATCTTGGGACACTGCTTTTCAAAGACATATGAGACTTTGACTTAAAACTGTGGTTTCAAAAGCAATTTCAACAAAAGCAAATTGACAAATGGGATCTAATTAAACTAAAGAGTTTCTGCACGGCAAAGAAAACTATCAACAGAGTGAACAGACAACCTACATAGTAGGAGGAAATTTTTGCAAACTATGCATCTGACAAAGGTCTAATATCCAGTATCTATAGGGAACATAAATTTACAAGTCTGAAACAAATAACACCATTTAAAAAGTGGACAAAGGACATGAACAGACACTTTTCAAAAGAACACATATGTGCGGCCAACAAGCATATAAAAAAAGCTCAACATCACTGATCATTAGAAAAATGCAATGAAAACCATAATGAGATACTAGCTCACACAAGTTAGAATGGCTATTATTAAAAAGTCAAAATGTAATAGGTTCTGGTGACATTGCATAGAAAAAGGAACACTGTTGGTGGGAGTATAAATTAGTTCAACCGCTGTGGAAGACAGTGTGGCTATTCAAAGACCTAAAAACAGAAATGCCATTTGACCCAGCAATCCCATTACTGGGTATATACCCAAAGGAATTTAAATTATTCTATTATAAAGACACATGCACATGTATGTTCATTGCAGCACTACTCACAATAGCAAAGACATGGAATCAATGTACATGCCCACTAATGGTACTCTGGATAAAGAAAATGTGGCACACATACATCATGGAATACTATGTAGCTATAAAAAAGAACAAGATCATGTCCTTTGCAGGAACATGGATGGAGCTAGAGACCATTATCTTTAGCAAACTAAGGCAGGAACAGAAAACCAATTACTGCGTATTGTTCCTTATAAGTGGGAGCTAAATGAGAACGCATGGACACTTGGAGGAGAACAACACACACTGGGGCCTATCGGAGGGTGGAGGGTGGGAGGAGGGAGAGGATCAGGAAAAAACAACTAATGAGTACTAGGCTTCATACCTAGGTGACACAGCCATCTGTACAACAAACCCCCATGACACAAATTTACCAGTATAACAACGTGTATCTGTTGAGCCTAATACTGTTCACTTGTAAAGTCAAACAGTTCAGAGAAGACAGGGAAGCTAAAATTTAGAAGTTATGAGTGGATTTATCATTTTAATACCATATCATTTTAATGCCTTATTTTCTCCACTAGCCTGTGATCTACTAGGACCTTAGGCAACTTTATGTCCAAGCCCTGTCTTCTAACAGATGTAGTCCACCAAGTGCTGAGGTACAAGATCCATATCCAAAAAGCACATGTACGCTTAAACTTAAAAGTTAAGGAACAAGCCTTGATTTCTTGCCTCAAGCCACAGCATTATGGATTACTTAGCGAAACAATGAAGACATATCAGTTGTCTTAGGCCCAATATTCTTTTGCTCTTACTAGCAAGATAGAAATAATCCTTCTCATTTAGTCATTGAATTTAGGCTGGGGTAGAAGAGGCATTTAAATTATTGTTAATAAAGAAGATTAATTGATTATCATAACTTTGAGTCTGAACCAGAAGTTCTTTACAATTGGACACAGTGGGTTGTAGTGTAAGAACTAACATTTTATTGAAGGAAAACCTCGTTGCTGAGACACTTTTTTTTCCCAAAGCATCATATCCTGATAGGTTGTGTACCCGAGCAGTGGCTGATTTGAACATTCTAGAAGAGAAGCCAGATATTAACCACTTACCAAGATGTGGCAATCATTCATTCTGTTCTTGAAAAAAGCTAGGATAATTTTTGGTAAAGAAGCCATGAGAAGTAATGAATTGTTTTCCAAGCTGAGCTTTAAGACTGCCAGTTAAATGATGTATCACCTTTGTTGCCAATATCCAATATCCATCAATATCCAATATCCAATAAATATATTGCTCAGTGATTTTCAAAGAAGTAACTTACTTCAAGGGTTGACTGGAAAAACCCATTTCCTCTTAAAATGTCTGTGGAAGTGAGGTACGCACAAAGATCCAGAGTGGACTTATGCGTGGGCGTCTGATTACTAAACACGAAGTGACTCACCTGCGGCTTCACAAGCACACGCACGGAAAGGCGTCGTGGGAGAGGTCAGAGGCTTTCCCCACCCTGCTTGTGAGTGACCTTTGTACATGGTGGGGCAGAGACAAAGATTCATAACTTACTGACAGGTGTTGGTTAAACTCGGCTTTTATTAGTATTTTTATAGGTTTCATGATTAGGACTTAAGCAAGATTGTGCCTGAGTGAAAAATAAATGAATAGAGGAGCTGCTTCTTCACCGTCTCACATTTCCCAGGCTTGGGCACACCGGCTTCTCATGCAGAGGAGGCTTTGAGAGGCACGAACAGGGGAAGGTAAGCTGGTGCCAATCGCTTAGCCCAGATACAGCCCAGGGCAAAGGCACCTGGGAACAGTGGTTCTCTACCAGGGCTAGACTTTAGAATCACCAGGGGAGCACACATCCAGAGTGAGGACTAAGGCTCCCAACACTTATTGCCTGAAAGGTGAGTTTGTTTTCATTGCTGTCACCCAATGGAAAGCAAGCTGGTAAACAATGATAGGGTCAAGGTTTAAAGCTATAGCTCCAATGAAGAAATAAAAGTATATGAAAGGTACCAAGTGTGAATTCTTAACCTGAGGACCCTGAAATCAAGGGGCTCCATAAACTCTTGCAATTGCATGCCAAGCTTTGAGGGTACGTGAGTCTTTATATTTGGGGGATGAGGCAAGAAGGGGGGAAGGCTCATCGCTTTCAGAGAGTTGTGAGATGAATCCGCAGACACCAATCTTTTAGGAACCACAGAGCGAACACCCACCTTCATGAAATTCATGCCCACACAAAGGCTCAGCCACAGTTTTTTTTGTTTTTTGTTTTTTTTTTTTGAGACGGAGTCTCGCTCTGTCCCCCAGGCTGGAGTGCAGTGGCGCGATCTCGGCTCACTGCAGGCTCCGCCTCCCGGGTTCACGCCCTTCTCCTGCCTCAGCCTCCCGAGTAGCTGGGACTACAGGCGCCCGTCACCACTCCCGGCTAATTTTTTGTATTTTTAGTAGAGACGGGGTTTCACCGTGTTAGCCAGGATGGTCTCGATCTCCTGACCTCGTGATCCGCCCGCCTCGGCCTCCCAAAGTGCTGGGATTACAGGCGTGAGCCACCACGCCCGGCCAGACACAGTTTTGTTTTGTTTTGTTTTGTTTTTTTGAACTGATTTTTTTTCTTTTTATTTATTTATTTATTTATTTATTTATTTATTTATTATTATACTTTAAGTTTTAGGGTACATGTGCACATTGTGCAGGTTAGTTACATACGTATACATGTGCCATGCTGGTGTGCTGCACCCACTAACTCGTCATCTAGCATTAGGTATATCTTCCAATGCTATCCCTCCCCCCTCCCCCGACCCCACAACAGTCCCCAGAGTGTGATGTTCCCCTTCCTGCAGACACAGTTTTTAAGAAGGAAAGTCTACAGGTTAGGGAGAGGTGGTACTGCGTGCTTCCCCAGATCTTCACTTTTCTGTCCTTGTTTCTTCAGTCTGTGCCTGCTCTTGCCACCTGTTCTTGGTTCCCAGGGGACTCCAGCAGCTGCCCCCTACATTCCGACCTAGATAAAGTCACCTTTCCTTGGTATTAGGCACAGCTGAGTGACTCTGATGTTCTCGAAACCACAAATGATGCAGGGAAACTAACAATAAAGATGAGCAAACAGTGAAGGAAATGATGACAAAATAGGTTGTGAGAGTCAAGGTCGAGTGGAGTGTCTTTCTATGCTCATGCTCCAAATTTCTGCCTCTTTTCAGATTTCTTCACTGGTTTCCACTCATTCCAACCCCTCGTCTCTGCTTGGCTGGGATGGTCTTAATACTGGCTACTTCGTAACGTTCTCATGAACCAAAAAACATCACTAATAGACTCCGTCCTTCTTTCTGAAATGAGGGATATGCTTCCTGCCTTCAGCATTCCTCGACTTCAGTCTATTTTGAAACCAGGGCTGGTGAATTGGTTAAATTCCATCAATGGAAAGGACATCCTAACAGAACTTCTTAAACTGAAGTGTGCATTTGAACCCCATGGCACTTTGTTAAATATGCAGATTCTGGCACCCTCTGGGAACCACTGTGAGCAGCAAGGTCCTAGAGGATCTGTTGGGAGTGTCTCTGCAGCTGGCAGCCTGCAACAGCGCTGGCGTTTTTTGGAGAGGGGACAGATTAGCCCTGAAGCCTCAGGTATCTGACATGCCAGTTACTGCCTCCTGTTTTAGGTAATCAGCCCTGCTGTCTCCTGGAGCAACTCTCAGTGATTGTGTCAGATGTGCTGTCACTGCGGGCTCTATGTTTTTCCCTTTCCTTGTCAAGTGTATCTCTTCCTGCAGCTCAGAGAGCGAGATGGTATTAGCCCTACATACAAGGACCAGCTCACATTAAGGCACTGCCTTCAGTCTGATAGAGAGCCAGACTTGGCAGCACTGCAGAAGCTTCTCCTTTCTGCTGGTGGAATGGGTCTGGAGAGTTTCCACTGCCCAAGCCAGCACAGCATGACCAGAGTTCTGGGTGTTCGGTGGACGTCAGTCCACAGCCAAAGTCCAGGCAGCTACTTCAGTTCTCTGCTGAGATTGGAGCCCAGCTCTGAGAGTTAGATGAGTTCTCACCTTTCTTCTGAGCTCTGACTCTGCTTCTGACACTCTTGGTCCAACCTGGATAGAGTGTGGAGGTGAAATGTTGACAGTGTCTAGTGTTGACCTCAGACTCTGAGCTCCAGCCCTACCTTCTCAGGTGGCTGCCCTTGAGGACTGATGCGAATCCCGGGTGGACTAGCACTAGTCTGCTGCTGCCGCTTGGTGAGTCAAATGTACCTTGTCTTGCTGTTCCAGTCTGGAAGCTCCTGGCATGTTAAATTATTATTAGCAGTAGCAGTATTAGTAATTATAATAATAAAAGCAGTAGCAATTCCGTTTGAGTGCTTCCTATGTTCCAAGCTCTGTGCTAAGTGGATTACATATATTGTTATATTAATTATCAGAAGAACATGATGAGGCAGCTTCTATTTTTGACACAGTTTTCCCCAGGAGGCAACTGAGGCCCAGAGAAGGGTTAAGTAGTTTGTCCAAGATGCTCAAGTAGTAAGAAGTAGAGCCAAGACAGGAACTCATGGTTTTTGGGCTAAAAGGCTGCGTCCTTAATCACTAGGGCGCGCTGTCTCTACTGTCAGACGCCAAAGCCCACCCCTGATTAACAACTGCTGGAACTCCAGCCGAAAGACGCACTGATGAGTTTATTTTAGAAGCTGCTGATCGTAGACTGGGAAATATATTCGCGAGGATCTGATTGTGCATCTTTCACACTCTCAGGTCTGCGTAAGCCAAGCTCTCAGAAGTTCATGGGCACTCTTTCTGAATACAGATGACTGCTCAAAGTTTAAATACCCGAAAAGGGAGTTGATACCTTCTGTCATCCCCAATTGGTGCAGCGGAAAACATGACCATGTAGTGTAGTAAGGGAACATGACCAGCGGAAAGCAGAATTTATTAAGTATTTCATGCCTGGAGAGATTGTAAACCTCAATTGCTATAGACAAGCAAATAGAACAGCGGCCTGAAGCTGCCATATGTCAGTGGAAAGCATGAGGCAGGAGACAGTTGACTTCATAGCCTAAATATGAATATTTGGTACAATTGTCAAAATCTTTGGCCTCCTCTGGAATACAATAACCATGGCAGACAGCAGCACTGCCACATGGAAATGCTGCTAGACAATTCAGCCTTTGCAGAAAATAACATTTCAGGGTAGTTGTTGCATTCATTGCTATTGCTTTGCATTTGTATTATGTTTGTCCTTAAGGAAGTTTAAAGAGTTTTAAAAGCTATTTTTAAAATGCCAGTAATGTTCTGAGAGATTTCTCAGTGCTTTATTTATGGCATTTTCTGGCTTGTACCTCTTGTAAAGGACACGGTGCTTATTAGAAGCACTTCCTAAGGAAACCATGCAGACACATGCTCCGTGCTGCCAAGGTCTCAGGCACAGGGATAGTGACCGGGAATGTAGGCTTCTTTGGTGGCAAGCCACAGAAACGGACTCTGGCTAACTTGACTAGAAAAGAATGGTGTTTGTTGGAAAGCACATGGCAGTTTACAGAAAGGACTAGCTAAAGAACCATACAGAACAGAAAGTAGGGCAGCTACAGAAATGTAGCAGCAAGAATGAATGCCGCACCTCTTCAAACCGCTCATCATCAGCATAAAACCATTCATTTTCCCCCTTGAGGTCCTCCATCCAAGACTCCTGAGGTAGAGAGCACTTGACTGCCCTTGCTTGGATGGAAAACCCACCCTTGGGACAAAGGAGAGGAAACACCTTGATTGACAAACTCAATTGTGGTAGATGGATTACAAAAGTCACCTCAGATATTTTCCTCTTGTAATCCTTGCTCCTTGTCATGTGACTTTGAAGCTTTTTCCCTCAAGGGGAGGTATTTATCTCCCCATCCTTGAACTTGGGCTGGCCTGGTGCTCACTTTAGCCAATGGTATAGTCGACATGCCATTTCTGAGCACGGGCCTCAGGGTGCCCTGTAATCATATGCTTTCACTAAACCTTGTTGTGATGGTTAATTTTATATTTCAACTTCACTGGGCTAAAGGATGCCCAAATAGCTGGTAAAACATTATTTCTGGATGTGTCTCTGTGGGTGTTTTGAAGGAGATCAGTATTTGAATCTGTTGACTGAGTGAAGAAGATCAGGCCTTACCAATGTGATCAGACATCATCCAATCCATTGAGGGCCCCAATAGAACAACAAGGCAGAGGAAGGATGAATTCACTTCCTTTTTTTGAGCTAGGATATCCATCTTTTCCTGCCCTTGGAGACTGAAACCCATGGTTCTCAGGCCTTCAGACTTTGGGGCTCATATTGCCCCCACTGCCCCTGCCTCTCTGTTCTCAGGCCTTTGGCCTTAGACTGGAAGTTATATCATTGACTCCCCTGGTTCTTGGACATTGAGATGTGGAATGAATTACATCACCAGTTTTCCTGGGTTTCCAGAAAAGATTGTGGGAACTTCTCAAGCCTCTCTAATCACATGAGCTTGTTTCTATGATAAATCTCTCCCCTTCTTTCTCTCTCTCTCTGAATACACACAGAAACACATATGAACACTGTCTTAGTCCCTTTTGTTCTGCTATCACAGAATAGGTAAGACTCGGTAATTTATAATGAATAGAAATTTATTGACTCACAGTTATGGAAGCTGTGACGTCCAATATTGAGGGGCTGGCATTTGGTGAGTGCCTTCTTGCTGTGTCATCCCATGGCAAAAGGGGAAAGGGGATGAAAGAAAGAGTAAAGAGGTCCGTTCTCCTCCTGTTATGGGAAACTCATTCTGGCAATAACATCATAGATTCATGTACTTCACCCTCATGGCCTAATCACCTCTCATTAGGCCCCATCTCCCAACACTGTTGCACTGAGGATTCAGTTTCCAATACATGCTTTTTAGGGGAAACGTCCAAACCCTAGCACATGCATATCCTATTGTGTCTGTTTCTCTGGAGAGCCCTGACCAAAACATTTGTAAAGCCCTGAGAACAGATCTGGACTAGCATGATGGAAGACTAGAGTCCATGTAGAGCAGTGATGAGTTATTCCAGCTGAGGTTATCATAGCCATTGTACCCATCATTCATTTTGCACATCCGATTACTGCAAAAAATGTAGTAACTTAAACTAATAAAAAACATTTCTTATCTCACACAGTTTTTGAAGATCAGAAATCCATTGCAATTTTAGCTGAGAGGTTCTGACTTGGGGCCTCTTATGAGGTTTCAGAGAAGATGTTGGCCAGGCTGTAATAATCTGAGGTAGGATTCACTTTCAAGGTGATTTGTTCATGTGACTGGCAAGTTGGTAGTTGGCTGGAGGCCTCAGTTATTCTCCCTGAGGGCCTCTCTCTACAGGCTGCTTAAATATCAGCATGATGCTAACTCCCACAAAGCAAGCAATTTAAGAGAGCAAGTGGAAAATGGAAATGCCTCTCTGCCATGTTCTATTTGTTTTTTTTTTTGTTTTTGTTTTTGTTTTTTTGAGACAGAGTCTTGTACTGTCGCCCAGGCCGGAGTGCAGTAGCGCAATCTCAGCTCACTGCAACCTCTGCCTCCTGGATTCAAGTGATTCTCCTGCCTTAGCCTCCAAAGTAGCTGAGACTACAAGCATGCAACCCCGCACCTGGCTAATTATTGTATTTTTAGCAGGGACAGGGTTTCTCCATTTGGCCAGGCTAGTTTTGAACTCCTGACCTCAGGTGATCCATTCACCTTGGCCTCTCAAAGTGCTGGGATTACAGGTATGAGCCACTGTGCCAAGCCTGCCATGTTTTATTTATTAGAAATGAGTCACCAAGTTTGGCTTGCAATCAAGGGCAGGGAAATTAGGCTCTACTTTTTGTCTCTCTTTTTAAAATTTCCCTCACCATAGGCTTTACTTTCTGAAGGGAGGAATGTGAAAAAATTTTCAGACATTTTTAAACCACTACAATGAGCCAGCCTCCAGTCAACCCTCCAGGTGACTATAGGTGTGTATATAAGCCCCAAGATCAACCAGGCCAGTCCACAGCAGCAAAACTTCCCAGTCCGACTGAAGATCCATGAGCCGAATGAATGTTTTGAGTTTGGAAACTAAATGAAGGTTTCAGTATGGTTTGTTATGCATCAATAGTTAATTTATACACCTACTAAGATTGTGCAATGATGGAGGGCTAATTCTCCAGAACAGAGTCAGGACACTGTCAGATACAGAGGTCAACTAAAATGCCTGTCTTCAAGGGGCTAGCAGCTCTGTAAGGGGATGCGACAGGTAGTTGTAATACAGTGAAATAAGTACAATAGAAGCATTTTCAAGGTTCAGTTTTCACAGATGTTAAGCTCCCAGAGCATAAAGGTCATGTTTATCTTGAGTAGCTCTGTAGCGTAGAGCACCGTACATGTGGTCGGTGGCTGAATCTTTCATAAATGAAGAGAATGGTCAAGATGTGAAGGGCATTAGCATTGGATTCTCCTAAGAGTTGCCTAATCTCCTAAGGTGGGTTTGAAAAGCCCAAGAAGAGTTTCTGAAGTACTCAGTGGCATTCTATCCAGAAGTCTTTGAATGTGCAAAGCCTTGAAGGTATGAGCAGCATGGCATATATTAAAGACTGTGAATAATTTGGAATTCTTAGAACCTGAGGTCTAAGGAAACACTAGTGGAAAACCAGACTAAGGAAAAGGGAAGACTATTATTAATAGGGTTCCTTTTTATAATCAGAAAGTCTTGTCTTGGATAATAAATTAAATAAACCATATGCAGGTTTAATCCTGTGCCATAATGAGAAGAACCAATATCCAGTTTGTCAACAACTGGATTTTTTGCTATATAATGAACAATGAAAAAATGCAATGAAAATGAAAAAATGTTTTTGAGTTGAGAATAAAACGGAAAGAAATAAGAATCATGGAAATTAATTTTTGCGGATGATTGGCAAGGCAGGACTTTTACAAATGCCTTCTTAGTCAGTTTTCCACAGATTATATTTTAATTTTTCCCATGGCCCTCTGTTTGAAATGCAAACTTAATTTTTAATATGAACAGGAATTTGTTTTGCTAAAGACACAAATTAGGAAGTTTAATGACTCTCATTGTTTGAAAAAGTTTATGAATTAACTATACTTTTTTCTTCTCTGATCGCAGAGACTAGTCATGAAAGAAACTTTATTGTTTTTCTTCTTTTTATTTTTGAGACAGGGTCTCACTCTGCCACCCAGACTCGAGTGCAGTGGCACAATCATGGCTCACTGCAGCCTCTGCCTCCCAGGCTTAGGTGATCCTCCCACCTCAGCCTCCTGAGTAGCTGAAACTACAAGTGCATGCCACCATGCCTGGCTAACTTTTGTATTTTTTGTAGAGACAAAGTTTCACCATGTTGCCCAGGCTGATCTCCAACTCCTGGACTCAAGTGATCCACTCACCTCGGCCTCCCAAAGCGCTGGGATTACAGATGTGAGCCACCATGCCTGGCCTGTTTTATTTTCTCTAGAAAATATTTAATTAAAAAAATGAGTGGTCCAAGTAATGACTCAAACCATACAGAGAGGCTTATAATAAAAATTATTATTCAATTCCTTCTGATTTTCAATATACTCTCCTGAGTTAGGTAATGGTCTGTTTTACCCACAAAGTTAAGATATTTGTCTTAATCCATTTTGTGCTGCTCTAACAAAATACCCAAGACTGGGCAGTTTATAATAAACAGAAACTTAGTCTGGAGGCTGGCAAGTCCAAGATCTGTCCATCTGACCTGGTGAGGGCCTTGTTGCTGTGTTCTCACATGGCAGAAGGTGGAAGGGCAAGATAGCAAGAGATTGAATCCATTATTTTCCCCCTTCTTGAAGTACTTCCTTTTGCATATTCTGTAGAGAGGGTCTTTCAGTGATGAATTCTTTTATCTTTTGCAAAGGTGACAAAGTCCTGATTTTGCATTCAGTGTTTGAAAGATATTTTTATTGGCTATAAAATTCTAGGTTGATATTTTTTAAAAAATTTGCCTTCAATTTTTGGAATATATCTTTATAGGTTACAGAGTTCTGGGTTGACAGATTTTTCTTTCATTACTTTAAAAATGTTGCTTCACTGTGTTAAAAATTTGGACAAAATCGATCATTTTGTCAAAATATTGTGAAAAAAAGCAACCATAATTATATACATTGCTGCTGAAAGTATAAGTTCTTGCAACAATATTATAAACTAACTTGTTATTATTTTTTAAAAATGAAGTTGCATATACTTTACAACCCATCCCTAAGGATATTCCTAATGCACTGGGATGTGTTCAGTAGTCTTCATAGTAGCAATATTTCTGATAGTAAAATTTTAAAAATAAACAAAAATCCATAAATGAATTGTGGCATATTAATACAATAGAATCCTGTTTAGCTGTGAAAAAGAGTTTACTATAGCTTTGTATATTTCAACATAGATAAATCTCATGAATGTAGTGTTAAATAAAATAACAAGTTACAGTAAAACCATACAACATAATACCACTTAAATGAAACTCAATGGCATTTAATATATAAATAATATATTGTCTAGGGATTCATACACTATGACAGTAAGCAAGAAAATGAACACAAGTTTTAGAAGACTAATTACCTTTAGGAAGGTGGAAGGTGCCTGGTATACAGAGGAAAGGAGGTGCAATGAATGGAGGCTTCAACAGTAATGCTGATGTTCTATTTGCCTTCTGAAAGGTTAATGAGTACTTTAAAAATTATCTTTATACCCTGTAGCTCTATATTAGCTATTCTTTAGGACACTGAAATATTTCATAATAATAAAAAAATAAAGTTTGTATTCACATTGGCAATATAGAGTAACAGTATTTTAATTGTTTATCTTATTCAGCTTTCCAAAAGAGCTGTTGAAAACTATAATTTAAAACTATAATTTATTCAAATGTATTATAAACTAATTGAATTTTAAGATGGTGTTTGGAGGTCGCAAGTTCTTGCAAATGTGTCTTTTGAAAAGCTACCTTATGAGCAACCAATTAAAATATTTAATTGAAAATGTTAAACTTTCATTGGCAAAAAGTGTAAACACAATCAACTTATTTTAAAATCTGTTTGAATTAATTAAGATGTGTCTTTTGAAAATGAAAGTTATAATCATTATTAAAGATAAATTCCTAACAGTTACATTAAAATGCAATTATAATTCAAACTATGTTTTAATCATTAATTTTGTTTCTATAATAATCGTAACATTATATTTAAAAAGAAAACTAAAATAACTTCCATGTTGGCAGAAGAGACAAAATGGCGAAAGTGTACTTACTCCTATAATAAGATGTAAAATTAAACAAATTTGGTGTGAGTGTATGTGTGTATGTATTCAGTGTATGTTTTACATGCAAAACTTTCCCAAAGCTAACAATTTAAGAAAAAAAAAAAAGGGAATTGAAGAAGTGATGGTTTTGAATTGGGAAAAGCAACTTAACCTTCTCTTATTCGGGCAGGCTTTGCCTAAGTCTTTCTTGTCACCTTTGCCTGGAATGCTCTCATTCTGTGGATATTCTCTGGAATAGTGTCTTCATCTTATTCGTATTCCCTCTCCCCTTGTCCTTGATATCTTCCCTAGTCACCCCATCAAAATTGTTAGTTATCCCTCCCCTAACATCTTATTAGTGGTCTTAATATTTCCTCAATATCACTTATTGTCATCTGACATACTATTTATTTTACTTATCGTTTGTTGTTGTTGTTTGTCTGCAAAACAGAATGCAACTTTCTGGAAGACAGGGATTTTTGTTTTATTTATTGCTGTATCGCTAATAGCTCAATAAATATTTATTAAATAAACAAAAGGTAAGTGAATATTTTCCAAAGTCAAAACTGTCAATCATTAGAAGACCAACAGTTGTGGTTAAAATAAACTTCAGTTGTTGGATGAAAGTATATACTTGTTTTTTTTTAATAAGTTCAATGGAAGACAAATGTTTACAAATAATGCAAAATAAGTTTGTTTTAAAACATTAGGGAAACATGTTAAAAATTGTCACGAAGGCTTTAGTGTTAAATCTTACATATCAAAGTGTTAAATTAGTAAATTTTTGACATTTTGTTGTTTGAGAAATAAATATGTTTGTTTTAATTGAGATTGTAGTTACCAATTTGGAATATGTTAAGTAAGGAGTTAAAAATCCAAAGTGGCATGCAATAGGAAAATGTTTAAAAGTACATT
Organism: Homo sapiens; assembly: GCF_000001405.40. Taxonomy (NCBI): domain Eukaryota; kingdom Metazoa; phylum Chordata; class Mammalia; order Primates; family Hominidae; genus Homo; species Homo sapiens. The sequence continues at coordinate 97,937,355 of NC_000015.10, read as the reverse complement.
TAAAATGTCAGTTTGAACTCACAATTTAAAAATTACATATCATTTCCATCTTTTGTCACTAGATGGTATATGTCACATGTACTGCAAACAAACAATGCTATTTATATCCTTAGCCCCAGGTTTGGGTTCTAATACTCTTCTCACTATAAGCTATCTGATTGCTTAGAAAGAAGTGGTAAGTTTACAAGGCGAGCCTGGGACATTTTTTTGTCCACAAAAGTAAGAATACTTTTAAATGTTTAGAGATGGTATAGAAAATTTTCAGAAACCATATTAAAGGTGACTTCCACTGGAAAAATTGTGATAATTTGGCTAACTAAAATAAAAGCAAATTATAGATAAGACAGCTTACTTCTATAAAAGCAGAAATCTATAACGATTTGAAAAGTATAATAGTTTGACTGTATTCAAATAAGAAAATATTTTTCAAGTTTAGTTGTGAGCATTCACCTTGCTTTGTGATGTCAGGACTGGGACTCTACAAATTACATTCCTTTTATACTAGCTGCCTTCATGTTGAGCTTCTGCCAATCTGGGGTCCTGGAGGCAGCCTGCAGGGCTGATAGAGGGAGACTTCACTTCACTGGCTCCTTCATTTTCACTCCTCTGGATTTTGTGTCTGGTTCCTTTTTCCACTCCAGAAGTAGCAGTTGATTAGTTTGCTTTTTTTTTTTCTGATGTGTGCAAAACAAACTTTGTGGCATCCTCAAAATCACTATCTGCCAGCTTTTCCTCCTAAATGTCTGGGTCCCAGGCCCATGAGGCCCAATCTCTGAGCTGTTTCCTGCAAGTTGCTCCTCTCTAATACCTTACAATTCTCTTTGTTCGCCCTCAAGTACCTAGTTAACAACCTTATACTTAGTTAATACATTTTCATATTAAATTCTTTAAAATATCTATTACATGTCTATCATCAAACTGTTCACTGACTGATGTCACACATCCATTTCTACTGCTTCCATAAGGTAACCTCTGTTAGGAGTTTGCTCTGAATCCTTCAATTGATTTTTACCTTGCTTTTAGAACCATGTATGCATGCAAATGTGCAGACACACACACACTGTGCAATCTACATAGCCTTGAGTATATCATTCTATGACTTATGGAAGCCTCAAACCTTTCCAGGATTCTTTTTAATTCTTTGGACCCACTCTTTTATGTGTCTTCCTGCTCTAGGTCTCATGACTTTACCTAATACCTCTCTACTTTTCTATATTGACCCAATGTGAAGTTCAATATTTTGGGGGTTTCCCCTCAAAGAGAGGAGTCACACAAAAATACTGATGAACATTAGACTTACAATTCTATACGGGCATGGGGGCATGGAAGAGGGGTTTACATTGGAAGTTTGTATTAAATGTTTCTGTCCCCCAAAATTCCTTCCTACTTGTCCATTATTGGTTCTCACTTTATAATTTTTAGAGCTATATTGTTTAGTGCAAAGAGATTCATGATTATTATATGATATTGGCGGTCATGCCATTTATCAATATTAAATGCATTCCTTTTCAATTTTCTTTGTCTGTTGTTGGCCTGTTTGTTCCATATTCATTCCTTGTCCACCTCTGTTCTGCACTGTAGTGTGGGGAGGGTGACATGTGCATGTTGTGTTTTTCAGGATTCTGGGCTCCCTTGTCAGCTGGCTTTCAGATGGGTCAGTGCGGGGGACTTGTGAAAGGGATTAATAGTGGGAGGAGTGGAAAACTCAGGGTACTTATTCCTCCTTCCTTTCATCCTTCTGTCTGGGTTGCATCCTTATAACTGCCTCCCAACTATAGGCCTACAGTAATTCCAGTGACCCTGTCACCCCTGGACACCAGAGACATGCTTTATTCTTTTGTCTCTCTAGCTTAACATCACCTCATCCTTTACTGTTTTTGTTAAGTCAGTTTCTCCATATCTGTAAATAGTTCTCTGCATTAAATTTCCTCTATTAAAAATACTTGCAGTAATTTCTGTTTTCCTACTTAGACCCTAGATAAAACACATCTCTTGCTTTCTGACATAGTCTGATATTGATTTTGCCTTTTATGGGTCATATTCTAGCATATCTTCATCTATTCTTTATTTTCAAGTGTTAAGCCTCTTTTGTTTTAGTGCTTTTCTTGAATACCATAGCATTTAGTTTTAAATTTTGCTTAATTGGAGAGGATTGTTTACTTTTTAAAAGGTCATATTAATCCTTTTGCATTTATTGTGATTACCTTTTAATCTTATAACTTTCTAATGATACAGTTTGGCTGTGTCCCCACCCAAATCTCATCTTGAATTGTAGTTCCCATAATCCCCACATGTTGTCGGAGGGACCCGGTGGGAAGTGATTGGATCATGGGGGCAGTTTCCCCCGTGCTTTTCTTGTGATAGAGAGTGAGTTTCATGACATCTGATGGCTTTTTTTTTTTTTTTTTTTTTTGAGGCAGTCTCACTCTGTCACCCAGGCAGGAATGCAGTGGTGAAATCTTGGCTCACTGCAATCTCCACCTCCCAGGTTCAAGCAATTCTCCTGGCTCAGCCTCCCGAGTAGCTGGGATTACAGGCACCTGCCACCACACCCAGCTAATTTTTGTATTTTTAGTAGAGACGGGGTTTCACCATGTTGGCCAGGCTGTTCTCAAACTCCCGACCTCAGGCGATCCACCTGCCTCTGCCTCCCAAAGTGCTGAGATTACAGGCTTGAGCCACCGTGCCTGGCCTTCACGACATCTAATGGTTTTATGAGTGTCTGGCATTTCTCCTGCTTGCAGTCACTCCATCCTGCCGCCCTGTGAAGAAGGTGCCTGCTTCTCCTTTGCCTTCTCCTTTGCCATGATTGTAAGTTTCCTGAGGTCTCCCCAGCAATGCAGAATGTGACTCAATTAAGACTTTTTTTAAAATAAATTACCCAGTCTCAGGTATTTCTTCATAGCAGTTTGAGAATGGACTAATACAGTACATTGGTACCAAGGTTGTGGGGTGTTGCTATAAAGATATCTGAAAATGTGGAAGCGACTTTGGAACTGGGTAACAGGCAGAGGTTGGAACAGTTTGGAGGGCTTAGAAGAAGATAGAAAAATGTGGGAAAGTTCGGAACTTCCTAGAGCTTGTTGAATGGCTTTGACAAAATGCTGATAGTTATATAGAAAATGGAGTCTATGCTGAGGTGGTCTCAGATGGAGATGAGGAACTTGTTGGGAACTGGAGTAAAGGTCATTCTTGGTATGCTTTAGCAAAGAGACTAGTGGCATTTTGCCTCTGCCCTAGAGATCTGTGGAACGTTTAACTTGAGAGAGATGATTTTGGGTATCTGGGAGAAGAAATTTCTAAGCAGCAAAGCATTCAAGAGGTCACAGAGCATAAAAGTTTGGAAAATTTGCAGCCTATCAATGTGATAGAAAAGAAAAACCCATTTTCTAAGGAGGAATTCAAGCTGGCTGCAGAAATTTGCATAAGTAACAAGGAGCCAAATGTTAATAACCCAGACAATGGCCAAAATGTCTCCAGGGAATGTCAGAGGTCTTCAAGGCAGCCCTAACTTCACAGGCCCAGAGGCCTAGGAGGAATAAATGTTTGCATTGGCTGGGTCCAGGGACTTGCTTCTTTTTGCTGTCTTGGGACTTGGTGCCCTGTTTCCTAGCCAAGGCTAAAAGGGGCTAACATACAGCTCAGGCGATTGCTTCAAAGGGTGCAAGCTCCAAGCCTTGGAGGCTTACAAGTGGTTTTGGGACTGCAGGTGCACAGAGGTCAATAATTGAGGTTTGGGAACTCTCTCTTAGATTTCAGAAGTTGTATGGAAACACCTGGATGTCCAGACAGAGGTGTGCTGCAGGGAAGGGGCCCCCATAAAGAACCTCTGCTAGAGCAGTGTGGAAGGGAAATGTGGGGTCAGAGCTCCAACACAGAGTCCCCACTGGGGCACTGCTTCGTGGAGCTGTGAGAAGAGGACTACCATCCTCCAGACCCCAGAATGGTAGATCCACTGACACTTGCGCTGTGTACCTGGAAAAGCCACAGACACTCAATGCCAGTCCATGAAAGAAGCTGGGAAGGGGGCCGTACCCTGCAAAGCCACAGGGGCAGAGCAGCCAAGGCCATGTGAGCCCATTTTCTGTATTAGCATGACCTGGATTTGAGACATGGAATCAAAGGAGCTTATTTGGGAGTTTTAAGATTTAATGGCTGTCCTGTTGGATTTTTGATCTGCATAGGGCCTATAGCCTCCTTTTTTTTGGGCAATTTTTTCCACTTGGAATGGGTGTTTTTACCCAATGCCTGTACCTCCATTGTATCTTGGAAGGAACGAACTTGTGTTTGATTTTACCAGCTTATAGATGGAAGGGACTTGCCTTGTCTCAGATGAGACTTTGGACTTGGACTTTTGAGTTCATGCTGGAATGAGTTAAGACTTTGGGGGACTGTTAGGAAGGCATGACTGTGTTTTGAAATGTGAGGACATGAGATTTGGGAGGGACCATGGGTGGAATGATAAGGTTTGGCTGTGTCCTCACTCAAATCTCATCTTGAATTGTAGTTCCCATAATCCCCACATGTAGTGGGAGGGACTGGGTGGGAAGTGACTGGATAATGGGAATGGGTTCCCCCATGCTATTCCCATGATAGTGAGTGAGTCTCACAAGATCTGATGGTTTTATAAGCGTCTGGCATTTCCCCTGCTTTCACTCACTCCATTCAGTCACCCTGTGAAGAAGGTGTCTGCTTCTCCTTTGCCTTCTGCCTTGATTGCTGGCCTCCTCAGCAATGTGAACTGTGAGTGAATTAAACCTCTTCCTTCATAAATTACCCAGTCTCAGGCATTACTGCATAGCAGTGTGAGAATGCACTTATACACTAATTACATCTTTCTATTGTTTATTTAAATTCTTTCTCCACTTTTGATTGGTTGACAAAATTTTGTTTGTTCTCTTTTATCTACAACAATTTAGAATTTCTAATCTTGTTTCCAGTCACTGCGATCATATTTAAGAAGTTTTAAATTGAAGTAGAACATACTTAAAGAAAATTGCTCACATCAAAAGTATATAGCATGAGGAATTTTTAGAAAGTGAGCACACTATGTAATCAGTACCCTAGGAGACTTCCTATTGTTCTTTCAGTTGCTGTTCCTCCCTCAAAGATAGCCCTAAATCTTGATAAGCATTTTTCAGCTTCTACTTTCTATTTCATCAGTATGTATAATCCATAAAGAAAATAACAACTTCAGCTTTTCTAAACATTTGTATTCATCCTCTTCTATGCTCCAAGACCTGGGTTTTGATAATATCTGTAATTCTTATATTTTGGTTACAAATTTTTAAAAATATGATTTTAAAAGTTCCTTGCACCTCTTGTTTTTAAAAGTATCTATTCCGAACAGTTGCATTACACTCTAGAAGTATACTGTCACCCTTGTTTTGATGTAGTTCTAGGTTTTTATCTGTTGCTTTTCTCTAGCATATTTTATGGCTAAGGTCTTTCTCCTTTTTGGATATACACATATAATTGTTTTATTTGGTTGGAGTATATAATTAATATTGTTAATAAAAGTTATAATTTTGCCAGTATATTTTCTGAATCCTTGAGCAACTTAAGAAATGCTTAGTTTGACTTCATGTGTAAATGATAATTTGGCTTGTTAAAGCATTAAAGCTTCACTGTATTCTTTTTAGAACAATATAGATACTTCTTAATTGAGTTCTAGTTCTTAGCATTTTGTACAACAAATTCAGCATATATTTGTTTCTTTTTCCTTTTTAATGAACTTGTTTTAGCATTCCAGAAGTTCTCAATATTTTTCAGAATTAACCTTTGAATTTAGAAATACCAGCATATATGTATACTAATTTCTTTTTTTAGTATTCCTTTTTAGTGCTTAGGTGGCACTTTTCTTCTGAAAATTCAAGTATTTCTCAAATAGCACTTCTCAAATACATCCTATTTGTTTTTTGCTTTACGTTCTCAAATTGGACTTTTAAAATGACTACTTTGGTGGTTGCATGTATGAACTTTAAAAATTGTCTCTCATTGAATTTTATATTACAGTAGGGATATTTTTATTTTTCTAAGAATTTTTAAAAGTTTCTGGCTAGGCCGGGCACGGTGGCTCCCGCCTGTAATCCCAGCGCTTTGGGAGGCCGAGGCCGGCAGATCACGAGGTCAGGAGATCAAGACCATCTTGGCTAACATGGTGAAATCCCGTCTCTATTAAAAATACAAAAAATTAGCCAGCGCAGTGGCGGGCGCCTGTAGTCCCAGCTATTCAGGAGGCTGAGGCAGGAGAATGGCATGAACCCGGGAGGCAGAGCTTGTAGTGAGTGGAGATAGCGTCACTGCAGTCTGGCCTGGGCAAAAGAGCGAGACTCCGTCTCAAAAAAAAAAAAAAAAAAAAAAAGTTTCTGGCCATACGTTTTTACCAGCATGCATTTATACATATGCAGCATTACCTTCAATATCACGAAAGATACTCAGGTTTTTGGCAACATTTTCTTCTCTTCCTTGCATTCATGTTGCTTCCTTGGGAAACCATTTGTTTTGCTTGTATAGGGTGCCTTCTCTCTTCCATGCTGTTTTCTTTAAATGCCTGGTGATGTGATTTTTAGTCATCTCTTTCTATATTGTTTATACATTAATATCTAGAGTAGTCAACATGAGTAGCTGATAAAGAGCTACTCAGCAATGGTGTGTCCCTCTTCCCCTAGCCATGAATGGGAGTGTTGTCTGTAGAGTTTTAGTAGGGTGAGAAGATTTGGAGCATCTTATTTTAAGGTACAGAGGCTCACATCTGCTGTGGGTGCCTGAAGTTGCCTGGGAACAGCTCAGCTTCTCTTTCTGGCTCTAATTCCCATGCTAAGAGTCCACCACAAACCCATAACCTGCTCCTGCTACCTGAACCTGCTGACTCTGTATTTAAAGATTTGGGAGACTGTCTTGCACAATTTGTTATTCATTCTTTCAACCACCTCTTTGTTTGCCTGCATCAAGTAACAACTCAGTGTGGTGTCAACTTCAGTCCTGTCCCACCTGTTTTATGTCCTGTAGACAATTTCTAATGTTTCTTGTCCTCTGGTGGAAAACTTCTTGGGTTTCCAGTGCTTTCATCAAATTACTAATAATTTTGCTCTTGTCATCTCAATGGGATTTTTGTGGGATAAATTGATAACTTTCTAAGTGTGTTGTTTACCCTATTGAATGAGAAGCTCAATGATCAGTTTTAACCAATTCCTACTGAGGCAACCTTAACCTGATTAAACATCCCTGCCTACTTGATAAACAACCTTTGAGAATTTGGAAATACAGCAAGGCTGAGTCATTCCCACAACTTATCATGTGGCAATGGGATCTTTATTATTTGTGTTCGTATTGCTCATCTCAAGGCGCAAAGAATATTCAACCTGCAGTTTCAGTCCTACCCAGTTACTGAGCCTGGAGATCTAAAGCTGGCTAGATCAGGAATCTAAATGAGACCAGACCATTTGACATATCCCATAGTTACTTTCCTCCTTCAAGTTTTGGGTGCGTCTTGAAGTTCAGGTTCTTCACCGAGCTTTCAGTAGTAATATACCAATAACTGGGTGTATGTGTGATTAATCCTTGCCTGGAGCTGGCTTTGAAATTTAGCCTGCTAGAACGGCCCAAAATCCACTACTGACCCTTGATAGATCCCTTCCTCTGGAGGCTTCAAATCTGTCCTAGTGTTTCCATCTGCTGCCTGGGATTATGTCATAATCTCTACAATCACTTGAGCAGACAACTCCATTTCTTGGCTTTGAGCCTAGGCCAGAAGCTTTGGAAACTCTGACCTCGCTATTTAAATTGGTCCCACTGGACATTAGATAAAAGATTTATACATAGTAATTTGAATTGCTTACTACTATCTTTGGAGGTCAAATTTTATTTCTACATTTCAACTCAGCCTTTTCCAAACAAAATGCCAGATTCTTTGATGGCGCATTGCTCAGGTCCAAACAAGTCTCCTCACTGAGGCAATTTTATAGCAGTTCTTGGCGAATTGTTTCAATTTTAAAAATGTACTCCATGGTCAAGAATAGTTATCTAGGGATGTTAGCGTTGTCAAAATGTTATCTCTCTTTTTAAAAAATATACAATAAAAATGTATTATCTTTCAAAGAAAATAGGAGGCCAACACTTACTTCGAACTATTATTGCCAAGAATTAAATTTTATCTCAACAGAATGCAAGGATACTAAAAACTAATGCAATGGGTGGAGGAAGCAGCTTCATATATTAAGAATCAGTAACCTGGATAGCCTCTTTACTTGTAACATCTCTCTAGAGATCTCCCAACCTGTTTTTCTATAGAAAATTATTACAACTGGATCAACTGAGGCCATACTTTACTAGTGAGGAGTAGAAATTTAATGTATTTTCAGTAATTTTAGTGATTGTGGTAGTTAGTACTTACATTTCAACAGTAGAAATGTTTAAATATTTGAAATTTTGACTTTGACACATTAATTAATAATGTATAGTCTATTGACATTTATGAGGGTTTGTTCCACCCAAACTCGTATTGTTTGCAGAATAATTAATTTTTAAACCTTTTTTTTTATTTCCCACTACTGGCATCACTCAAGTTTTGGATCAGAGTTGGTGTAGTAGCAATGAAAGGAACTTTAGCGACATCCTAATTTGAATACCAACGTCACGACTTCCTGGGCTTATGGATTTGATCAAGACACTTAATAGCCTCAAGCTTCTGTTTCCACATCTTCAGATAACGAGGATAATAATATTATGTCTCGTAATGAGAAAAATAATATCTACTTCACAGGGGTGAGGATTAAGAGAGCAGGCTCTGGCAATTAATTGCCTGAGTTTGGATCTGCACCTAATGCTCAGCTGTGCAATTTGTTAAAGGCACCAACCTCTCCAAGGCTCAGTTGCTCCATCTATATTTAATAAATTAAAAATAATAATTATATCTTCCTCATAAGACTGTGGTGAAAAATGTAGGTGCATTACATTCCTATTTCAGAGTACAGCATATTATAGATATTCGGTAATTTTAAATTTAAATTTAGTAAATATTTTGATGACTATCATAATAAATTAAAATATGGTTGTTGAATTTGCTTTCTTTCTCACCTTTCCACTTTTCATCCTTTATTTGTTCTGTACATGCTGAATAAAATAACATCCAACAAATCTATTATTATCTATATCAAATTATGTTGAGAAATACATAAATTACCAAAATAGTCACTGAGCAGGTTAGCAATGGAAATTTGACAATCTGAGACTCAACAGTTAATGAATGTATTGTGATTAGACAGCCTGACAAAGAAACAAACATTTTAATCTGACAAGAAGAATAAATATATACTATATTTGTCTTGTTCCAACTGGTATCACTGCCTTCCTGATCATTTTCAAATGGGGTGAGAACATTATGGCTTACTGTGTACCTTTTGTAAATTATCTACTCGCTTATTCCTCATTATATATGTTATTTTTTCCAAATATATTCTATGAGACAGATATAATTTTTCAATCACTTGTCTGTTTATCACTTGGGCACAGAGGTGATTCATAATTATTGATTCTCCATATTTTAAATAGTATCATACCATGAATGTGCTGATTATCACCAAACACTTCTATTGAGGTTTAGGGAAGTATTCTATTATCAAAACCATTAACATTTCTTTTTTTTTTTTTTTTTTTTGAGATATGGTGATAAAGACTATGAAAGTCTTACAGGAATTTAGGTCAGATTAATTACCAAATGAGTTTAGGTTATGTTTTGTTTTATGTAAATTCTTTTTCTGATAGTGGCGGGGTGGGATGTAGCTTTTATTATGTGAATCATCCTGTAGAACACAACGATAAATTCTCAATAAAATGCTTTAAAAACTCTGTGCAGACCCTGGAGAGATCATAAAAGCATGCAAAAACTTTAGCAGAATTGACGTGTGGAAGAACAGAAAGGCACTAAGTGAGTATTCCATGTTTTTGCCGTTTCTAGTTTGAGGGCAGGTTCCAGTTTGGGACATGTTGGAGAGCTTTTTAAAATTTGGAAAGAAAACTCATAGTTTAATTGTCTTGAGTAATCAGGGCACATGGCTAGGGGCAAACTCAGAAGCTAGGAATTGAGGTCAAAATCTAGGAAAGGAGAAAAAATAGGAGGAGCTCCAAATTCCGTGTATAAACTTACAACCTTTTCAATCTTTGGCTCGCCCCTGAGCCACACAAGCCTAGGGTTGATTCTAAGCAGTCCAAATGAGGCTGAAAAATGGACTGAGATTTCAGTTGCTGCATAATGCAGAGAAGACAGAGTTTGTAGTTTCAGTTTAGTTACATTAACAGTTTGCTAAAACAAAAACAACAAAGATACTTTCTGGATAAACGTATTGGAATCCATACCCTCTAATATGTATCATTTAGAATTTCTAGAACATTTCAAAATTACTTAATATACTTAGAAGCAAGTAAACATGGCCCATGCTCAAGAGAAAGACAATGGATACTGACTCAGAGATAGTACCTATTGCCATTATTATCAGACAGAATTTTTACTTATCAGACAAAGATTTTAATAGCAAGCAAGGGTTTAAAAGCAGCTATTGTAATTGTGCTTGCATATAATCAATAGTTATATACAACTATTTACAATCAATGAAAAGATAGGAAGTTTCAGCAGAGAAGTGGAAAATATTTAAAAAGTTTTAGAACTGAAAAATAGACTATCTGGAAAAACTAGTGAATGGGATTAATAGTAGAAAGAAGGAGACAGAAGAAATAGTTGGTAGACTTGTAAATAAACTAACAGAAACTATTCAATGTGAAGAATAAAGGAGAAAAAGGATTAGCGGGAAAAAGGACAAATCTTCATAGATATGTGGGGAACAGACAAGATCTAACATCCATGTAATTGGAGTCCTAGAAGAGTAAAGAGAAAAAAAAAAGGCGAAAAAATACCATACAACAGTAAGCATAAGAAGATTGGAATGACTGTATTCATATCAGACAAAGACATTGAGAGAAAAATATTTACTGGCACACCTTGCTTTTTTTGGGCTTCACTTTATTGCACTATACAGATATTGTGTTTTATACAAATTCAAGGTTTGTGGCAACCCTGTGTCAAGCAAGTCAGCACCATTTTTCCAACAGCAAGGGCTCACTTGGTTTCTCTGTGTCTCTTTTGGTAATTCTTGCAATATTTCAAACTTTTTCATTATTATTATATTTTCATGGTGACCTGTGATTAGTGACCATTGTTTAATTGCTTTGAGGTGCCATGAACTGTGTCCCTATAATATGGCAAACTCAATCAATAAACATGTATGTTCTGACTGTTCTACTGACTATAGTCATTTTCCCATCTTTTCCCTCTCCTTGGGCTTCCCTGTTCCCTGAGAGACAAAACAATGTTCAAATCAGTGACCTAATCGTAGGGTTACAATTAATACTAATAATCCTACAATGGCCCCTCGGTGTTCAAGTTAAAAAAAAAAAACAGCCACATGTCTCTCAATTTAAAGCAAAAGCTATCAATGATTAAGCTTAGTGAGGAAGGCATGTTGAAAGCTGAGATAGGATGGAGCCAAGGCTTCCTGCACAGAGCAGTTAGCCAAGTTGTGAATGCAAAGGAAAAGTTATTCAGGAACATTAAAAGTAAACACATGAGTAGTGTGAAAGCAAAACAGCTTTGTTGCTGATATGGAGAAACTGTGAGTGTCTCATAGAAGATGAAGACAGTCACAACATTCCATTAAGGCAAAGCTTAATCCAGAGCAAGGCCCTAACTCTTTTTAGTTCTGTGAAGGTTGAAAGAGGTGAAAAAGCTGTAGAAGGAAAGTTTGAAGACAGCAGAAATTGGTTTATGAGGTTTAAGGAAAGAAGCTGTTTCCGTAACCTAAAAGTGCAAGACAAGGCAGCAAGTGCTGATGTGGAAGCTGCAGCAAGTGCTGATGTGGAAGCTGCAGCAAGTGCTGATGTGGAAGCTGCAGCAAGTGCTGATGTGGAAGCTACAGCAAGTACTCAGAAAAATCTAGCTAAGATACCTGATGGAGGTGGCTACACTAAACAGCAGATTTTTCATGTAAACAATACAGCCTTCTACTGGAAGAAGATGCCATCTAGAACTTTCATAGCTAGAGAGGAGAAGTTGATGCCTGGCTTCAAAACTTCAAAGGGCAAATTGACTCTCTTGTTAGGAGCTAATTCATCTGGTGACTTTTTTTGAAGTCAATTCTCGTTTACTCTTCTGAAAATTCTAGGGCCCTTAAGAACTATGTGAAATCTTTTCTCCCTGTGCTCTATAAATGAAACAACAAAGTCTGAATGACAGTACATCTGTTACATCATGGTTTACTGAACATTTTAAGCCCATTGTTAAGACCTACTGCTCAGACAAAAGATTCCTTTAAAAATATTACTGCTTATTGCCAATGTACTTAGTCACCCAAGAGCTCTGATGGAGATGTACAAGGAGATTAATGGTTTTCATGTCTGATAATGCAACTTCCACTTTCAGCCCATGGATCAATAAGTAATTTCAAATTCAAAGTCTTATTATTTAAGAAATAGATGCCATAAGGTCGTAGCTACCATAGATAGTGATTCTTCTGAAGGATCTTGGTAAAATGAACGGAAAAACTGCTGGAAAGGATTTATCAGAAAGGATTTACCCAGAAAGCATACAGGAATCTCTCTGTATTCTTACAAATGTATATGAATCTATAATTACCTCAATAAAAATTTTAATGAAAAACAAATTTTAAAAAGTTATATACCCTTCTATTTCACACATATATAACAATATGTGTGTATATGTATATACATACATAATTCCATTAAATGTATATAATTATTCTACATACATATTATTATTATTACACAATGTTTTTTTCTAACACTGTAAGACTTATTCTTGTTGATACACACAGAACTAGTTCATTCATTCAACTGTTGTAGAATAATGCATAGTATGCCTAAGCCAACATTTATTTATTGATTTCTCTTGTTTATGGGCATTTATTTCCAAACAGTGCAAGAGACTGTGCACTGGGAAGCTGCCTTTGCTGCAGGTACCTGGTGCTAGAGAAGTCAGGCCCTTGGAGCATGCCCAGTGGACTTTCTGGGATTGGAAACCAAAACTTCTTCTTCTTGCAATTTCTCTTGTGTGTCCTCTACTGACAAAACTCAATAATGTGCCATCTGACAGCAAAAGTATTTAACAGGCCCAGATCTTTTTTTGCAGAGTGGACAAAAAGAATGAATTTGGATTTGAGAGGTAATAATAAATAACCAGCATGATAGATAACTAATTATACCAGCACTATTTCAGAATTTTCTATCCTCTTCCTACTGATCTTTACTGTCACATTTACCATATATGAAGTTTCCAGGTATTTGTATGTCTAAGTGCTGTATTCTAGTTCCTTTGTCTAATTATCTATTATTGGACCAAGTCCACATTGTTGTAATTATTATACCTTTTTAATATATATCAATCTTTGGCAAGAAAAGGCTTTCTACATCATTCTTCGTATTAAAATTTGTTTTGGATATTATCTATCTATCCATCTGTCTTTGAATATAATCTGGCATACAATAAGTACTAGATACAGTTGTTGTTGCTGATGTTGTTTTACATGGTATTGTATCTTTGTTGATGAATCATAACCATCCTCTGCTATTGGAGTATTGTACCTTCACATCTAGTAAATGGTACATTTCATTTTATTACATTTTTTACTTCATTCAAAAAATTTTTTGTAAAGGTGTGGTGTATTTTTAAATACCAAATAGTTTATTAATTGTCAATTGTAGCTGTGTTTTTAACATAGCTCTCTAGTAGATTACGCTGCTGTATAAAGATACTATTGACTTTTTTTTACATTGATCCTGTGCCCAGAAACTGTGCTAAGTCCTTTTATTCATTCTACTTGTTTGTTTATGGATTCTGTTTGACATATTATGTAGAACAGAAGTATTCAAACATTTTTTGGGAGCAGACTAGGTGGTAAATGTTTTTTTCTTTGAGGTTCATGCAACCTCCATTGCAACTACTCAACTCTGACTTTTAAGATAAAAGCAGCCATAGACAATATGTAAAACAAAAATGGGTGTAACTGAATTTGGCCTACAGTAGGGCCTTATTTGGCCCATGAGTCTTATTTTGCAGAGACTTGATGTAGATAATAATTTTATTATTTTTGTTCTTAAAGCCATCCATTAAGCAAGCCTCTTGATTCTTTTTCTTATCATATTTCATAGGCTAGGATTTCTAGTATAGTATTATACAGTGGTGCCAATAGTGGGAATTCTTGCCTTTTTCCAGGATTTATTGGGATTCATTACAAATTTTAATGTTAAGAATGATGTCATCTTTGGGTTAAGAAAATTTATCTTTATTACAATGTGGCCAAATGCTTTTATAATAAAAATATTATTTAAACTGTTTTGCACCTATAGAGAGAATAACCATTTTGTCCTTTATTCTTAGTGTTGATCAATTTTATAGTTTTGAAATATCTTTGTCTTACTAATATAAATCCAACTCATTCATGATGAATTATTTTTATACAGTATTGGATTTGATTTACTACTATTGTATTATGCTTGCATTTATGCTTATAAATGAGTTGGGTTTTAAAATAATTTTTGCACTGTCATAGACTGATTTGGCATATGGTTTTAATGATGTTATAAAAAGGAATGCTTTTCTTACATTTTTTTCTTGAAAAATATTTGTTAAAAATAGAGATTGGGGGTTTCGTGGATTTAATACAATTATTCTGTGTAGTTGGTTGGGAAAGATTTTTTGACTGCTGATTAAAATTATTTAATGGTTGCTTATCTATTCAGAATGTATTTGTTTTTTAGTCATTTTGGTAATTAAACTTTTTTTTTAGAAGATCTTACATTTCACATGTTTTCAAATGTATTGGAAAGATTGTTCATAGTATTAACATAAGTTGTAACTTATCTATAGTTACGTTTCTTTTTCATTTCTAATTATGCTGATTTGTGGCTTTCCTGCTTTTCTCTTGATCGCTTTCGTGAGAAATTTATAAATAGTACTCATCTTTTTAAGAAACTAGAATTTGGTTTTGTTGTTCATTTATATTTTTTTAAATGTATTCAATGTTATTCTTTTAGTTATTTCTTTTCCACTACCTAATTTAGATTTTTCTTGCTCTTTTTTATGTCTGCTTCAGTTAAATGTTTCATTAATTTATTTTCAATCCTAAAAAATTTTTATTAAAGCCGCAAAATGTCCTGAAGTACTAGTTTAGCTGTAACTTAAAAGTTTTAATAGTTTCTGTGATTTAGTTGTAAATATTTCATGATGTCTTATAGTTTAGAAGTGTGTTTATTAGTTTCCAATGTATGATGATATTTTGGGACTATTATTGTAAATTTTAAATTTTATTGCGATATTACTATGAAATATCATCTTAATTATATTAATTTTTGAAATGTGTTGAGACTTTCTAAGTAGCCTGTGTAAGTTAAAAGCACCTTTCCTATGTTTCATATATTCCTTGGAGTGCTGGGGTGGGTGGAATTAGGAGTGATGGAACTTAGGTATGGGTAGGGATGGCAGTGCCAGCAGGTGTCAGCTCACACAGGAAACACACCTGCATGTGTTTCTCAATAGTCTTTAGCTTTTGCATTTGTCAACCCAGCAAATTTTATGATGCAGATTTTTGTAGCATACCGTCTTTCATTTTAACATTCTCGACGTTTGCATCAGGTGTGTTTTTTACTTAAGGACAACTTACAAATCAAAACAGAAACTTGCAGTAAACTCCCTTTACAGTTGTAGTTATAAGAATCCTCAGATCCCCTTAGGCTTGATTGATAAAACATGGCATTTATCCTATTTCTATGATGATGTTCAGCAAAGTTTATGACACAGGGAAACAGCTGGTAAAGTGGGTTCATGGAAAGGTGAAGGTAATATAGCCATAAAAAACAAAAGGATAATGATTTTAAAAGGGATAATAGTTGTAATAACACCATTAACCTTTTGCTTCAAATTATGAAATATGTGGTCTTTTTTAGAGGGCTAATCAAAGGTTCGTAGTAACTGCAATGTGGGAGAAAGAAGGAGTACTATAGAATTTGTGGTAATTTTTTTTCCCTTAAAAATATTCTGCTTTGTAGCCCATTAAGAAAACAAGACCATTGCTGGGCTTCTATTTATTCTGAAAGAAAGTTAATTTAATTTCCAAATAAAGGTATTGAAGTTTGCAGTAGAATGAATGTTAAAGAACATATATGCAACAACGTAGTAGACCAGGATTCAAACACCTGGTTTTAAGACAGATACTAGCATTGAGAGGGGAAGGCATTTTTGTGGAGTGAAAGCATAGCACAATGTTTTCTATTCTAGGTTTATAAAAACATTTGGGAGTTTGTATGTTGTTTGGGCAACAGTTCAATTTAGTGAAAATTGGAATCACTCTCCTTTTCTCAGACTTTGTGATTTTACCACTGATGGAGATTATATGCATGCGAGAAAGGGGAAATTAATTGCAGAGCAAATAGTATCAGTAAAAAGGAGATAAAGAAAACATTAGTGAGGCTAATTTAGATGAAAATCTATAAATTTTTGTTGACAGAAAGGAGAATTTTTGAAACTAAAGGTTCTTGAGGTTCCATCCAGTGTCACCTCAATGTTTTTGGACTCTGAGAGTTTTATAAACCTCTGGAAATTTATGTACAATTTTATAAGAAGATACATTTAAGAATTTTTTTGAGAACATTTATATAGCTCAGCAACATCTCAAAGGCTCTGTGACACCCAAAACGGTTAAGAACAACTGATCTAGATTTTTCCCACATAATTACTTTGTTGCCTGGCAATGCCTCCATTTCTGCTTATGTTTCTGTAGCAAGAACTTTGAGATTTGATACCTCTCAACACTGCCCTCTCCCCACAAAAGCTATTAGAAGTATGACCACCTTCTCAGGAGCTTGATTTTATAGAGAATTTACTTTTCAAACCAAACTTTGGGATATATAGTCCAACAAGTAAAAGAGCACCTGTAATAGCAACACGGTGTAAGAAGATGGGATGTTGACAATGTGGTCCATCCTGGGATGTCTGTGGCAAGGCCCCTGTATACATGTACATCTGAATTCCTTAACTTTGTGTATATGAAATATATACCAAAAATAGTTGGCCCGTTGTTAAGACTTTTGCTCTTTTGTTTTTTAAAAATTAAATGCAAATACATGCATTTCATTCCTATTCATTTTATATACTACTCTGATATAACTATTTTTTTTTTATTCCACTGCAGTGGCCTGAGCTTAGGTCACACATTTTTAACCTACAGGTTGTTATTGTCCTTCTGCTTGTGGGCTTCACTGAGAACCGGGGAAAGGCACAGCACTTTTCCTCAGAGAAATACTAAGTCCTACATTTGGGTCATACCATTCCAGGCCTTTCATAAACCCTTCAAAAAGTGTAGGTTCCAGGGGAAGTACTCTCAGTTTCAGCTCTGCTCGTTTCTTATCTGATTTCACTGCCTGTGGCTTTGGTAATGGCAGCCCAACTTCTCTAGGGGTCTCTCTCAAAGATCAATGTGATTCTTTTGCTCCCCTGCTTAAAAACCTTTCAGTGGCTTTTCTGTGCTTACACGCTAAAATCCATAAAGCACAGCCTCGTCCAGGTGCCCCTATCCTCTCAAGGTTAGCCTCTTTACCACCTCCCCTACTGGTCCCCACTTCATTCTGGTTATTCCAGCCATGCACATATTATGCCCAGCTTTTCTAAACTGGCCATGCTGTTCTGAACTTGCCTTGCCATTCTGCACATCCAGTCCTGGCATCTGCTTCTCCCTGCATGGCTAGCTGTTCCCTGTGTGTGCTTGGTGATTACCCACCCGCCCTTTGGGACCCACCCATCTCTCCTTCTGTGAAGTGGCTCTGACATACCAACTGCTTGCCCACACCTGGAATGGCAGCAGTTGGCTCCTTTGTGCCACCATGGGTCCTTGTGCTTGCCTTTACTACAGCTCTTGGCACACCGCAGTTCATGTAATTGTTTGCACATCTGTGGGCTAAAGGCCATTAGAAACTACTTTTTCATGAGTATCTCTTGCCCAGCTCCTAATAGGCTTTGTTTCAGTAAGGTTTTTGTTTGAATTTTGTGACTATTTCAGTTGGTCTTGTTGAGTACCACAGGAAATTCATTAGCAGAGAAGACCCAAAACTTTAAGGGATAGTATCAGTAGATAATATACAATTGCTCTGCCTTCTTTCCACAATATATTGGACCAAAATAGTTTAAAGATCCAAGAAAATCTACAAGGAGGACAACTTAATTCTTTCTTTTTGGAATAGTATTATTATACAGGGAGTGGAAAGCACATCTGATGTTGCTGAAAGAACTAAGTTCAAATTCTGGATCTGCCACTTATGATTAGGTGACCTTGGTGGAAACACATTGCTCTGCTCAAAACTTAACCTCTTCATCTCCAAATTGGGGCTTATAAAAATACTTTATTATCTCATGATAGAGCTGTCAGGATGGAATTAGTGCCTGCATGCATAGATTGTTTTGGGTAATGTGTCATAGGTGTGTTAGCAGCATTCATTATTATTATGCTGCTGGACTTGTAGAACCATTACTTTAATTTGAAAGTCAATGTCAAATGACAGTGTGAGAATAGAAATATAAAAGAAAGCATCTTCACCCCCACTCTCTTTTCCTGTATCCATTACAGACATCACTAATAGATTGTTGAGATCTTTGTCCCTGAGACCACACTTTGTCTCAAATGGCTTTCTCAAGCAGTCATTGCCAATTAATCAGTGTTGGCTTTAAAACCTATATGCTACTTTAGTTCTAGAGTCTTGGACTGATGAAAGAAACAGTGCGTTAAAAAAAGTCTTGTAAATGGTTTAATGTCCCTGGGCAAATGCACATGTCACCATCAGCAACCACATTGTTCTCTTCTTCTTTCATAATGGTGAAATTTTGCCTGGATACATGGTTCCTCACAATAAAACTAAACTTTTTGGTCTTTTTTTTTTTTTTTTGGCTGGATATAGCCACAAAGTATAAGTTTTTGCCAGTGGGATGTAAACTGTAGTGTTGTGTGGCAATTTCTGCAAACCATTTTTAGGAGGCAATTGGTGTAAGCTGTTTGCTGTTCTTCCTCTAGTTCTTTTCCTGAATTCTGCTGCCTGGAACATGGACCTGCCATAAGAATGATGAAACAGTGAGCTGGAGGAGCTTATGTCCTTGAAAATATTATTGAGCAGATCTCTGTTCTAGCCCCTGACTGAACTTCTATTTGTTTGGGACACTGTTATACAGCCATTGCAATCTGCTGGAAGTTTGCTGTTCACCATAATGCTTTATTTATTTAACCCTCCTCGTTAGAAATTCTTAGCAGATTCAGAGGATGCTAAAGCAAAACGCATTCACTTTAGGGATAGAGAGGCATTAGAAAGACTTTTGTATGCTTTGCCAGGTTGGAAAAACGTGCAATGTTGATGTCCCGTAAGTGGCAGCAAGGATGGGATGATGTGATAGAGCGACACATTGGGAAACTGGGAAGCCAGATTTTAGTTTAGGCCCTAATAAGTTATTTGAAATTGTTCTAACTACATAGAACCTCAGTTTTCTATAAAAAATGATGTATATATCTGACAAGAAGTGGCAAGAGGTTCAGGTCAACAGGGGAAGGTGGAAGATGGTGAGGACATGAGCGAGAACAGGTCAGGAGGCTTCCAGATCCGAGATACCCAGGCATCTATTTGAGGACTGGCCTGTTCGTTTGCAGATGTCCAGTCAGGGGACTGGCAAAGAAGGGACAGTCAAGGAGTGATACATTTGTATTGTGACACCCCCATGTTCGTGCACATGGCCAATGCATCTCATAAATCTAGGGTGAATAGTTGCCTACATTTTGGTATGCACTGCTTGATTTGAATGTCTATCACAAAGCCCCACTTCCACTCTTGTATTTCAATATATTCTGCTTATGTTTGAATATCTATATTTATACTGAATACAGTAAAAAAGTATATAATAAAGTCATTCACCATCAAGAACAGCTTTTCATCTGCTTTGTCAGAATGTCATTTAAATAGCTACATTCTGTTAATGCACAGTAGTTAAATAAACTCCAAGATTCTTATTCTGCAATAACCCATTAAATCATCTTAAATACTATGTCATAATGACAACTTAATGCAACCAGATGTGATATTTGGGGATTAAAAAATACTTTTCTAAAGACATAGCTTCCTGATTTTACGTTCTCAAGCCCGTTTGCACAGCTGTTCAATTTCTTGGCTCTGCTTTCTATGGGTGTATATCACTTATGTTCTGCTTCATGCGTGACATTACTGAAGTGCAAAGGGGTGTTCCCCAGGACATTGTGATACGTACTTGTGTGAGATATGCATCAGCATAATTTTGTTCTCAAGGCATGATTTTCTCAGTCTGGAAAGGTGCAAATAAATGTGATCATGTGTCGACATGAGAGCGCTAATAACAGGTCTTGCAAGGTGTCCCGTGGTCTGAGAGTCATGGTAAGTCAATGGCGCCCAAAAGGACAGTGTTTATCATACCCAGGCTTGATAGAAGGTTGGTGGCTTGCATCATGTACCACTGAAATGTGCTTATCCACATCTGGATTAAGAAGTACTTCCTGGTAGTGTATTGACACCATCAAAATAGTAATCTAATACCTCTAGTTCCTGCCCTGCATTGCAATTAATTATTCACAAGAGGTGTAAGCTTTATAATACCTAAAGTTTCTATGTCATATGGAATTGGAAATGAACTTTTGAACTTCTGATTTTATCAGTTGGTATAAAAGTTGGCAAAATTAAAAGTTTGTATATGTGATGAACCATCAAAGAGGAAGAACCCATTTGACAACCATGTTATGCACTGCGCGCAGAGAAGGATAATGCCAGCATCAAGCAGGAATCCTAGAAATGAGGTCATAACAGGCAGTGCAAGTGGGCCCTAATGAACCCAGATTCATATCTGTGGTGAAATTATATGCTGGATAATGTCCTGAGAAAAGCTGCCATGTTTCAATCTGGAAAGAAGCCCATTGCTGATACAACAAATCAATTGATAAGAAATGTCTTTATTGCACTCAATAAAAGAACAGCACAACCCCAAATAATCATACACGGCTCATAAAACAAATTGCTCACCTAAAATGAATTACACTCTGAGTTTTTTTTTTTTTTGAGTAAATTACACCACAGAAAATTCAGTGATGTATCCATCCACTAAAGAGTAAGATGATAAACAGCACTAAAAGTAAATGTTTCCACGTTTCTTTTTAGTTTAGCCTTTTTTTCAAGCCACATGATTACCAAGAGCAAAATGTAAAAGAAAAAAAAGAGGTAGAAAGGGCCTGTTTCGTGAAATATAGGAAAAAATATACCATCTGTGATTTAGCACAGTTCTCAATATTCCATCTGTGATCTGAACACAGTTCTGAGCAAAGGCTGAATCCCATTGTAGTTCAATAGATTTTTAAAAAAGTTTGTCTAAGAAAACTACTTTTGTAACATACTATTATTCTTGGCATGGAGTATCTTTTGAATGAAATAGTAAATATGGCTTTTACAACTGTTTTAATGATTTGCTGTTGTTTTTGTTGCATGCAAAGGCTTAACATTCTGAACAACTAATAAGCTAGACCCTTGTTCTACCACCCTCCCAGAAAAACTCACTGTAAAAGAAGTATATTTTGAATCCTGTGAGATGGGCCTTTGTTTCTGCATTCATCTAGTCAACAAATGTTTATTACCAAGCATTCTGTTAGAGGAATTTCCATGTATAAGGGAATCTAAAAGTATTAAATGACATTATGATGTTGCTTCAGTCAATGTAGTTTTGCTCAGTGTTAAAAAGAAAACATAATAGCACATCGCACGATGATTCACTGGTCTTTTCTTAAGGCAATGCTGGCGTTTACTCATTTTTCTGTGATGAGCTTATCTGGTGATATGAAGCCACACATAGGAAGTCACTGGTCCACATCAAATAATAAAAGAACAGGGTTTCTTAAGCTCAGCACTATTGCCACTTTCGACCAGATACTTCTTTGTTGTGGGGGGCTGGCTGTACCGTATGTGCACTCTGGGATGTTCAGCAGCATCCCCTGCAATTGTGAAAATCCAAAACGCCTTTAGAAATTGCCAAATGTCCCCAGGAAGAAGATCACTTTTGGTTGAAAACCACCTGTATAAAAGGAATCATTAGATTTTCATATTATCAACTGTTAGAAACTGTGGTTTTCTTTTTTTTCTTTTTGCAGGGTAGCAGCCAGTAATTTGTCCCTAGTTTCTTGTTGTGAAGATATACGTGATGAAGACTGATACTGAGCACAGAAACGACAGGAGTGGGAAATGGTTTAGGAGAAGGCAGGGCTGAGAAAGCTGTTCTGTAACGCGTCAAGATCAGGCATGAGACCAACTGCATTATTCTCACTAAGCACAGTCCACTAATCACAGATGTCTTTGGCCGTCATTCATTTCTTCTTGCTGTATCCTTAATGTGGGGTTTCCAGCCCTTCTTGGCTGGGAGAAATCTCATTTTGCAAATCTTGGCTCCAATGTCTTCTCCATCTTTTCTGTGAGGGCTTCCCATGTCTCAGTGGTAACAAAAAAATTCTCTTTTTGCTTCCATGTCGTGGAACTTTGCTTACCTCAACTTATTGATTTTCATATTGTTTGATGTTTTAGTTAATTAGTTAGATACCTGTCTCTCTTAAGATGTTATAAACTCTTTGGATCTAGACTGTCATCTTTATAGCCCATATCATCTAGTCTAGGGATGCATTTGCCTGTGAGCAACAGAAATCTGCCTTAAGGTAACTTTACTGGGGAGTTTGCTTCCCTTACATCATAAGAAGCTTTGGTTAGGAGGCAGCTGAAGACATTGATTCAGCAGCTCCGCAATGCCTAGGCTAAATCTCCAAAATTGTCTTGGCATTGCCCTCTTGGTCACAAGGTGGTGGCTGCTCAGCCAGACTTTCTCTGCATTCCAGGCAGATAGGAATAGGGTTCTGAAGCCACCAGCAGGATTCCTTTATATCTCGTGGGTCAGAACTGAGTCACATGGCAATTCCTATCTGTAGCAGAGGTAGGGGAGTTGATTTTTATTTTTGCAGACACTGTAGTAGTAAATGGAGAAGGAAAGGAGATTGGATTGGATTTTGAATCTGCCATCCTCCGAAGGCTAACAGCATGTTGAGTGCTTGTGCTTGTGGAAGGACTTGACCATTCGGCTGTGTTCAGGCAGGAACTCTTCATCACAAGGTCTTCTGGTGCAGGAGGAACAAAGACTAACACTTCAGAAAGACACTTGCTTTAGTGTGACATAAAACCATAAATTAGGCTTTAATTTGGCAACTGCTTTTCAAATAAGAGTTTCATAAATCATCACGCTTCCTCATCATCTTTTGCTTTAAGTTTTAATGGCACACAGAATGAAATCAACAAAAGAAATGTGGTAAGAGAAGGCACAGAAATCAGATGAGAATATGGGAAAAAAGGAAGGCGCTAATGAGCGATCCATTTATACTGTGCGGGAAGGTACCAGGGAGGGAGAGAGGGAGGACTTTGAAGGCAGAAAGAAACTAAAACCCTGCTGATGTGAGCAGTGGGAACACATGGGATTTTGATAAAAGGTCACATGTTAAAATGTGATTTTAAGATTAATCTGCCAGAGCAATGCAATATTATTGTTTCTTTTCCAGGCCACCCGAAAACTCAGATCAAATGGAGTAATGATTTGAAATTTACTTGACCCTTTCCTTTCGGTCTTAACGCTTTCCCAAATAGTCTTATATAAAGTTCATAAACTTTTCTTTTTGAATCTGTGCTTGTATTTTTTTTCTTTCCCAAATATTCATATTGAGATTTTTACCCTGCAACCATGGGGTTAAGCAGAATACATTATTTTGTTTTCTTCTTCAGTGAGTGTGTCGATTTGAGCAAGACCGGCCAAATTGCTTTCTCTCTTTCTTTTTTCTCCTAAATCAAACTGTCTATTCAGAAGAGCATCACGTTGTGGTCCTATTAAACAAAATAACACGTTCTGCTCTGATATTTAACAGGGCGAAGCTCAGCCTCGCCGTCTCTCTGCTTTACTGACATGAGAGCTTACTGAGGAACATTTTCCCCCTTTGAGAGGTCTCGAGAGGGTCTGTCACATTTTTTTGTTGTTGTTCCCAGCAATTTCTGTTGCTGCACTGGGGCTTGGCTGTGATAAACGACATAAGCTTGTTGTGCCTTACATGCAAATTCAGAGAAAGAAAAATGGGAAGTAGAAAAAGGATATTTCACTTTCCTTATCTAAAATAATCAGCTTTACTTAATTGATTTGCGGGTCTTTTCTCATGAAACAGTAAACCTATTAGAAGACAGACAAGATAATAAGTTATGGGAAGATCTTTGTAAAGGCTTGTCATTGGTTGGTAATGGTGATCGTAAGGACACAAGATGGATCACCTCTGGCTGGCTCTTGATCCATCTAGTCCAGTAGCCTGTCATTGGCACTTGCGCCAAGAGACGTGATTGTCCTTCACGATGTTTCCATTAAAAGTAGTTTATCCCTAAACGTCCCACTGGACAATTAATGCTGTGACGGCCATGCATTTGCTAAACTGCAGATTCGTGTTTGTACTTCCTACAACCTCCTGAGGAAAATGATGCATTTTTTATTGTTTGTGGGGTTTTGTCTGGCTTTACTGTGCACTTATAGATGTTCTGATTCTCCCTGCTATGTTATGCTTTAAGAAATGGATCATACTTAGGCTGGGTGCAGTGGCTCATGTCTGTAATCCCAGCACTTTGAAGGCTGAGGCCGGCTGATCAACTGAGGTCAGGAGTTCGAGACCAGCCTGGTCAACATGGTGAAACCCCGTCTCTACCAAAAGTACAAAAATTAGCTGGGCATGGTGGTAGGCGCCTGTAATCCCAGCTACTCGGGAGGCTGAGGCAGGAGAATCTCTTGAGCCTGGGAGGTGGAGGTTGCAGTGAGCAGAGATTGTGCCATTGCACTCCAGCCTAGGTGACAGAGTGAGACTGTCTCAAAAAATAAGAGATCACAGTGAACATTCTTGGGTTTGGAAAGCAAGCTAATGTTCCTCTTATCCATACTTTTATTAGTTTGAAAGTTATAAAAGCAATATGTCATAAAAATATACAAAATAGAAAAAAATTGTAGAGAAATAGATGTGCAGAAGTATGTGTGTTGCAATACTGATGGCAAGAGGTAAAATTTGGGAACAAACTAAATGCCCATCAATAGTGAAACAGTTACATAAACTGTTGCCACAAACACATCACAGAAATCTATGCAGCTATTAAATAGGTAGATATTTGTGTATTGGCATAGAAATTCCTTTTTCCAAGACATATTTTTAATTGAAAAAAGCAAGTTGCAGAACAATACATGAAGTGTGATGGCATTTATATTGCTAAAAACATCGCAATTACACATTTCTATAACTATGTATGTGTCTATGTTAATGCAGAGAGAAGATGCCCTCCCTGGAGGGGCTAAGCACGGAAAAGGCCAGAAAGTATTTTTACCTTACATTGAAATATTTTACAAAAATATATCATCTGAAGCTAGTGTATTTAAAAATAAATGTGCCGGGCCGGGTGGTTGGCACCTGTAGTCCCAGCTACTCGGGAGGCTGAGGCAGGAGAATGGCGTGAACCCGGGAGGCAGTGCTTGCAGTGAGCCGAGATGGTGCCAATGCACTCCAGCCTGGGGGACACAGCGAGACTCCGTCTCAAAAATAAATAAATAAATAAATAAATAAATAAATAAATAAAATACTTGTTTAAAATGAAGGGGGAAATAAGATTCTGTATTTTCTTATACTAACAAAAGTCCTATAATTTTTAAGATTTTCCTTCTAATAATTTTCCATTTGTTTCTATTTTTACATAGTTGTGCTAAGTACAAACACAACATTTAAAAATATTATATATAATTATTTTTGAATAAAGATAAGTATATATGTATTATATATATATATTATAAATATAGAAAAGGATGAAGAGGAAAACCAAAGTGTCCCATGATTCCAGTGTCCACACAGTCCTATTTAGTAATGTGGATGCCTAGGAAATGCAAGAAGTTCAGAAAGGAACACAGAAAAATGGAGGCTTTGCTCATTTTGCCTCTAAGCACCCTCCACCCAATTTCCCAAGGACAGTTCCTAGTAATGCTTTTAGGAGGGATCACCACAGCTAATATTTAGTAGGCATTTATTATGTTACTATCAGACACTGTTCTAAAGTACTTTGTAATAATTAGCCCATTTAATTCCCATAGCTCTATGAATTAGGGTCTATTGTTGTTACCATTTCACCGATGAAGAAGCTAAGGCACAGAGAAGCTAAGGACACTGCTGACAATCACACAGCTAGAAAGTGGTGAAGCCAGGATTCAAATCCAGAGAATCTGGCTCCTGAGTCTCAGTATTACCTAGTGCACCACGCTGCCCCGATTACAATAGGTCCTTAATATCACAAACTTATCTAATACCATATGTCTACATGGGTCTTTAAATATCACACAAGGGGCTAGGCGTGGTGGCTTATCCCTGTAATCCTAGCACTTTGGGAGGCAGAGGTGGGTGGATCACCTGAGGTCAAGAGTTTCAGACCAGCCCGGCCAACATGGTGAAACCCCGTCTCTACTAAAAATACAAAAATTAGCCAGGTGTGGTGGTGCGCACCTGTAATCCCAGCTACTAGGGAGGCTGAGGAAGGAGAATCGCTTGAACCCAGGAGGCAGATGTTGCAGTGAGCTGAGATCGCACCATTGCACTCCAGCCTGGGCAACAGAGCAAAAACTCTGTCTAAATAAATAAATAAATATTGCACAAGGAGGTCACAGCATACCTGCTGTGCTAAACCTTGCATTTTCCTTTTGAGAAAAGTTACCTTAATATCAGCTCATTCTAACGACCTTTATCCTTTTAATAAATAACAATATTTTCTATTGTAGGGAAATAACTCTGTTCATGAATGCTACTGCTATTTACTATTTCTTTTTTATTTTATTTTTTTCACTTTTCTTGTTTTATTTATGTTTTCTCCCTCTTCTGGGGTCAGTTTTGTGCCTTGTATTTTCCTTGAAAATGCTCTACTTTTTTTCTGTTTTATATTTCTTTCATTCCTTTATTATCCTCTTCCATGTGTTATGTGAGTTTATTTTATTTTTGTTTTACTTAACATTTTGAACTGGATGTTTAACTCATTAATTTTTTCTTATTTAATTATGTAGGTTTTAATGCCATGAATCGAAAAAACACATTTTTTTCTTGCTGTTCTGCCTTAAAAAAAAAAAAAAAACAAGAATTACTTAAGAGACAGTTTAGAATTTTCTAGATGGTTGACTTTTTCCTTTCCAATTTATACGTCTTTCCTGACTTGCACTTCTTGTTTGATGACTAAGTCTTTTTTTTAATATTATGAAGGCTTATTATAACATTTACCTTTTCCTGCCCATATTTCCCATAGTAATTTAGTTTTTAATTGTATATTTAAATACATTTCATGTTCATATCTAGCACATTGTGTCTTGCATTGAAAATGCAACATTATTGTTTCATTCCTTATAATTTTTGATGGAAAAAGCATGCTATTCTGCATATATCATAATTTCCTTGGCCATTTCTTTAGTGTTAGATATTCATATTGCTTCCAGTTTTCCTCTTACTTATTATATTGAAATCACCTTTCTTAAGGATGTGTTCCTCAACCCCATATTTTGCACTACTTCTACAATGAGAGAATTCTCTAAGTGGGATTGTGTTGGTCATATTGAAGCCCTAGGCCATCTATACCTCTCAGCCTTGAGCAGCCCCGATTCCTACAGGAACCGTGTTAGGCTGCCCTCTCATGGCAGCCACTGTCACTGCACTTGCATGGTTACTTCCACCCTGTTGATGTTGGTCCTCAGAACTGCACTGGGCAATTCAATGAGAGACTGCTCTCTTTGAAGTGAGGTGGGTTTCTCTTTATTCCTAGGATGTTCCTTCTTGATGCCCCGCATTTTCATATACTAAATCTCAGAACCCTTCCCCAAATCATCTCTGAGAGTTGAGACTGACGACATTGCTGGAAAAGAACCACAGAATTTGTACTCTAAGAATAGTTGGGATCATTTTTCTGTAAGCTAATTGTCATGCACTTATCTGTATAAAAAACTACCTACCACTTTTTACCTTCACAAGAAACCTTGAAATATTTCTCTGCAAGTTAATACCCATCACATTTTAACCTTATATATAATGTTACTTTGTAAATGAAAAAGGTTTTTCTTACATATTTTCAGTAGTAATGAATGGCTGGGCCGGGGCTGACCCATGGACATATCCACAAGGGAGGCTAGAGAACCAATCTCTTGCTACAAAACAAGACTTTTCTGCAGTGGTGTTGGGTGCAATGTGGCAGGCTGAGCTGATTCTCTTGTTGTGAAATTGGTTCAAGCCAGCACACACTGAGACCCTCTCTTGACTGTATTCCCTTACTTTCCATGTCCTGCCAATTCTATTTGTCAAGCATCACTCAAATCCATCCATCTCTCCTCCCACTGCCAGCACCCTGCCAGTTCTAGGTGCATTGGTATCTTATCTGGATTTCTGCATGAGCCTCCACCTATCTCCTGCTTTCAGACTTGCCTTTTTAGTCCCTTCTCTGCTTAGAAGTGAGAAGGATCTTTTGGTAAATGGAAGGGTCTTGTTCTGTTTCCCAGGCTGGAGTGCAGTAGTGTGATTGTAGCTCACTGCAGCCTTGAACTCCTGGGCTCAAGTGCTCCTCCTGCCTCAGCCTCTCAAGTAGCTGGGACTATAGGTGTGTGCCATCACACCAGGCTAATTTACTTTTTTTTTTTTTTTGGTAGAGTCAGGGTCTCACTATGTTGCCCAGGCTGGTTTTGAACCCCTGGCTTTAAGCAATCCTTCCATCTCAGTTTCACAAAGTGCTAGGATTACAAGAGTGAGCCACCATGTCTGGCCCTGGGATATTATTTATTTTTTTTACTATCACTTTTTTTTTTGCATAAAAGCCTTTGGTAGTCTCTATAACTCTTGTAATCAAATTCATATTTATTAACATAAGCAGGCTGTGCTTCCTCCGCTGCCTCTGGGCTCTTCTGCATGCTGTTCTCTTGGAACACACTTCTCTCTCTTCTCTATGGGGCTAACTTTGACCAATCCTTAATTCCAATCCGAGGTTTGACTTCTCTGGAGAAATTTTCCTTTATCTTCCAGGTTTCCTATATGCCTCCTGTAATCCAGTATCCCAAAGTTCTCATATTGTGTTAGTTCCAACAAATGAGATTGTAAGCTGTGTAAAGTTGAGGGTATCTTGGTCATGTTTGCTATATCAGTGAGACATTGTGTTTGACTACTAAGAGCAGAGACTAAACAGAATGTGATGAAAGGATGTTTTTCTCACATATCACAATCTAGAGGAAAGCACGTCAGAGCTGGTGTGAGGACTCCATAGGCTCACTGGGAAACCAGTCTTCCTCTGTGTTGCTGCTCTGCACTCTTATCACTTTGCTTTCATCCTTAAGGTTGCTTCATGGTCCAAGACAGCTACCAGAGCTCCAGCCATTACATCCATGATCCAGACAGAAAAATGAAGAAGAGAGGGACAAAAAGAGTTTGCACAGCCATTTTTCTACCATTTAAAGAGATTTCTCATAACCCTCTCCAATAATGTCAGCTTATATCTCATTAGTCAGAACTTAGTTTCGTGGATGTACCTAGCTACAAGCTAGGCCAGGAAATGGCCCTAGAAACAATACCACCCCAACTAAAACAGGTTCTATTATTGGGAAGCAAGATAGGAAAGAAGATAGGCTGGTGACTGGCCTGACATCTGGGTGCTTCCCTCTCTTTCTAGAGCTCCCCAGTTATTAGTGTGCACCTGTGGAAGTCCTGCCTCAGTTCCTCCGCTATCAGTAGAATATCACAGGGGCATTAAACAAATGAAAGAGTGCATTTTTCTGTGTAATCTTTACAGCAATCCTTGGAGGTAGGGACCTTTGTTATCCTCATTATATACACAAGGAAATAGGCTATGACCTTAGTAAGTCATTGTGATTATATATATATGTGTATATATATATAAAACACAATATAAATGTGTGTGTAAATTCTGGCACCATTTTTTTTTTTGAGATAGGGTCTCACTTTGCCACCCAGGCTGGAGTGCAATGGTGCAATTATGGCTCACTGCAGCCTTGACCTCTTTGGGATCAGGTAATCCTCCCAAGTAGCTAGGACAACAAGCACGCACCACCATGCCCAGCTAATTTTTGTAGTTTTTTTGTAGAGATGGGGTTTTGCCACATTGCCCAGGCTGGTCTCAAACTCCTGGGCTCAAGCGATCCACCTGCCTTGGCCTCCCAAAGTGCTGGAATTACATGTGTGAGCTACTGCGCCACACCTCTGACACCATTTGTAACGATGATAAGAATTGATATGAGTGCTGGTGCCCTGGAGTACTCTGCCACGACACTCAACTCAAACTGAGAGAATCAAAGAGGGGAGGAAAGACCAAACAGGAATGGGCTAAGTGAAGAGGGTAGGATGGGGAAGGAGGTCTAGCTTCTGGCATTGTTTTCCACTCCTTGGCTAGCATGTAAATTCTTTGTGGGAGGTCCACATCCTGTCTGTATTCTTCATAACTGGGTGTGAAAATAGGTGCATTGATCATAATGGCAATTTGGTCTTCTAGAAGATAAATTTAGGGCCACTGTCAACCTCACTGGTGAATTGTGCAAATTACAAATAGATGGTCCCTCTGAATGTATGTGACAGGCAAAAGGAAAGGCTCTCCCTCTAGGTGAAGGAAAAGACTCTAGGGTCTATGGCTTTGGGGTTGGCCCCATATGTCCCTTCAGCCAGGGACATACCTTGTTCAGCGTACCCCTTGCACACCATTGCCAATCAGAAGTCATTGATCATGTCCTCCAGATTCCTGGCTCCTGGTCGTGGAATGCGGCAACTCCATCTCTCCAGCGCTTGGTTCCCTGACGCCAGGAAGGAGAAGTGACAGAAGTGACACGTCTGTGTCCCATTGGGAAGGAGGTGAAATTGACCAGCACAAGATCTTTTCCAAGAGTGGGTTCTGATGGGGGCAACAGTAAGCAATCCCTCCAGGCTCCAGGGATCTGGGAATCTCTACTTGCTGTGCTTATCCTCAGAATCACTCTTCAAGACCCCAAGTGCTTGAACAGGGTAGAAAAGGAGTGATTCTGAGGATTAGCACGGCGAGTAGAGATTCCCAGAGACAGACTTGTCCTCCCTCCCAGAGAAGCCTGGTATGGCTTTCCTTAAACACACCCCTCCTTGCGTCTGTGCCTTGAAAATAACTTCAGGGAAAATAACTTTATTTATCCCTCATTATTTTTATGTGACTAATAAATTACAAATAATTCTGGTACTCCTTCCTAATAGCAATTAGGACAAACAATAAGAATCATTTCCGCTGCTTGACAATTAAGGTTCTAATGAGTGAAATTGAAGTCTTATGATGAGGATTTGGACAATTCATTAGTTGGAAGCATAAGCATTTAATAAAGCTAATGAAGTCTTTAGCTACATTTTCCAAACAAAACAAAACAAAAAAATGGACAGGAGAGACAGATGCCAGAAATAGGCCATATTCTTCACAATAGAGAAAAAACTTGCTAAGAGAAATCTTTCAAAAGGATATAAGAACAGAAAGTTAGAATGGTTTGAAATCTCCTGTACCATCGTGGAACAGTAGAAGCTCAACTAGTTTTGCCAATCTAAACGTACAGCTCCATGAATTTTTACATCTGCACACGCATGTGCAGCCACCATGCAAATTAAGAATGAACACAGTTCCATTACTCCAGAAAGTTCCCCCGTGTCCCTTTCCAGGCAATCAGCACCCCAGAGGCAACCACTGAGCTGTTGTCTGTCACTCTTAGTTTGCCTGTCCCAGAACTTCATCTGAACGGAACCAGAATCATTCAGCGCATAGCGTAGTCTTTTGTATCAGCGGCTTTCATTTAACCAAAAGCCACACTGTTGCTCTTTTCAGCAGCTCATTCCCTTGATTTTACATATTTATTTATTTATTCTAGACAGGGTCTCACTCTGTCACCCAGGCTGGAATGCAGTGGCACAATCTCGGCTCACTGCAACCTCCGCCTCCCGTGTTCAAGCCGTTCTCCTGCCTCAGCCTCCCGAGTGGCTGAGATTATAGGTGCGTGCCACCACGCACAGCTAATTTTTGTATCTTTAGTAGAGTCGGGGTTTCGCCGTGTTGGCCCGGCTAGTCTCGAACTCCTGACCTCAAGTAATTCCCCTGCGTGGGCCTCCCAAAGTGCTGAGATTACAGGCGTGAACCACCGCGCCCGGCCAGCAGCTCATTCCTTTTACTTGCTGAAAGCAATCCCATGGTATGAATATACCACAGTTCGTCCGTCCATTTTCCCATTTATAAACATTCGGATTGTTTCCAGTTTGGGGCGATTAGGAATAAAGCTGCTTTGAGCGTTCTTGTGCATGCGTTGTGGCGGTCAGCGCTCCTTCGTAACAGTGGAATTTCCATGTCACTGGGTGCAGTGTGTTGAATTTCACCAGAAACTGTCTTATGGGGTTTTTTTGTTTGTTTTGTTTTGTTTTAGCTAGCCCTCCTCCTCCTCCTCTCTTTCTACATGATCACTTTGTAAATGCTCATTATTGAACTCAGACCTCACCCATGGGCGCCAGCCACAAGGTTTAGAATGATTTTGTTCCTTCGGTTTCCTCCTGACCAGTCCTTCAAACCTCATTTTAACTAAGGAAAAACTAACAGAGGAGACAAACAGTCTGGTCATCACAACGTGCCTATACATCTCTGCAGGGGGTTGAGTGTGAAGAAATAAAAGGTGGCGTGTTACTCAGCAAACGCGACTAGGAAGGCAGCAAGAAGCCAGGGGCTGAGCAGAGCCTGCCGCCTGGGATGAGGTCCGGTGGAAAACCTCCCACTGCCGGGCTCTGGGAGCGGTGCGCGGAGGCGCCGCCTCGGGCTTCCTGGCTGTGCGGCGCCACCTCGCGTCGGCAGGGCCGGGTGTCGGGCTTGCTCAGTGCCTCATCTCCTGGGGGTTTGGGAAATCTCCAGGTCTGGGCGACGTCTGTTGCCAGAAACCAGAGAGCTCTTCTCAGCCTCTTTGGTCTTAATTGTCCACAGTTCCTGACCTCTCTGGAAAGGGCCCCTGAGTGAGCCTCTCGTATCTTGGCCCCTGAGTCCTCGCTGAACCAACAGGCCACCTTTATTCAGTTTCTTCTTCCTGCAGCCCCAAGACCATCACGACCATGGACAGCAGCCTGGGACCTGCAGAACTGCAGCGCTTTCCTCCCACCTCAGTCCTTCCACTGTCTCTCTGCTGGCGCTGCCTGGACACTTCTGCCAGGATGGAGTCATATTTTAAAAGTTCTTCCAGGAAGCCAGAAAGGAAATTGACAGTGAGAATCCACTTCCCTCGGATAGGATAGGTGTGCCAGGTTGTGGTGCCTTACTTGTTTAATCTTTCAACAAGCCTGTGAGGCAGGTATCATGATCCCATTTTTAAATGGGGGAAAATAAGGTTCAGAGAGGTTAAGGATTTTGCCCAAGGTCACACAGCAATTCTAGAAAGAACAAGATCACAAACTTATTACTGGCTGATTCCTCAGTACAATGGTGTTTTTCAGCAGTCCAATGTGCCCCCCTGCCTCCTTCCCCGCCCCCCACATCATTTCCTCCTCCCACCTCCACATCTTGTCCTGCTCTCCTGTAGATGCTCCTGCTTTCGATGCCACATGGTGCATTGTTGGGAAGGAACCCCAGTTGACCCTTTAGACTACTGCCTCAGCCCCCAGTCACTCTCCTTAGTCTCCTTGATAGGCCCCAACCAATTGCAGGCACCGATTTCCACCATTCTCCACCTGTGACCTCTAGCTCGTTGCTTATGGGAAAAAAAGAACCCGCCTGGGATTTGCAATGCTTTGGTCCTTTAATGCCATTTTCCCCCATAGTGATGCTTGTAATGAAGCAAGTAGAAAAACAATAATGTGGAGCAGGAAGGGTCTTTGAAGTCCACTTACTTCTGGCAGTGCCGGATAATAGGCGGGGAGCCAGAGTGTTTAAGGGTTTTGTCCAGCATGACTTAGCGGTGTGGACATCAGGGCCAGGATTGGTTAGAGGGAGGGCAAAAAGATATGCACTTACAGAAATTAAATTGGAGGGAAACAATCACCTGTCCAGGAGGCCTTGAGAGTCCACAAGCATGTCCTTCTACAGTCAGTGTAGAGGTGCTCTATTATGGATTGAATTGTGTTCCTCCAAATTCCATGTATGGAATTCCTACCCCCCAGTACCTCAGAATGTGACCCTATTTGGAGGTAGGGTCTTTACAAAGGTAATTAAATTAAAATGAGTCCGTTAGGGTGTGCCTTAATCCAATATGACTAGCGTCCTAATAAAGGGGAATGTGGAGAAAAACATGCCCACAGGGAGAACACCACGTGGAGATGAAGGCAGGCATCTGCCAGCCAGGAAACAGCAAAGATGGCCAGTGACCCACCAGGAGAGAGACCTGGAACGGGTTCTCCCTCGTAGCTCTTGAGAAGGAAGCATCCCTGCTGACACACCATGCTTTTAGTCTCCTAGGCTCCAAAACTGTGAGACGCCAAATTCCTGTGTTTAAGCCACCCAGTCTGCAGTGCTGTATTACAACAGCCTAGGAAATGAATGCATGCTCTACTGGCTTGCCAAGTTGATGAGGACAGAGTCAGACCCATGTGCTAAGGACGTCACGCTGATGACTATCCTCTGTCTGTGAGGGACTGTGTTAGGCATTTGCTAAAAGATTGCAATCTCTTTCCTCGTAAATCTGGATTGTTTCCACCCGGAAATGATATGAAACCAGTTAGAAATGCCAAACTCTTGTCTCACAAACCATTCTGGTTGAAAAGGAAATAACCTATTTTTGCAGGGCCAGGACTAAGGTGAGGGGAATGAGGCACCTGGGATGCAACACTTTCTCTCAGGTGCTGACTGCATGTTTGATCTGCTCTGAGACTTCACGTCTCCGGAAACTTTGCAGCCCAGGTGTATCTTTCACCTTACTCTCCTGCACACCCTGCCTATTTGCACCTGGAGCCAAAGAGAAGGAAATAAGCATGAAAGATGTCTAGACACTGACGTGTGACTGCTGGAACTGCTGTCACAAGCCCCAAGATGATTCTAGAAAAGGAAAGGCTCCTCTGGACAATGCCTTCATTCTCCTGGGGGGTTCTCCATTCACATTGCTGTGCACGGGATCGGAGTTATGATTTTCATTTTTAGTAATTATCCGGTTGACGGATTTGAGAGAATTCTGGGAGAATACATCGGCAACATGTTCTGATTTTATGAGCTCAAGCTGGCTTTGAAATGAGGCTAGGAGGGCATGAAGAGCTGTAGCTCCATCAGGGATGACCAGCTTGGACTGAGCACTAAGAGCAAGTATTTTCCACATGGCAGCATCCAGCCAAGGGATAGAACTTTTATTTTAACTCGCAGTGAACTATCTACTTTCACAAGAATCTCAGATGAGACACTTGGCCCTGCACCCTGGAATTATGGTTGCCAGAGACAGTAAATAAAATATAGGAGATTCAGTGAAATTTGGAGTTTAGATAAATAATGGACAATTTTTAGAATAAATACGTCCCAGATATTTCATGGGCATACAAATACAAAAATTAGTTATTGTTTATCTGAAATAAATGTAACTGTGTAGCCTGTGTTTTATGTGGTAACTCTCCCTGGATCCTGTGTAAGTCAGCAACCTGAACCGATAGCTGGTATTTCATGTGCTGAGGAGAGTATGATGAGATATAGAGGATTTCTGCTGGTGAAAGTTTACCGCCTTTTCTTGGGACTTACATTTTTCCAGGTTCAAAAGAGGCTTTAATCTTGGTAGATCAAGTGCCTTTAATTATTGAGGCAGGCATGTTCCACCTGGAAGAATTGAAACCAGGCCTTTTAGGCTATAGCAGAGCTACATTGTGGCTGCATAAAGAAATGGAAATGGGGTCGGGACAGCAGCCTGTTTGATTTGGAATTTAAACACGGTCTAGCCTCTAAGACAAGCCTTTCACTACTTAGAGCTGTTTCTTTGCGGTTTCCTCCCAAAGTTAGTGTTTAGGGACTTATTGTCTTTGAACGTAAATTGATTTTTCTTTAAAAATAGTTTGTTCTTAAGAACCATCTTAAGTAATGAGGCCAAGAATTTCCTCCTGATTGAGGTGATTTGAACTTGTGTGTCCACAGTGAGCCTGCAGGCAAGGGGAAGGTAGGGATCTCCTCTCAGGAATGCTCCTCACTGATCCTCCACCCACACATGCATCCCTCCATCCATCTGCCAAATACTGGGTCAGGCATATATTGAGAAGAGAGCGAGCAAAGATAGTTATATTCTTCAAGGAACTCATAGTCTCCTAGAGAAAACAAGCATGCAGTGAGACAATTTTATGACATTTGACTTTGCCATGATAGAATTGGGCACAGGGGATTATGAAAATACACAGACACAGATGTAGGATTTAACTTAGGTGCAGGGTAGAGAGGGTGGGGGGGACAAAACCACCCTCCCTCTCCTGCATTTAAAATAAATCCTACACCTAGAGATATCACTTAGCCAGGTGATATATTTAGAAGGGTGAGGCAAGACTCACTGGTCATTATTTGATTTGTTGGGAAAAGGTAGAGGGAGGAATTTGAGTCCTAGACTTCTTGCGTGGCACATGACTCGCTGTACACAGGTGGCTATTTAGGTCTGGACCTTCAAAGTAGCCACTTTTGGAAGAATTGAAGGACTAGGTCATGATGGATGTTGGGAACACTTCGAGATGTTTATTCTCTGTGAGAATCTCTTGGGAGATTACACATTGATCAATGAAAAATATTTCCCTCTAGTTTCTGGGAACCAAGAAACAAAAGAGCAGGGGTGGGGGCTGAGTTATTAAATAACTCACAGGTCCAGTATTGCCCTTTAAAGGTTTCCTTTTCTTTTGTTGGAATCCATGGTATCCTAAGCGCAGCATATCCATGAGCTTACAGGCTAAATGCAGGGAGTACAGGAAAAAGAGGGCTGGCCATGCGTTCCTGCTTGGTGTGGTGGTGGCTGCTTCCAGAGAGTTGCCCAGCCAATGGAATGAATCAGTAAAACCTGGCAGATTTGCCTTGTGAATTGGACTGCGTCTTTGGACGGCACGCTGCAACAAAATGGGTAATACCCAGCTCCATAGATTGTATTTTTGGGCAAAATGTACTAGATGAGCTACAGATTGTATTTTCCATGCCTCTGTGACTAATGTTTGCAATTACTAATTGTTGGGGACAGCTCCCACTGCGACAGACATCTTCGGTATTTTTTAATACGAAATTAGTCATGTAGATTCCCTGAGACTTAATGTTTTATTAAATCAGTCTCTCAATTTCTCTCTCTCTGTCTTTTCAGAGGAGAGCTGTGTGCTGTGTGCTCCTGCAAGATTTGTTTGTTCATGTACATTTAAGGCAAAGTGGGCCGGTTTCTGCTCCGAATTCAAACAAATCCCTTTTCTGGTCAAAATGACAAAAGGGCCTGAAAGACAACTCTTTGATCAGCATGATCAACTATTGGATGATACTTTTGTTCTACACCAGTGCAGCTTGCAGAATGTTTATTTGGCAATAGAAAAAAGGTCACTGTTTTAAGGCAGTTCAGAAACCAAATGTTCCCATAATATGGCAGCTTTCTCACAAAGCACCCCTTGGCTTTGCTGCTTTGGAATCTGTGCTTTTGAAAGCTCAAGCTCTTTTAGATGTGTCAGCGTGTGTGTGTGTGTGTGTGTGTGTGTGTGTGTGTGTGTGTGTGTGTATGGGGTGAGGGGAGTCAGTGGTTAGAGGTCTGTTCATTACGAAAGCTGAGATCTCCGCAATAAGGAAAGTATTTATATCACAAGGTGAGTTCTTTAAATAAGGGGGTGGTGGGCGGAGAATCTCTGAGCTAGGTGTGACATATGTAGGAACAGAACACTGTGTGCACAGAAACTTGAATCAGGTTTTGTTTTTTACTACCCAATCCTTTCTCTTAAGCAGCCTGTGTACGTGCCAGCCTGAAACAGAAAACCTCTTTAGTGAGCTTCTGCGGAATGTCTCTTTACCGCCACCTGTTGTTCAGGAAAACATTAGGGCTCGGACCGGGCCCTGGGAGATGGTCGGCCTGCCTGAGGTGCGTCTCTAGTCTGGACGCCATCCTACGTGGAATTCAGTGAGGCACAAGTTGCAAAAGTGTTGCCAGCCAAGCCTGTCACAGCTATCAGAGAGAGCTGGAAAGCGACATATTTTATTGACATAGAGCAAGCTGCACACTGAGTTACTAATCATTATTGATTTAGAATGTTACAAAGCCATGCTTCCCGTTTCAATAGAAGCAATGAAAAGTATTTTAGAGGTGGAAATTGCCTCTTCAAACAATATTAAGGAAAGATAAGTCGAGGTAAAGAATTCCAAGGTTCGGGTTGTGTTAAACACCATCGCGGCCTTTGATATGCTAATTACAAATACGTGGGGAAAGTTGAAAGTAATCACTGTCATGGGTCAAAACCCTAGTCATCTAAAGTTAACCCAGGTGGCCTACTGTATACATTATATTTATTTTTGCTTCTCTTGGGTATACTAAATGTGACTGACTTCATTCATTAAAGCTTCAGATTTGGCTTATTTGGTTAACATCTGTTAGGACTGGGGGGGTCTTACTCTTAATTGGTCCCATCTGGACTGGAGGCGGAACATACAGAGGATGATCTTAATGGACTGAAGAATCCGCACTTTTATATCTTGCAGAAATACTTGGTTTTATTTGTTAAGGTAGTACTATAAAAAAATATATATATATTGTTCATGTGGGATACTTCAATTTTAAAACCCAACATATAACAAAAGATGATTGGGATATGAGAGTTGCATCATTTAGGGTACCAGTACCTGGGAGCGTGTGTGTGTGTGTGTGTGTGTGTGTGTGTGTGTGTGTGTGTGTGTGTGTGTGTTTAGCGATGCCATGTGTCTTCCTTTCTGGGGGGTTTTCCTTTCTGCAGCTCCCACCTCTTGTTGTGGGCGCCATCTTCCTCCTTGTCTGGCTCTGGTTTCCATAGCTGCGGCTGGTCCTCAATTGCACACAAATGCCGTTCTGCACTCAAAGCCACAATGCCACGGGGCATAGTCGTGTTCCTGTGCTCTAGATCTCTCTTTATGTAATTTGAGAGCTCATTAATAAGTACCATGTCGTGTGATTGAAAAATAGAAAAGGAGACCCGGCATCAAAAATAAAATCTTAGAAGAACTGAGTTAGAAACACAATGCATTTTTTTTTCTTTCTTTCTATCAATTACAGTCACGATGAGGGGAGATCCAGATACTCCACTGTTCAGCCCCCACCACAACCTCCGCAGGGAGCAGAAATCTCCGCAGATTCTTTGGACTGATTTTCGGATATATCTTCATTGCAGAAGGGCTTTTTTAACATTCTGATTTTACTCCATTTAATTCTTGCCATCCTATCCTAGCTGGGAAGGTTACCTCTGTGTGTGTGTGTGTGTGTGTGTGTGAGTGTGTGTGAGAGTGTGTGTGTGTCTCTGTGTGTGTCTCTGTATCTCTGTGTGTGTGTGTCTCTGTGTGTGTCTCTGTGTGTGCGTGTCTCTGTGTGTGTCTGTGTGTGTGTCTGTGTGTCTCTGTGTGTGTGTGAGTGTGTATGTCTCTGTCTCTCCGTGTGTGTGTGTGTGTGTGTGTGTTTGTGTGTGAGTGTTGGGAAAAAGGGATAAGCCTTTGAGCACTGATTGAGAGTCTTTTCTCAGGGATGCGAGGGTGTCACACCTGGATGGTTCCCTGCAGCTGCCCATGTACCTATTACCCTAGAGACTTGGGCTGAAATGTGAAGCAACCTTTCAGAAAACTAAATTCCTGTACATTCAGGATAAGGGGGCTCTTTAATACTGCCACGGGGGGCTGTGAGCTGGACTTGGAGGTGATGACAAAAGTGACAACGCCACTAGATGTTTCCTACCTCACATCGCATTTGGCCTTTTTTTAGGTTTTAAAAGGGTGGTAGGGAACTTCCCT
The DNA here is from genome assembly GCF_000001405.40 of Homo sapiens. NCBI lineage: Eukaryota > Metazoa > Chordata > Mammalia > Primates > Hominidae > Homo > Homo sapiens. Next base: position 97,897,233 of record NC_000015.10, on the reverse strand, counting down.
CTGTTACAGCTGCATTTTCACAGATGAACTTTGGCCTAGGTATAAAGACAGACTGCCTGTCCCTGTTGGAAGGTGCATAGAACAAAAATGTGTATTCGATAAGAGGCTTAATGTTTTATGGGGCTCCAATATGTTTGGTGATATTTTTCCAGCTTACAGTTTTCTTATTATTTGATAGACATGTGTGTCCTGAGAGGTATATATATATCTCTCTCTCCTCTCATACTCATATCTTCAGTTAGGACCATATATGCTTATGAGTTCAAGTTATTCCATTCTTTAGTGGGAAAATTATTGAACTATTTTGATACTTTTTGGAGCTTCAGATGATCAGAGGTCCCATGCTATGACAATATTTCAGGACTGGCTTTAGGTGAAAATCTGTGCAGGAGTTGAGATCATTTCCCACCGTTTGAGAGGCAGCCTCTCCCCATTAAAGAAAGGCCTCTGAGACTCAGGTGCTGGGGAGACAGGCAAGTGCACGCGCTGTCCTGTGGCTGCCTTCAGGTCTGCTTCTCACATGCATGGACAGCTTTGAGCAAATGGGGCTCAGTGCCCGGAAGCAGATTCTGCAGAAGCAGAGTGTGGCAATGGGATTATTGCAGTCATGGGATGGCAAAGGAGGGCTGCAGGCCAGCGGACACTAGACATTTTCTGACAGTCCAGCATTTCCAAAGGAAAATTGGACTTCCATTACACAAAGCATTTGCATTTCATGTGCAAAATGCATTTGTGTAGACGTGCATAATTTTGAGTTGTGAGGATGCATCCTCAGAAGACACAAATGGAAGAAGATAGGGCATTTAAGAACAATTTAAATATGCCTTTTAGCCTAAGGAGATAGGTAGATTATTAATCAATGATTGACTTGCTCTTTAAGATTCTGGCATGTCTAACGTGTTTCAAAGTTCTTTCTTTTCCGTGGTGTTTTTTCAGTATTCGTGATGGTACTGACGTAGAAGAGCTTGAATTTCAAGAACAATAGCATAGGGAAAAATTTAAGTTTATTGGAGTGTATTTAAACATCATAACTCAATATTCACTAAAATCTTGTGCTGTACAGTTCAGGAGTCACTGGCAAGGATGACATAAATTTGTGCTGTTCATTTAAAGCTGCCATGTATCTTTTCTTAAACACAGTTTACAATTCATTTGGCTTTAGAGCCCTACAATTATATGCTTCTTGGTCAAGTAAAAAAGTTTAGGAAAAGATTCGTGTTTCCATTTTTTGGTATAATGTGATATTTATGAATATTTTAATTGTGTCTATCTCAAATTTGCACATTAGAAATTTGCATAAAATGTAAATGCATAGTATTTTTGAGGGTACAAGTATCTAAGTATTTAGAAGCTGAATTTTTCTCTCAGGGCACAGTTGTAATGGTTGTTGGTTTTTCCTTTTAAAGACTTTTTTTCATTGTGGTAAAGTACGCATAAGGTAAAATTTATCTTAACCATTTTTCAAGGTACAGCTCAGTGGCATTAAGTACATTCACATGTTGTGCAACCATGACTACCATCCATCTCCAGATCTTTCATCTAGTAAAACTGACACTGTGTCCATTAAACCATCCCTCTCAATTCCCCCCTCCCCTCAACCCCTGGCAACCATCATTCTACTTTCTGTCTCTATGAATATACTACTCTAGTTACCTCATGTAAGTGGAATCATGCAGTATTTAGGGTTTTTTTTGTGTGTGTGACCAGCTTATTTCACTTAGCCTAATGTCCTCAAGGTTCATGCATGTTGTAACATGTGTCAGAATTCTCTTGTTTTCTAAGGCTGAATGATAGTTCGTTATTTATCTATAGAGTACCTTATTTATGCATTCATCTGTCTATGTACACTTGAGTTGCATCTACATTTTGAAAATTTTGAATAATGCTGCTATGAACATGGATCTACAGATATGTTTGGGTGCCTGTTTTCAATTCTTTTGAAAATATACTCTGATTTGGATTTCCTTCCACCCGTCCTAATTTGAATGTTCTCTCTCTATATATATACATATATATGTGTGTATATATACATTTATGTGTATATATGTGTGTGTATATATACATATATATGTACACACACACACACACACACACACACACACACACACACACACACATATATATTTGGAGATGGAGTCTTGCAGTGTTGCCCCAGGTGGAGTGCAATGGCGCGATCTTGGCTCACTGCAAACTCCACCTCCTGGGTTCAAGTGACTTTCTTCCTTCAGCCTCTCGAGTAGATGGAATTATAGGCACGTGCCACCACGCCCAGCTAATTTTTGTATTTTTAGTAGAGACGGGGTTTCACCATGTTGGCCGGACTGATCTCAAACTACTGACCTCAGGTGATCCACCTGCCTCAGCCTACCAGAGTGCTGGGATTACAGGTGTGAGCCACAGCTACTGGCCTGAATGTCCTATATAGTCTATATGCTATTTGTTCATTCTGCTTGAAATATTCTTCCCCCTATTCACTACAGTCAGCACCACCAAAGTCCTACTCATATCTCAAGGACTGACTGAATTTAATGTCTGTTCTTTGAGATGCCTTCCTGGAAATTCTCAGCAGAAAGCAGGCTCCCTATGCTGTGTTCGCAGGACACCTTGCCCACATAAGCTGGGCATGGTTTACAGGAAAAATGACTGGGGCACAATAAACAATTGCCGCTATATGGAGGTTGTTGATGACCACTTTCATTAGCAAATACAGACCCTGTGACAGGTACTAGCAGGGCACATGCTGGTTACTACATGGTCCCTCTCTTAGAGGCATTCCTGGCAGTCTCCTTGTACAAACAGGACATACTCATATAGAAGGAGGCACACAACAGGGTATCATATCTTCCATGGTAAACATGATGATGTTTGCAGACTAAATACTTCTAATCTGATACCAGAAGCATATTCCCTGCGTATTTTAATTGAACTAGAGTTAATTGAATATGTACTATAAGTCTTGCACTGTAGGGAACACGAGTTTCTACGGCACCTGGAACTGGCACGATCATAAAAATGATGAATAGACACTTTACTTCCTCCTGGTGTTGAAACCATTTATGGTTCACAATAGGTGCTACACATGCTTTTGAATGAATGAATCAGCATTTTGGAAAGCTTTAGTGAGTCATCCTATTTTTACTCCTTTTCTGTATAAATGATAGGTTCTGACACCTGATAGTTCAATACAGCCACAACGTCATTTAACTAAAGCCTCCAATTGAGGATTTCAGCATTGCTCTCTCACCAGTCCCCTCTTGGAGGAGCTTAGGCAGGGAAAGAAGGATAGGGGTAGAATCAGCCTCTTTTTCTTCACCAAAGGGTGGTCTCTGCTGCTGGTTCTAGGCTTCTGGCCAGGGTTCTTCACTGTCTCTTAACCTTTTCATTTTGTAGTTGAAGCCCCTTTACAGATGGCCCCCAACAGGCCCACTGGCAATTGTCCACTGTCTGCCGAGTGGCCTTAGAAACGCCACCATAGCCATTTTCCTGGTAGCCAATGAAATGACAGTTCCCAGAACTGCCCCTTCCTTCCACTCCTGATAGTTTTAGTGTTCTGTATATCCAAGCCCAGCCACACAAACAATAAAATCACTGAGCTCTCAATAAATATGAGTAGACCAATCACTTATTCAACCCAAAGGGGAAATTTGGTTTACTCCTAAGAAACCAGCTTTTACATCTTTTCCACCACCAGAACAATTGCACCTTGATTTTCATAGAATTACTTTTACTAACTCATGTCAAAATGAACCATAAATTCTGATGTTGATGTTGATGTTGATGTTGATGAGACAAAGGCATTCAATTCCATTTTCGGTTTCAATACAGAAGACATGCGTTGACTTCTTACCATGTGCTCAGCAATGGAACAAGAGGGTCCGGGGGCTTCCTCTGTGATTTCTGAGCCAATGAGGATTAACATAAGATCATCAAATGCGGAGACAATAGTAACAACATTAGCAGCAGCTGACAGTTATGGAACCTTACTGTGTGCTGGGCACGCAGCATGTTCGTATGCATTATCTCATTTCACTCTTAAAGAACTCTAGCTAGATAAGTGTCATTATTATTTCTGTTTCACAGATGAAGAAATAAAGGCTCAAGGAGATTATTTCCTTACTTATGTTTGTGCCACTCTGGAGTGGTGGGGCCAGGATTTGAATCCATGTCAGTTTCTAGAGTTAGTGCTGTAAGCCAATTACACTGCTGCTGCTGCTACCAGCTAGTCATTTACTGAGTGCCGAATCCTCATAACTGTACTGCGAAGGAGGTACCATTACCATCTCCACTTTTGAGACAAGGAAACTGATGCACAGAAAGGTTAGTAACTTGATCAAGGCCACGCAGTCCATGGCAAGTCCATGATTTGAATTCCTTAATCTAGCTCTATAGTAACAGCTCGTACACACTGTCCTAGCTCCGTCTGGTAGCAATACAGATAACCAGCATCTGGTCATCCAGGCAAGACATAGTGTTCTGTTTTGAGGACAGTTGACACAGTGCTCTCATCACAGAAATGCAACCTCTTAGGGCTCTGCTGAATGGTGAAGTGGCCTCCCCAGCCATGGCCTGTCTGCAAAGCAAGTGAAGCTTCTGCCTCTGTGCTTCTCACTCGCCGGGGCCCTTCGACAGCCCTGGGAGAGACTGTCACGCTGTCCTGTGTATTTTTGGTAAAATGTGGGATACTAAATAAGATTTTGTAAAATGTGAAAAAGAATGTGTATGTTTCTTGAAGAGACCGTGACCCGTGTTTGTATAAATCTGTGGTTCTCAAGGTATGGACACTCTGTGTGGACCAGCAGCTTTGGTGCTACCGAACAACTTGTTAGAAATTTCCCAGTCCCTCGTCATGCTCACCTAAACTGAAGCTCTGGGAATGACGTCAGCATTTGGGGTTGACCAAGCCCCCAGGGTGCTTTAGAACAACCCTGAGCCTCATTCCTCTCCTATGCAAGGCCCTTTCCAAGGCTCTGTAGCTAATGTTATGCTGTAACTTTTTATTCTCTTTCTTACATGGCATGCCCAAATTGTATAAGCTTCAGGGCCTCCAGCTGGATCTACCTCGGGTCAGAGTGTTTAAATGTGCTTGTTTCCCTACCACTGAAATGGAGCTCATTTCTGTCTGGACAACTTTGTGTCTCATACAAATTTTATGATTTGGTTCAAATGTTCGAACTTGACAGTTAACAACATGAAAATATGGGTTACCCAGAGAGAGAGATTGGTGTACACAGCAGGAATGTAACCTGTACCAATCAGTCCACCTGTTCAAGGGTGGCTCGCATCACCCCAGGGCTTAAGGCAGGCTGTGACATGGCACCCTTTGAAGTTTAAAGAGACACAGAAATAGGGCTTTTAAGAGCTTTGTAACATCTTCATCAAGCTATCAGTGAAAACCAGGCAGCATGAGGGCAGCCACTGTCCCACCCTCACCAGGATGTCCAGGCCTCCCAGGCTGAAGGGCCCTGCCTGCCTCATCTAGGAGAAGGTCCTGCGAGCCTCTGCCCAAGTCACCAGCTGTTGTGGTCTTGTGAAGAGCAGAAGCAGGTGAGGAGAATTGCAAAATGTTGTTGCTGCCTCCTTGGCAGCCCTTTCTCTTTTCTCTCCTGAGGAAACTCAGGCCCAGGAAGAGAAATAAGGGGTTTAGTGACAGAAGAAGTGATGGTGGGGCCAGGCGCGGTGGCTCACTTCTGTAATCCCAGCACTTTGGGAGAACAAGCTGAGTGGATCATCTGAAGTCAGGAGTTTGAGGCCAGCCTGGACAACATGGTGAAGCTCCATCTCTACTAAAAATACAAAAATTAGCTGGGTGTGGTGGTGCATGCCTGTAATGCCAGCTACTTGGGAGGCCGAGGCAGGAGAATCACTTGAACCTGGGAGGCAGAGGTTGCAGTGAGCCGAGATCGTGCCATTGCACTCCAGCCCTTGTGACAGAGAGAGACCCTGCCTCAAAAAAAAAAAAAAAAAAAAAAAAGTGAGTGATGGTGGGACCAGTATAACCAAAAACACCTACCAACTTCCCATGGGTCTTCCTACCCTATTCTATTGCTTCTTGGTTAGTTCTCAACACCATCCCTTTTCCATTTTTTTTCTTTAGAATCTAGAGATTCAGAGCTGTGCGCTAAGACTTACCTGAAAGAATGCTCCGTGCAATATTTTTTATTATAATAAAAATAAGAAACAGCGTGAATATCCCAAAAGAGCAGAGTGCTGCATCTATTATAGGAACCCTTAACATGTGAAGTCATTAAAATAATATAGTCATTAAAATCATGACAGGGAAAATTACTAAATGATCAGGCAGAGAATGTTCGTGATTGTTGGCTTATTGCTGGTTTAGAGAACAGTTTAGAAATGATTATACTCAGTTCAATTCTGGTTTTGTAAATTTTGTATATAGAAAGAGCAGTGAATATAAATATTCCAAAATGTTATCAGGGCTATCTTTTAAACATGGTGAGATATTTGGTGATTGTTTTATTTTTGTGTTTTTTTTTTCTTTCTTCAAATAACATACACTAAATAGGTTTTGCTTTGTAGTCGCAGAAAAGAAATGCCAAACCAGCAAATTGGATGGTAGTGCTATTTTTAATTTTGCACAGACATTTTAATGTTGACAGATTTAAGTGAGACTTTTCAGTGTGTATCAGTTGAGAGACTGAATATACAAACAGACAATGGCCAGATCATGTATAAAAATAGAACTCTGACCTACAACCTGAAGCAGCCAGTTGATGAAGCCAAATATAAACCCCTATAGCCATTAGCCCAAGATGGCCAGGGTTTAACCAGTAACAACACTTTCTTAATATTTGTCCCTCCTTCCAATTTGGGGCCAGCTGGAGAAGCCCAGCTCCTCACTCCTAACCAATCCTATAGGATGCCTGGTTTCTAGTGAGCCTGTTTCCAGCCTCCTACACTCCAACAGCTTCCAATCAGGGCACATCGAAGCCTCCCTCTTTCCTTCCGCTGTGAGCTTTCTCATTCCTCTACCTGCCCTTGAGTCTCTGCCAAACATGAGTGATGGTGGCTGATGCCCTTGTTGTAGCAAGCTCCGAATGAATGTTCTCGTTTTGGTGGTCTTTGTTTATTTCCACACAAATTTTAGTCTTCTGGAAAACAATGTGCTTTAAAAAAAATTCACCTCGATACAGTATTATGTTGTCCCTGGTATGAAAAATCTGATTCCTCAGTTTTGAGAAAATTTTAATCTCAAGCCAAGCACTAGGGCCAAATGGTCCCCAATGCGTTGGTGAGACCAGGGTCCAACTCACCGTGAATGAAATAGACACAGAATTTAAGATTGTATTGCGTTATAATTTCCTAGTAAGGAAAAAGCAGTACCAAGAGTAGAGAAATCACAGCTTTTATTAGTAGATCCATGGGATCCTAATGTTCCCAAATTATTTGCTAGGTCTCATTACAGTGTCCCTCTGGTATTAAATTCAGTTAATAGAAAAATTAATAGCAATTTGATTACCTGGCAAATGAGCTGAGTCTATGGTAGATGTCAGACCTGCAAAAAGCTTTGATCTTGAACAGGGTCAAACAGTATCAGCTGTGCTGTGAGCAGTCAGGCTAACAGTTTTCACTGTGTGAATGATTATTCACCAGTTGACTGAATGGATCAAACTTTGTTATTAATAAGGGAAACTAAGTATTTGAGGCTTTTTCATCCGGAGAAAGCCAGGACTAACTTCAGAAATTTGGAGAAGAGGAATGCCAAACAAATTGGAAGTGTGCTGAAATCAGGCAGGAGGGGCAGAGAGAGTGTGAATACGAATGAGGAATTCTGGTTAACCAATAGGTTTTCAGAAGACATCTGTAGTGAAATACCCTGATAGAAAAAAAACAAGGATAATTTGACCCCTGTATTAATGAGTGTTTGTGGGTGGTGGTAAGGTGACATAGAGAAAAGTCAAAAATCCAAGCCATTAAAAAGAATTGATGCATCTATGCTAATGCCAAACAATTGGCTTGCTTTTCCAAAATCAGACAGTTTAGTTTCCACTTGTAACATTGATTCCGATGGCTACTTTATGTATGGTAGGCCCATAGTATATGTGTAACAAGTGTGTATATTCAATACAATGAGCTGGAGATCAAGGGGGATCATACAAAATCAAAAAGGTTTCCCTAAATTCAAGCTGAGTAATAAAATGTATGCTGAATGGAGTTTTTCAGTAGGCAGTTTTTTCTATAGAGGAATACATTATGCTTTTACTGTATATTTTAATAAATGCTTCCAACTTCAGAATTTGGTGAAAAAATTGTAGGAGTATGGCATCCAAGAACAGTTGCAATTTATTTTGTTTTTATGCTGATTTTAAATGTATAAAAAGATGTATCTGAATATCTTAAAGGCAGAAGCATTAAACCATTAAATAGAGATAGAAGAAGCTGGCATTGTCATTAGAGAGCATACTGCAGATGGACGATGGCCACTTTGTCCTTACCTCCAATATCAGAAGGGGTATATTAGAGGTAAGGTCAGCTCCACAGGTAGGTAGTGGGGTGTTGTCATAAGTTTACTGACAGGTCCACCTTATCCAACCAAGGTGATCACCTTACCCACTTTCTTCGGCAGCTATCTATGGTTCTAGCAATTGTAATTTTTGTTTTTTGAGGGTAAGACAATTATGGCAAAAGAGTTTCCAACTTTCCAGTTGACTCTGTTCCACTGGAAGCGGCTGTGGCTGCTCAGAATCCAGTGTTAAGGACTGTAAGATTGTGTCTGGGCTTAGAGCGAACAAGTGCAGGTATTGATTGGTGGGGCCTGCAACAGAGAGGAGTCAGGGAGAGTTGTCTTGGACCTCTGGTTTTATTCTCAGGAGCTGCCATACAACGTGTGCACTTTAGTTCCTACCTTAACAGTTTAGATCTTTTAATGTCTGCAGATGAGTAGAGTCTGCACAGGTTAGGTATGTTTGGATAGAGTTTGAAGAAAAGAGTCTGTTGCTAGACATTGCTGCGGTGAGGAAGATTAGTCTACTTTAAGTTTTGGCAGCAGGGAAAGTGGGATTCCTGGTCAACTGAGTGGAAAGTAGAAAAGCACCTGGCATGATGGTGGAAGAGAGGGGAGTTTATTGAAGGCAAGTGCTTCCCGAAGAAGAGCTTACATGGTCGTCATTTTGCCAGCCCTGGATCCATCATTATTTCAAACATTGATGCTTAAATACTCAGGTTTCCCAGCTCCAAGGGGGCAATCCTTTCTGTCATACCCCCCACTCCGAAATGTTTTATTTCCCTGTGTTCTCAATGCAGTCTGAGCAGATCTTTCTTTAGAGCTCTTAAAGAGGAACAAAGACATTTTTGGGTAATGAAAACTAGATGCAAGCAAGTGGAAGATGGCATGCTATAGATATCATTCTGGGAACCGCGGAAGGCAAAACTGTATGTATTGATTTTCAAGTAGAAAATTAGGTGGGGAAGATCATCTTTCAAAGTTGGCTAAAAAATAAACTTGTCCATTCTAATGCCTAATTAAGATGCTCTGTCAGAAAACAAGAAAAGGGCTGTATATAATATCACTGGGGGCAATGAAAACCCTTGGTTTCTTTTGCATTTAATAGGATGTCATGAATAGAAAAAGTTACCTTTTATTATTATTTTTTAAACTGAGGCTGGAAAATAATATAAGAAGCTTTTCTCATTAGGCTATGTCTGAGTGACCCTCCTGGTCTTACTCCATATCATAGTTAGAGAAAAATTCATGGATCGATGTGGTTTCTGGGACAGGACGTTGCATTTCATGTTGATGAGACTCAGGTTTACTTTATCATAGATGATTAATAGGTGTTACGTGTTAAATTCGATGATGGATAAACTGTTGTATAATTTATTTAGTTTTCAATCTAGAAAATTTAGAATAAAAAATATGAAGAAAGTACTAAACTTTGCCCCATTTTTCCTTTTTCCCCCAAATAAAAGAATACTGGACCAATTAATGGTCCCTGGCTACATATGGATGCAATATGGGTCTGAGAATGCCTGATGACAGAAAGCAGAGTTGTAATCTATTCCAAATGGACCATCATCTGGATATTTGAAATGCCATGCTGTAAACAGTGTTCCCTTGTCTTATAGGATGTTATGTAGGATTGAATGCAGATGAAAGCCTAAATTTATATAATGAAGCAAAGCATAAAATGAACGCTAACCTTCTAAGTGCTCCTTTTTTCATTGTCAGATCCTGTTAACTGCCTGTCTTCTAATAGCAGTGCAACTTACGTCTTTAATGCTGTGGCCATTTGGTGACCCTCATCATTTTTCTCTCTCTGTCTCCCAAAGAAGGGGGTGAGAAATTTAGAATTCAAAGGGACTTTGGAAATCTTTTGGTCTACCCAACCTCACCTTATAAATAAAGAAAGTAAGGTACAGGGAATCTATATTGTTCTACAGCTTGGTAGGTAGCAGATGAATCAGGAATTTAGTCTACTGGTTCCTAGGACAGGGTAATTTGAATGCTGCTGTGGGATCTTTCAGCAAAGATCTTTCTTGCCCTGTAATAGGCCTATCCCCAAGGGAGGACTGATTTCACCAGCTTATCATCATAAACCAGACTAGGGACACAGAATTAACAATTAAATTATGTAGACTTCATTCATATATTCATTTAGAATAGATTTATTTTCCTTAACCTCTTATTAAAAACATATACACACTCAGTGTAAAGAATATCAGCAGTATAGAAATAGATATGTAAGGGAAAACATTTCTCCTGTTTCCACTGCATCCCGCTTCCCAGAGATATTTGCTTATGAGAACATACTGTATATCCTTTCAGACATTTTCTATGCATAGGAAAAAATATGTGTTACAGTATATAATGTAGTATATCCATAACCAGTTGTTAAAAATGGAAGTATATTGACATATTTTTCTGAACTTTTCCTTTTTTATCTTTTTCCACTTGATAACATCAGACACTTTTCCATATCTTATTTATCTAATTTGCTCTTATTATCAAGTACATGTGTGTATACACTAAATATTTATAGATAGGTAGCAATCCATAGTTTGCAGAGGATATGTGTGTTTATTTAACCATTTCTCTGTTGATGAGCATCTATGTAGCTCCCAATTTTCATTGCTGAAAACAGTATACAACGAGTATCTCTCTGCGTCCTTATGCCAACAGATCTATAGGGCGTATCCCTGGAAGCAAAATGTCTGAGTCCTTCAACTTACATTTATTAACTATTGTGTGCAAAGTCCTAGGAGGGCTATAAACAGGAGACCATTTTTGCAGGTAAAGAAATATTTCCTGTTCTCATGAAGCTTGCAGTTTAGAGAGCAAGAAATGTATACATGTATGGATTTCCAGTAGAAAATCATGAGTGCTCTGCAGAAAACACAGAGGAACCACAATGGGTGGATGAAAACACCTTGACTTTCTAACCCAGCCTGTGCAAAGTGATAATTACTTAGAATTGGTGATCTCAGTGGGAATGCACTGAAAATGTCCAAATAAAGTGATTTGCCAAGGTCAAGATGAATGAGTTGCGGCATATGGGAATGGACAAAGTGATTTGTTAACTGAAATAGGTGCACAAGTGTCTAGAAAACATAATTGGTTTTGAACTTGTAGGAAGTATTTATATTTGTGAAGGAGATAATTGTTGTGGTTTAAGAGATAATATAAACTGGAAGAAATTTTGTTTCATGGATCTTCCCTCAGTGTTTGATGTAAGAAAGGCTTTTACTTTGGCTCGAGGCCAATATGCTTTAGTTTCCAACTTCATATATATGCAAATTTAGCTATAGGTAGCCTTCGTTTGAATCTGGACCATTTTGGCAAATTATATGTTTGTCTTTGGTGTAGTAGAGGTTAAGAGAGAACATGTCTATTTTTTTCTTCTTTCAATTATAATCCCAGCCTGGATTTTTCTAGGAGAGCTTTTTCTCAACCTTCACCAGCCTTAGTGAAATCATCCTCCTCCTTCAGGATCATACAATAGTATGTAGGTTTTGGGGCTTAAAAATCTATTCAAGCATAAAAATATTCATTTGGACATGAAGGTTATAGTCATGTGCTCCAATATCTTTTCAGGTGAGAAATTCAGTGGGAAAAAATTCTTGTTTCTATCTATTTCAAGTGAGAAATTTAGTGGGAAAAAATTCATATTCTTCTTGAGTTTGATACTTAACAAAAATCCCTTCAGTAAAACCTCAGAATCCTCTTTTTCTCCATTTAGCTTCCTGGTGTTGAAGTTGCTTCATCTTCTATGCAATACAAGCCTAGCCCCACTTGTAACACTCAGCAAATTGAATGTTCCCATCATTGCACAGTGAAATCCACAGAATAGCAGGGGAAGGTAGTCAGGAAGAGACTGTTGTTAGGGCAGAATAAACAGCAATTTTCAGAGGCAAAACTGGGAGAACCTGAAAACATTTTCACCATTTGAAATATTTCTCAACTCCTGGATATAAGAGGGCAACACCCTAAATCCTGGCAACTAGATCCCTACTTGAGAGATAAAACCTAGAGCAAAACAGACTTGCCTTCCAAGGGATGCAAAGCAGCCAGCCCTGTTGGAAGGTTCCCTTAGGTCTGTGATGTCATCAGACATTGAAGGAGGCTCCCTAGGAGCCTGAGTGCGACCAGCAATGACCACAAAAAATAATTTTGTCTTTCACAGGTGTCAGAACTGCAAACGAAGGACTGTTTGTAAGTGATGAAAGCCTCCCCGCCCCTCTCCCAGTCCATTCCCCTTTTAAAGTCAGCTTTAGTGGTTTAAAGCCATGCTGGTAATTTTCAAGTTAAGAAAGCATTTTGATAGGGATAAACACTCCTATAGAGAAACCCTCTGGAAATGGTGCAGTTATCTTGCTTATTGATCATCAGAAATATTAAAAAATTGGGCACAATTTGCTTTCAATGGGATTTTGACTACTACATCATAGTGAAACATATCCTAGAGATTTTTAAAAATTATAATTGTTTTATTATTTAAAATAGTAATAAAAACCATTTGGGATGGTCATGGGTTAGGACACAGTGGGCTTAGAATCAAGTAAACCAGAGCTCAGGTCCTCCCTCTGCACTTACTAGATTTGACAGCACGCACAATTTCACCTTTCTGTGACTCAGTTTCTCCAGATGTAAAGTGAGACTGATAATAGAATCTTTCATATAAGTTTACTGGGAGTAATAAATGCAATGATTGACAGCATGTGTCTAGCACAATGCTCAGGCATTATAAATATCACAACTCATACCAGTAATGATTCATGTTATGCCTTAAATATCCATTATTGAGAATATTACTTAATATTATGTGCCAGAATTAACAGCCTTTAAGCCAATAGGACTAATTATTGTTCTTTAGTTTTCATAAACTGCACTTTATCCAAAGTGTTTATAAAATGAAAATTAATAATTTGGGCTAATAAGTAGGCATCAATATACTAACTGAGCACTGATTTTAAAAGGCATTTGATTTTCCTCCTTCATTCAACATCTCTCTAATGGTACAGAGGACATGACCAAATTCTACTATGTGCTGGATCATTGTAAATCTCAAATCTCATTGTCGTCCATGGAAGACAATTCTGAGAATGTGAAGCCCAGTGTTTTAAAGGGACTGACATGGTGCTTGGTTCGTGGTAAGCACTTAATAATGTAAATTATTTTTATTATCCTAAATCTGTACTTTTCTGATATTGACTCTGTGTTGACTTACTCTGGCAGATGTCCCTTGCAAGGGTGCACAAGCCAATTATCTTGTGAATGCTTTGTCTACACAGAGTGTAGTTTGAGGACAGGAACTGTGTCTCCTGTACCTAGCAAGATAATGGTTCCTGGTAAGCAGGAAGCATCAAGCACAGTAGTTGGCACACAGTAGTCTCTCAGTTAATCAGAATCTATCTCGTTTTTCACCTTGGAGTGGTGTCATTGACTCATTGAACACCTCTTCAGTTGGGAACTATGGAGATATACATTCTTCATTAATTTTGTGCTGCACCAGGACTTTCCTTCTACATTTTATCACCTCTAGTTAAGAAACTAGGATTCTTGGAAGCCAGAGGACAACCTGAAAGCATCAGGACAGCAAAAACTGGACCTGCCAATGGCCTCATGGGGATTGGGTACAGAAAAGTGCATGATGCTGGGGTGGCGGGTACTGCTAGGCTGCCAAGGAAGATGCTGAGGGCAGACATTTTATTTCTTGCTTGCATCTCAGATTGTGTCCCTGAGTTAGAAGGTTAATTAATTAATTGTTAAGCATTGCACTGTAACAGGGAAGTATAGAGATAGAAAGTATGGCAATGTTGAGGAAAAGTATGCTTCATTTAAGAGAAGGAGATGGATGGGTTTAAATGATGTGCTTACTATTACAAATCACAGAGAGAAAAGGGATTGTTGAGAGTCCAATATGGATAAGTATTCTGGAGTTAGTGAGAGGGGGTACCAGAGAAACGAAGGTATGAAGGAAAGCTAGACAAGACCCATTAGAAGCTGAGTACAGCAAAGCCACAGCAACTGGAGTGACCAGCAGAGGGTTAGGAAGTTACACAGTATGGCACCTTCACACTCTCCAAGTCTCCAATCATTCCTGTTGGAGATCAATACGTCAAAGACTAGATGTATTAGTCTGTTTTCATGCTGCTGATAAAGACATACCCGAGGCTGGGCAATTTACAAAGGAAAGAGGTTTAATAGAGAACTCACAGTTCTACATGGCTGGGGAAGCCTCACAGTCATGGCAGAAGACAAGGAGGAGCAAGTCACATCTTACGTGGATGGCAGCAGGATAAGAGAGAGCTTGTGCAGGGAAATTCTCCTTTTTAGAACCACCAGATCTCATGAGACTCATTTGCTATCACGACAACAGCGCCGGAAAGACCCTCCCCCATAATTTAATCACCTCCCACCAGGTTCCTCCCATGACAGGTGGGAATTGTGGGAGTTACAATTCAAGATGAGATTTGGGTGGGGACACAGCCAAACCATGTCACTAGGGTATGAACAGGTGAATCATATTACACATTTTCATCCTGAATAGGTATTCCAGCTCCCTGCTTCTCATCTTGGCTCCCATCTTTGTCACACTACTTCAAACCGTTGTAATGTTTAGCTGGACAATGTAAAAAAAAAAAAAAAGAGAGAGAGAGTATATAAATGAACCAGAAGAATCAAAAAGGGATGGTGGGGAAGGAAAGGAAAAGAGTAAGCAAAAGAAGGAATCCTTCCTCTTCCAGGTATCTGTAAGCAGTTCAGAGACTGGTTGGCTCTACCTCGGGTTTCCTTCGTTAATTCACTGGTTGCATCACCAAAGGGAAGGAATCATGGCAGCATCTTTTATTCTTACCCTCTATGATTATTTTTAAAGTAGTGCTTCCCATTTTCTGCTGCAGCCCTGAGCCTTGTCTCTTTGGTTGCCTTTCTCTCTTTGACCCTCCTTCTCTCTCCGCTGGATGTCCCTGCACTCCCACGCTTGCCTCCCTCTCCTGCTGCCTCTGCCTCTGCCCATCCTGTTGCATTCACTTCCTGTCCTTCCCCAGACAGGCTCCTGGCAACTTTGCAGTGCAAGAGGGTAACTCAACAGGTTTCTAATTTTTCAGCCTCGAGAATGTGTCTCTCCGTCCTTGGTTAAGAGTGGGCAAAGGCTGTGGAGATGGGGTGGAGAGTGAGGATGGAACGGTGACAGTTGCAGCGAGCCCACCAGTGCCAGCAGGAGGAAAATGTTAGCCTGCCATTTCTGGATGCTGCGGAGCATATGGAAAGCCTGGGATTGTTGTCGGCAGCCCAGATCAGGGCTGTGCCATCCCAGCAGCTTTATTGTGGTTTTTTAAAGAAATCATTTCAGTGAACTCCCTTACCTGTGGTTGTCAGAGGAAATGCCTCAAATACTGGTTGTCTATAGTTTTCCATGTTCCTGAATATATATCTGAGTATCATTATTAAAGGCTGCATTGTGTTCCATTGTGTAAAAGTACTCTGTGATTTACCTGATAGGACCTTGATTTTTGGACATTTGGTTTGTTTTCTTTTTTCATTTTTTTTTTTTTAGTTTCTAAACAATGATATAGTGACCATCCTTTTCAATACACTTACACTTTAGGAAATTACCTTGTTAGCAATGTAATTGTTAGATTAAAGAATATGTATATCCTCAGGACTTTTGATATATAATGCTAACCTGGTTGCTAGAAAATCTACACCAATTAATAAGCTTTCCCCAATGCTATATGACAGATCACAAAACCAAAGCAAAGTATATTATTATTATATTTATATAATTTATATATACATTTATATATATAAATGTATATATATAATATATACATTTATATAGGATTGCTACCTATCTATAAATATATAGTATAAATAAATATTATATTTATTTATTTATTTATTTATTTTTGAGAAGGAGTCTCACTCTATCGCCCAGGCTGGAGTGCAGTGGCGCTATCTGTCACTGCAATCTTTGCCTCCCAGGTTCAAGCAATTTTCCTGCCTCAGCCTCCTGAGTAGCTGGGATTACAGGCACATGCCAGCTAGCTGGGATCACAGGGACATTAGCCCACCCTAATTTTTTTTTTTTTTTGTATTTTTAGTAGAGATAGGATTTTGCCATGTTGGCCAGGCTGGTCTCAAACTCCTGGCCTCATGTGATCCACCCACCTCGGCCTCCCAAATTGCTGGGATTACAGCGCCTGGCCCAAAATATCTTACTTATATGTGTAAGTACATGGAGTGTAGCCCCTGGTTCTGCCATGTAAATGTTTATGTATGCGTGTAGGAAATAGTCTGAAAGATAAACACCAGAATGTTGACAATGGTCATTTTTGGGTACTCGGATTTTAGGACTTTAGGTTTTTTTGCGGGAAGATAGTGACATTAATTTCTATTCTTCAACTATAAACATTTACTACTTTTGCTATTAAAAATTTAATTCTGTATTTCTCTCTAAGAATGGATGTCCAAAAGAGAAAATAATGCCCTATTTAATCCTAGTTAATCTGTTTCTATTTCCTTTCTTCTTTATAGACTAATGGACTATTAGGTCCATAAGGGATCTTAAGGTTAATCTGGTTCAACATCATCAATGCACTGGTGTGGAAACTGAGTCTTCATAAGATGGCCTGGATTGCTTATGTTCACAAGGCTGGCCCATGGCAGAACTACGGGCCAGAATCCAATAAAGTTCTTAACTCCTTGTTTATTGAGCATTACAAAAATACTCTTTGATAGGGTTTGGATTTGTGTCTCTGCCCAAATCTCATGTTCAATTATAACCCCCAGTCAGTGTTGGAGGTGGGCCCTGGTGGGAGGTGACTGGATCATGGGGGCAGATCCCTCCTGAATGGTTTAGCACCGTCCTGTTGGTGTTGTTCTAGTGACAGAGTTCTCACGAGAGCTGGTCGTTTAAAAGAGGGTAGCACCTTCCATCGTCTCTCTGTCTTCCTCCTGCTCCAGCCATGTGAACATGCCTGCTCCTGCTCTGCCTTCTGCCATGAGTGGAAGCTCTCTGAGGCCTCCCTAGAAGCAGATGCTGCTATGCTTCCTATGCAGCTTACAGAACTGTGAGCCAGTTAAAACTCTTTTCTTATAAATTACCCAGTCTCAGGTATTTCTCTCTAGCAATGTAAGAATGGACTAATACACTTTTCCTCCTGCTGTAAAAAAATTAATTTGCCTCTATTTACTTCACATTTTAGAATTATTCATACTAACTAATGATTAACTAACATAGAAATAAGTAAACATGTTTGGAGATCCAGAAAGAGTTCTTAGCTTTGCCTAAGGGAAGATGCAGGTGCCCTCTGATTTAGTAAGTGCTCATTTAAAACATTTGTTAATCAAAACTCTAGGAAGAACATTAGGAATCAGAAGACAGACCACTGCGCATTTACTGTTGGTGTCCCTTTTTCTCTTTGGCTTGTTTTCTTTCTAATTTTTCTGTTCTTTGTTACCTGTACTAAATTAAAAAAAAAAAAAGCTTCACATTGACTATTGAGGAAAGTCATTTTAGATCACAGAGAACTGTCTTCGAGTCTTCAGAATGCCTGAATAAGCCCCTCTGCAGTTTAGTAGGAAAAGAAGGGGGTGAAGTTGGTACTTCCTGGGAGCACAGATGTGTGAGCAGGGGAAACTCTAATTTTACAGGTAACACCACATGGTACATGGAGGCTTCAAATTAAAGAATTTAATAATAGAGATATTAAAATTGCAGAAACAATGATACTGAATTCTGAAGTGCGCAGAGTTGCTTAACATTTGAATAGTAGATGCCCCAGACTGGGCTCCAGCTCCACACAAACTGTAGAAGCAACATTAGAGTTGATTGGATTCTCTGTACCTCCATGTGACCAGAAAATACAGCGAGATCCTGGGAAAAAGAGTCTTCCTCTTCACGTGTTTGCTAGCTGGTGGGGAGCTCGTCACCACCTGAGAGCTTCGACTCTAGTTCAATTTGCCTGTGACCTAGAGAAACATTGACTTTAGGTGGACAACATGGGTATGGCGATTACTGTGGCTTTTCCCAATTTGGCATGCACTTTCTTAGTAGTGACACAACAAGTGTTTGGATGGGAATTGATCTCCATCAGTTAAAATTCACATATGTACATAAATATTTGTATCCAAAGTAATATACAATAGGTACAAACTATATATACAAATATATATGTATATAATTTATATCTAATATACATTTAAATAAATATATAACAAATAAATATATATTTAATATAAGTGACAAATAATTAAAAAATTGAAATAACTATTATGTGTATACACTATATATATATAGAAAGAGAGAGATTCTCTCATTATCTAGAGAGATTCTTTATATAGTAACTTCCTGAAAATCAATGTAATGTAATACAACAGGAAGAAAAATAACCAATGAAAATTTTTCTTTATTGTGGTTGATATGGATTGGAAAGCAATGCTACTGACATTAAAAAAATAATAAACGTCATTAAAAAAATGAGTAAGAGATCTGTGGCTCCTTAGATTTGAAAGCTTCCAGTGTCACCCCCAGTCCCTCTTTGTTCCTCATCCTGGGCCTGACTGGGTGTTACCACCTTCAAGGGAACAGCTAGGTCATCATGAAAGGGTGTTAATCTCCTAGTATCTTCCCTAACACCTTATTGACAGTGCAAATCAGGGTGGCCTACTTTGATTTTTGTAAATCTGACCTGTCAAAATTCCTTTCAGACTTTATATTCATTTAAAAAATATGGTCTCTGCAATTTCCCAAGCAGGGCATATAATGATAACTATTCTGAATGACCTAGCATAGTTGTATGAGAACCGTTTCCTTTTCCTGGGATGCATTCTGCCCTGCTGTGGACTCCTTTCTACATAAATCAGCAAAGACTTAGGTCTGTATGCAGAAAAAACACTAACACACCACTAATGGTTTATAGACAGCCCTAGACATTGAACAGAGAAGCTAGGTGCTCTGCCAGTTGAAGATTTTAGTGTTATTTACTGAGAGTTTTCAGCTGGAGTGGAATGAGTGCAGCTAGTTGCAGATTCTCCACTGTACTGCTGCCTGGCTTTGGGCTTCCCTAGATTGGGCCTGTTCTAGGGATCAGAACCAATCAATCAATCAGCAAATGCTGATCAAGCGTCTGCCAATTTTGACGATGTGCTGGTGCAAGGAACAGTGCTGGGTTTGCTGGGGAAGCAAGCATGTGCATACGATGTGCATGACAGACACCCTGCCTGTAAGAATCATCCAGAAGGGAAGCAGTTATACTGAGAACTAGACCATGGGTCAGTGGGCAATTAGTAATGGTGCCAGGCCATGTGACTTGGCCAGACTCTTCAGGAGGGAGGCATGTAAAGGATGTGATAAGGGAATGTCCAGTGAGGGGAAGAGCATTTGAACCTGGCCTTGAAAGGCTAACCATGGGATAAGAACATTTCAACCAGAGGATAAAGATTCAGGATGCAAAACCTTAATTCATTTATGGGCAGGGCAGGCAGGTGGAGTGATCCACCGTCATGGTTTGCCTGGCACTGAGCGGGTTCCCAGCTCATGGAACTGTCAGTGCTAAAACTTGCAAAGCCTCAGGAAGACTGAGATGAGTTGATTATTTTCAGCAAGGTGAGAATAAAAAAGAAGGTCGCAGCCAGAGTGGGGAGTCATGGTCCCCGTTCATGGACATGGGGCATTGCTCTTCCTTGCGGGATGTATGAGGAAATCTGCAGGCACTCACAGAAGTCATCTTCAGACACTCATGTGACCAATATTCTTTGAGTCTTAGCTCATGGCCCAGGAGTGTTTAGGGCGCATCAGGTCCACTAAAAGGGGCAGCCTGGTGGTTTAAATAAAAGGGAGAAAATCCCTACATGGAGCTTGCAATCTAGCTGATGAAGTAGGATGAGTGAGCCCTGAACTGTTTCAGCATTAAAAAGAAACAACACTGATCCGGTTTAGTGTTAATTTGTGCTTTGCACACAATTAGATTTTGGGCCAGGGGCTAATTGGACTGAATTGCAGCAGGAGAGGGGGTGCTGGGATGTTAAGGATGCTCGGGGTCTTGGTCTCACTGACTTCAAGAATGAAGCCACGGCCCCTTGCAGTGAGGGTTACAGTTCTTAAAGATGGTGTCTCCGCAGTTTCTTCCTTCTGGTGGGTTCGTGGTCTCGCTGACTCCAGGAGTGAAGCTGCAGACCTTCACGGTGAGTGTTACAGTTCATAAAGGTGGTGCGTCTGGAGTTGTTAGTTCCTCCCATCTGGAGTTGTTCTTTCCTGCTGGTGGGTTGGTGGGTTGGTGGGTTTGTAATCTCGCGGGCTTCAGGAATGAAGCTGTAGACCTTTGCAGTGAGTGTTACAGCTCATAAAGGTGGCACGGACCCAAGTTGCAAGCAGCACCAAAACTTACTATGAAGAGCAAAAGAACAAAGCTTCCACAGGGCGGAAGGGCACCCAAGCAGATTGCCCCAGCTGGCTCGGGGGTGGCCTGCTTTTATTTCCTTATCTGGCCCCACCCACATCCTACTGATTGGTCCATTTTACAGAGAGCTGATTGGTCCGTTTTGACAGAGCGCTGATTGGTGCATTTACAAACCTTTAGCTAGACACAGAGGGCTGATTGGTGCATTGACAATCCTTTAGCTACACCCAAAAGTTCTCCAAGGCCCCACCACATTAGTTAGACACAGAGCGCTGATTATTGTGTTCACAAACGTTTGGCTGGACACAGAGTGCTGATTGGTGCGTTTACAAACCTTAGCTAGACACAGAGTGCTGATTGGTGCATTTACAATCCTTTAGCTAGACAGAAAAGTTCTCCAAGTCCCCGCCCGACCCAGAAGCCCAGCCGGCTTCAGTTCTCAATGGCACTCGCTTAGGGACTTTGTGGCACCTAGCCCTGGCACTCCGGCACCTCAGAGGGAGCTCGTCCCCGCATCAAGCCCAGCAGATGCCGGCCAACCGCGCGGAGTGCGGGGCTCCCCGAGCCCGCGCCCACCCGGAACCCGCGCCGGCTCCCGAACACCGCGCGCAGCCGCGGCTCCCGGCCGCGCCTCTCCCTCCACACCTCCCCTCCAGCAGAGGGAGCCGGCTCTGGCCTCGGCCAGCCCCGGAGAGAGGCCCCCACAGCGCAGCCGCGGGCTGAAGGGCTCCTCCAGCGCGGCCAGAGCGGACGCAGAGGACGGGGAGGCGCCGCCGAGAGCGAGCCAGGGCTGCTAGCACGTTGTCACCTTTCACTTGGAGGTAGGGCTTCTAGTAGGAGAGGTGGAGAGAGACATTGATGAGGAGGGAGAACCTGAGTTTAGGCCAGGATTCCAACCGTCCGTTTCAAGAGAAAATGTTCCTGCTGAATAACAAGGGGGAAACTTGACCAGGCAGGGCCTGGAAATTAAGATGGAAGCTCGAGGTTATGAGAGGCCAGCGTTTCGGGTGCTGTCCAGGTGACTAGGCCTCTAGAGGTTCTTAGAAAGAGAAAGCATTCTGTGTGGGACTCAGTCTGGGAAACACTGCATACTGTGTTCTTGTGGAGTTTCACAATTAATGCAAACACATTAAAGGCTCAGAGAAGTCCTGCAGTAAAGAACATTTCCAATACAACCCTGTATTCCCAGCACAGATGGCCACAAAGCCACTTTTGTTGGAAGACTCGCCAAGGCAGGACATTTATTAATATTTTGTGAAAGAAGAATTATTTTATTTAAAAAAAAATAGAGACAGGATCTTGCTGTATTGCCCAGGCTGGTCTTGAACTCCTGGACTCAAGAAATCCTCCTCGGCCTCTCAAAGTCCGGGGATTACAGGCATAAGCCACCGCACCCCGCCAAGAAGAATTCTTTGGGAACCACTAGCACTCTGGAATGCTTTACTGTAGATATGAATAAGTGATTTTTTTTAAATACAAAAGTCATATTAGTATTAATTAGTTTTGGTGCATTTTAGAAAATACACGTTTTAGAAAGCTTACCCTAATAACGGTTGGAAGACATGCTGGAAGAGGTAGCATGATAGCAAGTGCTGCAGAGGGAGAGGCGTAACTGGGTTCAAATTTGCCGCTTGCTGCCTGTGAGTCAAGCCTCACAGGTTTGCATGGTTTGATTAAAATATGGCTTTAAAGATCTTAGCACAAAGCCTAGCACATGGTAAGCACTCACTGTGTGGAAGCTATTATATTATTTTCATTTTATTATGATAAATTGGGGCCGACTAGGTCAAGTCATCAAAGTTTGGCCCACCCATGGGATTTGTAGACTTTTGCAGGGCTGTGCCTCCTTTCCTCCCCAGACAAAATCCATCACGTCAGCAGTCACAGGGCACCCTGGTTCCCTCTCTGAATGAACTGTTAAATGACTAAGCTGGCTCCCAACAGAGGCAGAGCCCAGCAATATGCGGCCTGTAATCTGTCAGATGATACAGCAACAGGCCCAGTGAGGGGCCCGACACACCCCCCAGGAGAGTGGAGTCTCTCACTGCATGTGACGTGGAAGACGCCGAAGAGGTGAGGGAGGCACCATATGCTGCGGGCCTGCCAAGGGAGAATAAACAGCACCGGCAGCCTGGCACAGAGCTCTGGCGGGAACGTCCACCAAGATCGGTCAGGCACTCTCATGGCGTCCTCCTGGATACAGGCTTTTGCTTTTGTTTTTAATTTTGGAGCAGTGAAGCCGAAAGTGAGGAGTGAGGACAAGGAGAAGACCCATTTGCTCCTGTTCATTCAAACAGCATCTCTTCATTTTGAAATTGGCAAGAGGCAGTTCGGGGCTGTGGCAGGTCCTGTACACCACCTGTTGCCTCCCAAGTCACTGTGCCTTTCTGGCTTTCTTTACCTATGTCCTGTAAAACGCCAGGTAAGCAGTCCCCTGGGGTAGGGGGAAGGGGCATATATTTTTACAAAGGAGGTTTTTAAGGGGCAGGAGGGGGCAGGCAGATTTGGCGTGTAGAACAGAGTTGAACTCCATCTCTTTGTTCTTGAGATGTTTTGCTAATCCTGCTGCTGTCATAGTAGAGTGAGTGTAGAATTGGTCTTTCAAATGGGACAATTTTAAGGTTGAAAGAATATGCTATTTAGTCATATTACATTGGGACAATGAGCTTAGATCAAGTGTCCCAGGCAAAACAGAGTGTATGGCCCCTGATGCACTGAATTATGCCACCTTCACCCAAATTCACATTTTGCTGTCCAATCCTCAGTACTTTAGAATATGCCTGTATTTGGAATAAGGCCTTTAAAGAGGTGATTAAGTTAAAATGAGGCTAAGGTGGACCCTAATCCAATCTGACTGGTGTCCTTGTACGAAGAGGCAGTTTGGACACACAGAGATACCAGGGATGTGTGCACCATGTGAGGACCCAGCCAGAAGGTTAGCATTTGCAGGCCAAGGAGAGAAGCCTCAGGAAGAAACCAGCCTTGCTGATACCTTGACCTTGAACTTCCAGCCTCCAGAACTGTGAGAAATAAAGTTGTGTTGGTTAGGCCCCATCCAGTTTGTGGTATTTTGTTATGACAGCACTAGCTGACTAATATAATCACCTATTTTCTTCAACTTTCCTTATCTATAAAAATGGAGAGAATCATGTCTACCATTCTGGATTAAATTAGATAACATATACAATGTCTGGCACATTGCACAGTACTTTAATGCAATGTGTATGCACCTTGGCAGGCATACGCCTACTTAAGGCTACATCCTGAAAGTTCTTAGTTCTACCAATTCCTGGCAATGCACTGGGATTTGATTATAATACAGACAGTAAATATCCATCAATCCCATATAGCTCTTGAAAATGCTGGGTAGCTTGAAGGGCTTTTTCTTCTAGGGTTTTTATGGTTTTGGGTTTTATATTTAAGTCTTTAATCCATCTTGAATTAATTTTTGTATAAGATGTAAGGAAAGGGTCCAGTTTCTGTTTTCTGTGTATGGCTAGCCAGTTTCCCCAGCACCATTTATTAAATAGGTAATCCTTTCCCCATTGCTTGTTTTTGTCAGGTTTGTCAAAGATCAGATGGTTGTAGATACATGGTGTTATTCCTGAGGTGTCTGTTCTGTTCCATTGGTCTACATATCTGTTTTGGTACCAGTACCATGCTGCTTTGGTTACTGTAGCCTTGTGGTATAGTTTGAAGTCAGGTAGCGTGATGCCTTCAGCTTTGTTCTTTTTGCTTAGGATTGTCTTGGCGATGGGGGCTCTTTTTTGGTTCCATATGAAATTTAAAGTAGTTTTTTTTCTAATTCTGCAACGAAAGTCACTGGTAGCTTGATGGGAATAGCATTGAATCTGTAAATTACTTTGGGCCATATGGCCATTTTCACAATATTGATTCTTCGTATTCGTGAGCATGGAAAGTTTTTCCATTTGTGTCCTCTTATTTTCTTGAGCAGTGGTTTGTAGTTCTTCTTGAAGAGGTCCTTCACATCCCTCGAAGGGTTTTTTAACTTCAAATTTAAGGTAGAAAAAGAGATTATTTGTGAATGATTAAACTCAAACTCTGAAATGTGCACTAGAAATGCAGTTTACTATAATAAGGTTAATTTGAATATAATCCCAGGCAGAGAATATTCAGTGAAGCACGATGGCGTTCTGACAGGCTTTCCTGGTCAAGGCTGCCAGGCCATGGTTTCTGGTTGGGGCTCATCCGCATGACTCATCTCCTTGCATTGCCTGCCTTCCCCTGACCCTCTCCTTAACCCGACACACCTGTGGCGAGATCTTTCCTTTCTGTATCCTGACTCTGGTGACTCTCTGTGGATGTTTTCAGCCTCTGACTGCCATGCCTCAGAGCTCAGTCTGTGATTGAGGTTGGTGGGTTCTCAAAAAACATCTCCGGCCGGGCGCGGTGGCTCACGCCTGTAATCCCAGCACTTTGGGAGGCCGAGGCGGGTGGATCATGAGGTCAGGAGATCGAGACCATCCTGGCTAACAAGGTGAAACCCCGTCTCTACTAAAAATACAAAAAATTAGCCGGGCGCGGTGGCGGGCGCCTGTAGTCCCAGCTACTCGGGAGGCTGAGGCAGGAGAATGGCGTGAACCCGGGAAGCGGAGCTTGCAGTGAGCCGAGATTGCGCCACTGCAGTCCGCAGTCCAGCCTGGGCGACAGAGCGAGACTCCGTCTCAAAAAAAAAAAAAAAAAAAAAAAAAAACATCTCCATCTCCATCTTCCACCCTGCATTGGTGGGGGATGAGGGCTCCTTACCATAGGACAGGGAGGGGGCTTTCTCTACACGTGGGCTGGGTTCTCTGCATCTCTGCTCTCTAGCCTGGGTGCTCTCAGTTCTGTCTCCTTGGGACCCATGAATCTTTTCTGCATGGAACTTGCATGGGGCAAACACTGGCAGAGGCATCCCACACATCCCTCCTGGCTAGAGGCCTCAGGAGGATCTTGGGGCCATTGCCTACCAAACCAACATCAGGAAGAAAGCCCATGGTGGCATTTTCTCCCAGGCAGCTTTCCTGGGAATTACTCCAAGGCTGTCAACCTTCACTCTTCTGGTCTGAGGCACAAAGAAGGCATTGCCCTTCCTTGTGAAATGTGTAAGGAAATCTGCAGGGACTCACAGAGGCCGTCTTCAGACACTCATGTGACCAATATGCTTTGAGCCTTAGCTCATGGCCCAGGAGTGTTTAGGGTGCATCAGGTCCACCAGAAGGGGCAGCAAGGACAAGGCAACAGTCAAGCTAAGGCCTGAAGACTTGGGCCTGGATTCAAGTTCTTCTTGCCCCTCATTAGTTTTCTCTTCTAGGCTTTGATTTTATGTTCATCAGGCTGAGTCTTTTTGACTCCTGTTCCTGCAGCTGGAACATGCTGTAGTCATGTGATCAGTTTCCTGCCCTTTAGGGGGCTGCTGCTTATTTTAGAGAAAAGCCTTATTAAAAGAACCAATTCTGTTCAGCCATTCCACAAAGTCATGTTGGACCCCCTATTTGTCAGAAACTCATTCTTCTTTTCTTTTTTCTTTTTTTGAGACGGAGTCTCATTCTGTTGCCGAGGCTGGAGTGCAGTGGTGTGATCTCTGCTCACTGCAACCTCCGCTTTCCAGGTTCAAGCAATTCTCCTGCCTTAGCCCCCTGAGTAGCTGGGATTACAGGCATACACCACCACGCCTGGCTATTTTTTTTTTTTTTTTTTTTTTTTAGTAGGGATGAGGTTTCACCACGTTGACCAGTCTGGTCTCAAACTCTTGACCTCAGGTGATTGGCTAGCCTCGGCCTCCCTAAGTGCTGGGATTACAGGCGTGAGCCACTGAGCCCCGCCCAGATACTCATTCTTCATTCATTTATTCCTTTATTTATTCATGTATTCATCAGGTTTTTAAAAATGGTGTGCCTGGTAATAGTTTTAGTCGCTGGGGATTCAGCAAAGAACAAAACAAAGTCTTTACCCTTATCAGAGGGAGCAAGATATTAAAGTTTAGGGATAACCAAATATTACTCATTAGAGTTGATGCATGCTATGGGGAGGCCTGGGTGAATTGCAAATGTATGTAGGAGAGCCTGCACCCAGCTCTGTAATGTGAGCAGAGACCTGTTGGGATAAGGGGGTGAGTTTGCCAGAGTGCTGGAACAAGAGCATTCTAAGCAGGGCAACAGTAAGGGCAACGCAGGTGAGGAATGAATGTGTCATGCTCAGGACCCATGTGGCACTCAGAGTGGCTGGTCAGAGGGGGCCAGCAGGTGAGGTCCAGGATGAGAGGTCAGAGGGGCAACAAGTGGCTGGACCAGGCAGCCACTCTTCACTTGCCTTGGGCAAGTGAAAGGACTTTGTCACTCTGTGTGACATAAGTCGAGGTCTGATTTATATTTTGAAAGGATCACTTTGGCCAGGTGCAGTGTAATCCCAGCACTTTGGGAGGCCAAGGCAGGAGGATGGCTTGAGCCCAGGAGTTCAAGACCAGCCTGGGGAACATGGCAAGACCCCATCTCTATTAAAAAAAAAATTAACTGGGTGTAGTGGCACACACCTGTAATCCCAGCTCCTCAGGAGGCTAAGATGGATTACTTAAGCCCAAGAGGTCAAGCTTTCCAGACTGGAGTGCAATGGCATGATTATAGCTCACTGAAGCCTTGACCTCTTGGGGTCAAGACTCCATCTCCAAAAAAAAGAATAAAATAAAATAAAAAATAATAAAAAGAAATAAACTAAAAGGATCAGTTTGATTTCTATGTAGACGATAGACAGTGGCGAAGGTAGGGGAGTGGGAGTTGCACAAGGAGACTGGTTAGAAAGCTATGGCAATGGTCCAGGTGAGAAGATAGCTCCTGGATGGGCTTTGTTTTGGTTCACCTATGTTGAATGAAATGGCTAAATAGATACACCCCAAGCTGCCTGCTGACGGGGCAAGTTTAGCAGTGTAGTGCTGGTGGGGTTGTGCCACGTGGGAAATGATCCTGGTTAGACAGCGAGCCAGAGAAACCCACATCAGTTTCCATCGAGTGTCTGCCATACCCCAGGAACTTTCCATACCTTATGTCCAACTATCATAACAACATCTCAAGATATATTATTGCTTCCAACGTATGAATGAAGAAACTGAGGCCCAAAGAAGGTACACCACCGGTCCAAGGCTACACAGCCAGGACTTGGCAGAACCAGGCTCTCCCTTAAATCCATCTGTCTTCAGATCTGCTGTTTATTCGCTCTGCCATAAAGCATCTTGCACTTCCCTTTTTTTCATATGGATCCTTGAGATGTAGCACCTTTTGGGACTTGAAAATTTTAACAGTTAAAAAAAAATTTCCATAAGCCATCTCTGCATCTCCTGTAAGTTTCTGGCACGTGACTGCCCCTTCTGCCCATATTCACCAAAAAAAATACTGAATCCCTATTGAGAGACTGATCTGAAACTTCCATATCCTTCTAGAAGTCTAAAGCCTACATTTCTATTGGAAAATGTGGTGCAGATAACACAAAAAAACACCTTAAACTCTGATGTCATGGTTAAAAATGTAAAGAAAGCAAATCCATACAAAAATACTGAAATAACTTACTTTTTGAATCTTGAATTTCACTAGATCAAATTTAATATAATAATTATTTTTTGCAATTTAATGTAATAATTATTTTTTGATCACATTTAAAGTAAAATTGTCCACATCAGTTAACTATGTTATTTCTTTAGAAAAATAAATGAACACCCTAATCGTTTAATACAAGGAAAATGTACTGAATGACCCATATTTTCTTCAGGCCAGGTCTTCCTCAGTCAAGTGAAGCCAAGAAATGAGATGGTTATCTGGATAACTAGAACGAAGTCCTATTTTTACCCTCCATAATTGATGGGATTAAAGACAAAGCATTTT
Organism: Homo sapiens; assembly: GCF_000001405.40. NCBI lineage: Eukaryota > Metazoa > Chordata > Mammalia > Primates > Hominidae > Homo > Homo sapiens. The sequence continues at coordinate 97,868,503 of NC_000015.10, read as the reverse complement.
TAAAAAATATTTTTTGTGAATTACCCAAGTAAATTTTATCTGTTTTTAATATTCGTTTTGGGACCTGAAAGCACACGAAATTGCTCTGTTCTTTACGTATTTTTGTGCTCTCTAAGCTTTATCCAAATTAGTCTAAACCTTTGCTGGAGGCTGTCAGTCTTTTTTTCAGTCTCAGAAAAACTTCATTGAATGTTGGAGACAATGTGGCAGGAACTGTAAGCGGGATCTCTGTGAAGGTCAGGGTGGAGGTCTGGCTCTTCCATCTGGATCTGACCTGAACCTAACCTGGTCCAGGTGCTGCAGCACCTTTGTGACTTCCAGCATGTGTTTTGATTCAGTGTTCAGCCTGCAACAATGTCGGGAAAGAACAAAGAGCTGTTTGCTCCTCAGGCCCTGGTTAGTGACCAGGAAAGGGTGTGGTTTGTCAAGTGGGTGTGGACAGGGCACCAGCAGGCGGGAACAGGGTCAGCTGTGAAGGTGGATAGTTGCAGCCAGCTCTTCAGCATCGTTGACAGAACAAAGTCCTTGAGACGAGACTCCTTCTTCCCTCCTGGAAATGTTCTGCCAGTGCATTGAGTGTGGAGTGTGGTTCTCCTCTAACTTCTCAGGTTTGCCTCACATTTTTGTGCTGTGTCCTCCAGCCCCCCTCCACCATGGGCTTAGGTAGAGAGTTCCAGAACATCTTTAGCATCCGGCTCTGTTTTTAGGCAAGGTATTATGCATTTCCCTTCTCTCTCTTCCTTGAAAAGCATCATATGGTTTTCATCATAAAGTTGAAATGCACAATAACCATGTATCTTTTGTAAGTTCTGATTATCTCAAATACAGGAAGGTTTCCTATAGACTTGCATTCAAGGTCTAGTCCCTGCACCAGCAGCATGGGTGCCCCCGGAAACTCTTAGGATCTCTCAGGCCCCACACCTGAACTACTCACCAAAACATGCATTTTGACATGTTTCCCAAGGATCCTTTTAAGGCATGAGAGGGGCTGTTTCTAAGTACAGTACCTCTGATCCTGGAGGTGGCTGTGTGAACTTGCTGTGTTAAACTATTTAATGTCTACTGCCTCAGCTTCCTCATCGACAGTCTGGGGACAGGAAAGGCTGGATGAGGGGAGGAGTGCCCAGTGCCCTGCCTGGTATTTGGTGGGGAGCGGGGGTCATGGATACCTGGGATCTTTTCCTGCATGGTGGTTGCAGTGCCCGCTGGGAGTTGGAGTATAGCAATAGTCAGCCTGGATCACGTGGGGACATGGAACGGCAGCCGTGGAGAAACAGCTCAGGAAACACAGCCAGCCCTGACTTAGAGGGATCGGCAGGCTCTGCTGTGGTGCCAACCACCTGCCACGCTCAGCCCAGCCCCCATCATGGAGCGTGCTGCATCCAAGTGCCAATCAGCTGCAACAAACCCCAGTGGGGCCCCAACAACAGGTGTCTCATTAAACATCTCTCACCCTCCCAGGCTTACCCACTGACAGGCACCAAACTCACACTCAATCACCGCCTAATCACAGCCAAACTCCATTAACAAGTCATACTAATTACCAACTTCTAACAGTGTCTCTGGTTTGGAGGCAAAACACCTTATTCTTTTTAGATGAAAACTGGCTTGTGATCCTTCAGAAAGACCCATAATTAGGTCCTTTAAAAATGACGGTCAAGGGAGGAGTCCGGGGAAAAGTTGATAGACCCAGGGTGGCTACGGTCCTGAAAGTGCACAATGCGTAGCTCTGTTTGTTTTAATTTTGTGCCTGCTGGGTGGCCCCCAAGGGTCCAATTAGCTTGTTACAGATGCTTGTATTGGTTCCATCCTCTTGTCTCCTCCTTCCTTCCTTTTTTCCCCTTTTCTGTTTTTTTTTCTTTAATTTTTCCCTAGGAGGGATAAACTTGTAGCACAGATTGCAGGCCTGCAGGCATCCAAAGATCAACAACTAGTTTTCTATGATGGAACCCCCTGTGAACCATGAACACTCATTTGCAGAATTCCTAATGCATCGGATGAGGCAGGGCAGGGCTTGAGTGGCTATAACAGGGTCTGGTACCATTTTGAAATGGCCAGAAGGTAGACATTCTTCTCTGAATGGGTGCAACTTCGTAGACTGGCTTTTTTTTTTTTTTATTTCTTTGCCTTTTAAAAATTTTATTTTGGATCATAATAAAATTATTACTATTATTATTACTTGCATTGCCTCTTCTATCATAAGTCATTCCATTTTTTTATTTGAAAGGGATCTTGCTTTTAGAGCTTATACTGGGTACAGAATATCTTTTGCCAGGCAAATATAACAAATAAACTAAAAAAAGAAATCCTGATTAACTTGGATTTGCTCATGTACTCAGCCCCTGGAGGGTGTTTCTCTGATGTCCAGGTCAGGGCAGCCAGCACTAGCAATAGTGAGAGGGATTAAAGCGAGAAGCAACACTGCAATAAAATATGACATGGTTACCTTTCACCCCAATCTTCCATTGTCAAATGAGGGGTTATGTAGTCCAAATATCTGAATTAATCCCACCTTTAACTCAAGCATTTGAGATAGAATCAAATTATGTTTTGAAATATATAATTTCTGTATTCCCTAATGGACATACGAGAATAGTTTTAAGGGCTCTGATTTATATGAAGTTTATTTTTCTTTCTAAATTTCTTCTCTAAAAATCCTTGAAGTATCCAAGATTCCATCCAGCAAGTTTATCAGATTTAGTTTCTGAGATGGGAGACAGGATTTGCCAACATTCACTGATGATGAAGAACTGGAATTCTATGGGGATTATGGAGTATTTTGGATGCTGATGATATACAGATAACCATAGGAGGGCATAGAAAAAAGCATGGTCTTTAAAGGCAGATGAACTTGATCCACACTTGCCATACTAGCTTATCTAAGGGTTAGACTTCTTTCCAGAACACTGGGATAATATTTACCTCACAGTGCCTTGAAAATAAGAAGACATAATGAATATGAATGTTCTTAGCCAGTGCAGCTATGCAGTGGGTGCTCCATTATACTCCTTGTCAGTTCCTTCTTCTTTTCTGGAGCCAGAGCCCCTCCTTTAGAAGCTCCCAGAGCAGGACAAGCTTGGTAAGCAGCAGATTCTAAACCCTGGACTGAGCTGCAGTGGCATGAGTGTTGGGAGCCAGGAGTCTGGAGTCATGGCTCACCAGGTTTGGCTGCAACTCTTAGGGCCTCAGATGGAGTGGCGGAGAAGCAGGAAGCCTAACCTAGGGATGGAAAATCCAGATTGGTGAATTTCTACTGAAACCAGATGCTTTGAAGACCTTAGAGGCAGTTGTTAGCCTGTGATCCTGTAGGAGGGATCTGGCCACTCCTTTGGCCACCTCCCTGAAATGTTTTCTAATATGTACACTTGGGGGCTTCTTTCTGGGGAATGCATCGCTGAGTTGGTCACATAAGTCTATAGGAAAATAGAATTTCTCTAACAGAGAGTCACTCTAGAGCCATTTTTCAAAAATGAATTCTTTTTTCCTATTCCTTCATAGAACCTCATGAAAAGCAGTAAAGTTGGATGTATCTACATGTAACAAAATGTTCAAATGCTGGAGCTCTGACTGCTCAAAGTGCTTTTCTTTTCAAAGTATGAGCATATTCATGGTATTATTAATTCCAAGAAGCTGATTGGGACAATGGCATGATAGGACCTCCTCTCATCATTTACAGTATCAGAACTGCAATAATAAACATTGTACTAGAAGGAACTGGAAAAAATGTACATTCTATATGTCTCCATGTGCATATTGTAACTTTCCAGTTATATTTCAAAAACAACAAATTTATCTGGCAGTACTAAGTGTTAGGTAATATTAAATATATATTTATTTTTATATCCTGCCCTGATGGCTTTCTTTCAGTCTCCACAGACATTGGGCAGCTAATACAGAATTGTTCAAGTAAGTTTAATTCAGTATTTTATATATACATATATATATATATATATATATATAGTTTAATATAAGTCCAAATAAATGACATCATATGTTTAGCAAGTCACAATTTGTGATTTTTATGCAAACAGGTAACAAAGGCTCTCACCTACATACTTCTTGGTGTTAAGTAAGTGTTCTCATGCTCGTAACCTAGTTGCTGGGTTAAATTGCCATTTTATAGCAATTTTCGTTTAGATGCCTAACCCCCGTATAGAAATAGCAGATACAGTATACCTAGAGAAAAACTCACAGGGTTGGGTGCCAGTGACCTGGGTTGAAGACAATATTATGAACAATTTAATGAAAATATTTTTGACAACTTAGATTCTTAGTTGTCAACTTTTTTGAAAGTGACAAATTAACAATGACCACACAAGAATGGCTTTACATATACTAAAGAAATGTAATTTGTAGTTTAAAACATTCTCAGAAAAAAAAACTCAGATGGCTTTACTAGTAAATTTTACTAAGCATTTTTGAAAATAATTTTTTTATAAAAGTCTAAAAGAAAATTGAAAAAGAGGAAAGGAGGGAATATTTTTAAATGAAATTTTTTAGGCACAGATACCAAAATCAGATAAAGATACTACCAGAAAAGAAAACAGAATACTAGTGTATCTTATGGAAATGTATGGAAGAATTGTAAACAAAATGTTGTCAAGTTGAACCCAATAATACATAAGAATAATACACAAGACAAAGTGGGGTTTATTTCAGGAATGTAGGGTTGTTTTAACATTGGAAAATATCAATTGATGTCATTCATTGTATTAGTAAAATGAATTTAAAAACTGTATGATCATCTAATTAAATACAGATAAAGCATTTTGACAAAATTTCACCATCAATTCCTGGTGAAAACTCTCAACAAACTAGGAAAAGAAGGGAACTTCCTAAACCCAAGAAAGAGAATCTACTATAAACTTCCAACTAACAATCATACTGAAGATAAAAGACTGAGTCCTTTCCCCCTAAGTTCAAGAACAAGACAAAGATGTTAGCTCTCAACATTTTTATTCAACAATTTACTGGCAGCTCTTGCCACAGCAATAGGGCAAAAAAAAAAAAAAAGCATTTATATTAGAAAAGAAGAAATATAGCTTTATTCACATATATAATTTTCTATGTAAAACATCCAATGGAGTCTCCAAAAAAGCTGCTAAAAGTAGTAATTTTAGCAAGATTTCAGCAACAGGATTAATATGCAGAATATGGTTGCAATTCTATACACTAGCAACAAACAAAAGTAAATTGAAATTAAAAAGGATTTCTATTCATAATAATATGGAAAAATATAAAATATCTCGAAATGAATTATAGTCTTATGTATAATACCTAAACTATAACACTTATAAAAGAAAACAGGTAAAAATTTTAGCATTTTGAGTTAGACAAACATTTCTTTAGAAAAACACAAATGCATGATCCATAAAAGAAAAAAAATGATACATTGGACTTCATCAAAATTTAAAAATTTTGCTTTTCAAATGACATGGTTAAGAGGATGAAAAAAAGCAAGTCACAGGCTAGGAAAAATATTTGTAAAGAATATATCTGATAAAGGACTTGAATTCAGAATATCTAAAGAACTTTCAAAATTCAATATGAAAAAAACTCAATAAAAAAGTGGACCAAATATTTGAGTAGATATATGAATGGCAGGTAAAGAAGATATATGAATGGCAAGTAAACACATGAAAAGATGCTCAACATTATTAGTCCTTAGAAAATGCAAATTAAATATACAATATACAATGAGATAATATTACACAACAAATAGAATAGCTAAAATGAAATATGACGACACGAAGTGTTGGTGAGAATGTGGAGTAACTAGAACTTTCATGCAGGGCTGGTTACAATTTTCAATGGAAGCAGCCACTTTAGAAAACAGTTTGGTGGTTTTTTGTGAAGGGGGCAGGTAAGAGGGTTGAGAGGGAGGGTGAAGGGTTGGGTGGGGCAGGCTGAGGTAGAAAGGATGACAAAGGGAACAAGAAAATGATTAGACCTAACAGATCTCTTCATTTTCTTGATTATGGTAGTGTTTTCACATGCGTATACACATACCACAACCATCAAATTTTACACTTTAAAATGTGAAGTTTCTTGTACTTTAATTATACTTCAATAAAGCTTTCTTTTTTTAAAAAAAAAAGTTTCATTTCTTTGTTAGTCTGTGGGGCAAATCAAGCTTTTCTTTTATCTGTGTTGTAGCTCCTGAGAATCCCATGGTCCAGAGGATGTAGCCGGAAGGGAAGAGTTAGCCCTTCTGTAAAGCTTTTTTTTTCTTTCCTTTGTATAATCTATTGTCTTTAACATGCCAAAAATCCAACTTTATTAGTTGATAGAACCATTGTCCTTTTATGAGGCTTTTGTGCACTTTAATTCCAGCTCTCATGGCTAAGGCTGTTGGGTTGACAGAAATTAGCTGACAAACCATTCTCCCCAAACAACTGTGATTTCTGCTTTAACTGAGAAGCAGAGCATGTTAAGCACTTTTATTGGGTGGTGCCTGGTGAATGACAGATGTACTCTGTGTGATGGACTGCTGTGCACATCCTGTGTTAAAATGGGCCCATTTGTTGCAAAAACACATAATGAAAAGCTTGACTTGATAAAGATACATCCTGTGCACCAACTCCACATTGGAACTTGTTTAAATATGAATCAAGATTTCCAGTGAGACCACGGGCAGAGCTTCTCTGAATTGTTGCATTGACAGACCAAATGGGAGCTAAGTTAGCAGCTGGAGATTCAATGATTTTTGCACTTATGCAGAGTTTCAAGGTCCAAAACTGCTAGGAGAAGATGATTTCCTCTAATGCATTTAACTGTCAACTCATCAAGATTTGTTTTCTGACGTTTCAAAGTGCACTGTATTATTCTGTTTTAAGCTATTCCTGAACTCTTTTAATCTTTTTTCTTAATGCATATTTATTGCAATAGAGGTATTTTCTTATTTTATTCACAGTATGAAAATTTTAGAGAGGGATTTGACTTTGAAATGTGCATGAATACAGAATAAAATGAGAGGCTAGAAACTCCTAATTTGGCTCTACTTACTGAGATAATAAGGAGCAGAAGTGATTTCCAAACTTTGTGAGAACTTGGGCACTTTTACAACTATTAGTGGGATTTTTAACTAAAATGAGTTTAGCAAGCTGAATGCTGGATTTAGAATGAGTTAAACTATGTGCACAGTTGACCAGCAGCTTAGCAGATGAGCCTACCCCATCCCTTTGATGTATTAGTAACAATTCAACAATTCACTCTGACTACTAGGGAGAGCCAGTCCAGCAGTTTAATATCCCCCCATTAGTAGGAAATTCTTTTGGGTTCTTTCTCTAGTTTCTATTTGTAGTTCAATAGATGTTAATCATCCATATTAATAAATGTTAACAATAAACAGCATAACTACTCACCTGGTCATTCTACTCTTCATTCATTCAGCAAATAGTTTGGGAGCACCCTCTATGTGCCCTGCACTGTGCTAGATTCCAGGCCATAGGACATTTTCTCTCATTTATGAATGTATCTTGTAAAATAGTCTTGATCTATCTGGTAACAGATAATACAGCATCTATTTCAAGGCCAGCTGTGATGAGCACATTTTCTGAAGTTTATATGGGCTTTTCTATATTTTTACTGTGTTCAACTCCCTCCCAGTTTAGTTCCTCTCCTCATAGCAACCCTCATTATATGTCAAACGGAGCTTTCAGAAAAAGAGACAAGAGAAGTGAGTGGTGCAGAATTTTGTAGTTATCGTTTTGTGACTGTATCTTCTTTGTGTGAGTTCTTGGGGTCTTGGAATCTAAAATATCTTCCTTGAATCATGGCCAAAGTTACCTGATGTTTCCAAGGCCGGTAGACATTGGGTGCCAAGGTTACTATCAAAATTCAGATGTGTTCTGTCCAACATCCTGCATCAAGTTAAGTAACAGTTGGGTACCTAAATCCAACACCGAAGAAGGGGAAAAGCAAAGGGTGTTGTTTCTATATGACTATGACCTAAACACAATGGCGGGCTGTAGAGAGTCTTAAGGTAGAAAGGTGTTATGGAAAGCCCCCTGGTGCTCTAAATCTTCTCTCTTGTGATAGATAAGGTGTTACCCACCCAAAGCGTTCATGAAGGGCATAGAAGGAGCTTCCACTGGGTGCCTCGATAGTCCATTGCAGTTCCAAGCGGATCCTAATATAATTATTTTGTAGAGTGTAATAACTTATTTTCTGGTATCAGACTATTGCAGGCCTGATCACTGGCTTGACCCTTGAGCAAATTATTAATTTCTCAAGGACTCAGTTTCTTTTTCTTTAAAATTAGGCTAATAAGATTGCCCATTCTATAGAGTTGTTGTAAGCATTAATCTTCTGTTATCATTACTAATTTTCTATGATGTGCTGGAAACTTATTTAGAAACTGGAACTATTAATATAAAGATAAAGAGTTAGTTCCTGACCTCTGGGACACCAGAGATTAAGGGAGAGACAGACACTAACAAGATAATAGTACACATGGTGGGCATGGTAATAGAAATTTATGCTCAAGTGGGAATCTGAGGGCCAGGGAGGGCATCTCAGAGGAGGTGACCTCACATTGTGTATTAGAGATTAGGAAGCATTAGCCAGGGCAGCGTAGGTGGAGAAGGGGGATGGCGGTGCAGCATGAGTGGTTCAGGTCCCAGCAAAGGCGTGGCGTTGAGAAGCAGTGCATCAGGGCAGAGATGATGGGCAACTTGCTGCAGGAGCAAGAGGGGCAGGCTTTGTGGGTTAACCAATGTCCAAAAATTAATAGTGATAACAACAGAAGATTAACGCTTACAAGAACTCTATAAAGTAGGCAATCTTATTAGTCTAATCTTAAGAAGAAACTGAATATTTCCATAATAGGCTGAAACCTAATGGTATTTAGTGGAAGCTCCTTCTTTGCCCACCATATGTATTATTATCTTGTTAGTGCCTGGGAGTCTTTGCAGGCTGTGCCCAGGTTCTGGAACTTGATGCTACTAGATGGCAGGATGGAAGGATATCCAACAGGGAGGTGGCATGGTGACATCTACTTTTTAGATGGAATTCTCTTGTGGGGATAAGGTAGTGCTTGAGGGAGACAAGGTAGAGAAGCAGGAAGGTGAGCGCCAAGGTGGGCCTGTACTGGAATAGCCACAGTAACCATAGAAAGACGATGAAGGATTGGAGACAGATGCCAGACACTCTGGAACAAGGAGATTTCCAAAGTTCAGTGGAGAAGATGGCTGTTGATTGCTAATGTCTGCAGTATGTGTGTGCAAGTGACAGTAATATTTTCAAGTGTTAGATATTTGTCATTCATAAATCAGGAAGTGAAAAGTATGGGGATGATTGGATTGAGGGAGTGGGGTGAGAAAGAGGAGGGAACTGGGCATAATCCCTGCTTCTCCAGCTTTAGGAATTGGGAGGAGCAGAGAGGACAAGACTTGGAGGAGAGGAAGGGCTGTCATCCTGGTTTTCCTCCTTCCTTTGGCTCTGAGCAGGCCCCAGCCTCTTCAGCAGCTGCCAGCTGGAACTGGAACTGGATCTGGAAGTCCAGGTGCTTCTGGAACTGGAAACAATTGAGACAGACAATTGGGAAGATGGACTGCTGATTCATTGCTCTTGAACCCCTAGGCATATTCCATTTTTGTACATTGGTAATGAGTGAGCATGTCCTCTGAGGCTGGGATAGTGCCTTTTGCTAATGACAGCACAGGGACCCTGAGCAGCATCCGTGGTCATCTCCATCGGTCTCATGGAGCTCTCTGAATTCTTCCCACTGTTTCTGTTTTATTCTTCTTGACATCCCATGCTCTGCTTCTTGGATGGATAATATTCTGCCTAACATCCCATCAAAATGACTTTGAAGGGGGCTGTATTTCCATAACAGGCTGAAACCTAACGGTATTTAGTGGCTCAGCAGAAGGTGAAAGGTGCTGAATTTTAATCAAGGGATTTTTTTCTTTCATTTTCCACACAACCAGATGTAATCCTCCTCCTGCCTTCTGTTTTGTCAGAGACTCACAGTGCCAAGTGGTGATTAAATTAGTATGTGGCGTCACTTAGGTCTGAATGGAAATGTACAACATGGGGAGGAGTCCAGTGAGTGTTGGTTCCAAATGTCCTTCTCAGAATGGTTAAGCCAAGAGATCAACTGCTGTATGCAAAAGATGTAGAAGCAGGCTTGAAAATATTAGGCTGGGTAATTACTCTAGGCCTGGCTTTCAAAGGCAGGCAGCAGCAGCCTTATTAAATACAGGTGACACAACTCCCGAGCTTTCCTCGAGAGGTTTAATCACAATGCTAGGTGCCAAAACACCCTCTGCTTAGATTCCACAAGCATTTCTTGTAAGTCACATCATTATCTACTGCAGAAAAGGGGAGTCCCCACCTTTCGAGCACCAAAATATACTACTACCTCTCCTATCTTGAAACAACACCCAAATCAAATTTTTTCTTGCCTAGCTGTTACCATTTTTTCTGCCCCTACTTAGAGCAACATTTCTCAAAAGAGTTGTCTATAATACATGTTTTCTCTCCAATTCCTTGCCTCCTGTCTTCTGTGTAGTGACTGCAGCCATGCTGCTGCCCCACACTCCACTGAAATGACTCGTATCCAGGTTATCTCCTGTTGCTACATCCCTTGGTCACTTCTCATTCCTCATCTCAGTTGGCCCTGAGCAGCGCTCGATTAATTCTCCTCACCTGCATTTCAAGACACCCCACACTTTCTTGGTTTTTCTTCCATCTCAGGAGTTGCTCTTCATCACTCTCCTTTGTTGGTTCTTCTTCTCTCTAAACTCTTGATTTTGCAGTGTGAAGCTCAGTCCTTGGTCCTCTTTTCTATCTAAATTCACTCTACTTGTGATCCCAATTCTAGGTTATGGCCTTAAAGGCTATCTGCATGCAAATGGTGGGAAAATGATATCTCCAGCCTAGACCACTTTCCTGAATTCCAGATTTTGTATTACATTGGCACCATGGACCACTCACATCTGTCTTCAAAGAAGCACTTGGCCTTCAGCTGCTAGGAGTACAGCTAGCTACTGGTTTCCAGCTATAGTTCCTTTGGGGTCTGCTGCATTGTTTGAGTCGAAGCTATACTCTCCCCAGCCAGTCCCCAGTCAGTGACTGAAGGTGTCAGGGTTACTTCGGACTGGACATTTCTGCCCAATGTGGGGATTCTGTAACTGGCTACCTTAACTCCAGAACATATGATCGTGTTGGGCAAGACTTGTCAGATCTGTATGACAGTCTATACATCTTCCTGACAAATCTTGCTTCATCCTGTTATTTCAGTTACTTAAGGGTAATTTCACTGCAGGTCAGTCTTGGTGTGGTTGCGTACTAGGAACTACGTTATTTAGGGTTTTGTGTTCAGCCTTAGAACCAGGCTTCTCCATATCTCTCCTGGATGTTGGTCTTGTTCCTTCTGCTTATGTCCTTTGCCTGCATATTATCTGCAAGAAGTAAGTTGGCTCCTATTTTTTTCAAATGAAGCTCTCTTCTCTTTCTACTACCTACCATGTGCATGCACACACACACACACACACACACACACACACACACTCACTCACTCACTCCCAGGACCTCCTCTGAGGGCAGCACCCAGATGGTTGCTGACGGATTTCCTGCCTGCCTGCTGTGTGAGGCCTGCCAGCTTAGTCTCTATAAAATGACCTATTTCTCAACTAGAAGTGGACCCCATGCTAATTGCTTGCCTGGAGTGTGACTTATTTCTGGAAATTTCCATTATTGTGTTGAGTCTCTGGCTGGACATTCCCTTCATTACCGGTTTCTAGAGTTCATCCTCCAACCTCTATTCATGTTACCTACAAAGCAGATTGTTTGTTTGTTTGTTTGTTTTAATTCAATCTACCTTTCTACTTTGTCATGCTACAATGAACTCTTTCTCACCAGGCAACCATGTCATAAAGTAAGCCATATATTGGAGAAACCTAGATGTAAACTTTAGAAATTCATTCTCAAATTAGTGCAGATCCAATGACTAGTTAGAGACAGCTGTCCTCATGTTACAGTATCACCAGGGTGACTTGGTTCTGGCTCTGGAGCCCACAACCAATTGATCAACACAAATGTCTCTAGATACATCTACACGTCCTTCTTTATATGAATCTGTAGTGAACACCATAAGGAATTCTAGAGTGAACACCCCTTTAATTAGGGCTTCCTGTGAAATTCCCTGTGTGCTGCATCAGTGGAAGCTACATCTATTTCAGGACCATAGTCATTTGGTGGGATGCTCCTTTCACAGAATGCTTTTGGTGAAGCATGCAGAGAGGAGGACGCCTGTTGTCTGTATTTCAGGAAAATGGATGATGAAGAAGAAAGATGCTATTTATGCCAAGCCTTCAAAAATCTCACAAACTGCTCTGAAATGAGAATTTTGCATTTGCGCTAATTTACACCAAAATATTCCCTTAGTGAAGAAGACAAGCTAGACTGCTGACATTAGTCAGGGTTCTGTAGATATCTATATATTTATATTATAAAGAATTGGCCCACATGATTATGGAGGCTGAGAAGTCCTAAGACCTTTAGTCTGAAAGTTTGAGAACCAGGAGAGCCAATGGTGTAAGTTCTAGCCCAGGTTTGACGGCAAGAGAAGACGAAGGTCCCAACTAGAGACCAGAAGCATATGACAGCAAGAGTGAGTTCTCTCTAGCTTAGTTGTTTGTTCTACTCAATCCTTTAATTGATTGGCTAAAGCCTACTCACAGTGGGAAGAGCAATCTGCTTTACTGGATCCATCTATTGGAATGTTAATCTCATTTAGAAACAACCTGACAGACACATCCAGGATAATATTTAATCAGATATCTGGGACCCTAAGGCCTATTCAAGTTGACACATAGAATTAACTATCACAAGTCTACCTCTTGTCAACGTCACCCATATGCATCTTCCTGAGTCATATTTAATTTCCAAATAAAGATAATAAGGTCATAATTCTACCTAACATGATATAACTATTTTGTGTACAACTGGAAATGAATTAATCCCTTCCCCAGAAGGGAAAGTAAAGTCCTCAAGTGATGTTTATGCTCTTCCTTTGTATTCGAGAACTTAAATATAATATTAATAATACTTAAATACTATGATATAAAGTCAATACATCTTATGTTACATCATAAAGGATAAGATAGGGAAGAAAACAAAGCTATTTGATGTGTGTGTGTGTGTGTGATACATACACACATTCATGTTAATTACAAAATAAGGGGGAATATTCGTGACAATTACAGCCACTATTTCCATAACTTGTCATGAGGTTGTAGTTGGTACTTGTAACTCCCTTCTTCCACTACCCATTATGTATTCCTTTTGCCTTCAGCAAATACCTCAGCAGGCCTGGATCCTTACCTGATGGACTGACATAAGCCTTCATTCCTGAAGGGTCTGGGCCATTCATAGTTCTACCTGGATTGGGATGGATGTTGTAAATTTTCATTGACCTCAATTACAGGACATACTTAGGAGTACTAAGAGACACCTGAGGAACCTCCTATATTTCAGATATACTCTTCCTTACTCCCATTGTGAAGTAGCAGTATAATTTCCCCTTGGTAGTCAGGATCAATCACCCCAGCCAGCACAGTACCTCCCTTCTTTGTTGATTCAGAAGCATGACGATTTCAATGTGGCTGGGTGGCAGTCTTAACTTCCAGTTTGATGGAATCATTGTTGGGTCTCCTGGCAGAAGTATTTCTCCTTTTGGAACTAAGACCTTCAGGCAAGCAGAGCATAAGGTCACAGGAACAGGAGGTAAAAACTTGTATAGTTATTACTGGGTATAATAGTGAGTGGTGCCACTTCTATTTTTACTTCTTGATTCCTAGACTCATGAAGCCTGGCTATGGGAGAAAGAGCACCATATATCAGATCCTGATTCAGAGCATATACAGCCTGCTGGAGAATGTTGCCTCAGCTTAGCAAAGTAGGGCTACTTAGCTGGTGCTATAGTTGAGTCTTCAAATGGCCCCTCCGTCATTACTTTAGGGCAAGTGCTTCAAGATGGTGAGGAACATGATAAAACCAATGAAGTCCATGAACATAAGCCCATCGCCACACTTCTTTGCTATGAAGTGAGTATCTTGGTCAAAAGCAGTGCTGCGTGGAATACTATGATGGTGGATAAGACATTCTGTAAATCCACAGATGGTAGTTTTGGCAGAAGCATTATACGCAGGGAAGGCAAATTTATATCTAGAGTGTCCATTCCTGTAAGAACAAATCATTGTCCTACTATGATGATAGTAATTGGTATTTAGAAGTGAGGTGCCATAACAAATATAAAATAAAGTAAAAGCATTTTTAGAACTGGCTGATGGTTAGAGACTGGAAGAGTTTTCAGGTGCATGCTAGGAAGAGCCAGAATTGCCATGAAAGGGGGACTGTTAAAGGTGATTCTAGGGAGGGCTCAGAAAGAATAGAAGAGTGCTAGAGAGAAAGCTTTCATTTTCTTAGGGAATACATAAATAATCATGAACAGGATGTTGCTGGAAATACGCACAGTAAAGACCATTCTGTTGAGGTCTCAGGTGGAAAAGAAAACTCTGTTATTGAAAACTGGAGGAAAAGCAGTGCGTGTTATAAAGTGGCAAAGAGCTTGGCTGAATTGTGTTCTAGTGTGTTGTGGAAGGCAGAACTTGTGAGCAATAAAATTGAAAATTTAGCTGAGGAGATTTCCAAGCAAAGCATGGAAGAAGCATTTTGATTCCTCCTGACTGCTTATAGTAAAATGTGAGGGGGAGAGAGAAATTGAAGATGGAATTTTTAAGCAAAAAGGAACTAGAACTTGGAAATGGCAAAAATTCTCAGCCTACCCAAATTACAGAAAATGACAATGCTTGCTTTGAAGAGAACAGTAAGGGTGTGGCTGCACAACCATTTGATAAAGAGATCATAGGTGCAGCTTATGAACTTAATCAGCCATTTCAGCAGAGGCCAGGAGTAGAGATGGGATTATAGTAGCAAAGGCAGTGCAATTCAAACTAATGGAGACAGAGAATACAGGACAAAATGAAGGAAAAGTGTTGGACTTCTTGGCTTCTATAAGATGGAAGAATAGAGCTATTTGGCTGCAAACATATGCTGTTCTTCATTAAAAGGGAAGAAGGATCCCTTTTAGTTCAGGCAATTCAGAGATCATCAGGACAGCCAGTCCCACCACAGGCCCACCGTGCACAGGCCTTGCAGAAAAGATCAAGTAAACCTCAGTTTCAAAGTGTGGGAGCACTGTCCCTGCAGAGAGCTGTGGCATGGATGGTAGGCCACCAAGCCCTGGGGGTGACATTGGCATCCAAGTAGATCTGGAGAGCAGAACACTGAGCCAGAGAGGATTTTTCTCTAGCCTTGGCTCTCATAGAATTTACCTTGCTTGGATTTGGACTTCCTTGGGATCTGTCACCTCATCTTTCATTCCTAACTTTTAGAATGAGAATATCTATCCTATGCCTGTCCTCCGACGTATATTTTGGCTTTTACAGGTTCACAGTTGGAGAAAAATTTTGCCTTAAGATGGATTGTATCTCTTATAAGTATGTGATTTAGATGATATTTAGATGAGACTTTGGACTTTTGACTTTAGAGTTGATACTAGAAAGAGTGAAGATTTTTGGGGCTGTTGGGGTGGAATGGTTATATTTTGCATGCTAACTGTGCATGGCTTTTGGGGGCTCCAGGGCAGAGTTATGGAAGAAATATTTGTATACCCTCAAAATTTATATTTGAAGCCTTAGTCCTTTATGGGATGGTATTAGAGACAGGGCCTTTGAAGGTAATTAGGTTTAGTTGAGGTCTTGAGGGTGGAGTCCTCATGGTGCCCTTAGTGCCCTTACAGGAAGAGATTGGGGAGCTAGCTCTCTCTGTGTTTGCCATGTAAGGCACAGCAAGAAGGCAGCCATCTATCCACAAGGCAGCCAGAGAGCCCTGAACAAAACCCAACCATGCTGTCACCTGGTCTCAGGCCTTCCAGCCTCTAAAACTGTGATAAATATCTGTTGTTTTATGGCATTTTGTTACAGCAACCAGAGCAGACTAATACAGGTTGTTTCCCCTTTTGACTATTATGAATAATGCTGCTATGAACATTTGTGTGGAAGTGTTTATAGGGACATATGTTTTCATTTCTCTTGGAATGTAGAAGTAGAATTACTGGGCCTTCTTATGAAAGTTTTATGTTTAACTTTTGAGACACTGCCAAACTGTCTTATCATGTAATTGTACCGTTTTACAATTCTATCAGCAATGTACAAGAAATTCCCATTTCTCCACATCCTCACCAACATATCATTACCTACTTTATTCATTATAGCCATCTTAGTGCTTGTGAAGTGCTGGCTTATTGTGGTTTTAATTCGTGTTTCCCTAATGACTAATCATGTTGAGCATCTTTTCATGTGCTTATTAGACATTCATACATCTTTGGAGAAATGTCTGTTCATGTTTTTTGCCCACTTTTGGATTGGCTATTTGTCTTCTTCTTATTAAGTTGTAGATTTCTTTGTAAATTCTGGATGCAAGTCCCTCACCAAGTTTGTGTTTGCAAATATTTCTGAATTGTTTGATGAGAATTTTGAGGAGACTACTGAATGTGGGCCCTAGGACATAGGGTATTTCATGCATGGTGCCCAAAGTCCTCTTCTCACAGACAGCATTTCTTCTAGTAATTTCTGGTTATGTGAAAAATCAAACTGTTTATATTGTCAGATGGATCCACCAAATGTCTCTTGGATGCCAGAAAACTGCTGATATACTTCCCTGTTAGTTTTGGATGTTAGGGGAGGAGGGATATGGCTTGTTTTACCCATTGGTAACCAACTCTCAAAGAAAACTTCAGCTGGTTACAGAAATTTTTGATAATACAGAGAACAAATGATTTTGTATATCCATTCAATTTATTACTTATTGGCAATGTATTGAAATCTGAAGAGTGCAGCCTCTAGGGGTGTACAAAGCACAGGTACATGGCTTACCTGGCATGTGCTTCCTTCTGCACAGGCCTTCCTAATTTTTCAGATCATGCATTTAGAATTTACAACTTTCTTCACTGGCTGTGACCTGATTTGAAAACACTTGTTCTTTTATGCAAATAATATTTTTCTATGTGTGAAAAATGAGAATAGAATCAACTGTGTGAAATAAAAGAAAATCCAAACTGGCTTTTAAAATGTGAATTAATATCAGGGTTGACATGATGTTTGGAACTTTCCTTGTAGTAACATAATCCTCATTTCCTTTCATTAGTGAGCCACTACCCAGGGAATCACAGGAAGTTTCCCACAATGTTCTCCTCTTTCTCAATTAATGTTAGGTTGTCATCCAAATTAACCTAAAATGAATAGCATCCTAAATATAATTAGCATTCTAATATGAACAGCATCCTAATATGAACAGTGTCTTAAATTCCTACCTGAATTACAAGCTCGATGCATCACTTTCCCATTTTGCTAAATCTACTTTCCTACTGGCTTTAATCATCTCTTTTTTCAGATGGCTCATTTTACAGAAAAGTATGTACGGTGCTAAAATCTCAGAGAAAACTTATAGAATCCAGTGAGATGATCCATGCAAGAGTCCTAGCTCTTAAGGGAAAACTCAGGCATTAAAAAAAATCAGGCATCTTTGTAATAGAATGATTTATATTCCTTTGGGTATATACCCAGTAATGGGATTACTGGGTCAAATGGTATTTCTGGTTCTAAATCATTAAGGACTCTATTATAAAGATACATTCACATATATGTTCATTGCAGCACTGTTCACAATAGCAAAGACGTGGAACCAACCCAAATGTCCATCAATGATAGACGGGCATTTGGATAAAGAAAATCTGGCACATATACACCATGGAATACTATGCAGTCATAAAAAGGAATAAGATAACGTCTTTTGCAGGCACATGGATGAAGCTGGAAGCCATCATCCTCAACAAACTAACACAGGAACAGAAAACCAAACACTGCATGTTCTCACTCAAAAGTGGGAGCTGAACAATGAGAACACACAGACACAGGGAGGGGAACAACACAAACTGGGGCCTGTAGCGGGGATGCGGGGAGGGAGAGCATCAGGACAAATAGCTAATGCATGCTGGGCTTAACACCTAGGTGACGGGTTGATAGGTGCAGCAAATTGCCATGATACACGTTTACTTATGTAACGAACCTGCACGTTCTGCACATGTATCCCGGAACTTAAAGTAAAATGAAATTTAAAAAAATCAGGCCCGTAAAGTTCTATTCAACAGATAAAATTTCTTTAGTCTTATATGAGATTTATAAATCCTTACTTCTTTTCTCACCTGTAAATTTTAAACATGCACTGGAGTGGGGAGGTAGGCACGTGCCCCAGCAATATGCCCATGTGAAATTCCCACATTTCAGAGAGGAGAAGAAACTTACAATCATTACAATTGCAATCATATGGTGAAATGCATATAAAAACAACTAAATATGTTGTGACACATAGTTCCTATTATTGCTTGTGTTGCTCTGAGACAATGTAAGAGTTGCATTTTTCACAAACATAGAAAATAAAAACCAAGACACTGTGAGCATTTCTTCATGAAGACTTCTCTATTCCTGCTCAAGTCACCTCCATATATCACCACCTCTTTGCATGGCTCTCCTCATTCAACTTTTTTTGAAGTATTGATCTACAACAAGTACACTCAGGATTCCTTCGAAACAGAATTCTCATGAAAATCAAATTGAAATGAAGCAGACAAAAAGGTAGAGATCGTTCATATTTCTGCCCTGAATTCTTTTAGGTCTGTGGCATTAGCCCAATATTTAGTTTCTTTTCTTAAAACGTAATTTCTTCTAGATATTGATTTGCACCAACAATACCCATATGAAGAATATTGGGGTCACTAATCACTCAGTGTTAGATCCAGGAATACCGAATCACAGAAAGCATACCATTTGACCTTACCCTAAGTTAAATGTGGGTTATTGAAAACCTGTTTAATACATTTTAGTAAACGAAATCATTTTAAATACACGGAGAGGTCTGCACTTTTAGCAACAGGCTATGGTGGACTGTAGGAAGTGATCAAGCGGAGTGTTTCAGTGTCAGTAACTGCCTCCTGATTGGTTTGTTCTAAGAGTATGGAGCATAGTGTGCGTCTCTTGGATTTGTAGCATGGCTGCTCCTGTCTGTGCCACAAGGGGCGCTTCTTAGGCCCACAGTGGAATTGTGTATGAGGGGGGATGAATTCATGAGGAAACAGGCTTTAAGTTTTCACAACTTGGCATCATCTGCTGGTCCCTTTTCTCTCCATCTAATTACTAACAAGGGGCTGGACCCAATAGGGGATCCAAGAGAAAGTATCGCCCACTTCCTGAAAGCTTCTCCAGGCTGAGCCCTTGCTAGAGATGAACAAAGCCAAAAGCAGGGTCTGATAAACGTGTCAAAGCAGGGACAAGTTTTGACTTTATGAAAATAACGTATTTCCATGTACCACACCCAGTAGAAGAGAAGGTCTCATATTCTTGGGCTTTTGGGGTGCCATATATCTATGTCTGTCTTCATCTACATTTTCATTTGTGTCTAAATATCTATATGCATAATCATCTATGTATCTATCTGTTCCCTCTTATCTGACATCTGTTTCCTCAATCTCTCCACTCTTTCCCTCAGAGCCACCCTATAGCCCATTGCCTAGTGTGTCTACTTCCCTCTGTCAGATACCTCTTCTGCTTCTCCTAAGAGGAAGGAATCCTAAATCCTTGGCCCCTTAATATGCTTAAATTCCCTGGCAGTTGAGAATTTAGCCTCAGGCTAATAAAGACCTTTCTTTACACGCACTTTTGGGGTACCCAATAGGGAAGGAGTAGGTTTAAGAAAATGGTGGTGCTCTGATGCCAGTTCTATTTATTTATGAAAGAGGTCTGTAGCTGACCTACCTAAGATCTTGCTTGCCACTGTCAGATTTATTTTCTTCCTAGGCAAACAGAGTCTGGTCCCTTACAAGGAATAATGTGACTTGATTACTAGAATTTTGCATCAACTTGTTATAAAACAACTTTTTGGAAAGCAGTTTCTAAGCATTTGACTTCTTCTCAGTTTACTTATGCTTCAAGAGACCTTCGTGTTGTGGAAAATATCTCTTACCTATCCAGAATGAATGAATTACCACAAAAAGTCCACACACTTGGGTTATGTGGGTGTAGGATAATTCTCAGTTTATCCTTCCGCATATGTAATGCCATGACCAACTTCAACTGCTTGGAGTGTAAGAGCTTACTGTGTTGCTAAGTTTTCAGATTAGCTCCTTATGAATCACCAAGTGCAGATGAGCAGGAACTTGAGCCTCTCCAGGGATAAAGCCTTCTGCCTCCATTTATCTGAGAATCCAGGGAGCCTGCTCAGTCTATAGGGACCAGTCCTATTCCTGATCCTTTACCTAGAGATAAGTGCAGAATCTAGTCAGTTTGCTACCAGGGTCTTGTTGTCCTGGGTCCTGATTACCATTGCTTTGCAACCATGAGGAAGGCATTGGTGATGCAGATGGCTGCAGAAAATACAAGGGTTCTTTGCAGGCAGAAGGCCCCCTCGCCTTAGTATCCTATTTGGCCAGAGGTGTGCATCTTGGGCTCCTTTGGTTACACCGTCTTTAGGTGATACTTATGTGCTTAGCCAACCCCGTGGAGAATATTGGTGAACCATCTACCCCTCATGTCCTTACTCATCACTGGGCTCCAGCATTCTCTTTTCTATCCCTTGAACCCACAAGGCTTAATAACTTCTAAGAATATTTGCACAAACTACTTCTCTGCCTGAAAATATTTGCCCCTGATATTTGCAGGGCTCATTGTCCTTGAGATCCCTAATGTCAGGCCTGGCATCACTCTATATTAATTCTCTGCACAGCATTCATCACCATTCGATATGTGTGTTTGTTTGTTGCTTACTGTTTACCTCTCCCTATAGAAGGTAAGCTCTTTGGGAGTCTGGACTTCATCTGCCTTTTATACTTTTGTATTTTCAGTTCATAGAAGAGTGCCTGTGTAGGGTAGGTAAATATTTGTTGAATAAATTAATACTTGAATGATTTTTCTTGTTATTTATGACTTCTTACCTTTGTCTTGCTTAAAAACTACACTGTCAACGTTTTGAGGACAATGATTTTCCTTACAGTTTTCTGAAAAGTTTAGTCATTTTTGAAAAAAAAAACAGTGGGAATGAAGAGAGGAGACAATCATTTATAGGACATTTACAGAATTTTATTTACAGGAAAGCTACTTTTGACAATTTCTCTAAGTAAAATTTATTTCCTCCATCTCTCTGTTCTCTCTCTCGCTTGCTATTTTTTGTCCTCTTTCTTTACCTTCCTTTCTTTTAGCTTGGCCTTTATTTGTACATTGTTTATAGATGAAGGCAAGCAGTTCACAGGGAGGAGCACATGGAAAGGGAAGGCATCCTGATCCATGGTTCTTTGCCTGTTCATTCTAAACCGACCTTGACAAATTAATAAAGAAATACTTACGGCCTTGTCATTTTACTCTAAATTATGTTTTATATTAATCAAGTATATCCAGTTAACAAAAACAAATATGTCTATAAATCTTCTAATAGAAATGCCTATTCTATTTAATTTCATATTTCTGAATAAAATAGTTTTATATATTAAGTTTTCAATTTTATAGAACACTTATTAATATTCTGCTCTGAAGGAGTAGTTCTTTTAGATAGTTATTTTTCACTTTCTGTCTCTCCCCAACTTACAGTTAACTCCTCTATCCTCCTAATACTGCTAAATCAATATTAAGTGTTTATATTACTCTGCCTATGAAATACTGTTCACAGACAAGTTACCTATAGTTCTGTAATTACAAATAGTCTCTTGTGCAGCTTTTTACTTTCTTGTGAGTTAAAAATTACATTATTTTTCATTTGCTTAATTTTATATGTACCTATTAATTCATTCCTTATTTTGCAACAAAGTTGTAAAGCTCCTCTCAATAAGATCAAACACACCCAGAAATTGAATCTATTAGTTTTATTTTCTTTCCACTGGAAGACCTTTCCTGAAGCCTTCCGTTTTCCTGCTCCACGTTGGCCAGTTCGCACTCTAGGCCAGGGATCTGCAAGCTTTTTCTGTAAAGGGCCAGATAGTAAATATTTTAATCTTGTGGGTCATAAAGTTTTCATTGTTGCTACTCATCTCTTACATTGTAGTGAAAAATCAGCTCTAGACAATATGTAAATGAATGGAAATAGCTGTGTTCCAATAAAACTTTATTTATACAAGTAGACTGCCATCCCACTGCCATAGTTTGAGGAGTTTAAAAACTATGGCAGTCTACTTGTATGAATAAAGTACTGCTTCCCAGCTGTCATCCTAGATCCACTTTCACCGTCATCCTGTGAAGTCCATTCATGTCTCTCCTATATTTAATCTCCTGTTTTTGGATCTAATTTTTTCCTTTTTCTTTGTTTCCTTTCTTGGTGAAACTCACCTTTCTGATTAAACTTAGCTTTCTAATAAAAGTTGCATGGTAGGTAATATTTTGAGACCTTAGTTGAGTAAAAATGTCTGTATTTTCCTCCACCACTTCCTTGATGGTTTGTCTGGGTACAGATTTTTAGGTTGGAAGTTAGTTTCTGACAATATGAAGATATTGCCCCATGGCATTCTAGTTTCCATTGCTCACTTTAAGAAGTCTGATGCCATTCTGATTCCTAATTTTTAAAATCTGACTTGATTTTTCAATCTTCTTTTTTTCTATGAAGTGTTTTGGATATATAAAATGTTATACATGGTAATATGAAAATATCCATGTGCCTACCACATAGCTTTAAAAATGGAGCATAACACAGAGCACAGGTTAAAATGTCACGTACACCACTTCCCAATCCTATTTCCCTATTTCATTGGCAAAAGCAATCATAATTAGTGTTTTAACTTTCCATGCATTTTTACTTTTATTACATAAAATACATCCCAAGACAATATATAGTACTGATTTGCACGTATTCAAATTTAATATAAATGAATTTATATTATATATTATTAATATGTTCTGAAATTTACATTTTTCTTTTTATGTTTATAAGATTTATCTGTGTTGATACATGCAATTTTATTTATTATTTTCTTTAATTAAAGGACACGAGTTTCCACATCAAAATGGCCACTAAATAGCTATAACAATGATGAACCAGGACCTACATTAAGGCACATCATTATGACATTTTAGAATTCTAGATGTGAGATTCTGAAAGCTTCCAGAGAGAATAATTAGGTCATGTGGTGTGCCAAACAGTTGTCTGTATATAAATCTATTCCAGTTCTTCTGTGCTTTAGGAGACTAAAAGCCTGCTAGCTCTATTTCTTAGACTGTAGGCTGCTGGGTTCTAATTATGTTCTATTATAGAAGGCCCTGGGATGAGATTGGAAGGTGGGAGAAAGAAAACAGCCATATTACTTCTGGGAGGCACCCCCTCATGCCTCTTCATGCTCCATTATTAGCTGCATGGCACCTTCAGTAGGGCCAAAAAGTTCAGGCTCAGGGGTCCAGCCAGGGATAATGGCAGCTTCCTCATCTGGATAACACTCAGACCTCTCTCGCTGCTTCAGGATCTGACTTCTGTCCTTTTTTTCTGCAGCTCTTCTACCACCTCAGTAACCAGTTCCCTGCTTTCAATATAGCTCTGTTTTCGTACTTTTCCTTGATTGACACATTTGGTTTCTGCAATATGACTGACCAGCTTTTCTAAAAATTCTCCTACTGCAAGCACCTAGAAATGCTGGATGAAATACATACATATATATTATATATATATATATAATATATATAATATACTTCCATTTAAATTATTGGTTTAGTGCAAAAGAATGTAAAGGAAATACTTATGGGCCAGAAACAAAGTAGGAAGTGAAACTTTAAACTTTAAAAATAACAAGTTTTTAGTGAGGATTTGAAGCAGTTGAGCCCACGTAACCTATGAGGAGAAGTATACATTGATATGGCTTTGGAAAGCAGTAGGTTTCTTTACTAGCAACAGCTAGTAAAGAAGATGAGCATTCCTCAGGACCCAGCTATCATACTTCTAGATATACACAGCCTAGAGAAATTCTCTCATATTTGCCAAAGGAGAAATGTCTAATGAAGATTATAGCAGCATTGTTTACAATAGTGAGAACTGTTGTATCTATCAAAAGGAGAAATGATACATTGTGGTATAGTAAAAAGTGATGTGGAATACACCAGTTAAAATTAATGAGTATGGCCTGTGTGACTGTTAACAAGTCTCAAAAATGTAATCTTGGTTGAAAAAAAGCTGTTTGTGAAAGCTTGTGATTATTCATTCTTTATATGAAAATTTTAAACATGCAAAATAATACTGTATGTTGTTTACAAATGTAGGGTACTGAGTAAAAGTATGAATACATGTAAAAGCATGCATAGAAATGATAAATACCAGATTCTAGACATTAATGAGCTCTGCGGAGGAACCAGAAGTGTTGGATACATTTGAAGGATGCAGAAAAATACAACTGATTCTGTAATGTTTTACCTGTAAAGAAAAGAAATATCTAAAACAAATATGGCAAAACAGATTTGGTGTAGCTGGATTGATGGGGATTATTCAAATGTTTATTTTCTCTATTTTTTGCATACTTGGAATAAAAATAACATATAAAGTTATTAGGCATGGGAATTTAATATCCCACTGTGATATTCTGGGCTCAAAATCAGTCATGTATATTTTCATTTTAATGAAAGAATCTTTAAAGTCATTGAGATTATTAATTTTAATTTATTACATGAAAGGAGTGTCTCTAAAATATCACCATTTTATGTTATCCTCAATTGTAGTTTAAACTTTGTGCATGTCATCTGGGTGTGGTGGCACCTGCCTATAATCCTAGCTACTTGGGAGGCTGAGGTAGGAGGATTCCTTGAGCCCAGGAGTTTGAGGCTAGCCTGAGATTTATCTGGTTTTGTTTTGTTTGTAGTGAGACCTTTCTCTACACATGAAACAAAACAAAACACAAATTTTTGTATGTTTTGAAATGTAAAACATTTTTGGAGACTGGAATAAGGATACACTTGAAAAACCACCTACAATTATAACTCATGCTAAAAAACTTTTAAGTAAAATCTGTTAAATATATTATAGCTAAACCTTAATAATGACAAATCATGTCTTAAAAATGAATAAAAATTAACAAAATATTAAAGGTGACTTCAGTCACTAATTGTCATTACATATGTTCAGATATTCAGTATGATGAGATGACAATATTAGGATGTAAATAACATAAAACATATAATTTGTAAATTAATATGTTTATTCTATATATTATTTTTCTTGCTATAATTTCGGACAATTCTCTGTTTCATAATTAAAACTGTGTTTTGCTGCGAGGAGGAACCAAAGAATTGAATAATAAAATATAATCATATTCAAAGTGAACAAAATTGTATTCTCATTAAAAATAAAACTAAAATGAATACATCTAAAACATTAAAAAGTTCATCCTAAAATATCTTAAAAATTCTATTATAAATAAAAGAGAAATACAAATTCTACCATTAACATTTAAAATAAAATTATATAAGTAAGGTTGAAACATTTTCTTACTTTTTGAAAAAGTTAATGGTTAATAAAATCTTACAAAATGTTCGTATGAAAATAAAACTTTCCATTCCAGGGCTCTCTGTCCCTCTCTGTCAATATCAAGGAAAGCATCAGACTTGATTTACACTTAATCTACATCTCCAGCTATTCAGATTTTAGCTGGACATAAATCTGTTTAGTGTTGCAAAATTATCCTTGGTGCTATGGGCAACTGTTGTGAACACCTTGTTAATTTGTAAGATCCTCTGGAATCACCAACTGGAACAGAAGGAGAAGCTACAAATGAGAGCTAGGCACTAGAGGGAAATGATATGTCTATTGCATTCATTTTATCTAAGACAAAATACTGACAAGTTAATTAATTTGTTTTCTCACTTTCCCAATCAAACCCTCCCCTCACTTCTAAGCCACATGCATTCTTCATGCTGGCACTTCACAGCCTGCAAACCCGTGCCTGTTGGGTTCAATCGCCTTTTGTAAGAAAACTGAGGGCAAGAGGTGTGGCTTCCAGAGATGAAGTCACCAGCAGGGACATTTAGGGGACAGGCTGTGTTGTGCCTAATCCCAAGTGACAGAGGAGCTTGTATGCTCTTTAATAAATGTGTTTTTTTGTGTGATTTTTATGGGGCCCAAGTGGGGGACTCCTCTTGCTACGGTCTGAAGATGGTGCTGTTAAAAATTCTTAAGATCAGAAAAATTAATTCTATTTGATTTCCAAGAGTCTTGAAAATGAGTCATGTACCTTGGGCTGGTCACACAGTATGGTATATCTATGCAAATGAATAGAATGAAAATAAGTCAATTTTAAATAAAGTGAAGAGAGGACATGTTAAAATTATCATGAAAATTCTTTCCCCAAAAGATTTTTTTAAATCTTATTTTTGTGTTTGAGGCAGTCTTAAAAGATAACAATGCATGCCACCTCCAGCACTCTATTGGGGGTCTTGGCATCTCATTAGCCCTTGCACCAACCCCACGGCTTCGTTGTATTTTGGGGCCCAGTTGTTTAGCGGTTTCTCATCAGTAGAACTGAAATTCAAACCAGAGCTGGGCAATTTCAGAGCTCCTTCTCTTATCCACTTTGTCAAGCTGTGGGTCCTGAAGAATACATGGTTTGTACAGGTGAATGGATAAACAAATGCAATCCATCCATTCAATGAAATATTGCTCAGTCATCAAAAAGAATGAAGTTCTGATACATGCCTCAGTGTGGACGAACCTCAGAAACATCATTCTCAGTGAAAGAAGCCAGGCAGAAAAGACCACATACTGCAGGATTCAATTTATATGAAATGTGCAGAATAGGCAAATTCAGAGAGACAGGAAGTAGATTTGTAGTTTCCAGAGACTGGAGGGCAAGGTGAGTAAGGAGTGACTGTTTCATGGGTGAGGGGTTTTACTCTGGAGCGGTAGAAATATTTTGGAACCAGGGAGATTTGTACAACATTGTGAGTGTCCTAAATGCCACTGAATTATCCTTTAAAACAGTTAATTTTATGTTATAGAAATTTAACCTCAATAACAAACATGCATAATTTTTATTTTGTTTTACCATAAAGTGATTTCTGCATTTTTATTATCTTAATGCTAAACCATATGTCTGCCATGGAATTTTACTTTGGGGCCCTTTTAATAAAACAAGATGGCATTTTTACACAATGTTATTGGTCTTATACAATTTGAAATTGTTAAGAGAGGCAGTTTATAATATGTGCAAGTATATGTGCACTCGAATGCACATTTTTATTGGTTGTTGTATGTGTGGTGCTGGTGGGGATGTTGAAGACAGGGTGACGGGGGAGATATTAAATCAGAAACCAAGATGTAGATGTGGAAATACACTGTAAGTGGCCCTTGCTTGAGAGGGACCACACTCACACAACTTAGTTCCTATAAGGTCACAGACATGGTTCTGTACTTTGAGATGTTGCTGTTGGCTGCAGATTCTAGGCTTGGGCCTCTTCAGCCTGCTGTGGAGGGGGAAGAAGAGTAAGGGGGAGGATGGCTTACTTGCCTGGGGGTAAAGCAGATAGGTTGTAACAGATGGTGGCAGGGTTCTTCTGAAACTAGGCCCCTGATTCTTTTGCATCCTCATGAGCCTTGCTCACTCTCCCTCCTTACAGGGCTCTGTTTTTAAAGTACATATTGTTTCTCCAGCCTGCCCTCTTCCCTTTGCCCACCAGTTGCCGGGGTAAGCAACAAATAGGTGTTTGAGGGGAGTAGCCACTGAGATCAGACATGCTATGTGGAGAATGGTGACTCATAGACTTGGTGGGCAGACAAATCCAACACCCAGGAAAACCAGCAAAGACTTGTGGTGACCCTGCTTTTTTGGAAAGCACTCAACACGTGGCAAATATGTTGTCTGGCATTTGAGGCCATAGCACAGACTATGAGCTCTCATTAATGAATTTATTTATTATTATTTTTTGAGAGAGAGTTGTGCTGTGTCACCCAGGCTGAAGTGCAGTGGCGTGATCTCAGCTCGCTGCATCCTCTGCCTCCTGGGTTCAAGCGATTCTCCTGCCTCGGCCTCCTGAGTGGCTGGGACTAAAGGTGTGTGCCACTATGCCCAGCTAATTTTTGTATTTTTAGTAGAGACAGAGTTTCACCATGTTGGCCAGGCTGGTTTTGAACTCCTGACCTCAAATGATCTGCCTGCTTCGGCCTCCCAAAGTGCTGGGATTACAGGTGTGAGCCACTGCGCCCAGCCTCTTTAATGAATTTAATGCCAGTTATCAGTACATTGTAATTTGATCACATTGTTTCATACATATTCTGGGACATCCTAAAATTGTACATGCAGTGAGTCATCTTACGTGCTCTACCTAATTTGATTTCGTTTTGCATTTCAAATCATAGTTTACTGGGCAACTACTGTACAGTGCACGCTGTAGGGAGAGTAAAGAAAATGGGTCCGACATTGCAATATACATGGAGCAGGTGCACTTTCATTATCACACAAAGCAATCCTTTCCCAGATATTTCCAAAAGCTGAAATTGTTGAACAAAAATAGCTCTTGTATATACAATAAAGGTGTCCAAAAATATAAACTGTTCTAACTAATAGAAAACAGAATTGATGCATCCAAATGAAAACATTTTAACCAACGCAATTCACATTGGTATAATAAAGTCCTCAGCTTTTTAGCATACATACCACATTATTAAATATCAAAATATGGGTTAGTAGTAAAGGGCTTATCAGTACTGTTTGAAGGGAGATGCTTGAGTTCCTGGTAAATTCTCTGTCTCCCATAAGCAAGCTTGCTCACCAGGGAATGACCAGGGCCTGTGAGTACATGGCTCATGCCCCTCTATGAGTGGAACTCAGGCTTGCGCATGGCTAACTTCTCCATGAGTGAACTCATCCTACCCTTTAAACATTGCAGTTTCATCATTTTATTTTGCTTTTTATACTCTTATGTTAAATATTTCAATACAGAAGGACACACATGCATCGCGCATTGTTTAAACACAATGGAAGTAGACAAGAAAGCTAACACTTTTCCTCAGGGAGTAATGTTAATCAGATAACATTTAGTGTTCAGCTTAAATACTTAGTGGCACTTGCAAACAAATTCCCTTTTTGTCGAGAGATAGATTTTAATTTTCCAGCCCTACAAGAGAGGACAGTTAGATCCCCTGAGAGTTTGGGGGTTCATTGTTTCCAGTTGGCTGCAGAGCAAAGAAGGACGATAGCAGCTTGAGGTCCCCTGGCATGTTCAGAAGCTGCGTATCACTTCTCCCAATTACAGCTCCTTGAGGATGCCATCAGTATGCACCAGCGGTTTCTCACTATTTTTTTTTTTTTTTAGCCAGAAGCAAATGAATATATTATCTGTCCGAAGCAAGACATGGGGCAAATGGATCTATGAGTCGTGGGTGATTGGGACTCCTCGCTCGCGTGGGGGTGTGACTGTACTTCAGAACTCATTTTCACCGATGCTGACATACAAGACAGTCCTCGGAGACCTGTCTATCAAACTGCAACATGCTCTGCAGAAAAATTAGATTACTCATGCTCAGACAGAGGGGGCGATGGCAATTTAGAGTGGCCCCTTAAATGCCAATTACACTTGTATTTACAAAACAAATTAAACCCACGTATAGGACATTGTTCACACTGGCTGCTCTGGCTGTGTATGTACAAGGTTCTGCACTGGTGTTTGGAAAGTCGTGAAGAAACGCAAGCGTGCGCACACTTGGACACCCACCCACATGCAGTCAGCATGTACAGCTTTTTCTCTCCCGTTTAAATTTAATTTTAATAACCCTGAAAGGCTCAATTTATTTATTTAAGTAGCTAGATACACTGTTTTACTATTATTGCCAAATAACTCTGTTGGCAAGTACACTGCTTAAATACCTGTTATCCATATCCAAATATCCGTTATCAGCGAGAAATTTGCAGGTGGATTCTCTTTGTCTGTCAGAGGAGAGGCTAGAGCAAGGCTTCCTGTGCTTTCCATAAGGAGGCATTGCTGGGCTCTGCATTTCATTCACAGTGTTTGCATAGTTACCGAAGACAACAGCTGGATCAAAACCCATAAGATGGACCCAATTCAGTTATGTGCAGGCTTGCCAATAAAAATCTATTTTTAAATTAAACTTAAACTAGTAAATCATGTAAGAAAAAATTATATATTGAAGGTGCAATGAAGTCTCATAGAAGACAAGAAGGGCTCAGGGAAGAGAGATTTTAAAATAATCCAGAGGAGCACATGGTGACTGTTGGCTGAAAATAGACTCTGGTGCATGGGGAGGTTGAGTACTTCCCAGCCCCTCATGGAGGGCTTTTCACAACACTGGATACTGAAAAAGCCTGGCTGGGATAAGATTTTCCTCCTCGTAATGATACGAGAGTGCCAGGCTCTTTGAAGCTCCCTGAGTATGTTCTGAAATGCTAATTGAGCATTTGGATCCCCATCTAGGAGGGTATTTATTTGGATTTACTTGTATCAGCTCCGTGGCAAATTCTGCCCGATTCTTGTGATCAATGTAGTAATCGTGGAGGATTTCTCTCATTTACAACACCCCAGACTGTGTGGCACTTGCAGCTTAGCACCATTTTTTTTTTTCATATCTCCACATTTCAGTATCTTTTGCTATATAATGCAGCATGGATTTGTCTGTCCAGCATTCTGTCATCCAGAAAACTCTATTAACTTTTGTATCTGTTCTTTGCTGCTATTGGGATAATTGATGTTCATTATTTTGACCCTGAAGCAATTCAGGTTCCTTTTGAATCATGCAGGATTCCATTATATTTCGCAGGGGTGGGAGTGAGGGAGTCTCTGTCCTGAGACCGTGTAGCAGTTTGAGAGTCGCAGCAGTGTCCAGCACAGGACAAGCTAGAGCTTCATAGAAGAAGTCCTCCTTGTTTGGCCAAGAAATGCTGTTCCCTCACTTTTCTCCATCCTTTATGCATGCACCCAGTCCACATTTTCTTTTCTCTTTTTATGACAAAGTCTGTTTATTCAAAAAATATAAAGAATTCTCAAAATTTACAGTAAGAAAACAAACATCTCAATAAAAAATGAGCAAAAGGCTTGAGCAGACACTTTGTCAAAGAAGGTAATATGTGGATGGCAAATAAACACATGGAAAGATGCTCAACATCATTATTAATTAGGAAAATGCAAATTAAAACCACAATGGGATAACACCATTCACCTATTAGATTGACTAAAACAAAACAAAACAAAACAGAATGAAACAAATGGACAATTCCAAGAGCTGTTGGGGATGATGTGGAGCAACTGGAACACATATTGCTGATAAAAATATCAAATGGTACGGTCATATTGTATTCTTAGAAAATATTGGCAGTTTCTTATAAAGTTAAACATATACTTATTGTATTGCCCAGCAATTCCACCCTTAGGTATTTATCCAAATGAAATGAAAATTTATGTTCACACAAAAACCTGCATACAAATATTTAAAATAGCATTACCATAAATGCCCCAGACTGGCAACAACCCAATGTCTTTCAACTGGTGAATCCATCCAATGGAATGGTATATCCATCCAATGGTGTATCCATCCAATAGAATGCTCTTCAGCAATAAAGAATGAACTATTTCACATGCACCAAAATAAGTGACTCTCAATGCACTTTTCTAGGTCAAACAAGCTAACGGCTACATATGGCATGATTTCCATTACATGACACCAAAGAAAGGATAAACTACAGGGACGGAGAACTGATCAGTGGTTTCTAGGAACTCAGGGAAAGTGGAGTTTTGTACTATGATAGGGCAGCATATAGGCATTTTTGGGATAATGGAGCTGTTCTAAATCTTACTTGTGGTATGATGGTATCACTATGTGTTTTCCATGGCTCAGAATTATATGCCAAAATATGTGATTTTTACTTATGTGAATCTAATCAAAAATTTAAAAAGCCAAGGCATATCTGACTCGGAACTGTCAACAGAGCAAAACCAATGTTTATTGAGTTTTCTATTATGAGCAGGGCCTCAAGTGGTGTTGTGAGGAGAACAAAGCCTCATAGTAAGCTCCTTCTCTCCATAGACACCAATCCACTGGAAGACACAAGCAAGCACACAAATAACTACTATGAGGCAGTTGAGGAATATGAGATCAAAACAGGAGCAAAGAAGGCAGAAGTGAAGAACGCTGAATTCTTACAAGGAAAATGCTAAGCTTGGAGAACTGTAAGGCTGAGTCATAGTAAAGAATAAAGCAGATTGTAAACCGACAAGAAGGAGATAGGAGAAAGTTATGAGTATGCAAAAATACTTGATCTGGGAGGGTAGGGTAATAAAAGAGTACTCTAACTGCAATTAGATTGAATCAATGGACGCAGCACACAATTTCTGAGTGTGTACATCTACCAGGCCCTCTACTGGGCACGGAGACACAAAGATAGATTAAAATCAGGCCCTTTGTCTAAGCAACCCCCAGTGTAGAGTGGGACCAACTCCTGATCTGATAGTTATAAAACAGTGATAATGATTTGCAGTGTGTTTTTGAGTGCGGAGGATGGACACCTACATTGGCAGAGGCTTGAGAGAGGTAGGGGTTCGGGCTTTCTGGCTGAGATAATGGTCAAATTGATTGTGAAAGCTTGGATGGGGGTTAGTGGGGTGGATAGGGCTAGGCAGAGGGGAGGGATGAACAGAGGCTTAGGGCTGTGATACAGCGTCTACTGGGAAATACAAGTTGTTCATTGTTGTTGGAAGATAGTGTGCAAAAGGAAGATGCTGGAGTGGTGTGTGTGTGTGTGTGTGTGTGTGTGTGTGTGTGTGTGTGTGTGTGTAGTGGGTACAGATCGTGAAAGTCCTTGTATCACATAAAGAAGCAGCTTCCTTTTGAGCCTGTGGGGGACCACTATAGGGTTTCAAACAGCGGCGTATCCTAAGTCACGCTCATGGTCAAATTTTTGTTTTAGGTTGGAGTTTTCTATAACTTTTCTTTTTGGCAGCAGAAGATCACCACTTTCTTATTCTCCAAATTCATTCCTAAAAGGAGATTGCTTCATGCATGTTAAGGGGCAAATGCTTCTGCCTCATGAAGCAGATTGAAGTGGTGCTTTTCTGTTTGTAGCAGCTCTTGTGGCTATGAGCTGCCTGGATTGACTTTTCCAGGCCCTTAGCTGTGGGGCTTCCTAAGACACTGCCTGAGGAACTAGAGGCCTTTTGTATACAGCTCCTTTATAATGTCTAGGAGAGGGATGATTAGGACCTGGACTGAGCTGGTAAAAGCAGGACTAGGGGAGAGGGAATGATTTGAGAAATGTTTAGAAGGAAAATCTGGTACGTGTAGGAGGAAGCCCTATGAAAACTTTGCCTGTTTGATTCATTTACTTCAGCAACTGATAAAACAGCAAGTCCTATTGCTTGACCCCATGTGGGAGACTCATTGGGTGTCATTAGTAAGACATAGATGGTATTTTCCTTCCAGAGAAGATGAAGAAACTTCTTAGTGCTCCTGGATTCAGAGCCCTTCTCAGAGAAGCTGAGGTTTTCTCGTGTGTGAAAGGGAGATAAATAAAAGCATTGATCACAAAGTTGAAAAAGAAAGCAACTTGACCTTCACAAAACCCGAGGAAGGGCTGTGGCTTCAGGTGGCATGAGAGTTAACTCCTGAGACCTCATCGATGGTGAGGTCCCAGAGAGGATTCTCTGCATGAAGCTGAAATAACTCAATACTCAGAGCCCAGGCACAATATTGGCATATGTCAGGGTCTTGGCAGGGGAGATCTTACCAAGGCATAGCCCATTCAGGTAAGGGTGTCTGGTGTTTCTTGCTCTATCATTTGGCAATGAGGTTGCAAAGGCAGTTACCAGATCAGGAGGGAGACCACCACTAGGGCCTGTCCTTCAATAGCATTGCCATTGCCTGGGCAGACTTTCTCTCCAGTCTTCTAGAAGACCCAGAAGATGGGCAGCACAGCAACGGGAGCAGTGGATTTCCTGCCTATGTGGCAAATGGAAGTTTTAGCTGATTCTAATCTAATTTATGGAAACAGAAGAGATACAATTGGGCAGCTATTTCAAATGTGAACAACTCCTGCCTAATAGAATTGGACTGATTCAATTCATGGATGAGGGTGAGAGAAAAACTCAAAGAGTACTCCCAGGTTTTTTAGCTTGAGT
Organism: Homo sapiens; assembly: GCF_000001405.40. Classification (NCBI taxonomy): domain Eukaryota; kingdom Metazoa; phylum Chordata; class Mammalia; order Primates; family Hominidae; genus Homo; species Homo sapiens. The sequence goes on along the minus strand of NC_000015.10, from coordinate 97,834,310 downwards.
CACTGGTTAGATGGAATAATATGCTGCAGAAGAATAACACAGGAGAAAAGGTAGATTATGAAACACTCAATTTGAGGGCATTAAATCTAAGGGCACAATCGATTCAAATACAGAGAGGCTGCATCATTCTAAAGTTACATGTCAGCTCAGGATTTAGATGACTTGATTATGGCTGGGGAATTTCTCTGTGCCTCAGTCTCCTTCTCTGGGAAACTGAAAAGAAAATAGTGTAGTGGTTTTTAAAAATGACCTAATAATTCTTTGGCACTTTTCCCATTGAGATGTTGGATATTATTTCCCCAATTCTGAATCTGGGCAAGGTTGTGACTGCTTCAACTGACACAGCATGACAAAAGTGACACAGTATGACTTTAGGGGCTGCATCATAAAAGGCAATGCAGCGTGTCTGTTTCCTGCAGGTGCACTCATTTTTGGAGCCCTGAGCCTACATATAAGAAGTCCAACTACCATGAGGCTGCCATGCTGTGAGGAAGCCCAATCTACATGAGACACATGTAAATGCTTGATTGATTGCCCTAGGCGAGGTTCCAGCTGAGAGCTAGTATCAGCTGCCACACATATTTGTGAACATACTTTCAAAAGCCCCCAGTTTTTCAGTCACTCTAGCTGCCCTATCTTCTCAGGTGAGGTCCTAGACCTCATGGAGCAGAAACAAGCCATCCCTACTGAGCTCTGTTAGAATTCTGGATCCACAGAATAATAACATGATTGTTTTATTCCACCAAGTTCTGGGACAATTTGTTATACAGAGATAATGTATCCAACACCAGGAAGAGATTAAATATGGAAGCTATTTATTAAAGAAAATACCTGGAAGAGAACTTTGAGAGAAAGCCAGGAGAAACTTGGAGGGCTATCAATTGATAATGCATGTCCAATCCCTTACTGAAGGAGACAGGGAAGGAAGGTGGAAGTTTGGGCAGAGTTGAGCTGTTATAAGGCAAGTTCAGTGGGACTGTTGAGGAGTCCTTGAGCTAAATCCATCTGTCAGAGGATCTTCATCCCTGAAGCACTGAAAAATGTGGCCTCAGTACAAAGGCTATGATGATTTTCAGATCCCAGGAGCTGAGATCTCTCAGTTAATAGCAGAGATCAGGGAGGAGCATTCTCCTGGCTGTCATAAATACCAGCTGGAACAAATAGTAACTGCCTTATTTGATTGTTTTGAAAACGAAATGATTCAGTATACGTACTCTCCTTAGAGTAGTACCTGATACATTGGAAATGATTAATAAATGTGAATGATAATCAGTAGTAACCTTTGAAATAATGAGAGTGAATAAGACCACTTGTGAAAAGTATAGTAAGAAGAGCAATAGGCTCTGAATAGGACCATGGGGGACATTAGCATTTAAGAGGCATTCAGTAGAAAGAGAACCATGTGTAAATCCAGTGACTGGTGTTAATTGAGCACCTACTACATATGGGAACTAAGTGCCACTGAAATATAGACTCCAAGAAAGCAGAGACGTTTGTCTGTGGTATCTTCCTGGTATCTAGAACAGCCCCTCGATGAACACTAACAATTAAATTTCAAGGCAGTGAAAGTATTTCAGGTAAGAAGGGAAGAAATGTTAGAATTATAGTGTAATCCTTTTGAAGCCTTGGAAGAAATAATGGATCTTGGCAATGACCATCGATGGCTGCTGACATCAGAAATTAGAGACAACCTGGCATTATGTAGCTCTTGATGGAAGAACACATTACAGCTTTTGGAGTATTCTTCTGTGGTTGTGAGTGCATGCGTGTGTGTGTTTGTGTGTGTGTGTGTAATAAAATTCGAGGCTAATCAAGCCTCTAGATCTAATCATGAATTTAAAATAAATATAAGAAAGAGAGAAACATGTTGAATAACACAAAATTTTCCAATCAGCAAAATTCAGACTGTAGAAAACTGCAGGATAAATTAGTTTCTTTTTAAAAATTGTATTTTATTATTTTATTATTTATTTAATTAGTTAGTTATATTTTGGAAGTAAGGGTCTCTCTATGTTGCCCAGGCTGGACTCAAACCCCTGAACTCAGGAGATCCTCCTGACTTGCTCTCCAGAGTAGCTGGGACTGTAGGCATGCTCCACCCCACTCTCCCAGTTTCTTCATTAACTAAGTTGCAAGGAAAAAAGAGAAACACATTCAACCACTTGCAATGTATGGGCATTGTTCGGATATGATTCAAACAAGCACATTATTAGAAGATATCTTTGTGAGCATAGATATTAAAGACTTACTAACATTTACATTTGACAATGATATTTTAAAAAATATCTTTCAAAAGAACCATTTATCTCTTGAGATACGTACTGAAATATTTACTGATGAAGTGACACATTGTATGAGATATTTTCAAAATAACCAGGGATGAGGATGGTGGGACAGAGAAGAGATGAAACAATATTGACAACAAATTGAGAGTTCTTAAAGCTTGTTGATGGGTATGTGGAAGTTTATTACAATAGCCTCTCAATTTTTATATATATTTGAAGTTTACCTAACACAAATTTAAATAGTAAAAGTGAAAAATAAATGTTGTGCCATTTAAATAAAACAAATGAGGTAGTAAGCAATGGTGTCAAATGTAGCAAAAGTCTAGTTAGATGAGAATTGTAAAAAGTCACCTATTTAGCAATTAGGAAGTCAATTCCATGACCTGCACAATTTGAGGCATAAATTTGTAGTGAAGGAAGCATATAGGCTCTTCAGACTCTTCTGTGAGGAAGTCTGAGACAGTAAGAAAAAACTGGATAGCTTGAGAGGACTTGAGGTCAGGTGATGAAAAGCAGGTGATGAGGTGGGTAGGTCTTAAAGAAATAGGTAGGAATTGGATGCAAGAGAATAAAACAGGTAGATATGCTTGGCATAAACTGAGTAACATTTTGGAGGGAGGAACATACAATTCAGCTGACAGGAAGAAATCTGGAAGCCTCAGTGAAGTAGGAAACTTGCTTGTCTGCTGAGAGTGAAGCCAATGTGGTTGTGTAGGAATAATAAGGAAAGTCATAAATTTTTGGTGTTGATGTATCAATGTAGGTAAGAGGTCATGAATATGTGTTGACCAAGTCAGCATGTTTGATGTGACTTTCGTTGTGTGGGTTTAATGTGCCAGAACAGAATCAGTGAAGAGCTCATGTCGCTTCTGGTTTGGCTTGCCATGTGCAATAGGAGGATGGTGATATGGTTTGGCTTTGTCCCCACCCAAATCTCATCTTGAATTGTAGCTCCCATAATTCCCATGTGTCATGGGAGGGACCCAGTGGGAAGTAATTGAATCATGGGGGCAGGTCTTTCCTGTGCTGTTCGTGTGATAGTGAATGAATCTCATGAGATCTGATGGTTTTATAAAGGAGAGTTCTCCTACTCTCTCTTTCCTGTCGCCACCTGAGATGTGCCTTTGCTCCTCCTTGCCTTCTGCCAGGATTGTGAGGCCTCCCCAGCCACGTGGAACTGTGAGTTCATTAAACTTCTTTTTCTTTATAAATTACCCAGCCTCAGGTATGTCTTTATGGGCAGCATAAGAATGGATTAATACAGATGGCATGGAGAGGGGTGTTCAGGGACAGGTTCAGACCATCAGCCCTGGGCTTCTGACAGGGTCAAGAAGGGGGAATGACAGTCAGGGACAGTTCAACTGGGCTATGATGAAGGGAGCCAGGGAGGAAGCTGTGGTTTAAAGAGTAATTGAAGGTTCTGGTAGAGTCAGAAATTATGGTCAGAAGCTGAAATACGCTTTATTTATTTGTTTGTTTGTTTGTTTATTTTTTGAGACAGAGTCTCGCTCTGTCACCTAGGCTGGAGTGCAGTGGCATGATCTGGGCTCACTGCAAGCTCCACCTCCCAGGTTCACGCCATTCTCCTGCCTCAGTGTCCCGAGTAGCTGGGACTGCAGGCGCCTGCCACCATGCCCAACTAATTTTTTTTGTATTTTTAGTAGAGATGGGGTTTCACCGTGTTAGCTAGGATGGTCTCCATCTCCTGATCTCCTGATCCACTCGCCTCGGCCTCCCCAAGTGCTGGGATTACAGGCATAAGCCACCACGCCTGGCCTGAAATACAGTTTATTTGAGGCGATGGCAAGTTCTGGGGACATGGAGTGACCTGTGAAATCTGGGTCATGGTCATTGAAGTTGAGAAGGTCAAGGAGTGATGAAAATAAGGTATTGATTGGTCATCTACATGGGCTCTGAAGCTTCCCAGTGTGGAATCTGGACTTGCCATGAGAGAATGATGGACAGAAAGAGGGTAGAGTCCTCTATGAAAGCATAGTTACCAGATCAAAATGTGATAATTAGGCTTCATGACCTCACTAGGGATATGTCAGTCTAAAAGCCACACAGAATGACTAGTCTGATTTGCCCTTTCAAATATCCTTTGAATTTTTATTATCTCTGTAAGAAAAGGGTGATTCACTGTGAGCAAAAGGTGACATCTCAGAATTGTAGTCCATATTGTCTTATCCTTCTGCCTCCTTCTCTGAAGGAGATTGATCTTGTCAACAGACCTAGGTTGAAATTTACACTGCCACCAACAGCATATAAGCATTCCTTTTTCTCTGCAACCTCTCCAACGCCTGTTATTTTTTAACCTTTTAATAACAGCCATTCTGATTGGTGTGAAATGGTATCTTATTGTGGTTTTGATTTGCATTTCTATAATGATCAGTGATGTTGAGCTTTTTTTCATATGCTTGCTGGCCACATGTGTATCTTCTTTTGAAAAGTGTCTGTTTATGTCCTTTGCCCACTTTTTAATGAGGTTGTTTGTTTTTTGCATAAATTTAAGTTCCTTATAATGTTGGATGTTAGACTTTTGTCAGTGCATAGTTTACAAGTATTTTCTTCCATTCTGTAGGCTGTCAGTTCACTCTGTTGATTTTCTTTTTTTCTTTTCTTTCTTTTTTTTTTTTTTTTTTTTTTTTTTGCTATGCCAGAGCTCTTTAGTTTAATTAGATCTCATTTGTCAATTTTAGCTTTTGTTTGCCTTTGCTTTTGGCATCTTCATCATAAAATCTTTGCCTGTTCCTATGTCCAGGATGGTATTGCCTAGGTTGTCTTCTAGGGTTTTTATAGTTTTGGGTTTTACATTTAAGTCATCAATCCATCTTGAGTTAATTCTTGTGTTTGGTGTAAGGAAGGTGTCCAGTTTCAGTCTCCTGCATATGGCTAGCCAGTTATCTCAGTACCATTTACTGAATAGAGGGTCCTTTCCGCATTGCTTGTTTTTGTTAGCTTTGTTGAAGATCAGATGGTTGTAGGTGTGCAGCCCTATTTCTGGGATCTCTATTCTGTTTCATTGGTCTATGTGTCTGCTTTTGTACTAGTACCATGCTGTTTTGGTGACTGTAGCCCAGAAGTATAGTTTGAAGTCTGGTACTGTGATGACTTCAGCTTTGTTCTTTTTGCTTAGGACTGCCTTGGATGTTCAGGCCTTTTTATGGTTCTATATGAATTTTAAAATAGCTTTTCTAGTTCTGTGAAGATTGTCATGGGGAGTTTAATAGAAATAGCATTGAATCTATAAATTGCTTTGGACAGTATGGCCATTTGGCCATTTTAACAATATCGATTCTTCCTATCCAGGTGCATGGATTGTTTTTCTGTTTGTTTTTGTCATCTCTGATTTTTTTTAGCAGTGTTTTGTAGTTCTCCTTGTAAAGATATTTCACATCCATGGTTATCTGTATTCCTATTTTTGTGGCAATTATGAATGGGATTTAATTCCTGGTTTGACTGTTGTTGGTATATAGGAATGCTATGATTTTTGTACATTGATTTTGTATCCTAAGACTTTGCTGAAGTTGTAATACAACCATTGTGGAAAGGAGTGTGGTGATTCCTCAAAGAACTAGAAACATAAACAGCATTTGACCCAGCAATCCCATTACTGGGTATATACCTAAAGGAATAGAAATCATTCTGTCATAAAGACACTTGCACACATGTGTTTATCACAGCACTTTCACAATAGCAAAGACATGGAATCAATCTAAATTTCCATCAGTGGTAGACTGGATAAAGAAAATGTGGTACATATACACAATGGAATACCATACAGCCATAAAAAAGAATAAGATTGTGTTCTTTGCAGTTACATGAATGGAACTGGAGGCTTTTATCCTTAGCAAACTAACACAGAAACAGGAAACCAAAAACTGCATGTTGTTATAAGTAGGAGTAAAAGGATGACAACACATGGACACAGAGGGCAACAGCAGATACTGGAGCCTACTTGAGGGTGGTGGTGGGAGGAGAAAGAGGATCAGGAAAAATAACTAATGGGTGCTAGGCTTAATACCTGAGTGATGAAATAAACTGTACAACAAAACCCCATGACGCAAGTTTATCAGAATTACAAACTTGCATGTGTACCCCTGAACTTAAAATAAAATAAACAAAAAAGACTTAGGTTGTCCATTGTATTTCGGATGACTATGGCTATAGAAGCTATTGTTTTATGAAAACAGTTTGTCTGCTCATAGCTGTTGTACCTGTGTGACTGTTAGTATACCTGAGTGTTTATGCTTGCAAAAATATGCATTTAACATTCAAATATTTTATTTTATTAATATTTTATTAATATTTTATTAAATATTTTAATATTTAAATGTTATAGCCTATTTTATTGTGTTGGTCTATTTTATTATGCTGGCTATGAAGTGTTGTCACCTTTTTTTTTTTTTTTTGAGACAGTGTCTCACTCTGTCACCCAGGCTGGAGTGCAGTGGTGCAATCTCGGATCCTGCAAGCTCCATCTCCCGGGTTCATGCCATTCTCCTGTCTCAGCCTCCCAAGTAGCTGGGACTACAGGCGCCCACCATCATGCCCGGCTAATTTTTACGTTCCTTATTTTTTTGTATTTTTGGTAGAGACGGGGTTTCACTGTGTTAGCCAGGATGGCCTCGATCTCCTGACCTCGTGATCTGCCCACCTCGGCCTCCCAAAGTGCTGAGATTACAGGCCTGAGCCACCGCACTGGGCCCCGTTGTCATGTTTTATGTGACAAACATGTTAAAAACAACATGTTTTTAACTACTCTTTAAAATGCAAATAAATATATTTGGAATACTTTTAAAATTATTTTTTCAAAATATTTTCAGAATTTTTATCTTTGAGGATTGTGATTGTTGGGATTTTAGACTTTAGGGATTTTGATTTTTTTGATTTCAACATTCAGGATTATGGTGTTTGGAGTTGTGTCTCTCAGGATTATGACCCAAACCAAAAATAACTATGATTAATATGCTAAAGACTCTAATGGACAAAATAGACAGGATGCAAGAACAGATGGGCAATGTAAGCAAAAAGGTGAAACTTTTAAGAAAAAAATCAAAAGAATAGCTAGAGATTTTTAAAAAAAGAATGGAGAATATATACCATGATAACCATAACAGAAATGAAGAATGTCTTTGATGGGCTTATTAGTAGACCAGACAGGGCTGGGGAAAAAATTTCTGAGCTTGAGGATATCTCAGTAGAAACCTCCCAAAATGAAGAGCAAAGACAGAAAAGGTTGAAAGAAAAAAAAAACAGAGCAGAATATCCAAGAATTGTGGGATAACTACAAAAGGTATAACATGTGTATAATGAAAATACTAGAGGGAGAACAACTAGAGAAAGGAACAGAAGAATTATTTGAAGCAATAATGACTGAGAGTTTCCCCAAATTAATGTTAGACACTAGACCACAGATCAAGTAAGCTCAGAAAACACCAAGCAGGATAAATGCCAAAATACAACATGTAAGCATATAATTTTCAAACTATAGAAAAGCAAAGATAAAGAAAAAATCCTGAAAGAAGCCAGAGTGGGTGGTGGGGTGTGCGTGTGTGTGTGTGTGCAGAAACAGCTTGCCTTTAGAGAAGAAAAGATAAGAATAACATCTGACTTCTCCTCAGAGACTATGAAAGAAAGAAAAGAGTGAGGTGAAATATTTAAATGTTGGGGAAAAACCTCCACCAACCTAGAATTCTCTACTAAGCAGAATTATTCTTCAAAAATATAGGATAAATAAAAACTTTCTTAAACAAATAGAAATTGGGGATTTATTTTATTTTATTTTATTTTACTTTATTTTATTTTATTTTATTTTTTGTTGAAAGACTACCTTACAAGAAATGTTAAAAGAAGTTCCTTAGAGAGAAGGAAAATAATATAGGTCAGGAATTAAGATCTACGTAAGGAAAGGAAGAGCGTTAGAGAAGGCATAAGTGAAAGTACGATATAAACTTTTATTTTTCTTATTCTTAATTGATATAGCATACAATAGCTTGTTCAAAATAATAATAGCAACAATATATTCAATTATGTATACTTATGTATACATATAAGCTTAGATATGCCTATGCATAAGAAATGAATGACAGCAGTGATACAAAGTACAGGAGAAAAATTTAGGATTACTTTGTTATTATAAGGTCCTTCTATTCTCTGTGAAGCAGTGTAGTATTATTTGAAGGTGGGCTTGGATTGGTTGTAATATTTCTTATGTATAAGCATATCTAAACTTATGTGTATACAAAAGTATACATAATTGAATATATTGTTGCTATTATTTTGAACAAGCTGTAAACTCTAGGACAACTATTTTTAAAAGTTTTGAAAAAAATAAGTATAACTGATATGTTAAGAAATGAGAGAAAATTGAATCATATAAAATACCCATTTGAAGTCAACAACAAAAAAGAAGAATGGAAACAAAAATAGAAACAAAGGGAAGGGCAATAAATAGAAGACAGTAACAAAAATGGTAGTTATTAATCTAAGTATATCAATAATCACCTTAAATCCTAATTACTACTTTATTAAGAGACAGAGATCTTCAGAGTAGATAACAAAAGTGTCAACTACATGTTATCTGCAGGGAATCCAATTAAATATCAAGACACATATAGATTAAAAGTAAAGGGATGGAGAATATATACCATGATAACGCTAATCAAAAGAAAGGAGATACAGCTATATTAATTTGAGACAGAGAATACTCAAGGCAAAGAAGTTATCAGGGATAACTTCAGGCATTACATAATGATAAAGGGGTCAGTTCTCCCAGAAGAAATAACAGCCTTCAGTGTGTATGTGCTTAACAACAGAGCATTAAGATACGTGAGGGAAAAGCTGGTAGAAATAGAAGGAGAAGTAGATGAATCTATTATTATTGGAAATTTCAACTCTCCTTTATTAGAAATGAACAGATCCAGCAGACAGAAAATAAATAAGAACATGGTTGAACTAAATAATGTCACTGATTAACTGAATATAATTGACATCTATCAACTTCTTCATCCAACAACAGCGGTATACACAGTCTTCTTAAGTTTTCCCATGTTTTCTAATATAGATTACACTCTGGGCTAAAAAGCACACTTTTAAAAAGCTGAAAGATTAGAAATCATACAAAGTATTTTCTCTTACCAAACTAGAATTAGAGATAATAACAAAGATAGATGGCAATCCCAAAATATATGAAGATTAAACAATCCACTTCTATTTCTCTTCCACCTTTATGAAGGTATGATCAACAAGGGAGGCGGAGCTTGCAGTGAGCCGAGATCGCGCCACTGCACTCCAGCCTGGGCGACAGAGGGAGACTCCGTCTCAAAAAAAAAAAAAAAAAAAAGAAATTGTGTATAGTTAAGGTGTACAACATGATATTTTGATATCCATATGCATTGTAAATTATTAAATTAAATGACATATTCAAAACCTTACATGTTTATTATTTTTGTGGTAAGAACATTTAAGATCTATTCACTTAGCAATTTGCAAGCATACAATACGTTATTATTAACTATCATCACCATGCTGTAGAATAGATCTGCAGAACTTAAACTTATTCATCCTGCATAACTAAAACTTTGTATCCTTTGACCAACATCTGCATTCCTTCCCCTTCCCCCAGACCCTGGTAACTATCATTCTATTTTCTGCTTCTATGAGTGCAACTCTTTAAGATTCCGTATATAAGTAAGATTATGCAGTATTTGTTTTTCTTTGTCCATTTTATTTCACTTAATATAAGCCCATCAGGTTCATACATATTGTTGCAAATGACAGGATTTGTTTAGGACTGATTTTTTTTGTGTGTATGTACCATGTTTTCTTTATCTATTCATCTATCATTACACACTTAGGTTGGTTCCATATCTTGGCTATTGTAAATAATGCTGCAGTGAACGTGAAGAGTGCAGATATCTTTTCAACATACTGATTTCATTTCCTTTGAATATATACCCAGAAGTGGGATTGTTAGATTATATGTTAGTTCTATCTTTAATTTTTAAAGAACCTCCAAACTGTTTTCCATAATGGCTGTCCTGATTAATAACACATGAGTCAAAGAAGAAATCATATGAGAAATTAAAACATATTTTATCCAATTAAAAATGAAAGCACAAGTTATCAAAATTTTGAGATGCAGTGAAAGCAGCGCTTACAATAAAATTTATGGCATTGAAAAGTAAGAAATATCTAAAATTGAAAATCTAAGCTTCTACCTTAGAAACTAGAAGAAAAATTAAAGCCAAAGTAAGCAGAAAAAAATAATAAAAATTAAAGCAGAAATCAATGTAAATTGAAAACCAAAAATTGCTAGAGAAAATCAACAAAGTCAAAAGCTTATTCTTTGAAAGGATCAATAAAATCAATAAACCTCTAACCAGGCTAACTAAGAAAAAGTAGAGAAGACAACAAATTACTAATACCAGAAATGAAATAGAAGATATCAATAAAGATCTCATGGACATTAAAAGAACCTAAACATCAAGTTGTGATATCATCTCTATGTTCAGAAATTTGGTAACTTAGATGAAATGGACCAAACCCTTGAGAAACACAATCTGCCAAAACTCATGCAAGAAGAAATAAACCATATGAATCAGCTTATAACTGATAATGAAGTCGAAGAAATAACAATCTTCTAAAACAGAAAGTACCAGGTCCCAACGGGTTCACTGGTGAATTTTATTTAAGAAAGAAATTATACCAATTCTCTACGGTCTCTTTTATATGATAAAAGCAAAGGAGCTACTTCCTGATTCATTCTATGAGGACAGCATTGACCTAACACCAAAACCAAAGATATTACAAGAAAAGAAAATTATAGACCAGTATCTTTCATAAACATGCATGTAAAAATCCTCAAAAAATATTGGCAAATCAGATTTTAAAATATATAAAAATAATTATACATGATGATCAAATGAGATTTATCCCAGATATGCAGGGCTGGTTCAACATTCAAAAATTAATGTCTTTAATTTCATCAACAGGTTAAAGAAAAAAAAATTACATGATCATATTAGTAGATACAGAAAAAGCATTTGGCAAAATCTAACAGCCATTCATAATAGAAACTCAGTAAACAAGAATAAAGGAGAACTTCCTTAACTTGACAAAAATGTCTAGAAAAAACCTATAGCTAACAACATAGTTAATGATAAGAAATGAGAAACTATCTCATGAAGATTAGGAACAAAGCAGGGATGTCTTACCACTCCTTTTAAACACCATACTGGAAGCCTTAGATAGTACAATAAGACAATAAAATAAAAAGTATACTCATAGGGAAAGAAGAAGTAAAACTGTTCATAGGTGATATGATTGTCTATGTGGGAAACTGAAAGAATTGACAAAATAATTCTTAGAACTAAGAAAAGATTATAGCAATTTTGCAGGATATGAAGTAAACACAGAAACATCAATCTCTTTCCTACATACTATAAATGAACACATGAAATTTGAAATTTAAAACATAACACAATTTACATTGGCACCTCCCCAAATTAAATAGCTGTAAATCAAACAAAATATGTGCAAAATTGTTATGAGGAAAACTACAAAACTCTAATGAAAGAAATAAAAAAAACTAGATAAATGGGAAGATATTTCATGTTTGTGTATATTAAGACTCAATAGTGTCAAGACATCGTGTCTATAGGTTCGATAAAATCCTAGTCAAAATCCAAGCAAGTTTCTTTGTAGATGTTAACAAACTGATCCTAAAGTTTTTCTGAAATGGCAAAGGCTCAGAATAGTCAAATACAACGTGGAAGAAGAATAATAAATTTGGAGGATTGATGTTAACTTACTTCAAGACTTACTATAAAGCCACAGTAATTAATATAATGTGATATTAGTGAAAGAACAGACAAATAAGTCAAAGGAACAGGATAGACAGTCCAGAAATAGATAATCTAAGTATAGTCAACTGATCTTTGACTAAGGAATAAAGGTAATACAATGTGGAATAGGTAATCTTTTCAACAAATGGTGCTAGAACAACTGAATATCCATATTTGAAAAAAAAAGAATCTAGATATAGACCTTACATTTGTCACAAAAAATGAACTCAAAATAGATCATAGATCTATATGTAAAATGCAAAACTATAAAACTCCTACAAGATTACACTGAAAAAAACTTAGATGACGTAGGTTTGGGCAAAGGCTTTTTAGATACAACACCAAAGACATAATCTTCTAAAGAAAGAATTGGTAAGCAATATTTAATTAAAATAAAAAATTTCTGCCCTGAGAGACACAATCAAGAGAATGAAAAGACAAGCCACAGACAGAAAATATTTGCAAAAGACATAACTGATGAAGGATTCTTAACCAAAACTCAACAATAAAAAAGAACAACCTGATTTTAAAAATGGGCCAAAGACCTGAACAGACCTCTCATCAAAGAGATATGCAAATGAGAAATATTAGCATATGAAAAGATGCTCTGCATTATATGTCATTAAGGAAATGCTAATTAAAACAAGTGAGATACTGCTGAAGGCCTGTTAGTATGGCCAAAACCCGAAACACTGACAACCCTCATTGACAGCAAAATGGAAGGCAACAGGAGCTCTTATTCATAGCTAGTGGGAATGCAAAATGGTACAGCTGCTTTGGAAGAATATTTGACACTTTCTTATCAAACTAAATATACTTTTATGATGTGATCCAGCAATTATGCTTCTTGGTATTTACCCAAAGGAGTTGAAAATTGTATCCACAAAAAAAATGCACAAGGTTGTTTATTGCAGCTTTATTAATAACTGGCAAATGCATCCAACATCTTGGAAGCAACCAAGATGTCCTCCGGTAAGTGAATGGATAAATGAACTGTGGTACATCCAGACAATGGCATATTGGTCAGCTGTGAAAAGAAATGAGCTATCAAATCTTGAAAAGGAGACTTAAATGAGTACTTATCTTATTACTAAGTGAAAGAAGCCAATATGGAGAGGCTACATACTGTTTGATCCAACTCTATGACATTCTGGAAAAGGCAAAACTATGGAGACAGTAGAAAGATCAGTGGTTGGCCAGGGTTAGAGAAAGAGATGAATAGGCAGAGAACAGAGGATTTTTAGGGCTGTGAAATTATTCTGTATGACACCGTAGTGGTGGATACATATTATTATATGTTTGTCAAAACCCACAGAACATACAAAATCAAGAGTGAACTCTGATGTAAACTATGCACTTTATGTGGTAATGATGTGTCAGTGTAGGTTGATTAATTGTAACAAATGTATCACTCTGGTGCAAGGAATTGATACTGGAGGGGGAGAGGCTGTGCATGTATAGGAATAGGGGCTTTATGGGAAAGCTCTGTTCCTTTCTCTCAATTTTGCTGTGAGTTACTAAAACTGCTCTAAAAATAAAGTCTATTTTGAAAAGTATTAAAAAAATTACTCTGAAGTCTACCTGGATTTATGTGAGAAGAGATGTGGTTTGTTAGTGGAGAATAGAAATATTCAAGGTAACCTCAATGCAAATGTGTTTTGCTTAATGAATGCTGCTGAAAACTAGGACAGCAGAGAAGAAAAAAAAGAGACAAGTGGGAAAGACATAAATTATAAACTCTGTTTTTCATAAAGGATAAACCTCTCCCTTGGGTTCTTTTACATTGCTATGGAATTCTCTGAACTTTCTAATTTGATAAACATTTCTTCAGCTATGTTATTTATTTTTTCTTAGTTTATATGAATATAGGGATTTCCATTGGTGATCAAGTAATTGTAAGGAGCATTATTTAACATTTATTTAAATATGTGTTCAGCTGTAGCATATTTTGTTACATGGTGTTTTTGAATTTAATAAACCTCCATACCAACACATAATGTTTTATGTTTATCTAGTCTCAGTGATAATCTAAGTTTCTGAGTATGTGACAATAGATTCACTGAAATCACAGGGTAATAATTTAAAAAACAAATTATTTCGGAGAAGGCATGAGTTTACAGGTAGTAACGGATCTTGTCCATGGGCCCTTAGAAGACACTATCAATTATAGTCATATCTGGCTTAACAAAGAGGACACTGATAAGGTTTGGATGTTCGTCCCCTCCAAATCTCATGTTGAAATGTGACTTCCAATGTTGGAGATTGGGCCTAATGGGAGGTATTGGATCATGGGAGCAGATCTCTCTTGAATGGGTTAGCACCATCTCCTTGGTGATGAGTGAATTCTTGCTCAGTTATTTCATGTGAGATCTAGTTGTTAAAGAGAATGTAGGACCTCCCCATTCCCTCACTTAACATGTGATAGGCTGGCTCCCTCATTGACTTCCACCATGATTGTAAGCTTCCTGAGGCCCTCACCAGATGCAGTTGTCTGTGCCATGCTTTGTGTACAGCCTGCTGAACCATGAGTTAATTAAACCTCTTTTCTTTATAAATTACCCTGCCCCAGGTATTTCTTTTGTATAGCAACACAAGAACAGACTGACACAGATACCTTCTGAGAAATATACCATTAGGTGACTTCACTGTTAGATGAGCATCATAGAGTGTACTTACACAAACCTAGATGGTATAGCCTACTACAGACCTAGGCTATAAGGTATGATCTGTTGCTCCTAGATTACAAACCTGTACAGCGAGTATTGAACACTGCAGGCAACTGTAACACAATTGTCTGTTTCATGTATCTACACATAGAAAAGGTACAGTAAAAATACAGTATGGTAATCTTATGGGACCCTCATCTAAATTTCATTCTACAGTGCATGACTGTATAGGAATTCTGGGGGCTCTGGGCTGATTTTAAATAGGAAACATTGAAGAAGTGATGGTGGAGAGTCTGGAATTTTCAGTCAGGAGATCAAAATTGTGCTCTAGATTTTGGTGCTAACCAGCTCCATGACTTTGAAAAATTTACTTAATTTTTTTCTGAGTGCAAAATAAGGGGAATTAATGCAATAATTTCTTAAATACCTTTAAGATTTACATAATCTACATTGTGGATACATTGAAGGTTTTATTTTGTGACAATTAGATGAAATCAATCCTTGTATTAGGCAAAGATGCGTTTAAATCAACGACACAAAGAAGGCTACAAATAAAAATCATCCAGACAATTAAAAAAATTGAGATTTCCTGGAACCAAACCAACCAAGAATTACTAAGTTATACTGTCTGATTGAAAGGCTCAGCAATCTACACTCTAAAACTGTCCCAGGTGATTTTAAGGCAGGAGGTCCTGAGTTTGAAAATTTCTGGTTTAGTCAACCTCCAAGATGTTTCAGCATCTCTGACTCTCACTGATATTTATTAACGTACTAACTTCATGTTCTAGAACTGCATGCAAATGACAGTGCACTAAAATGAAGAAAACCTGTCCTTAAGAATCACAATTTCAAAAAATGGCGCAGGCATGTATTACACAAAATCTGTAAATGAATCCACTCAATCATGAAGCTCCTCATATAGACATGATTAAAACTCATGCAGTTCTTACAAAAATGGAAAATAACTTCATGGAGTGCAAAACAAATCAAATTCATATTGTTTTGTCAAGATCCCAATGTAAAAAGTCTTGTAATTTAGAATGCATTGGAGATGTTCAGACACGACAAAAAAAAAATCAGCGAGTAATTGTTAAGTGCAACAGACTTACTTGGTGTGACTCCAGGACACTAAGTGCGATCATATTCCAGAATTGCAGAAGAAAAACAACTTCCCCTGCTCTTTTCACACATTCTTTTACATGAAATGCGGGAGACAAAAGTTGGCTAATCATCAAGAAACGATGATGCTTCTTAATGCGATTTCTCTTTGATTGAGATGTATCCCACAGGGCAAATTTGGGCTTCTAGGTGGTTCATGACATCATACAAAACATGCACTAAAATGCAAGAAGAACCAAAAAATTGAACAAACAAACAAAAATGGCAACAACAAAACCAGCTAAAGAATCAAAATAAAGGCAAGGGAAATATTTATGAATAAATCATCCATCGTCTTTGATCTCAGCAACATGACCATTGGCAGGCACTCAAGAAAGTATTTCTTTTATTTGTAAAAGTTGAAATGATTCCTCATCACATGATTTTTGGTGCCAAAGCTGAGGTTATTTTCTCTGGCTCAACATTTGTGGCTACCCCTAGGAAATAATTGGGCAATAAACGTTTTCAGGCTCATGAAAATCAAGCATTAAAAAGATGACCGATAAATATTAGTTTTATAAATGTAACAATAGGGTTTGGTAACTGATCTCTACCCGTTTTGCACAGAACAGATTTCAAAATGCTGGAAGTGAAACCGATGTAGCCATGTGTCAGAGTTGAGGATGTTTGCCTTTGTCTGCACTTGAAACAACTTTGATGTGGCTTAAGATGTGTTTTTGTATTTCAAACAGCCTGCAGAAGGGAAACGAGCAAGGCACAGAATTATTTACCCTTCCCAGGAAAATATTTTAAAAGCTCTATGAGGGCTCCATTTCCTAAAGCCACCTGTCACCTAAAGCACATGTAATAAGCCCCAGATGCTGGATCCCAACCTGCTAACCCTGTGACTCGCAGAGAAAATATTTCACTCATTCCTGGGCACATCCTTAATTCGTTCGAAGCTAAACTTTCAGGCCATATTTTCTGCTTAAACTTAATAACTCAGCTCTGACATTCCTTCCCAGTGACCCTAAAGTTCCGTTTGGCCACCTCGACACCTGCTCCTAAATGCATTAGAAACACTCAGAATTTTTTTTTTCAAGTATCAATTTTGTTTTCTTTTCTCAGCCTTGAGGCCATCCATTGAATGCACGGAAGTAAAGGATACTTTGTTCTATTCCGTTGTGAATTGCGTTAGTATCTTAGGTTTCTCTACTCAAGTTTTTGTTGATGTTGTTTTGAACACAAAAATGTGTTGGTTCATAGATTTTTGAGATCTGTGAAACTTAAGTTTCAAATCTTGATTTTGGAAGATAATGAGGGAAAGATCCCCCAAATCCCCTATAATTATTTGTATATATATAAATTATTTTGCAAAAAATAAACTTATAAGTTTATGAATAGTTTCGATGTTAAAAAAATTGTGACTATATAGTAAGACTAGCATGAACATTAAAACCCCAAAATGCATTATTTTAAATGTATTTAATGATCTAAGAAACTGTACAGTTAAAGATTTCAAGGATCAGAATTGAGACTTTTTATTCTTATTACGTTTTTTGAAAATCTGAGGACATAGAAAAATTGCCATTTTACTGAAAAATTATAACTATACTCAATTTCATTGGGGGAAGAATTATAGGTAAACTTATTGCAGTACAAATAAGTGGCTAAAATTACCTCCATTATGAAATTATTTTCCCACATTTATCTATTTTTAAAACCAAGTATATTTCTCATGTTAATGAAATTGCAAATCAAAACATGTTCTACACAGGAGAAAAATGTGTTGATTCTGGAGTGTGTGTGTGTGTGTGTGAGAGAGAGAGAAAGAGAGAGAGATTATTAGAAATAAATGACTGCTTATGGAAAAAGGATAATCAGAGTGCAAAAAGAATTTTTAAGTCTTAGGACTCCTAAGGTGACTTTGTAAAAATACGCAATTTTATCTGAGAACATTTCAGTGATAAGTGACTGTTTTGCTTGTATCCAGGCAATGACAGCAATTCGTTATTGATACCTCTCTGTGAGAAGATTTCAAAAACACGGTTCTCAAAATTGCCATATGTTTCAGATAGTGAACGTAAATGGAGGACTTTATTTTTTGGAGGGGGTAGGTCAAGAGGTTAAAATAATAATCTCCATATACAACCTGTTTTGAGCTGCTTTATTCTATAAACCTGGGTAGGCATGGGTAAAGGACTAGAAACTGGGCTCCCCTATCATATTTCCCTCTAACTCCAGATAACACCAAATAAACCCTTAATCACACAAGAAATCACTCAACTTTTACTACTACTCCTGCTCCTTGACCTGCCACTAGCCCATTTCATTTCCCATGGTGTGGCCTCTGGCCCCTGTCTTTATAAGCCGTATCACCTGGCCATCACGCAGCTTCCAGCTCCCAGATCCTGTCTGGTTTCTGGTTTCTTCCAGGTTACCCAGAGTTTACAGACTGGATGCACTGCCTCTTGTCCTTCTCTGCCCCTGGAAATGCTTTCTCCCCCAGCCATAAAGTCTTCCTCTAGTGCTGGGTCTGTTCTCCCACCAGCCATTTTGAGATCTTAACTGCTTCAGGAAGTTTTTTTTTTCTTTCCCATCAGAGAAGTGAAATATTTCTTTCCACCTAAGTTACAGACTTAAAATGATGGCAGTTTTCCATTTGCAGGCAGATTGTTCATAGGACTACGTACTTACGTACAAGCCTAAAACCCACCGAACATTCTTTGTGAAACGAAAGAAATATGTAATTTCTAACCTGAATATAAGTATCTAATTCTTAACAATCTCTCATCATCTCATCTTCAATATGTCTCAAATTATCTTCACCTCCATCCTTCCTTTCCCTACTCTCCACCTAATGCTTAACTAGTCCCTTTTCTAATGTGTCCTGTTTCTGCTCAAGGCACCAAGATGCTTCCATCCCCAGAATTTCAATGAGGGAGTGCCTTCACTCCTCCTTCTCACCATGATAGAGACAGAATGTTAATGGCCAATCACCCAGAGTTAGACAGATATGGCTTTGAATCAAAAGTGTTGCAGGATTCTGGATTTGTGAGCTATTAAAATGTTCCCCTGCTGAAAACTGGAGACAGGAGTAGCTACCTAGGGTTATTGTAAGGATTAATGTAATTTTGTAAAATACTTTGCATACCACTGGAAAAATAGGAAATAATAAATATCAGTTATTGTTTTTCTATTATTTAATCATTTTTATTATTATAAATCTTTAATATCATATCTCATTGCCCTTCTCTGTTAGTGAGGGTTAAACCAGGAAATTAGACCCCTAGAACTGGAACACACACACACACACACGCACACACATACATCATATAATTTATAGGAATTTGGTTTATATAATTGTGGCAGCTGATTAAAGAATTTCTGTAAAGCTGTTGTGCTGTTATCTTCACATCTGATACTGGAGTTTCAAGCCCACAAGGCAGGCAGGCAGAAAGAAAAAATGGGTGTAAAGGGCAGAACAGCAAGATCCAGTAGGATTAAAGGAGACGTGTCACTTCTTAGTGCCTCTGAATTTGATGGTGTCATTGTCCCCCAGAAACTGAGACCCTTTGTTATGAAGCTAAATGCATGAACTTGACCCAGGAATTAGAGAAGCTGAGGGATACTCTAGGGGAAGGTGGAGCGGTTGCTGGCCCAGTTGCTGCTTCACACAAAGGAGGCAAGTCAGCAGATCAGCAACAGTGTATGAGCTACAAAATGTCGGTTTCTTCCTTGCACCCTCCAAACCCACTTAAAAATCTTCTTTGTGGTCCATTCAAGCCAGAAACATACAAGAAAGAGGGTTTGGGGAGATGCAGATTTGACTGGCCTAGTGGAGCCATTATAAAGCCACTATGCCTTTCTTTAAAATACGTCATCTTCATAAAGCATTGGTTTCCAAATCGTTTTTTGCTTATTGATTTTCCTTTCTTTTCCATCAGTTTTCCCTTTACATTGTGCCCCATAGACCTCTGCTCTTCTCACATTCCATTCCTAATCTGATGCCACTCAAGGCTTCCCACAAGGAGGGGCCCACTCATTAACTTCACAATTTTGTGCTTGGGGTGGCCAGGTTGATCTTACTGCTCTTCCCAAAGCACACTGGATTATTTTGTCTTCTATGATTTTGATCATGACTGTATTCTCACTTAGAAAACACTCTCCATTCCTGATTTACCTTAGATTCCTCTTATCTACAATATAGCCACTTTAGAATCCAAACCATGTACTACATTTTCTCCGGAATACCTTCCAACTCCAGGCAGCTCATACCTTTCAGTGGCTTCTGGGCACAGGCACGTGCTCCATATTTGGGGCAGGGACTGTGTCTTATATGATATTTTAATCTCATATGATATTTTAATCTCACTTGAAGTATCTTGCAAAGCTGGGAAACTGGTAGGAACTAATTAAATGCTTTTACAGAGAAGGAAATATAATTTTATATGATTTCTATTAAATACAAGTAGACAAAAATAATGCCTCTGTGTAAAACCCTACTCTCCAGCATTTTAATGTGTCATTCCTTTTCTGCCTGTTATGGCAATGTCTGCCCAAGGACTTTTGCCTGAGATGTAATCATATGCAATTATCATTGTGTTTTTGTTTAATCCAAATACAGATAATTCAGTATTAATATTCTTCCAGGAAGACTTTTTCTTTTGTATTTTTTTCTCTTAGAGGGAGAAAGCCTCTTACATGCTGTGTAGAGTGGGTGGATTCTCACTTTGCTGAATGTCAGTTTCTCCCTTAAAGTAGGGAAAATGGTAATACTCCTTTCATAGAGCTGTTGTGAGGATGAAGTAAGCTAGAAAATAGCTCATTTTGATTCAATGGATATGACATCAAGGCACAGGCAAGAGAAACAAAAATAGACATACAGGACTAAACCAAACTAAAACTTCTGCGTATCAAACGAAACAGTCAATAGAATAAATAGGCAACCTGTGTAATAGGAGAAAATATTTGCAAATCATATATCAGATAAGAGTTTAATCTCCAAAATGACAAACTCTTGCAACTTATTAGCAAAAAAACACCCCTAATAACCCCATTAAAAAATGAGCTAAGGACTTGAATAGACATTTCTCCAAAAAACACATACAAATGTCCAACAGGTATAAAAAAAGTGCTCATCTTCACTAAATATCAGGAAAATGCAAATCAAAACCACAACAAGATATTCCTTCATACCTGTCAGGATAACTATTATCAAAAAACCAGTGGCAACCAGTACAGACAAAGATGTGGAGACATTGAAAGCCTCATGCACTGTTGGTGGGAATGTAAAGTGATGTAGCTGATTTGGAAAACAGTATAGAGCAGGGGTGTCCAAGCTTCTGGCTTCCCTGGGCCACATTTCAAGAAGAATAGTCTTGAGCCACACATAAAATATGCTACCATTAATGATAGCTGATGAGCTACAAAGAAAAATCGCCAAAAAAATCTCATAATGTTTTAAGAAAGTTTACGAATTTGTGTTGAGCCTCATTCAAAGCCATCCTGGGTTCTGGGCTGGACAAGCTTGGTATAGAGTTTTCTAAGACAGTTAAAAATAGAACAACCATAGGATCCAACAAACCCATTTTTGGGTATTTATCCAAAATAATTAAAATCAGGATCTTGAAGAGATATTGGCACTCCCATATTCATTGCAACACTATTCACAGTAGCCAAGATATGGAGGCCATTTAAATGTCTATCTACAGATTAATATATAAAGAAAAACGGTCTATACATATGACAGAATACTATGCAGCCTTAAAGAAGGAAACTCTGCAATATGTGACAACATGGATGAGCCTTGAAGACATTACATGAAGTGAATAAGCCAGTCACAAAAGGGCATGATTCCACTTATATGAGATATCTACAATAGTCAAATTAATAGAATCAAAAAGTGGAATGGTGGTGGCCAGGAGTCAGGCAGAGAGAAAACAGAGAGTTACAAATCAATGGACATAGAGTTTGAGTCAAGGAAGATAAATTTGCTCTAGAGATTTGCCGTACAACATTGTACCTATAGCCAACAGTGATGCATTATACACTTAAAATTTTGTTAAGATGATATATCTCATATTGAGTATTCTTACTACAATAAATGCAATTTTAAAAACTCATATAGAATGTTAGACATCAAACAAAGAAATAAAATATATTTTCCATAGTTTCTCCATTTTTTAAAATAATCACCTTGGCAGATAGATTTTGTAGCTGTAGAAGTCTCTATTGCCATTGATGCATTTTACACAGAGCTCAATGCTCTGGGGGGTAAGGAAGGGAGTTTCAGCTTCAGTGGGCGGTCCAGGAAGAACCAAAGCCAACAGGGTTGGGCCTGCACAAGGCTTGCGTAGGGAAGGTCCCTGAAGGGAGAAGACTCCAAACAGTGGCACAGACACTGGAGAAAGAGACGAATTGTGGATTTTTTCCAGTGAAAAGTTACACACTATCTGAGGCAAACTTCTCATGTTTAGTAAAATTTTTAATAAAATTACAAAATTAAAAAAAGAAGTAGCTCAGTGCCTAATGCATAGCAAATGATCACTAAATACAAAATGATGTGGCTGATTGAATAATGGCCCCCTAAAGATGTCCACACTTGAATCCCCCTACTGGCTATGTTTCTGTGAGCTCAGCTGGCGAGCTCTTCCTCTGGTCTTCTGCTGGAACCTGTGAATACATGCCTTACATCACAGGAAGGACTTTGCCCATAGGATTATGTCAAGGATCTTAAGAATGAGGAGATTATTGTGGATTATCTGAGAGGGTTTGATGTAATCATGAGCAGCCTGATGAGAGAGAGAGGTGTATTAAAGTTAGAGAGGGAATGTGTAAGGACAAAACAAGAGGTTGGAGTGATGCATTATGAAGACAGAAGGAGAGGCCACAAGCCAAGGAATGTAGGTGGCATCTAGAAGCCATAGAAGCCAGAAAAAGCAAGGAAATGGAGAATCTTTAGAGCCTGCAGAAGGAACCAGCCCCACTAACACCTTAATTTTTGTTCCAGTGGATTCCTATCACACTGGTGACCTCCACAATTGTAAGCTAATAACTTTGTGCTGTTTTCAGCCACTAAGTTTGTGGTCATTTGTTATTGTGACAAGAGGAAACTAACACACATGGTATCACTGTATATTCATTTTCCACTTGGACCATTTTTATCCCTTGGCACTGAAGTTACTCTTAGCTCTTCTATTCCCAGCCTTGCCAGACACCATTTCTGTGCTTTCTCTGGTGGAGGACTCGATGTTTTGAATGCTGGGGACTGACTTATTTCTGTTTCACAGTCCAGATCAAAATTGTGACATGGACAATGTTGTTTTCCACACCTTGTTCCCCAATGATGTTCTTTATTCCATTGCGGTACTTTATTTTCAGGGCTCAGGGTCCTCTGACATCTGACCTCAATTCGCCTGACCTGCCACCTAGTCTACTTTTCAGTGATGGATGGCTATGCAAAGCATCTTCCCAAACTTGGTGACTTAAAGCAACATCCACCTTCTTATTGCCTAGGTTTCCATGAGCTCAGCTGGGCAGTTCTTCTGCTGGTCTTGCTTGTGGCCTCTCATAGGCTTGTAGTCACCCAGTGACTGGGGCTGGAGTCATGGAGGCTTGGTTCCTATGGGGGCAATGCTGGGGGGCTTGCCCTCATTATCTAGTCTCAGGGTCTTTCCACTACAAATGGGACAGATGTACTTCTTATGTGTACTCTCTGCATGCTTGTATTCATTTCCTGGGGTTGGTGTAAAAGATTAACACAAACTGGGGTGGCTTAAGAGGAATTTACTTTCTGACATTTCTGTAGTCCAGAAGTTGGAATCCAGGGGTCCGCAGGGTTGTGCTCCCTCCAACGACTCTAGGGGAGAACCCTGGAGAAACATCTTCCAGCTTCTGGTGGCTCCAGGTGTTCCTTGACTTGTGGCAGCATCACTCCAATCTCTGCCACTGCCTCTGCATGGCCCTCTCCTCCTCTGTGTCTCAAATCTCTCGCGCTGTCATCCAGGCTAGAGTGCAGTGGCATGATCAGGGTTCACTGCAGCCTTGACTTCCGGGGCTCAAGCGGCCCTCCCGCCTCAGCCCCCCAAGTAGCCGGGACTACAGGTGCATGTTACCATGCCAAGCTAATTTTTTTAATTTTAGTAGCGCTGGGGTCTCACTATGTTGCCCAGGCTGGTTTCAAATTGCTGAGCTCAAGCAATCCTCCTGCCTCAGCCTCCCAAAGTGATGGGATTACAGGCGCAAGCCACTGGGCCCACTGACCTTTTGAAACATAAGGACATTGTTATTGGATTAAGAGCCCACCTGGATAATCCTGGATGATCTCAAGATCTTTAACTGAATAAGGTATGCAAAGACCTTTCTTTCCAAATAAAGTCACATCCACAGGTCCTAGGGCTTAGGACACAGACATATCTTTGTAGGCAATATCATTGAAGTCACTGCAACTCCCCACAGCAACCACTTCAAGAGAGAAAGTAGAAGCTGCCATGCCTTGTAAGGCCCAGAATTGGCCTGGGATCATGGGGGCCCATGTCCCTATTTATTACATTTTGCAGGTCCAGCCCAGATTCAGAGTATCACCTGAACACCAACCCAAAGAAGCATGGCTCACTGGGACAATGACTGCTTATTTGGGGGGTCATTCTTCCTGAAACCACACACATGTCCCCCTGCCTCATGAGTTAGGGCTCTCTGAGTGGACTGACAGTAACCCGGCTCCTTAGAATAAATGGTGATTAAAAGATAACAATGTTTTAATGTGGTTTTCTCCCAAAAAAGAGTGACTTTTAAGTCAACCTCTTCAAAATTTCATGTGAAATCACAACCTGGTAGGAGAAATATTTTCAGTGGAGTGAGGGCTAGGGTGATTATCGGTGCTTTGCAAGTACCTGCACAAAGACCACTTTGTGCTTTGCCATGAGTGGGCTAAGTGCAGAGTGTAGGACTTTCACAGGGACAATTTTGAAGGGTGTGGGTTTTGCAGGCAGACAGATCTGGGCTCCACCTCAGCAGTGATGGTCACTGTGCCCTGGGAAAAGTATCAAGGGTCTCCTCCATGAAATGCAGGGAGTATGCCTAAAGTCCAGGGGTGGATGTGTGGGCTCCATTGATGATAAGGATGGTTATGACCATGATGAAGATATGGTATTGTGAGATCAATGTGACCTGTCTGAGGAGTATGCAAAAAGTATTGATGTACACTTGATTCAAATGGAGCAACGTAAACAACTGTACCTTAGCTGGATACCTAATAGTCAGCTGCATTGCTAAGACTTAACTCTTAATTGCTTTTAATTAATACACAATTTCTCTTTTTGTTTTATTAGTTAATAAATGCTCCATATGCAGCACCCGTTGGTTTGCAAACTCCGTAGAAGAACTTCTGATAATCCCACATCTCTGAACTTGATTTAGGGGTAAGAAAAGGATTGGCTTGATAATTCCTTGAAGAATGAATTTAGTTTAGATTTATTCTGTGTGAGAAGAAAACTCTGATTATGTAGAGTCCAGGTTTGCTCTGGTTTCCTGACCTTTCTCTCTCAGAGCCCACTTCTTGGAAGCAGTCACCAGAGATGTGCAGCTGGTGTTAATCGAAGTAGCTGGAGGGGACATCACGCTCGGATGACAGCAGGGTTTGGCGGTTTGGCTTCTGTGAGATATTACTCAGAGGGTTTTCTTTTCTCTCTCTCTTTCTTTTTTTTAAGAGTTGGGGTCTCACTATGTTGCTCAGGCTGGTCACGAATTTGTGGGCTCAAGCAATCCTCCCGCCTTGGCCTCCCAAGGTGCTAGAATTACAGGCCTGAGCCACTGAACATACTTGCTGGCCAACAGTGTCTTTGTGGCTCTAAACTAGCCCCCACTGTGTGTGGCCCTTGGTAGGTTCAAAAACCAGGGCTGGAGAAGGATTCCATGGGCCGAGGAGCTGGCAGAGGCTAAGGGTCCGGGTGAATTGAGCTCTGTGTTGGTGGGTCTCACTGCCTACCCATGAACTGCCTCTGATAGCCGCCAGGGTTCTTCCTTCCTCCTCTCTCCTTCAGTTCTTCCCCTTCACATGTATTTTCTGATTAGTAGTTTATGCATGTATGGAATTTGGAAGTAGAAGGCCGGTTTTAAATTCAGCTCAATTGTTCATTCCTTCTTCTCGGATTTTTGTCAAATTGTTTTGCTTCCCTGAGCCCAGAATGTTTTTATCTGTGAAAGGTAAAAAACCACATCTGCCCTGGTCTGTATTTGTGTAAAGACGATGGGATTAGATGAGACACTATCTGTGAAAGCTCTTTCACAGAGCTACCTGCCCGGTGCTCCTCACAGGTGAGTGATCATATGTATATTCCCGGCTGAGCATGAGTGCTTAAACCCATGGATGATTGGAACATTCCAAGAAGTGCAGAAAAGAAGTGGACAGGTGGAACTGGGCAGATGGGATGGCCTGGGCCAGGTGTTCTAGGTGCAGAGGAAAAAACCTTGAAGATTATCTAGAGTCATACTCATTCTATAGAGGAGGAAACTGAGGCCGGAGGGGTGAAGGGCTGAGTCTAGCTCCCAGACTTCCTTTTCTGTCATTATTTTAACAGCATTTATTGTCCACTGCAAAGACCATCTATAGATTTGTTTATTGTTTACCTGCTCTCCTGCCTACTCCAATATCACCTAGGCTGGTAAGCCCCCACCACCCACAGAGAGCTGGAGCCTGTCTTGTTCATGTCTGTGTGCTCAGAGCTGTGGGCAGTGCTGTCACATAATGGGCCCTGATGAAGAGGCATGAGCAACGTGCCTGATGCTTCTCCTGACTCCCAGTCCAGGGGCCTTGCTGGTTCTGCTATTATTTTCCCATTTCAGGGATGGTGCAAATCCTGCAGGGTTGCTCTTTCTTTCTTTTAGGCCTTGGACATCTCTGAAATAGAAGTCCTCAGCAGAGACCTGGCTGTCATTTCCCATCTGCTGCTAGGAAATTAATAGAAACGGAAGATTGCTAATAGGTCAAGAAGCTACCCATGTGGAAGGTGTGAGAGAAGTGAGCTCCATGAGGTCAGACACTGGGCTGGCATGTTTATGGTTGTGTCCTGATGACTGGGTGAGAGACTGGCCCAAAGGAGACCCTTGGCAAATGTCTGTTAAATGAAGGAGAGAATGAAGGAATGGCCTCTTTAGAATATTGATAAACGTGTAGCGCAACTGCAAGGTGATTGTTCAGTTGACATATCGATGGCCCTTTACTATTCCAAAAGAGGACGGAAGAGGGCAGAGGGATGACAGGAGGACACATTGTGTTTTTATCTGTCAATGGACGTCAGAATATCTGGTTGGGTAGTTTCTGTGCAGATGGGGGTGGGGTGAGGGCGCAACTGCAGCTGCTGTGGGAATGAGCAAGCCATCACTGAAATCGTAAATATGCCACGGACCCACACTGGGATGCTGACAGATGCCCTCCCTGCAAGGCTCAGATGGGAGGGACTCCTGGAGTCCAGATTTTAAATTAGATTCACCTGAGCCCAGTCAGTGAACTGTCATCTTTCGGCTGGAATGGAAAAGGGGAGGGGGGAGGAATGGAAGAAAATCTTTGTAGCTGAGCCGACCTGACTTTCCTCAGTGGGAGACACATGAGTAGTGTTTCATGTCAAGGAGAGGTAGTTAAAATGCAGACTGCTCGATCCTGGTCTCAGAATTCGGGAGGTGTGGTTCGTGCCTGTGGACCACTCATCTTCCCTTCCTTTGATCTATCACTTGATGTGGAGAAAGGTTTTTATGTGTGATTCCCACATAATGGGTAATTTAGTCCATCCCACTATGAAAAAGTGGTAAGTCTAGTTCTAGTACATTTGCTTCAGTTATTCTTAAAAGTACCTAAAAATATATTATTCTCCTATGCTTTAGATAGCCTGACTGCGTTTTCTTGGTTGTTTATAATTTTTGAGCTCCTTTTAGCCAGTTGAAAGACAGTGAGTTGCAAATTAAAAAACAAAATAAAGATGAAGGCATGTACTCTGCCAGTGTGCACATTTGGGTGAGAAATGTGATGTCAATGGAATATATTGGCACATCGACCAAATAGGGTTTGCCTTATTTATAATTGAAATTGGCACATCACCGTGCATGTTAAGTTTCAGGTCCTTTCCTGGTCTTTTTATGCAGTGTAACCCATACTTAAAAAAATACCTCTCCCCTGATTAAAGCCTGAGCATTGTATTTTTGAAGTAGCTTTCTCAGCCAGTCAAACTGAGTCCTAAAGTACTTTACAAGGAGTCAACCACAGAAACGTTAGATTTAAGGCTCAGACATGACCATAGCTGACTGAATGAAGTGGCTGCCCACAGAAAAGTTCAAGTTCGTCAGACTCGGATGAACATCTGCAAAACAAGACTAGTAAGCTCTGATTCACACACCTCACACCTCGTGTCTACTCTTCATTTAAAAGTGAATTCAAAAGTTTCAAGGTTGCAGAAGAATTTTCCTTCACATTTTCATTTCTCAGAGGATATTCTACAGGCTGACGTTTCTCCAAGAAGAATATATATTAAAATAATAAGTGGCCAAATTGCCCTTGGCCTTTAAAATAGATACTGCCTATCCTTGGCCTTTCTTGGGGAAGGACTTGAAGAAATAGAGAAATATGAAAAGAAGGAGTAAACCTCTGAGTTTCTGTTTTGGTTGAAGAAGTATAAGGGGAGAAGAAGGTGGCTTCCAAGATCTAATGGGATGGAAGAGATTTTGATTTTTTTTACCTAACTGGGGAAATGGAGAAAGAATATGTGTGACTATGGTGGTTGAGTAATTTCTGAAGTTTTATATCTGACTGCCTGTTTTACCAGCTTCAAACCTGATAAAACAGGATGCTTTTTGGACCAACTTTCAGGGGAATTGGGGTGACAGTATTTGTGAACAGGGCTCAAAGTGAACTGAGAACAGGGTATAAAACCTTTGTGGAACACTGTGAGTGACAGAAGACCTTGTCTGCTGAAGAGAGGTATGATAAGACTCAAGCATAATTGCTTTTTGCTTCTATGCTAAAAAGTTCTCTTTCAAAGCAAAATGCTCCAAGGTTTCCCACACACTTCATTCATCATTAAAGAAAAATAAAATCTTTTCATACATTTTCAGCTTCTTACAATGTACTCTTCTGTGCTTCAGAGAACTTTCAAATGGTGCCCTAAACATTTTAGTAACAGGACAGAATACTTAAGACATGTATGCCGTTCTCCCTGCATTTCCCTCCCTTACAACCAGGCAGCCAGGTGGCGTATGTCCTTGTTTCCAGAGAGGCAGGACAAAGAGAAGAAGGTCATTAAAGCTATGATATTTGGTGTCTCCGAGAGGAAAGGAAGGGTGGTTTCCTGGACTGTAAGGATTCAGGGAAGCTGGTGCTGAAGCTCTTGAGACCTTTGAACCACTTAAGGGCAGCACTCTGGCTCAGAGAAGAATGCAGGTATGGTCTGCTTAGACACTTGGTTCCTTGCCTTGGTAACTACTCTGGCTAACGAATGCATAACAGCAGGCAAAGGCACATTGCTGGGAATTGCACAGGCTTTAGCTATGATGATATTAGCTATGCCCAGGATAGTATTAGAGATTAGAAGCTTTTCTCCTGTTTCCATGAAGCCAAGTATGTTCTATGGATTCTGGAGTGAACCTGGGAAAGGGGATGTGGCCCAAATAATGCCTGAATTCCATACCAACCCACCAAGATGGGGGCTAGGGTAATTTTAAAAAGAAGGTCCACAAATTCTTTGATATTTTTCCCCTATAAGAGGTGCAGCTTATTTACATTCTCTTAAGTGTGGGCTATACTTAGTGCCTTGCTTCTCATGAATAGCCTATGGTAGAAGTGATAGATGTCACTTCCAAGGTTAGGTTATAAAATGACTGTGGCTTCTCTCTTGATGTGCTGTCTCTCTCTGTCGAGTGGATTGCTTGCTGCATGAGAAGCAGGCAGTGATCAGCCCGTGTGAATGGAAGTCCCCAGCTGGCAGCCAGTGGGAAACAGAAGATGTCTTTTATGTGATAGCCACGAGAGTGCCTCTAATCTCATCAGTGATATCCCCCCACCTTTGCCTCATGCTATTCGTTAGAAATGAATTAATAGGTCTAGGCCACATTCAAGGGGAGGTGTTTATACAAGATTGTGTATTACAAGAAGTGGGGATCACTGTGGGGGGGGTCATCTTAGTGGATACCA
Source organism: Homo sapiens (assembly GCF_000001405.40). Taxonomy (NCBI): domain Eukaryota; kingdom Metazoa; phylum Chordata; class Mammalia; order Primates; family Hominidae; genus Homo; species Homo sapiens. Next base: position 97,804,234 of record NC_000015.10, on the reverse strand, counting down.
TAAGGACCAATTTAGCTTCAAAGATGTATTTTAAGGATGAGACCACATTTTTTCCTCTGTAGATGGCTCTACATCTCTGTAGATGGCTTTTCCCCTCTGTCTTGCTCTAGTAGTGAATTCCTTACTGAAGAGAATTTCTTGGCACCATGTTTTGTGGCACTCTGGGAAGCATTGTTACAGAAAGAAAACGCTGGTTCCTTTTCAGATTACAAAATCAGCTGCATATGTGGAGAGCACGCATATAAATCTTTCCTTTCTAACAAATCAGTCCTTATAAATAATCTCCAGGTCAGAGCCTATTAAACCTGGGAAGGCCCATAGTGAGGCCACACCATGTTGACTCCAGAATCAGCACTTTGGCTTGGGAATGTGGCCTGAGGCGTACTTTCGGAGTGATAAGATTGTTCTCAAGAATCAAGGAAGAAACATCACTATGATCAAAATCATCCACTCAGAGAAACAGCGGTTGATGTTACTTTAATGGCATCTATAGAGCTTCCAAATATTAATAATAAAAATCCAGTATTGATTATTTTCTTTTCTTTTTTTTTTTTTTTTTTACCTGCAGTACAATCACAGGGGCAGGGGAAGAGATAGAATGGCAACACGTCAGGAACATTCTGTTACTAAGCTAATTATAACCTTTCAGCACAGAATTCATTCTACTGTCCATCAATTGGGGTGGAGGGGGGTGGGAGGGGAGAGAGAGAGAGAGAGAGAGAGAGAGAGAGAGAGAGAGAGAGAGAGAAAGGCCTGACTGAGATACTAGAATTCTGCAGTTGCAAGCCCTTAAAAATAGAAGAAAGCTGAGAGATGATAAATAATATATGAAGCCAGGTACTGAGCCAGAGGCAAGTTTTCTCCCTGTGAATTCCGCCATTTACATCTCTGTTGCGTGTCTCTCAGCAGCACCTTGCCAGGTATAAGGAACATTCTTGGTTGGATTTTGCCTCTTATTTTGTTGGGTTCTCACAGGACTTCTGCTTTCAAAACCCCCACCTTTTGAGTGCTGCTTGCTCTCCTGGGCTGCAGGTCTCTCTGTTTTTCTGAACTTCAAAATGCAGATTTGTAAAATAGGATCTCTTTTTCTGTCTCAGAAGGAAAATATTGTGCTGAAACTTTAAGTAGATCTGCTAAATGTACATATTGGTAGCTCTGGCAGTGTGTAACTGACCAAGGGAATCAGCTTGTGGAGCAGATGTCTGGTGTTGTGAAGCCCCGGTATTGTTCATGTAGTGTTGTGGGTTCCCCAGCAGAAGGCGGTCCCATTGAGCCTAGCCACCATAGCATGGACACAAGGCTGACACTGTGACTGGATTTGCTCCTCCCAAGTCCTTTCACCCCTGATGACCAGTGATTCCATCACTGTAAAGCTCCTTGAGGACGCTGGATACATCCCGTGGATCTAAGTTTTGTTTTGGTTCTCTGACCATAGGGCTTTCAACACATGATTTTGGAATAAATTAACATATCAATGGAAAATATAAATTACATATATGCATACACATGAATGAAACATTCTAACATTGTGTCAGTTTTTGAATGAGCTACTGACGTGGTGGAAAGTATGTATGCCTTGGCCTCGGATAATCTGGGTTTAAGTCTTTCTCTTTGTACCAGCTGAATAAACATGGACACATTAATTAAATTCCCCTCTCCACAATGCATATAATACTGGTAATGCTGATCCCACAGGCTTCTGAGTATAAAAGTATAAACACACGATAGTCGCTAGGTAGTACTTGGCATTTAGTGGAAGCTCAACAAATGTTTGTACTTCAGGTGGTATAGACAAATGAACAATATGCACTTCTTTTTTTCCATATCATTTATTCTTTATTGGTTTATTGCCTTTATAGGTGTGCTCCTTTCTCTCACATTGGAAGATGCTGATGATTTCATAAAATTTCTGGTGTCTCAGTGCCAGATTGAGTACTTTACACAGTACTCAAATTTTTTTAGAAATTAATTTTTTTAAAGGGTAGTTTAAATGAAAGAAGGTCTAGAATCAAATCACGGTCTGAATTCCTCCGTGACCAAGAGCTTTAATATTTCTGGGCCTCCTTTTCCTCAGTTATAAAAAAGAGGATTAAAAACATCTGTCTTTCAGAGTTGCAATGACAAATGAATATGTTAAAGTGCTTAGTATGGAACCTGGCACACAGTAGGTCCATAACAAATTTTAGTTCCCCTTCCTCCTTCTACTCAAAGTGCTGAGAATCTCTCGTCTCTGCTCTGATCCTGGTTGGCTCTGGTGACATCTTTTGTTCAGTAAATCGATGTCTCCAGAGGCATGTGACTGGAGGCAGCAGATTGGATGTGTAAAGGTACAAGAGAAGCCATCCCTGACTCAATTAATCTCCCTCTGCTGATGGAAGGATGGGTGAAGAAAATAATAGTGAACACTCAAAACCCAGTGGCTCAGCTCAGGAAGTAAAGTAGAAAAGAATGTAAAAGTAGAGTTCCTGGTTACCTGTTTTCTTTTATTTTTTTTTCCCTTTCTACTGCCGGTTTCCTTGCTGTCTCCTGAACCCATTTGAAGCCAGACCTTGTGTCAGCCTACCATTTTTCAGTTCTTGCCTCTCTCACTTACATAACTTTATAGGTTGGTTATCATAAGTCCATCTGCCTGTTTTCTAAAATACTTTAAATGCAAGAAAGCATTGTTAGCAATATAGCTGATGTTCATCTTGCTGTGTCAATCAGTCCCTTGCTTAAGGATAGGTGCTCATGGCTAAAGACAAGTGGGCTGTTTGCAACTCAGCTCATGCCTGAGGCTTGACTAAGCATCTTCTTCTCAGGGCATAGACTCATTTTCTTCCCAGATGGCAGCCATGTTCTCCTAAGGAAGGAGCTGAGTTGACTGGGAGCTCCAAGAGCTTTTGGGAAGACCTACTGAGAACTTTATGATAGGCTGAGAAGTACTTTGTGGAATAAGATAAGTTTGAGTAAAAGCCTGTGCTCCTCTCCATTTTCTATTTCTCCACCCTCCACCTTCCCAACCCGCCTTCCCCAGCAATTAGTGGGCTTCTGCTAACTCTGTAAAATGAACAAAGAGAGATAAAAGTAGTTTCTTGGTTTTGGTTTCATAAGTCCTAAACCCATTAAAGGAATTTTCAAAGTAATTCCTAAGTACACCATTAAGGAGGAAGTGCCCCTCTGGGAGAGTCATCAAAATTGAGCAAAGGGGATGATTTCTTCTAATATAAAGGCAGATTTCTTCTGGGGTGGGAGTGGATCCTGAGCCCTGGATAGATGAGCCCAGAGACAGGTTTGGGGCAGGAGCCTGGTGAGTTTGCCAATCCTTGGAGAGAGAAGGTCTGTCTGGTATGCCCCAGTAGATGGGACTATGCCCAATCTCCAAGAGATGTCTGTGCTTGCAGGGCAATTCAGAAGTAAGAAAGAGCCTCTCACTGGACTGCAGAAGGACTCAAGGTCCAGGGTAGCAAAGTCTCAGTAGACATACAGGTGGACATGGGGCTTGGGGACATCTGGAGGGGCTCCATGACATTGACTGGGGTGTAAGTTTCTACAACCCTGCTGAAATAGGTGATTGAAATAAAGATGAAATTTAATTAGGGAACAAGGAAAAGTAAATTCCTTACACAATAGAGTTTATGGCCCTAAAGCTATTTTCTCTACATTTATCTCTATTTTATTGACATCAGGTTGATGTGTACAAGGACTTAACAGTTTGTTTTGATGGGAATTGGCAAAAGACCCCGCCTGGAGCTGTCAGGGAAGTCTTCTCCACCATTGCCTTTGCTCTGTCATCTCAACTTGCCCAGATCTCACACACTGGTCATAGCTTTGTCCTGATTTTCCCCAAAAGTGGACCATATATCTTTAGGCAGATAGATCCATATTAAACAGACAGACACCAAAGACATACAAAATTCCAAGCCCTGGGTAGAGAAATGCAAGTCATTTGGTGCACTGGGTGCAATATTCATCAGGACTCATGGTGAAAATCACAGAAAAACTAACTCAGTTTAGCTGGAGCCCATAGGCAATTTCCTGCATGATAGACTCAGAAAGTCCAAGGAGATTCTGACATAGTAGAATCAGGTACAATTTATTCAAGACTAGGTTTCTTTCTTCTATTTATTTTGGCATCATCCATAGGTGTGGGTTGTTTTCGTTGTGGTCCCCAGTAAGTCTGGGTTAAAACCAGGCAGCCCCTCACCCTTCAGAAAGAAAGTTTCTCTCTGTCAGTATTCCTAACAAGGTCTCAAAGGGCCATCTGCTTGGTTTTCACTGGTTTTTGAAGTTTTTCCTAAACTAATCACTGTGCACAAGAGATGCCACAGTCTGATGGTTTAGCCTGAAGGATATTTTTAGCCCTCGATGTACAGAAGAATTTCTATTCACTAAACACAGGGATTGAAAAGAGGTCAAAGTTAGAGTGTGCAGGTGAAGATGGTAACAGTGGGAAAACAGAATGCTTTTTAGCTAGAGAAGAGAAAGGAATGCTGGGCAGGTCCAAGCAATGCTTGTCAATTGGAGGTTTAATTTTCAAGAGAAGCAGCGAGAGAAATTGGTAGGGTCTGATTAGAAAGGGTTTGGGATTCTGAATTTGGAAGCTTGGACTTGTTTGCATTGCAGCCAGTAGAGCACAGTTATTGGAGATGGCAGAGGTGGGAAGATCACACTATATGAGTGGGAGGGGACACGGGGATAGGAGAAGGAGCAGCACTGGGCATTTATCAAGGCACAAGTGCTGGCACATCTTCATTTTCAGCTTTCAATTTTCAAAGAGCATTGTTTTTAATAGTAGTGCAAAAATGGACTCTGATGCTTCCGATTTTCTCCCTCAGTACAAAGAGTCAAGTTAGTCTGCATGAATGATCACGTTTGTATTTGTCATTATTTGTTTGGTGCCATTGGAGCCCCATACCTCACAGACTATTTAATGGGTCCATGAACAAAGGAAATACAATGCATGTACTCACAATGCTCCATATTTTGAGGGTTAAAATGATTCTGTCCTGGAAAAGGGAGATGAGTTTTAATTTTTTACTAGGATTTCTTACCTCTGCACTGTCAAGCAGGTAACCTGTATATCAAACGAGATGCATGTCAGCCACCCTGAATGTTGCTATTGGTGTCTAGTACATATCAGCCGAGAGATCTAGGAGTTCTAGAAAAGAAAGACTCATATCCAGAATAGCTTTGGTGATTTAGGTAATGCTTGTACTATTTGAAATCACTCAAAATCTGATTGCTATAATTTTTAGAAATAGGCATCTTCTTTCGAAGTAATCGTCCATAATCTAAACAAAAAAAGACGAAAGGCCTACAGCATGAAAAGGGGCAAAATGGGGACATTCTTCCGGCATTGCCCCAAGAAGCTTAAACGTTGTTTCAGAGCTTGGCTTAAGAGCTCCACACGTTTTACAGAGTTCACAGCTGCTGAGGTTTAAAATGTAATTACGTTTAAATTATCAGTGTCAGATAAAACACACACAGCCACTCCGGCCCAAGTGGAACCACAGCAATGAGGAAAGTGAAGTTGGTGGCAGAAAAGTGACACTTGAAGATACATCTTTGATTCTTTTCAAAAGAAGCTTCTTGCCATGAGACTTCTCTGAATGTTCATCAGAGGAAAATGACAGTAGAGACTCTGGATATAAAGAATGTTGGAAGATTTATGTGCCAACTCTCAGTTAGATTTATTTTGATAAATTGTACTGTATCAATATGTAAAAATCTAATAAATATAACTCTTTAAAGAGGGGGCTGCTCTAATTTTACTGTTTCAGAGAAGAGGTTTGGCAAAAAGTCAGACTGTGCATTAAAAACACACTTTCAAGAAGTCTAATAAATACAGTCTTTGAAATATGGTTTCCCAGTGAAAGGCATTTTAAATCATTTTGATAAAGAATCTAAATTAGACCTTTAAATAAGAAAGGCAAGTTCCCTTAACATATTATTTATAGATAGTTTGAAAATAAAATCTTTGCAAACTGACTTCTTCTTCTATTCTTTACAAGGCAAATATATTATCAAGTTTTAACAGCACATGTGGTTAGCTGGAGAATGTCCTCATTAAAGAAGGAAGGCCATGGCTAGCTAGTTAGTATTTAGTGAGTGTTTAGTATGTGCTGGGTGCTGTGTGAGATGCCATATGTATACTGTCTCATTTATTCTCAGGTGAAGAAATTAAGCAAGTAGACCCTGGATTCAGAATGCCTGTCATGGTTGAGCTGTGTGACCTTGAACAAATTACTTAACCTCACTGTGCCTTAGTTTTCTCACCTATGAGGCCAATCATAACATCTGAGTAATAAGGACTATTGGAAGGTTACTTAAGTCTGGTCCATAGAAGATGCCAATGTGTCATATCATATAATCATCCTCATTTTTAACTAGGCTCAGGTGATTAAGAGATTTGCCTATAAATAACAGAGCTGATCAGAGATAGCACCTGGACTCAAACTCTGGGTGTCATCTGTGTCTGAGGATATCCTCATATCAGTGAACGTTCAGAACAATGTTCTTCGCAGCTTTCATCTCAGACTGTACAGTGTTTGCATTCATTCATTCTGTCATATTTTATATATATGTGTTATATGTCTATAGCATATACTGTATGCTATATTATATAGTAAAATATATTTTATATTATGCATTATGTATCATATTAATGCAACATGATATTATATAATTTTCCCTATAATTTTATCATATATACTCTATTACTATATATTATATAATAGTATGTATACTATATAGTACATAACATACACATATGTATACACACACATATATATACCGAGGACTAAATCTGTGCCATGAACTGGGTATAAAATGTGACAAGAAAGATTCTGTCCTGCTGGACTGAACTTACAACAGAAAAAAAGACCACAATAAAGTATGCTAACAGTTATGATCAAAAATCATAACCATTGCAGGCACATTACTATGTGCAAATCAGGCACATAATAATGGTGGAGTGGAGAAGTTACTTGTTGTGGGCCAAACAGATTTTGACAATCTAATTATTTCTATTATTTCTATTATTGCTAAGGTAGAATTTCAGTTTTATTAGAACACCCCATTCCCCAAATGTTTTGGATAATCGAGCTATCACTGGAACAAACACAAAGATTAGGAGTGGTCAAGATGTTGCTCAAGGCACTTTGTGTTGATTACGTGCAGCTTGGTAGAGTCGAAAGGGTAGCTGCTGCAGTCAGCCACGCTGGGGTTAGAATCTGCTCTCTACCACTTCCAAGTTGGGTGACTTAACGATGATATTTAAATAACACTTAAGTTTTCAGAAACTCAGTTACTATCTCTTCAAAGCGGGGACCGTGCTTCTTTCATAGAATTTGTGGGTGTTTAAGAAGCCCTGACCTCCCCCTACCTGTCCACCACTGCCCCACATAATTTGCTTCATACCCAGAGCTTCATTGTTCCTGACAGGTGTGCACGGGGGATGAAGGTCTGGAGAAGCGCTCAGGGTCCTGGTCCCTGGATTTTTAGTCATGAGTGACATGCCATAGATGTGAACCACCTCGGTGACCAGCTATTCTTCCTGTAGATTTTCCACGAAAGGACTGAACTCCGGATGAGACAGAACACAGGGTTTATTGGGATTGGCTGTTCATTACTTCATTACTGGGAGGTCCTCTGCCCTACTTACACTTAAGTTCACTTGGTTGGATCAGCTCAACTCTCTTGGGGCAGCAGACTTCGGGGACACTTCATTGACTATTCTGGGATCAATCTCTCCGTCCCCTTGTGTGCCCAAAGTCAGTTCAGAATTCCCCGTCTAGCCTCCAAGCCCTACTTCTCTCTTTAGAAAATAACACACTGCCCTGAGGAAACACACGCTGATTGGTAGAATTTGGAGGATACTGCATCAAAATGAATTAGAATTATTTCTGTATTTAGTGACTCCCCCAGGCTTTGATTGGGAAGACACTGAACTCGAAACAGTCACCAAGGGGAGACACACGGACTATCGCATTTCTCTTCTGGATCTAGAATCTAAAAAGCCTCACTGGAGAAGTTTTGCAGCAACTGAAGCCACCATCTCCCCATCTCTGGATCCGCAAACTGGCAGGAAAGAAGGGGCTGTGAATTTATAAACTCTCCTTCCTCCCCTATACGTGGGCAGAGACACATATTTCGTAAGAAATTTCTTTGTTAGGCACTGTTTAAAACTATTTAAAAATCAATTTTTATTTACAAAAATGCTATCTAGTGTCACTGCAGCTTAGATTCAACGCTTTTACCCTTCAAACTTAATAACAAAATACACCAAGGAAAATGACTTCTCCATTCCCTCCAACATTCATATTCAGGCAGGCGCCAAGGGCCAGCACTTTTCATATTAAGGTAATCCACATTTGTTCATATCTCCTGCACCCAAGGAAAATGAACCTGCATCCTTGATGAATAAATTGCATTTCTCTGCAAGAGGAAAGACATACGGTAAGGCAGTTTAAATGTCAGGAAAAATCACGTTCCAAAGCCCATCTGAAATAAAAAGGATGCCACGAGATGTGACATTCTTAGCTTCATCGCTACCCAATAATTGTTAATTAGATTAATTACTGTCCGGTATGCTGAGCTGGAAACTTCATTTTCACGCAATAAGGTGTGAGGTTAGCTGCTTTGCCTGCCTGGGACTGATCTTGGGGTTTCAGAAGCAGCTGCAGGAGGAAGTATAGCCAGAAGATTTCGGCAGTCACAGCAGAAATAGAGAAAATAAAGTCTCAAAAGCCTTTAAGTGTCTGTGTTTGCTCCACCAACCCACTTGTCGATTAAATTAAAGCATTCCTTCCAGCTCAGTTCTCCAATCTTCAAATGCGTCTCAATACACTGTTTGAGATCTTAGCCCTTCTAAGAAATGAATCATATTTTCTCTGTCATACTTGATTGCTGTTGACTACTAATTCACCCTGTATTGATCTCAACTCCATATTTCTTACTGTTACGATGGGGAATTATCTCATGCTATTAAAATGCTGCCAAGTTGCAGAAGCCTTTACAATTGTTGTACCCAGAGGCCAAGTTCATCCTCCTAAAGCATGGCAGGATTGGGCATTTAGATGCGACTTTTTGCCCCTCGATTTCTTGTGCTTTCTTTGGTATAGGTGTCAAGAGGCCCTATTATTTGTGTGAGAGAGAAGAAACATGGTGCTTACATAGGAGTAAAAGCAGGTTTAGAGGGAGATGACATCTCTGTAAAGGAGCTTGCCAATTTGCCATATCCTAATACTTTTCTCTGGTCCTGGAAATTCCAAAAAGAACCTCATGAAAAAGGCTCCTTGTTCTGAGATATTTTTTACTTTGTCTAAAATGCAGACAATATGAAAAGAGGAAGACTTGAAAATATCATGTTTTCCTGATTAAAAATGTTATATGCTTTCATTACAAAGAATGTTGCAACCTAGAGAAGGATAAATAAGAAAATAAAGCTGATCCTCCACCTCACCTCCCAGGGGTTGCACTCCTCAACCTCTATATTTTGGAAGAAATAGCATACAGTGTTCAAGAGCATAGACTCTGACCCCAGATGCCCGGGGCATTAATTTAGACACTAGTATTTACTAGCTGGGTGACCCTGGGCAGTTTGCTCATCTGTATCCCAGGGACAGTAGTGATAACTGTAAAGGAACATATAAGGCAATCCATTCAGAGAACCCACTCTGATGCCTAGCACGTAATAAGTATTTGATGTTTGCAGCTATCACCATTTGATTTTTTGTGTTATGATTTCCTCCCTCCATGCACAGGCATGTCAATGCTTATGTGTGGCAGAGTTTTTCAGGCACTGGTTGCCACGTCAAAAAAAAATGTTGATCAGACATTTTATCCTATTTCATATATTGAACACCTGAATTTAATGTACTTGTTATACAACTTTACTTTATTGAATCATAGTAATTTATATTGTTGCATAAATCATAAGCCTGAATAGGAAATGAAGGTCCATTTTTCCCCCAGGCAGCTGAGAGAGTGATTCGACTTGCAGCTCTCGGAAATACAGCCAGATGCCTTATGGGATGGTAGAGCGCCAACTTGGCTCTGGGCACAAGGCTCATATTGGGAAGGGAAATGAAAGCTAACCTTACCTGTTACCTTTCCCAGCAAGAAAATTGTAGAGGCAAAGAAAGGAGGGTGAAGAAAGAGTTCCCAGGCCCATTACCCACCACCTGAACGTTAACAGAGGTCTTATTGAAAGCACCACCTCCGTGGCATTTGAACCCATGACCTATGAAACATGAAGCAGCTCTGCTGCCCAAGGTCCTGGAAAAGCTTTTGGGGCGGGTGAAATCAAATTGGCCAGAACTGGCTTCTGGCCAAAATCCCAGGAAGAATCATTACTTTTTCTTTGAGGTGGGAAGAATTGGTGGGAGGGAGTATCCAAGTTGCTGTAATGACTGTCTTTTTAAGGAACGACCTTGCTAGGGAGAGTGCAATTACGTAGGTTGAAATATAGCCAGAACCTAATATCTCTCCTTTTGTAAGACGTGCTAAGACATTGTTAATGACCTAGGGTGAGGACCTAGGTTTGCCAGAAAGAAGAGACTGAAAGAAGAGAGGGTGTTAGGCTAAAAGGAAGCAGGCTTGGCTTTTCCAGCCTTCTTATCCGGCATCAATTCAGAGCTGGCTCAGAGGGACGAGCAATAGCACTGAGGTTGCCTTGAAGGCCTTTCTCATCAACTTGGTATATTGACTTCTTTTGAAGCTATTCATTGGCATTGCTGTTGAGTTGGTGGGGGGTGGGTGGGCTTGTCTAATGGTGTGGGGGAATAAAACGAATAATTGTTAATTAGATTAATTACTGTCTGGTATGCTGAGCTGGAAACTTCATTTTCATGCAATAAGGTGTGCATCTTTGGAAGAGGGCTATTCTGTCCTGCTGGCACATAGGACTTGGAATGGTTTCAAGAAGTGCTGACCCTAGGACCAGGGGGAATTCCCATGGGCTTGAGTCAAATGCTTTTAGAACAGCCAAGCTCCTCTACCCATCTCCAGGACCCAGGCCTGAAGGAGGTGTCCCTCCCCATTTTCCTCCCAGCCTATCATTCCCTTGGACCTCTTCTTGTTTTTTGCACTCTTCCTCTCTTATACATTTGACCAAATGCTGGTTTTATACATGCTTGGAGACTTTTGCCCAAATTGCACATATGCATTTATCTTTTTAACACATCTGTACAGTTTATTTCAGGTTACAAAAAGTATTTGCACCTATCCATCCTCCTTTCCACCTCATATATTATCTTCCACCACATATATTATCTGGGATGTGAGCAAACGGTACCATTTCACAGATGAGGAAACTGAGGCCAAAATATTGAGCAGTTTATTGTGAACCCAAAGTCCACAGGAAGTCAGTGATGGAGCGGGGGAATGAACCAGCCTTGACCTAAAGTCCCTCTTTACTTTGATTAACAAGAAACACAGTAACCTTACCTGTTACCTTTCCACATTGCCTGTGCAATGTTTTGTATAGTAGATTAGATTAGATTTTTGCTGAAATTAGAGTTTCTCCAAATAATTTTCATTGTGTATGTTTAAGGTTACGCGCTTGGCTTCTGATATGCAGGAGAGAAACCGTGTATCCCTCCAGCAGGGCTGCCCTGAAGCAGTGCCTCCCTCTGGCCTCTTTGACGCTGACAAGTCACTGGACCCCAGGGCTCCAGTTCTGCTGCATCCCAGCTCCTGGCCCCTCTCCATCTCCCTTGTCCTGGATGAACCGATTTTTTTTTTTTCCTGACAGCCCTCCCCCATCTGTTCTACTTACCCCATCTCATCAGGATGTCTTTTTGATTTAAGGCCAAGCCTTCTCTCCTGGGTCAGAGGGGGCCTCCGGTGGGAGCTGTTGCTGCTTTCTGCATTCCCCTTCCCAGCCAGCGTGGGGGCTGTTTCTCGGGAATGACATGCCTCTCCTCACACCACACCTCGTTTGGTGCCTTTGTTTGCTCGTTTCTTTTCCAAGTCCTGGCAACCGAATAACACCTCAACACAGTTATAAACTTCTACCATGAGTTGTCACTGATGTTTTGCAGGATTGAAACTGCCTGATTTTTTTTCACCTTCTTCCATGTGAGGCTAAATGTCATCCTCGGAACAGCCCGGGAGAGCCTGGCAAACCACCTACCCTGCAGGGAAGAGTCCACTCTGGCTAGGGAAGAGACAAACTCTCTAAGCTGTAAAACTGTAGGAGAAACAAAGAGAATTCAAAGCCCCACGGCATGCATTCCTCAGGATACAGTCACTCATTTATTCAATAGATGTTTAGGAAACACTGACTTCTTAATAGGGCAAGCATGGTGCTGGGTGCCAGGATTATAATGCGGAGTAAGACGTGCCCCTACTCTGGAAGAGACACAGAAATGAGAGTGTGGCAAGGTAGTTACCGTGAGATTGGTGAGAATTGGGTGCCAGGCACACTTCAAAATAAAATCAGAGGCACAGACCCTCAAGCACCTCCCAGAGTGGGAAGCACTTGGCAAACTTGAGCTTGGTTAAAATTTGAGCTCAGGAGTCCAGCTAAGGATGGAAAAAGTGTGCTCAGGCAGCAGTAAGCATCCGGGAAAGCCCAGGGAAGTGAGTGTTGGAGGGATTGCAAAAACGGGAGGAAGATGAGGCTGGTGCAGAAGGCAGGAGCTACATCAAAGGTTTGAATGGTGCCTTGAGAAACAAGAGCCACCTCTGAAGGCCCTAACCAGAGTTATGTTGTAGGTATCATGGAGGCAGGAAGCAGGTGGGGTGCTGTTTCATTCTTCCAGGTGAGCAGAGAGGAGGACCTACACCATTGTGGTGGTAGTGGAGATGGGTCCACGTAGTTTTTCGGAGGCTGAAGCTACAGGGCTTGGAGCTGATGATGAGTGAAAGAGAGGAGAGATTCTAAGGACACCCTATTTCTATCCAAGGCAATTGTTGGATGGTGAATGGTGCATTTGATGAGATAGGATATGCAGGCATTGGTCTGGCAGGGAGGAGAGGGTGAGTTTTATTTTGAATATAAATATTTATTTGACTACTGAGTAGGTATTTGGACAGGTTGACATGAGCTTGGCACATAAGTCTGGCCTGAAAATGTCTTCTCATAAGAAGGATATTTGATTGTTGGCTGTGAAAATTTTCGATGACCACCTGGAACCCATTCTCATCCCTTGGAGAACAACAGATAGCACCAGAAGGCAAAAACATCACAAGTCCATTTGCTCCCAGGGTATAGGCAAGGCAAGAGTGTGCTACTGACTTGGGTCTTTTTCTGTCTTCTCTTCCCAGAATCTTGTAAGAAGGCAGGAGTTCTAGATTGGTGAAGAATGTGGTTGGGAATGCAGTTGACAAGGCTGACCGTGATATTGACACCATGGACAATGCAGTCTGGTGTCCACACAGACTCCCTACACTCAGAGAGTCATGCTGCAAAGATGCTTTTTCTGGGAAGAGGCCTCTCTCCTCAGTAAGACTCAAGACCTTGTACACAAGACCTCTGTTACAGAAGAAACAAATTCTCTAAGCTTTGATTCAAGCTCCCCAAGCTGTGAGAAGTCAGAAAGGAGCTTAAGGGGAAAGGTACCAATTGGCCACTTCAAATCTGAACCTAAGTCCTCAGCAGGAAAATACTCACAGTCTACAAGGAAAGAAACAAGTGGGCTATGGAAGAAACAGAGCCATTAAATCTTATATTGAATGTTTCCTCTGTCTTTCTCTCTAGATAGATGAATAGATAGATAGATAGATAGATAGATAGATAGAGACAGACAGACAGATGGATAGATAGATATAGATGGTGGATAGATACAGACATAAACATGCCTGTAGCTGTCATTTATCATCTCTCTATGTATCTTATCCTGTCTATATCTATCTATTATCTATCTATCTATCTATCTATCTATCTATCTATCTATCTATCTATCTATCATCTCTCTGTCTATCATCTCTCATCTACCTATGTATCTATCATTGGTCTAATTCTTGAAGAATAGGCACCAGAATATGAATGGGTCACTTTTCCATTCATTCAATGTGCAATGACTCAGTCTTCTAGTAGTTGGGGACTCAACAATAAACAGAAAGACAAAATCCTGACTCTAAGCAGCTTACAGTCTAGGGAGTAATTTTTCTTCTCCTGTTGGGATTGTGTTTGTGGCTCAGCTTCTCACTGTGGGACCTCAGGTGGCCTTTTCTGGCTTTGGGATTTTCACTTTGAGGAACACTACACCCTGAGTGAGCTATGCTAGGTGCATTGTTTGCAAGCTTTGGTAATGGTCTTTTGGTTTCTTCTACTAAAATTTCCTCCTGATTGTAACACTTTCTCTGGATTTCCAATAAGCCCCCCTTCCTAATGGAGGTGAGCTACTTAACTACACACGTGAAGAATCCAATTTTCTTTGAATTGAAAAAAGGAAAAGTACCGTTAGTGAGTTTTCATCATTAATTTGGCTTTTATAAAATATAAAAGCACTTGGTTATTGCAGTCTAAACACACATCAACCTTGCTGTGAGGGACTTAGGCTGTGGAATACAAATCATGCTGACTAAGTGCACAGAATAAAATCACCCTGTGTTCACATTTTACTAATGTAGAATTCAATAAAAAAAGAATGCACTCTTTACAACTACAGGATACAGGAGCCCTGAGAAATCATCATGTTTTACCCTCCTTTAAAGGTGAAGCTGTGGAGACCTGCAGGGGCTAGTTACCTGCATTTCCCAGGGCTCAGTTCCCAGAGTCCTAGCCCAGTGTTCTGCTCCCTAAATTGAGGGAGATCCCTCCAGAAAGGCCTGAGTGTGCTCTTTCAGAACTGCCACAACCTCTGCCCAGCTTAGGCCTCACAGTTGAGCCTTTTGCAGGGCCTAGGAGATCTGGTGTTCTCCACCCCACCTCTTTCCAAAGCCAAAAATATAGAACATCAGCCGCAGTCTGGGAATCTTATCCACCCTGTAAGCCTCCTCTCCCTCTAGAAAGTCACCTCCATCTAAAGAAGCCAGGGAGTGATACAGTGTCCCAAGAGCCACAAGCAATAGATAGTGTGGGCATTTTACAGATGAAGAGACCGAGGTTCTGAGGGATGAATGACTTACTTAATGAGAAGGTCGGGGGAATGAGAGGCCTGCACTCAATTTCAAGTTTCTATCAAAGCTTTATATGTCCTCAGCCACGTATTCCACAGCCTCTTCCAACAGCCACTGCCATTTATAGTTCTATGCCAGGCTTTGTGCTGAGGGCTCTGCAGGTGTTACTTAATTTAAACCTTACAGCCACACTGTGAGGCAATGGGTGCAAGAAAGCAAAGCAAGCCTGTTCTGGCCTTTCCTGGATGGCAGAACTTGGCTATTTGGATGCCTTCATCTTGCTGCAAATGCCAGCCTCAGGGTGGCTGCGAACACAATGCGGGGGCAATGATGCAGGCTGGAAGCACGTCAGGGAGAGGTTGCTCACTCTTCCCCCACTTCTCAGAACAACAAACAGACAAAACTCTTGTATTAGTCAGCTCAGCCTGAGAGAAGGAAATACGGTAAACTGGGTGGCTTAAACAGCAGAAATAATTTTTCTCATAGTTCATTCAGTTTCTGGTGAGGGCTTCCTGCCTCGCTTATAAGTGGCCACCACCTTCTCATTGTGTCCTCACAAGGGACTTCCTCACTGTTTGCAGAGAGAGAGAGAGAGAGAGAGCTCTGGCATGTCTTCTTATAAGGACACTAATCCTATTGTATCAGGGCCTCACCCTTAAAGGCTCCATCTTCAAATCCAGCCACACTGGAAATTAGGGATTCAACATACGGGTTTTGGAGAGACACAAACATTCAGTCCACAGTAATCTTCAAACTACAAATGCCAAATAACAGCAGGCTCAGCCGGACTTTCCAGGGCCACCTTGCGGCTTGTGAGGCTTTCCCAACCTAGGGTGTTTCCAGATTTGCCTGAATTATCTTTTAAAATGTATATAATTAAAATGCTTTCTATTCAAATAACTTCCCAAATATGGTGTAGTCAATTGTCCAAGATTGGGTTGAGCCCGCCTGCCCCAGATTGACCGGTCTTGCTGCACAGTGGCAATGAGCAGGCTCAGGGTTAAGAACTCTCTTTTCACGATTGATTGCACAATGCATTGGTCGTGATCTTAATAATGAAAATCAATGCCCTTCCCATGTCAGTAATGGTGCTAACCTGTCTCATGGGGTTATTATTAACATTAACTCAAGTTAATGTACATAAAGTGCTTCCAATGATGCCTTGCTCATAGTAGGCATTTTATAAGCATGTGCTAGTGTCATGGTTGTTTTGTTGTTGTTATTGGTTATTAAAGCTGTTTTCCAGTTAAATTTAATTCCATTTAACTAAAACCTGTAGCTACTTTATCAATAGGCTGCCCTATACTATGTGAAGCACTGGGTATTTGCTACTGGATAATGGAGATGTGGCCTCTGAATGCACAGTGCCTGAAGGTTATCAAAATAGCACAGGAATATAACAATACTTGGGCAGTGGAAGTGCCGCACTCACCTTGAATGTGGCAGGTGAAATAAAGGGAGCACTGAGCCTGAGGGAAGGTCTGGGTTCTAGTCCTGCCCACCAGCTCTATCAAAGGGCAAATGCCCTCTTCGGCTTCAGTCCTTTCCTTTGTAATAGAAGAACTTAGATATATAACCTTGGAGGCTTCCTCACTCTCTGCATTCTCCGTGGTAAGTCACTGAAGACACTCCGTGTCAATTGACTTCTCTGTCCCAAAATATCTGCTACAACATTATCTTTTGGTTCATCAGCTTCTGTAGAACAAGTTTAGATTCAATTTGGGTCTATATGTTGTAAGACAGGGATCCATAACCCCCAGGCCCTGGATCAGTACTGGTCCATGGCCCATTAGGAACTGGGCCACACAGCAGGAGGTGAGCAATGGGTGAGTAAGCATGACCGCCTGAGCTCCGTCTCCTGTCAGACAGTAGTGACATTAGATGCTCATAGGAGCGCAAACCCTATTGTGAACTGCACATGTGAGGGGTCTAGGTTGTGTGCTCCTTATGAGGATCTAACTAATGCTTGATGATCTGAAGTGGAACAGTTTCATCTCTAATCCATTCCGCCTCCCAGCCCCTGTCCACAAAACCGGTCCCTGGTGTTGGGGAACACTGTTGTAAGATATACTTGTGGAAAAAAAAAATCAGTTTTCTAGGCTGCTTAGTCATTGACGAACTCCAAATATCTAAATGCCTGGCTGCCTTTACAGTTTTTGCTCAAGTATTTACCATCATGAAAGCAGGACCTAAATACAGAGCTGCACTCATCATTTGGATATGCTGGGATCCTTTGCCTGCTCAGTGTCATCCTTTTAAGGACCATGCTGGATGTTCCTTAAGCAATGGTTCATCACCCTTAAGCAATTCCAGTCTTGAAAAGAACATCTCTCTGCTTTGTTTTTGTGCATCCCCACATGTAGGCCATTTGTGAGTGAATATATGAGGGCTTTCTTCAAGAAGAGGAAGGGCCAAGAGCCACATCAAGAGAGCAATTGAATGAGGAACTTCTAAATGCCAGGCCTTAAATCATCCTGGCAAATGGTTTTTCTGCTTGTTTCTTTTCTGGTCGCCAAAGCTTGATGATGGATTTACATTGGCTGGAAAGAGTTGGAGCTGATGATATTAACCCAGTTGCTAGAGTGATGAAGGGCATCTGTTCTCCACAAATAATGGGTCTCATTCTGAGAGTGTTGGCTATTGTAAAGTATCTCAAGTTTTGATGAGGCAATCTTTGGTTGAGAGGTCCTTGCTACACCACCCCATAAATGAAATTGGCTACTATAGAGAAAATGTTGTTATGAACATTTGAGAAACACACCCAAATGTCTTTTCTCACCTCGTGGCTGGTCATATTCACCGAGAAAGCTTTATAATCGTCTTTGAAATTTATTGAATTCAGGTAAAGCTATGATTTAATAATGTTGATAATGAATTATACTGCACATTACCATTCCTGGGGATGACTTCATTACATTCTTATGGTGGATAGAAGAAATGGAGTGCAAAAAGGTTTTCTTATTTTCCCAAATTCATTCAGCAGTATAAGAGCCACAACTCCTCCTGCCTTGGTCTTCTTTGAAGGCTTTCTACCAGATGCTAAAGTTCTGATATCTCTTGCCTATGTCCATATCTGCAAGATTCATACTTGTAATCTATATGATTACACAGTCTTCATATAGTAAATGAAAAAATCCTTTAACTCCAGGACCTCGGAAAATTCCAATAAAATTCTTCACAGTTGTGCTACCCAGAATCAAATTTTCATGGTTATTTTCCTTTACTGACATTACAGCCTCCATATATTTTGAAATACAGAAAATTTCCTCTTTACTTAAATATTTCCTAGCTTTCTCTTTTCATCATGGGTTCTGACCAATCTTCTGGAAAAGTCATTTAGTTTAGAATTGCAAGAAAGAGTGGCATTTTTATAGAGTTTCTAGTTCAAATCATTCATCTGAGAATTTCATTTGCAGAATCTCCTTTCCAAGGTGATTCTGCAGTGACCATAACACTAACATCCCCTTAATATTAATTTAATTTTAAAATTACGTTTCAGGGTTTATCATTTAGTCACAAATAGCATCATTTTACACATCAGATGAATAGAAATAGGAGTGTATCTTAAAATGCAATTTACAGATTGCTTAGTTATTGATATTTAAAACAAGTAAACATAGTTGGGTCAAAGCAAACCTCAATGAAAGAGTGAAATAAGTTTATACTTTTTGCATTTGGACATTTTCCACATGTTGGTGCTCCAGAGATATTTATTACTTTATTTATTTATTTGAGATGGAGTTTCTCTCTGTCACCCAGGCTGGAATGCAATGGCGAGATCTCAGCTCACTGCAACCTCTGCCTCTGGGGTTCAAGCGATTCTCCTGCCTCAGCCTCCCAAATACTTGGGACTACATGTGTGAGCCACCATACCTGGCTAATTTTTGTATTTTTAGTAGAGACGGGGTTTTGCCCTGTTGGCCAGGCTGGTCTCAAACTCCTGACCGCAGGTGATCCACTTACCTCGGCCTTCAAAAGTGCTGGGATTACAGGCATGAGTCACCGCTCTTGGCCTCCAGAGATCTTTAGTTCTTCTTAGGTGGAAGTCAGATCTTTGTGGGATGGGAAGGCAGCATCTCCACTTATTATGTGAATGGAGAAAATAACCAATACTGTCAGCCATTACTATAAAACCTTGCCTAACTCAGTAAACTTCATATGCTGAGTCATGTGCTACCATAAATGGAGTTATTTTTCCACCCTTGTATGATGTGGACAGCATCTCACAGGATCCTGAGCATTGTACCTCATCCATAAAAATATACCATTCCTTTTTTTTTTTTTTAAGGATCACTGTATAGCAAGCAATAAAGTTTCCTTCTTAGTTGGCTTATATACTGTTAAGAATCAAGACTTCCTTGTCTATACATTTCACCAGAACCTAGCATGGGCATTGAACACCGTGATGCTCCATAAACGTAGACTGAATGCATATTAATTGGCCGATCCCAGAAAAGGAAGAATTGGGAAGTATGAGGAGATGGCTTTTCTGTGCTATTGCATAGTGTATTGAGATCCTGACTGTTACATTCCGAATGTGTGTGTCCTCCAAAATTTGTATATTGACATCGGTCACCAAAGTGATGGTATTAGGAGGTGGGGCCTTGGAAGGTGATTAGGTCATGGGAGTGGAGCTCTTATGAATGGGATTAGTGCCCTAATAACAGAGACCTAAGAGAGCTCATTTGCCCCTTCCACCACGTGAGGACACAGTGGGATGACAGTTGTCTATGAACCAGGAAGGGAGTCCTCCGCAGACTGAATCTGCCAGTGCCTTGCTCTTAAGATTTCCAGTTTCCGGAACTGAGAGAAATACATTTCTGTTGTCTATAGTCTGTCCAGTTTACGGTATTTTGTTATAGCAACCCCCGTGAGCTAAGTCATTGACTCAAACACAGAAGTGAAGGCCAAAATGGTCACAGGGCCATAGGAGAGGCAGAATTAAAAAATCTCTTCTCCCATATATTCTGGAGCTTTTCAGCAATGAATCCTCAGTCTCTTGTTCTTTCAGGCATTTGGAAGTAGAATATAAAAGGTTCTAGTTGTTTCAAAACAATCAACCTATGATGAAACCATTTGGAAAGTCATTAGAATGGTAACTTGAGCCTGATATTTGCTTTTTGGGACTTCCTGGCTGCATTTCTCTGCATTATCCCAGCATAATAACAATTCCTAGAGCTATACTCTGTGGTTTGCTACATGTTGTTTAGTTTTTAGTGATGTCGTTGCATAAATAGTGAACTGGAAATCAAATCATTTTTGTACCAGAGTTTTAAAACTGATTTATAGATTAGCCCTTCAGTTATAGATGTCTGGATTAGGGACTACTCAGTTTATACAGGAAGGCTTTGGATTTTTCAAACACTTCCTGAGTGTCCGTCTACCCAACAAGAAAATTGGCTACAAATACAATACAGCAATCTCCCAGCATGCCAGATGTTTCGTCTGATCTAAGTCTCTTTGGAGGAGGCCAATTAAAGCAGCATAGATTTATCCCTATCTCTGTTAAAAATAAATTTCCAGTCTTTCTTTTACCACACATAAGGTTTCCTCCATACAGATAAACAATAAGAAACAATGAACTCAGTGTTGTGTGTAGCCTTGATATGTAGTCATTGCACCTGGGACATTGGAGACAGGATTGCAAAGGACTTTGTTAATTGCACACTGGGGCAGATGCCCTTCCTCTGAGGATGGTTTTAGGATAAGTCTGAAACAAATAGTCCGTTCACCTCTTGTTATGACTCACGATATACACGTGCTATGAAATTATTTTCTCTCATATATCTACAACGCTGACTGTACCTTGGAAACATAGCCTGAAGCTTGGGAGGAAAAATATAAAATTTAGGACATCTTCCTCTATGTATAGCATAGGCTCAAAATATATTTTCACTCTTTAGAGCTACATGTGGCAATATTTTTATGTTCATGAAGAAAAAAGACAGCCCATTTCTGGAAGTCTGATTTTTCTTTGTTTTTCTTCCTGTTTAGAAGCTGTTGTGATGTTTATAAATATCCCTAAACAAATAGCTCAATGTTAATTTTTTGTGAATAGCAATTGTTTGAGAAAAAGCAAAGGGAAATATTCAAAGCAGAGGCAGTTTTGCTTCCTGGAAATGGGTGATTTGCCTAAAGAATGTATTTCAGAAGCTGCAGCAACAAGCCCATTTCATCTCAGTTTTTATCCCACATGCAGGTTATATTAATTTTTATGGATGAGTTACAGACTCAGAAAAAGAGAGGCAGGGGGCTTTGGTAATGGAGAAACAGAGTGACCCACACTCTATAAGAGCAGGGAGTGAGTTCTTTAACTATGGACAACTGATTTTATTTTCAGTTTTAAGGCTTGCATCACTAACCAAAAGGTTTACAAACTAGTTGAGCTTTCTCTGTCACTGGTAGATTAAGCCCTACAGACAACATCTGATAGTTACATAAAACCACAGTTAACTTATTACCAGCGGTAGAAGGATTTTTATAACGCTTGGGTCATTTGTTAACTTACATCTCTTTTCCATATCACCCCAAGATCAAAGTGTGGATAAACAGGATTGATAAACATTGTAAGCATTTTTTTGAGGACACAACTCATCACACTGCTCTCTATGTAACATTTCCTTATTTAGCAAATATCAGTTCTATTGGTAATGAAAGCTGCAATGCTGAAGCGTCATTTTCTTAAGCCTGTTGGAATCACTGGAGCACATCAAGGAGAACAAACAAAACTTGTGGTCGAGAGGCAAGAAGGATACAGGTGTTGATGGTCAGACAGGGAGAAAATCTTGCCAGGAATACAAACCTTTGTGTTCTAAAGTAGGAATACTGTGTCTGTGCTTGCTTTCTCCGTTCTGACAATCTATTCTCTCCATTCTGGTTAAAGACTCAGATCTAGCCTACTAGTGAACATTGGTCATGGAGTAAACTCACTTTTGTACTGGGCCCTACAGTATACACAGTGCCTCCGCATAGGACTCCACCAGATCTTCCCAACGCAAGTGTTGGTGTATCGGTCCTGAAGAAGAACCAAAGCTCTGAGAGGTAAAGTGATGCCCTTAGAGTTACGCAGCCAGCCAGTTGCAGTTCTTCAGTTCCTATGAAGGCCAAATCTTTTGCTTCTCTTCTTTCTAAGATACAACATTCCTCTAAATTGAAGGGGAAGGGGAAAAAAGAGTTGGGTTTTGTGCCCAGCTGCACCACTTTGTCACCATCTGGCTTTTCATGCATCTATTATCATATCCAGTTTGGGGAAATTAGTATTTATAAAATAGCCCCAACTGACCCTCTGGGTCAAGTTATGCTGCTTCTCCACAAGTATGCAAATGTGTTATGTCCTACAGGGTCAGGATAGAGTTCAGGGCTTAAAGTTCAGAGAATTAGACATATGGTACCAAAATATCCCTCAATTATGGGCTAAACATGTCATGCATCTTTTTAAAAATATATCTTCACTTTTCATGGCCTCTTTGGTAGTGAACAGCTCTATGATTAAAAACAACAGTCCCACAAGTTTATTATCTATGGTGTGAGTAGTACTTAAACAAAATTGTTTTGTATTAGGAAAGCAATTGATTTTCATTGTAGGTAATTCATATATACATATATTTTGAGATGGAGTTTTGCTCTTGTTGCCCAGGCTGGAGTGCAGTGGTGCAATCTCGGCTCACTGCAACCTCCGCCTCCTGGGCTCAAGCGATTCTCCTGCCTCAGCCTCCTGAGTAGCTGGCATTACAGGCATGTGCCACCACACCCGGCTAATTTTGTATTTTTAGTAGAGACAGGGTTTCTCCATGTTGGTCAGGCTGGCCTCGAACTTCCGACCTCAGGTGATCCGCATGCCTCGGCCTCCCAAAGTGCTGGGATTACAGGCTTGAGCCACCGTGCCCAGCCTATATATTTTTTAAAAGTGAAAATAAGCAAATAATTTACTTACAATATTACATTATGATTTCAGCTTATTTACTTCGAGTTTTCATCTGTTTATATCCTATCCATACATTTTTCATATCATGTCATGTTATGAAATGTCATATCACTGAAGTAATTACTAAAATGGAATAATTATTTTATATATTAATTTTTTTTGAGATGATGTCTCACTCTGTCGTCCAGGCTGTAGTGCAGTGGCACGATCTCTGCTCACTGCAACCTCTGCCTCCTGGGTTCAAGCGATTCTCCTGCCTCAGCCTCCCAAGTAGCTGGGATTACAGGCATGCACCACCATGCCTGGCTAATTTTTGTATTTTTAGTAGAGACAGGTTTTCACCATGTTGGCCAGGCTGGTCTTGAACTCCTGACCTCAGGTGATCCACCTGCCTCAGCCTCCCAAAGTGTTGGGATTACAGGTGTGAGCCACCGCACCTGACATTTCTTGAGATATTTAAGCAGGATTATTAAGGAATAATAGACATACAATAAATTGCACATATTTAAAGTATACGGTTTTGTTAAGTTTTGACCTACATGTATACTTGTGGAACCATCAGCACAATCTAGATAATACACATATTCATCACTCCCCAAAAGACTGCTCATGCTCTCTTGTAATCCCTTCCTTCTTGTCCTTCCCCACACTTCCATCCCCCATGCCAACAGTAATTGATTTTCTGTTAATATAAATTATTTTATATTGTCTAGAACTTTATATTAATTTATTTTCTATTAATATAAATTATTTTATATTCTCTAGAACTTTATATAAATGGAACCATAGCATAGTTCTTTGCTTTGCATCATTTACTCCGCTTACTTATTTTTTATTCATTGATGTTATGTCTCTCAATTTTTCATTCCTTTTCAGTAGTGAGTAAGTAGTCTATTTTATGGATGTACTGAAATGTGTTCATGTATCTATTGATGGACATTTGAGTTGTTTCCAGGTTTGGATATTTCTAGAAGTCTTTATATGGACTTTAATTTATCTCAGAGAAATACCAAAGAATAGAATTGCTGGATCATATAGTAGGTCATTGCTTAACATTTTAAGAAATTGCCAAACTGTTTTTCCAAAGTGATTCTACTGTCTTCCATTTCTCACCAGAATTGCATGAGGGTTCTAGTCCTCTACCTCATGCCAACACTTGGAAGGGCCAGTCTTTTACATGGAGGGTCTAGTCTAATGGATGTGTAAGTGGTTTCTTACTGTAGTTTTAATTTGCATTTACCCAATGACCACTACTGATGTTAGGCAACTATTTTTGTCTTATTTGTCATCTGTATGCTCATTTGAAAATTTTAGTAGTTTCCTTATTATCAAGTTTTGAAAGGTCTTTATATATTCTGCTTACAAGTCCTTTATCAGGTATGTGATTTGCAGATATGTTCTCCTTATATGTGGCTTGCCTTTACATTCTCTCAGCTGTACCTTTCAAAGAGAGTGCATTATTGATTTTGATTAAGTTAAAAATATGAAAATTTTATTCTATGGATCATTCTTTGGGTGTCATGTCAAAGAAATGTTTGCTCAACCCAAAACCACAAGGACTTTGTCCTATTTTATCTAAGTATTTTTTTTTAAACTTTTGTACTAGGTTCAGGGGTACATCTGCAGGTTTGTTATATAGCTGAATTGCATGTCATGGGGATTTGATGTACAGATTATTTCACCACCCAGGTAGTAAGCATAGTACCCCATAGGTGGTTTTTTGATCTTCAGCCTCCTACCATCCACCCTGAAGTACGCCTTGGTGGCTGTTCCCTTCTTTGTGTCCGCATATACTCAATGTTTAGCTCTCACTTATAAGTGAAACTGTGCAATATTTGGTTTTCTGTCCCTGTGTTATTCACTTAAGATAATCGTCTCCAATTTTATCCATGTTGCTGCAAAGAACATGATTTTGTTCTTTTCTATGGCTGCATAGTGTCTCCATTGTTTATATGTAGCACATTTTTTTCCAGTCTACCATTGGTGGAGATTGAGGATGATTCCATGACTTTGCTATTGTAAATAGTGCTTCAGTGAACTATGCACGCATGTGTCTTTATGGTAGAAAATTTACATTCCTTTGGGTATATACCCAGTAATGGCATTGCTAAGTTGAATGATAATTCTGTTTTAAGTTCTTTGAGGAATTGCCACACTGCTTTCCACAGTGCCTGAATTAATTTACATTCCCACCAGCAGTCTATAAGCATTCTCTTTTCTCTGTAACCTCACCAGCATCTGTTATTTTTTGATTTTTGAATAATAGCCATTCTGACTGGTGTGAGATGGTATATTATTATGGTTTTGATTTGCATTTCTCTAATTACTAAATATGTTCAGCATTTTTTTTGTTGGCCATGTGTATGTCTTCTTTTGAAAAGTGTCTGTTCATATTCTTTGCCCACTTTTCAGTGGGGTTGTTTGCTCTTGCTTGTCAATTTGTTTAAGCTCCTTATAGATGCTGGATATAAGACTTTTTTCAGATGCATAGTTTGCAGATATTTTCTCCCATTCTGTAGGTTGTCTGTTTACTCTGTTGATCCTTTACATTTTGCTGTGCAGAAGCTCTTTAATTTAATTAGATCCCATTTGTCAATTTTTGTTTCTGTTGTAGTTGCTTTTGGTGTCTTTGTCATGGAATCTTTGCCAGGGCCTATAACAAGAATGGTATTTCCTAGATTAACTTCCAGGATTTTCATAGTTTTAGGTTTTACATTTAAGTCTTTAATTCATCTTGAGTTGATTTTTGTATATGATTTAAGGAAAGAATCTAGTTTCAATCTTCTGCAAATGGCTAGCTAGTTATCCCAGCACCATTTATTGAATAGACAGTCCTTTCCCCACTGTTTGTTTTTGTTCACATTGTCAAAGATTAGGTGGTTGGAGGTGTGTGGTGTTATTCCTGGGCTCTCTATTCTGTTCCATTGGTCTGTTTTTGTAGTAGTACCATGCTGTTTTGGTTACTGTAACCTTGTAGTATAGTTGGAAGTTGGATAATGTGATGCCTCCAGCTTTGTTCTTTTTGCATAGGATTGCCTTAGCTATTTGGGCTTTTTTTTGTTCCATATAAATTTTAAAACTTTTTTTTTCCAGTTCCATGAAGAATGCCATTGGTAGTTTGAGAGGGATAGCATTGAATCTGTAAATTGCTTTGAACAGTATGGCCATTTTAACAATATTTGTTCCTACTATCTATGAGCATGGAATGTTTTTCTCCTTGTTTATGTCATCTCTGATTTCTTTGAGCAGTGTTTTGTAATCGTCATTGCAAAGATCTTTCACCTTCCTGACTAGCTGTATTTCTAGATATTTTATTCTTTTCATGGCTATTGTAAATAGGATTGCATTCTTGATTGACTTTCAGCTTGGACCTTGTTGGTGGATAGAAATGATGTTCAATTTTATTGAAAGCCTTTTCTGCATCTATTGAGATGATTATGTGGTTTTTCTTTTTAGTTCTGTTTATGTAATGAATCACATTGACTGATTTGCATATGTCGAGCCAATCTTGCATCCCAGGGATAAAGCCTATTTGATCATGGTGGATTAGCTGTTTGATCTGCTGCTGGATTTGGTTTGCTAGTATTTTGTTGAAGACGTTTGCGTTTATGTTCATCCATGATATAGGCTTGAAGTTTTCTGTTTCTTGTGTCTCTGGCAGGTTTTGGTATTAGGGTGATTCTGGACTCATACAGTAAGTTAGGGAGGAATCCCTCCTCCTTATGGTTTTGGAATATTTTCAGTAGGAATGATATCAGCTCTTCTTTTTTTTTTTTTTTTTTTTGAGATGGAGTTTTGCTCTGTCACCCAGGCTGGAGTGCAGTGGCACAATCTCGTATCACTGCAAGCTCTGCCTCCCGGGTTCTTGCCATTCTCTTGCCTCAGCCTCCCGAGTAGCTGGGACTACAGGTGCCCACCACCACGCCCAGCTAATTTTTTTGTATTTTTAGTAGAGACAGGGTTTCACTGTGTTAGCCGGGATGGTCTCGATCTCCTGACCTTGTGATTCACCTGCCTTGGCCTCCCAAAGTGCTGGGATTCAGCCCTTCTTTATACATCTGGTAGAATTGGACTCTGAATCCATCTGATCCTGGGCTTTTTGTGGTTGGTAGGCTTTTTACTACTGATTCAATTTTGGAACTCCTTACTGGTCTGTTCAGAGATTCCGTTTCTTCCTGGTTCTATCTAGGCAGGTTGTATGTTTCCAAGAATGTACCCATTTTGTCTAGTTTTTCTAGCTAATGAGAGGGTTTTTGTTTGTTTGTTTTTTTGTATTTCTGTGGGGTCAGTGGTAATGTCCCCTTTGTCATTTCTTATTGTATGTTTTTGGATCTTCTCTTTTTCTTTACTAGTCTATCTAGTGATCTATCAACCTTACTTATTCTTTTAAAAAATCAACTGCTGGATTCATTGATCTTGTGTATGGTTTTTCATGTTCGATTTCCTTCAGTTCAGCTCTGATTTTGGTTATTTCTTGTCTTCTGCTAGTTTTGGAGTTGGTTTGTGCTTGTTTCTGTAGGTTGTTAATTTGAGATCTTTCATACTTTTTGATGTGGGTGTTTAGTGCTATAAACTTCCCTCTTGACATTGCTTTAGGTGTATCCTACAGATTCTAATATTTTTGTTCTCATTAGTTTCAAAGGATTTCTTGATTTCTGTCTTAATTTTATTGTTTACCCAAAAGTCATTCAGAAGCAGGTTGCTTAATTTCCACGTAATTGTATGGCTTTGAGTAATTTTCTTAGTATCGATTTCTGTTTTTATTGTGCTGTGGTCTGTCAGTGTGGTTTGTAATACTTTTTTTTTAATTTGCTAAGGATTGTTTCATGGCTGATTGCGTGGCCAATTTTAGAGTAAGCACTATGTGTAGACAAGAACAACATTGATTTTGTTGTTTTTAGGTGGAGCATTCTCTATATGTCTGTTAAATCTATTGGTCAGGTGTCTAGTTCATGTCCCGAATATCTTTATTGTTTTTTTCACCTCGATGATCTGTTTAATCCTGTCAGTGTGGTGTTGAAGTCTTCCACTATTATTGTGTGGTTATCTATTTTCCTAAGCATTTTATGGTTAAATTTAATTTCTATAGTCTATTACGAGTTAATCATACATGGTACGAGATAGATCAATGCTTATTTATTTATCCGCACAAGGACATTCAATTGTGCTAGCACAATTTTTTGAAAAGCCTATTCTATCTCTGATGAGTTGTCTCTATACATTTGTTAAAATAATTAGTTGGCTATATATGTTTTTATATATTTCTGAATTCTGTATTCTATACCATGCCTGACTTGCCTATCCTAATACTAATACCATAGTATCTTCATTGCTGTAGCTTCTAATAAGTTCTTAAATTAGGTAGTGTTAGTCCTTCAACTTTGTTCTTTTTCAAAGTTGTTTTGGGTATTCTATGTTGCATTATCATATACATTTTGGAATCAGCTTGTCAACTTTTAAAAAGGTTTCCTGGGCTTTTAATTGGGATTTCCATATATAAAATGTCATTTCATCATGTAAAGCTATGAAATCATCAACATGGCAGAACATTCCTAAGTGATTATGTACCTACTAAGAGATCATCAAAATACATGAAGAAAAGTTAGTATAAGTCCAAAGACAAATAAACAAGTTTATAGCAATGGTCAGAGATTTCAGTACCCTCTCTCAATAGTTTATAGAACAAGTATATACTACATCGGTAATAATATAGAATATCTAAATAACACAATCAACCAACTAGAACTCAGTGATATTTATAGAACACTCCACTTAAAATAGTAGAATATGCATTCTTTTCAAACACATATGGAATAATTACCAACAAATACCATATGCTTCTTTCCTTGGATATTTTACTTGGTTATGGGGTATAATCCTTTCTTATATTGTTGGGTTTGATTTGCTAGAAGTTTGTTGGGTATTTTTGTGTCTATATTTAGAAAGGATATTGGTTTTGTAATGTCTTTGTCTGGTTTTAGAACCAGGGCAACATCAGTCTCATAGAATAGATTAGATAGTGTTCCTTCCTCTTCTATTTACTGTACAAGTTTGTAAAGAATTGGTATAAATTCTTTTAAATGTTTATTTGAATTCATTAGTGAACCCATCTAATTCTAGGCTTTACTTTCTGGAAATTTTTTAAATTACTAACTTAATCTTTAACTTGTTATATATAAATTTATATTTCCTTTTTCTTTTTCTTTTTTTTTTTTAGTTAGTGTTAGCAGTTTGTGGCACTTTGCTACTTCATCTAGGTTATCTAATTTGTTGGTATGCAGTTGTTTATATTATTTCCTTATAATTCCTCTTATTTCAGTAAGGTTGGTAGTTATGTCCCCTCTTATTCTTGATTTTAGTAATTTGAGTCTTTTTTCCTTTTTTGGTCAATCTAGCTAAAGATTTGTTAATATTGATCTTTCTGAAGAACTGATTTTTGTAATCATTGATTTTTATAGTGTTTTTCTATCCCCTAGTTCATTTCTTTCCATTCTAATCTTAATTATTTCTTTTCTTCTCTTTGCTTTAGGTTTAGTTTGCTCTCCCCCACCCCACCCCCCTCAGTTTCTTAAGGTGTTCATTTGAGATATTTCTGTCTTTAAAAAAATATTAGTCTTTCTCTCTAAACAGTGCTTTAGCTGTATTCATAAGTATTGGTATGTTATCTGTAATCCATCTACAATTATTTTCCAATTTTCTTTAAGATTTCCTTTTTAATTCATTGGTTATGTAGGAATTTCATGTTTGGGAATTTCTAACATTTCCTTTTGTTATTAATTTCTAATTCTATTTGGTTGGACAATATACTTCATATAATTAAAATTATTTTGTTTATTTTTTAAATTAAGTTTAATTTTATTTTAAGTTCTGGGATACATGTGCAGGACATGCAGGATTGTTGCATAGGTAAACAAACATGTGCCATGGTGGTTTGCTGCACCTATCAACCCATCAGCTAGATATTTAACCCCACATGCATTAGCTATTTATCTTGATGCTCTCCTTCCCCCCCATTCCCCCCACAGGCCTCAGTGTGTGTTGTTCCTCTCCCTGTGTCCATGTGTTCTCATTGTTCAACTCCCACTTACAAGCGAGAACATGCATTGTTTGGTTTTCTGTTCCTGTGTTAGTTTGCTGAGGATAATGGCTTCCAGCTTCAACGATGTTCCTGCAAAGGACATGCTCTCATTCCTTTTTATGGCTGCATAGTATTCCATGCTGTATATGTACCACGTTTTCTTTATCCAGTCCATCATTGATGGGCATTTGGGTTGATTCCATGTCTTTACTATTGTGAATAGTGCTGCAATGAACATACACGTGTATGTATCTTTATGATAGAATGGGTCAAATGGTATTTCTGCTTCTAGATCAGTTGACATCCACCCATGAAGGAAGCATTTAAACCAGTCCAAGCCAGAGGGGAATTGCCAATCTTAGTGGTTAGTTCCTCCAAGACTCTCCATCGCAGGCTAAAGTGCTCTGGGGCCCTAACAGTCTAGGCCACAAGGACTGCAACTCCTAGGTGAGTCCTAGTGTTGAACTGGGCCCAGAGCTAGTGGACTGGGGGTGGGAGGAACACAACCTATAGACACCAGCTGGGGTGGCTAAGGGAATGCCAACATCATCTGTTCCCTAACCCCAGGCTGCACTGCTCATGGCTCCAAAAAAGACTCCTCCCTTCCACTTGAGGTGAGGGAAAGAGAAGGATTAGTGGGAGAATATTCTCTTACATCTTGGATACCAGCTCAATCACAGCAGTATAGGGTACCAGTCCGAGTCATGAGGCCCCCTTTCCAGGCCCTAGTTTCTGGATGACATTTCTAGACACTATGGGTCAGAAGGGAACCTACTTCCTTAAAGGGAAGAACCCAGTACTGGCAGGACTTATTATCTGCTAACTGGAGAGCCACTGGGCTTTGAATAACCAGCAGTGATACCCAGGTAATGTATCATGAGCTTTGGCTAAGACTCTGAGACTTGGTGGTTTCAGGTGAGCCTCAACACATTACCAGCTGAAGTGGCTATGAGATGAGACCCCTTCTGTTTGAAAAAAGTAGAGGGAAAAGTAAAAGGGACTTTGTATTGCACCTTAGGCACCGGCTTGGCCACAGGCGGTAGAGCATCAAGTGGGCTCTTGGGGGTCCCCAATTCCAGGACTTGTCTCTTGGATGGCATTTATGGACATGCCCTGGGCCAGAGGGAAGCCCACTGCCCTCAATGGTGAGTCCCAGGCCAGGAAGCATTCACCACAAGGTGACTGAAGAGCCCTTGGGCCTTCAAAGAACATCAGTGGTAGTCTGGCGGTATTCCCCATAGGCCTGTGTTGGCAGTGGCCACACGATAAGGATCCTCTGCCTTTGGAAGGGGAGGGAAGACTGGGAAAGACTGTATTTTGTAGTTTGAGTTCCAGTCCAACCATTGTACAACAGAACGCCAAGTAGACTTCTAAGGTTTTTGACTCTACTACCTGGCTCCCAACAGCACCTCTGGACGTGCCCAGGGCCTGGGAGAACTCACTGCCCTGAAGGGAAGGACACAGGCCTGTCTGGCTCTGCTACCTGCTGATTATGGAGCCCTAGGGCCTTGAGTAAACATAGGAAGTAGCCAGGGAGTGGTTACACCAGGCCTTGTGCGAGACCCAGTGCTCTGCTGGCTTCAGGTCAAACTCAGCACAGTCCTGGTGGTGGTGGTGGGCACAGGGTTGCTTGTGTCACTCTACCCCCAGCTTTAAGTTGCTCAGAACAGAGAGAGAGAGATTCTGTTTGTTTGGGAGAAAGTAAGGGAAAAGAACAAGAGCCTTTGCCTGGTAATCCAGAGAGTTCTTCCAGACATTGTCCAAGACCATTAAAGTAATACCTCTATGAGTCTATAAGAACCACAGCAATACTGTGCTTGGGGTGCCCCTTAAGGCAGATGCAGCTTAGATCACAACATCTAAGTCCATTTGAATATCTGGAAAGCTTTCCCAAGAAGGATGTGTACAAACAAGCCCAGACTGTGAAGACTACGATAAATACCTAATTCTTCAATGTCCAGACACAGAAGAACATCCACAATCATCAAGATCATCCACGAAAACATGACCTCACCAAATGAACTAAATAAGGCACCAGGGACCAATCCTGGAGAAACAGAAATATGTGACAGTTCAGAAAGAGAATTCAAATAGCTATTTTGAGGAAACTCAAAGAAGTTCAAACTAACACAGAGAAGGAATTCAGAACTCTATCAGAAAAATATAACAAAGAAATTGAAATAACTTATAAAAACAATCAGAAATTCTGAAGCTGAAAAATACAACTGGCATGTGGAGGAATACATCAGTTGTTTAACAGCAGAACTGATCAAACAGAAGAAATAATTACTGAGCTTAAAGACAGGGTATTTGAAAATACACAATAAAAGGAGACAAAAGAAAAAAGAATTTTAAAAAGAGACATGTTAAAATTTACAAAGTTTACTGTTCTTACTGAAATTCATGCTTTTCTTAAAGAAATGCTTCTTTAATTTCCGCAAAACTTTTCTTTTTTTGCAGTCCCGAAAAGTAGGTTTTGACATTTTTTCTTAGCGTTCTCCCTGTTTTTATCAAGGAGTACGTTTCTATAGGTCCTTACTCTGCCATTCCAGAAGTGCTTATCCCAGCTTTCTTTTGATCAGGGTTAAGAGGATGTATTTTTTCTCATTTTTAAAAATTCTATTTAACTTGGTAATATAGTCTAAGTTCACTTCCTAGAGGTCACAAATATTTGACTTGTGCTTTTTTTAAAAAAATCCCTGTGTTCTAGTTGGGATGTTTAAATGATATACATTTGATGTAATGACTGATACAGTTAGATTTACCTCTGCTATCTTGCTATGTGATTTACACTAGATTCATCAGGTTTTTGTTTCCCTTTCCTCCTTTACTACCTTCTTTTGGATTAATTGATTCAATTTTTGCAATTTCATATCCAGGTTGGATTATTAGCTGTAACTTCTTTTGTTACTTAGAGATTGATTTATGATTTATATAGTATAACTCTCCATTTTATCACAGTGCATCCTCAAGTGATATTACACCATGGGACCTTACAATAGTCTGTTTCCTTTTCTTCTCTCAACAGCTTTGGGCTACTGATGCTACACGTTTTTAAAAATGTGTTATTAAGCAAATACTAAATTGTTACTATTGTTTAAGTATTAATTAACTTTAAATACATTTAAATAACAAAATAAATTATATATTTTGTATGTTTTTAATCCTTGAAAATTTCTGGTATTCTTCCTTCCTTTGTGTAGATTCATATTTTCATCTAGCATTGTTTTTCCTTCTGCTTGAAGGATGTCTTTTGACAAATTTTGTTAGTCTGGATCTGCTGATGATAAATTTTTCTGCTTTTTTACATCTGAAAAAATTTTAATTTTGCCTTTATTTTTGAAAATTATTTTTTCTTAATTCTAAGGTGACTTTTAAAAATTCAGTATTTCAAAGATATTGCTCTACTGTCTTCTGGCCAGCATTGTTTCTGATGAGAAATTTGATGTCATCCTTATATAACATGTCTCCTTCCCGTGGCTTCTTGTTGAAATTTTCTCTTTATCGGTGGCTTTGAACAATTTGATTGTGATATGCCCTAGGGTAGTTTTCATTATGTTTTCTGTGCTTGGTTTATTGAAATTCCTGGACTTGTGGCTTTATAGTTTTCATTAAATTTTGACATTGTAAGGTATTATTTCTTCAAATATTTTGTTGCACCAGGTTTTCTCCATCTAATATCTAAAGCTCAAAACCTCAGTGTCATACTTAACTTCTCTCTTTGTCTTTCTTGACACATTTATCAATAACTCTTTTTTGTTTCTTTATTTAAACTATTTCTTGAATCTGTCCACTGATCTCCATTTCCACTAACACCTGCAAAATTGCAGCTGCATCATCTGTGCATCTTGATATGATAGACTCATGAGTGGTCTCTTTATTGTCCTCTCTCTTCTTCCCCAAACCGTTCTCTGCTCACATCCATTGTTTTTATTTTTCCACTGCTTGAACCCATTTAATGGTTTTGCCTTACTTTTTTTTTTAATTTTTTCTGAGACAGAGTCTCACTCTGTCACTCAGGCTGGAGTACAATGGGGCTATCTTGGCTCATTGCAACCTCCGCCTCCCAGGTTCAAGCGATTCTCCTGCCTCAGCTTCCCGAGCAGCTAGGATTACAGGTGCCCACCACCATGCCCAGCTAATTTTTGTATTTTTATTAGAGATGAGATTTCATCATGTTTTTCAGGCTGGTCTCGAACTCCTGACCTCGTGATCCACCTACCTCGGCCTCCCAAAGTGCTGGGATTACAGGCGTGAGCCACCGCACCCGGCCACATTTTTTAAATAAAATTTTTTTTTGTTACAGGATTGTCTAGATGAGAAAAGTTGCAGAGATAGTTTGGTGAGTTTCCTTATACCCTGTACCCAGTTTGCTCTATTTTTAACAACTTACATAATTATATTTTTCACAACTAATGAACTAATGCTGATATATTCAGATTTCATTACTTTTTGCCCAATGTCATTTTTCCGTTCTAGGATCCGTCCAGAACCCCACATTGCATTTAGTCATCTTATATCTTAATCTCTTCTGGACTCTGGTAGTTTCTCAGAATACCAGAGTGTTTTCTGATGACCTTGATGACAGTCTTGAGGCATAGTGGCCAGATATTTTGTAGAATTTGAGCTTAAGTTAAATTTGAGTTTATCTGATGTGTTCTCATGGTTAGTCTTGAGTTATGAATTTTTTGCGAGGAAGATCACAGAGGTGAAGTAATCTTATCATCACATCTTATCAAGGGTTCCTAATGTTAACATGACACGCCACCAATGATGTTAACTTTGATCACCCTGCTGAGGTAGTGTTTTCCCACTTTCTGCAGTGTAAAGCTACTACCCCCTCATACTTTTCTCTTTATAAGCAAGCTACAAAGTGCACCCAAACTTAACAAGCAGCAAATTAAGCTCCACCTTTTCATGGAAGGAATAGGTACATAGATTATTTGAAATTCTTCTATATGGAAGGTTTGTTACTTCTCTCCCTTTTGTTTATTTACTTAATCATTTATTTATATACATGTGGATTCTTGGATGTTTATTTCATACCTTTTTAGATTATAATCTTCAAGTAATCTACATTTTTAATCTTGTTGCTCAAATTATTCTAGCATTACTGAGAACCCTTTCATTTGGCTCCTATGTCCCTTTGACACACCCTCATCATTTTCTTTTTTGAGAACTTCTTTATTTATGGGACTGCAAATGCTCTAGGGTCATCTTGTACGGTCCCTGCTCCAGCCCTGGAATGAGTCATTTCTCCAAACCACCCTGCGTCATTTTGCTGGGAAATACTATACAAAGTCACAATCTGGGCACCCATCACATTTTGAATTAGATTCAAACTCCATTTCTTAGCTTACAAGACCTTGAAGTATTTAGTCCCATTCTGTTCTAGAAACAAGGCTTCGGTTAGTTCCTAAACCATCTCACTCTCCTTTCTGCCACAGGACATTTGCCCTTGTTCCATCTGTCTATGATGTTCTTCACTAGGCTCTTTACAGGACTGGCTCCTTGCAAGGTAAAGGTATTTACTTTTAAATAAATCCTCCCCTAATATCCTGTTGAAAGTAGCTCTTCACCTTCATTTTCTATCACAGAAGGTGTTTTTTTTTTTAATAATCACAAATATCATTACTTCATTTACTTACTTGTTTATTTGCTTAATGTCTATCCCCACATTAGGAAGTGAGCTTCATGAGTTCAAGTACCTTCTCGGTTTTACTCTTTGTGTTTTCCTAGCATCTATTATAGAGAAGATAATAAATAAGTGCTAATTAAAAGGCTTAGTCCCTCTCTTTACTGCCTCTGATGTGGATGTTATCTATGTGTTCGCATGCTTACTCTTCCTGCAACCCTTTTTTATTTTCTCTGCCTCCCATGATTGCGTAAATCTGACTTTATAGAGGCCACTTTGTTTTTAAATTATATTTAGGATTGCCAAGTAGCTTGAAATTTATTTTCCTGATCTTACAGCAAAATATTTTCAGAGCTTTGTGATTTTTTCCCCCTAGTTTATTTCTTTTGTTCTGAATCATTTCCTGTAGCACTGATAAGGATTTTGTGTTTTGTTTTGGTTTCTAGTATAGAATGAAGAAAGATTTTTAGGTTCTTAGTATTATGCTTTGTAAAAGATTGTGATTGTAGTTGATCCTACTCTTAGCAATTTGGGTGCCAATCATTGTCCTTTTCAGATCTATATTTCAAGAATGAGTTGACATGTACTATGACAAATTAGTTTCTATTTCTGCACAACAACTTACTACCAAATTCGTGGCTCAAAACAATGCACATTTACTATCTCACAATTGCCATGAATCTGGATACAGCTTAGCTGTGTCCTCTGTTCAGTGTCTCAGAAGGTCGCAGTCAAGGTGATGGCTGGGCTGCAGTCTCATAGGGAGGAATTCATTTCCAAGCTCATCCAGGTTGGTGGCAGAGTCTATTTCTCGTATGGCTGAGATCCCTGCCTTTTTACTGACTAGAGGCTAAAAACTGCCCGTAGGTTCTAGAGCCTGCCTCCTCGTCTCTACCTACTACCCTGTGGTTTCTTGCCATGTGACCCTCTCCGTAGTTCAAAACATGACTTTTTGCTTCTTCAAGGTCACCAGCAGCATCTTTCTCTCTCAACTCTATTCTTCTCAGAGCGTACCCCCTGCTGCCCCCAGCCATACACACCAGACAATCTCATAAGTTAATCTGAGGAATGACATCTTTTCTTTCACCTTTGCCGTATTGGATAGAAGCAAGTCATAGGTTCCACCTGCACTCTAGGAAAGAGGAATATAAAAAGGCATGACCCTTTGGGAGGTCACCTTAAACCCATGATTCACGGAATGACCAGTCTGTCTTAGCTCTTTGACTGACCTGGAAGTCACTCTACCACAACTGCCTGGTTATCTGTCATTCTGAATAGATAAAGTTCATGTTCTCTCTCTTTCTCTGTCCTTTTCTATCCCATTTTTATTTTTATTTATTTATTTATTTTTATTTATTTATTTTTTTTGAGACGGAGTCTTGCCCCATCGCCCAGGCTAGAGTGCAGTGGCGCGATCTCAGCTCACTGCAACCTCCGACTTCCGGGTTCACGCCATTCTCCTGCCTCAGCCTCCTGAGTAGCTGGGACTACAGGTACTCAACCACCACGCCCGGCTAATTTTTTATATTTTTAGTAGAGACGGGGTTTCACCGTGTTGGCCAGGATGGTCTTGATCTCCTGACCTCGTGATCCGCCCTCCTTGGCCTCCCAAAGTGCTGGGATTACAGGCATGACCCACCACGCCCAGCCCCCATTTTTATTTGGTCAAACTATACTCCCTAGAAAGCAATTCTTTTATTACGTTTTAGTTTTTGATTGATATGGGAATAGCATTAGTGGTGATGGACTCAGAAGAAGAATTGACTCTAGAGGCCACCACAAGCACACAGGAAAGGGATGATCACTGAGTGATCTAGGAACATTTTTTTACTTCTGAGTCCTCCTATTTCAGTCAGAAACAACTGTGACAGGGGCTGCTAATACAATATCACATTAAACACAAAATCAAGAAGCACGTATTTTTATTTATTCTCTACACCCCTGTTAAGGGATAGATGGTGTCTTTCTAGGTCTGTTGTCCAAGGATTTGTTGACAAGAGTTTATGCTTCTTTCTCCAGCCCTAATGATTCTTTTATAATTTATGCCTATCTGGAAGTCACAGTTGCCTCACAGTGACGGCAGTCGCTAATGATCCATTTACATGTGTGCTGTTACAACATCGTCAGTGCCTACTGTGTATCAGCTCCTCTGTTGGGGGAACAAAGTCGATGAAGAGACTATGATCTCAATAAATCCCTAATCTGGTGGAGAAGGAAGACTTATGAACAAAAAAGATAACAGAGAAGCTGAGTACAAGTTCTGCAGAGGACAGCAGAAAAAGGAATGTTCTTACGGGATATGGGGAACCAGGGATGTCTCTCAGGGCATGTGATGTCTGACTTGGGTTTTGAAGAAGAGAAGATCACTGAGAAGTCAGAAACCAGAAGAATATTCCAGGTGGGGAAACATAGAGAACTTACGGGCTAAATCCAAGGGTGGTTGCACCAATGTCACAGCTCTGATGGCTCTTTAAAAGTAAAATTAAAAACAGATATTTTAATAAGTCTTTTAGAGGAAGATTCCCATTTGTATTAGTTTTCTAGGGCTACCGTTACAAAGTACCACAAACTGGTGGCTTGGACCACAAAAATCTGTTGCGTAGTTCTGGAGGCCGGAAGTCCAAGATTATGAGAAGCTGGTTCGATCTGAGGGCTGTGAGGTCTGTTCCAGCTGTCTCTCCTTGGCTTGTAGAGGGCTGTCCTTACACTGTGTATTGTCATATTGTTTTCCCTCTATGTATGTCTCTGTCCAAATTTCCCTTATAAGGGCAATAGTTATATTGGATTGGAAGCCATCCTAATGACCTCATTTTTACTTAGTTACATCTGCTAAGGCCCTGTCTCTAAATAAGGTGACATTCTGGGATCCTGGGAGCTATGACTCCAATACATCTTTTTGAGAAGGTACAATTTAACCCATAACACTGCTGTAGAGGGCTTGAGACAATACCACATCAAGAGGAGGCCTCAAAGGACTTGAGATGGCTGGGGTATTGGAGAAATTCAAGGCAAGGGTAGCTTATAGGAACTCAGTGGATGCTAAACTAGTGCTGGTGTTGGAGCAAATGCAGGAGGCCTTTTTTCACTGCTTGGTTGCAACATTGCAGGGCCTGGCACATTCTAGAGACCCATGTCTATTGAATGAGCAAATAAATGAATAATAACAGATATCACTGGCAGCCAGTGGGGCTCCCTGCTGCCTTGGCCACTAAGTTCCTGGTCCTGAAGCTGGCACTGAGGAAAGGGGTGATATTGGTTCATGAATTTATTTCCCATGGTGCTGTTTCAACCAGGCACCCTGGGCTCCTTCCAATCTTCCAAACTCTCCTTGTGCCAGGAGTATCCGATGCTCAGTATACTTCCCAACTCTTTTGTGCTCAACCAATTCCTCTTCACCCTTAAGGCTCTGTCATCGGTCTTAAAATGTCTTCAACTACTTATAGTCCTTCTGTGTGCTCTCTTTTATTCCTAATTATTTTGTGTGAGACTCTTGCGTGCTTATTTAGGCATGAGCTGATAGAAGACACTGGTTTTCTTATATTTTCTCATCACTATTACTACCACCACTCCTTCTCTTCCTGCTCCTACTCCTTCTATTACTACTGCTACCACCACCACCAATACTGTCAATGGCAAGAATAGCAATGACTAATATTTGTTGCATATTTTCAGGACACCAGACACCATGCCAGATTATCTTTAACCCTGACAAAACTCTTCATGATTGACAAAAGGACATTAGTGAAATGGAAGTATTTACATATAACTCCCAAGTAAGAATTGAGCTCAAATCTGTCTGATTCCAAAGTCCATGTGGTTAACCTTCATACATGCTCGCTGGCCACTAGTAACATCAATTGGTACAGCTGTTCTTATAATTCTTACTATTACTTTTACCTCCCTGCAGCTCTCCGAGTTTACTTTGATATATTTCTTGTGACCCATTACTTTAATTTCACAATGATTTCAGGAATAATTATCCCTCATGAGGGAGTGAAAACCAGAGGCCATACCTTTGACAGTTCTCTAGAACAAATTATGGCTAATGATGGGAAGAGTCTCGTCTGTGGACAATTCAGATGTTTCAACTCTAGGATATATGATTTGGGATAAGAAACTGCTGGATAACTGCTGGCATTTTCATTTTGAAAAGTGGCGAAATAAACTTCAATATTTTAGTGTCTGTTAGAACCTCAGGAACAAGACCCATCATAAGGCAAGTACAGGACAGTCCCTAATTCAGGTGGGGCCTTAACTTTAGACTTGTGGGGTGATTTCCATATAAGATCATACCTACAGTCACAGATATATTGATAAGGTTCATGAGAAATGTTATCATTTTACTTAATTTTTAAATGTAAACTATTAATATTTGTTATAATTTTTATAAATCTATTTTGGCATTTCTCAATTAAAAAATTAAAAAGAATTAAAGTGTCCTAGGTCTTACTTGACCACTAAGAAGCCCTGAGGAGGGAGTCTAGGGAAGTCTTGCTCTTGGCCTGACCCCTGCAGAAAGGTCACTGGGCAAAGATGTTCGGTTTTGGGTTTTGGGTTATTTCTGCTGTAATGTGAGTTGATCTTTCCAGTTCTCTAGGGAGAGGAAAAGTCTTGGGTTTTCTGGCAGAAAGAGACTTTGAGAGCATAGAGTCCGACTACCTCATTCTCAGACATGCAATCTGCGGCTGCACAGCATTTGGGCCTTGTCCGCTCCCACACACTCTTGGTTGTAGGTTAGCCCTAGTCAGTCCTGGGCTGCTGTCCTGCTGTCACTCTGCCTTCTTGAGTTTCAGGGTTCAGAACTCAGACTAACTCTATACCCCATTTATGGACTTCTTTGTGGGCTGAGGTGGAGTGGGGTGCAGTAAACACATGGACCAAGGGAGCCGGAGAGGAGTTTCAGGCAGTAGCGCTTCTGAGGGCCAGTCCTCCCAGGACAGCTGATGGAGATGTATAGGTGGAGTCTTTCCCACTGGTCAAAGACAACGGTGCTCAGACTGTGGCCGTCTGTTCTTGTGGCAGATAATGGCAA
This sequence comes from Homo sapiens, assembly GCF_000001405.40. Lineage (NCBI taxonomy): Eukaryota > Metazoa > Chordata > Mammalia > Primates > Hominidae > Homo > Homo sapiens. The sequence goes on along the minus strand of NC_000015.10, from coordinate 97,763,514 downwards.
CACTGGTGGATAGAGCCCTCAGAGGATCACTCTGACCTTGAATCTAGCCAGGTAAGCTACTCCAGCCTCAGTTTCTGTATCCGTCCGTTGGGAATAATGGACTCAACCAGTTATTGTGAGGATAAACCGAGATAAAGCATACACTACATGGGGCCAAATAATATTCGGTTCCTTTCTCCTCAACTTCCTGGGTGTAGATTATAGTGGGAACCCTTTCTGAAGTAAAATGAAATCTATTCTAGTAACAAATGGTTACAACCAATAGCAAAGACTTCAGTCTTACCAATTTGAGACGCACGCGGCCATTTTTTCTTTTATATGTTATCATGCCACCATTTTTTTCTTTTGTATGTTACCTATGTCATCCAAATCCAGGAAAAGTCAAGAAATCACGGCTACTGTAGTTGAAACCTTAAATTAAAAATAATGACAAAATATAATCCTCAAATAATCATAGTTTTCTTATGATGCACCCGAACCTTAAAAAATAAATGTAGTCTTGACCTTCAACAAGCAGGGCTCATGGGTGCTGTATTTTTGTCTCCCATTTACCTTTAAATCCACTCTGCATAGTTCATCTGTGGTTCATCCATGATTTTGCTTATCGCTGTTAGTTTCTGCAACCACTAGAGTCACAAAAGCACTACGTCAATTTAATTATTTAAATGTCCAGTCCTGTTAATCATGAGAAAATATTCTTTCTTCAGCATTCCTCTCCTCTTCTATCTCTGTCTCACTTCATGCTGACCACTGACCAGATGGCCGGGAGGTCGGGCCGACTTCCTTCTCATCCCACGAGATTCTCTGTGCTTCCTCCTCCCTGTAGCTCAGAATGGTTATGAGGCTGACAGGATTGGAGTCATAGCAAGGAAAAGAATTAAGACCAACAGAAAAACCGGTGGGTTTTTTTTAAGAGCTGGGGTCTCATTCTGTCACCCAGGCTAGTGTGCACTGGTGCAGTCGTGACTCACTGCAGCCTCTACCTCCTGGGATCAAGGGATACTTTTCAGCTTCCTGAGTAGTTGGGAATACAGGTGCACACCACCACACCTGGCTAGTTTTACAGGTGACTTCTTACCTGACTGTTACTGACCTGGTCACCCAGCTCTGTACTCTCTGATCTTGGCATATATTTAAAATATTCTATTCTGAGATTATCCTCTATCTATCTATCTATCTATCTATCTATCTATCTATCTATCTATCTATCTCACACACACACAGTGACACACACACGCACACACACACACATCTCTGAGCCCCTCTCACCAATTGTTCTCTCTTGGTGGGTTTAATAACCCCCTGCTTCAACTGATCACTTGTGACTTCCTCGCTGCTTCCGACCACTTTCTACTGAAGTTCTCTTCTTTCCTGGTGACCCTCTGTCATGTATCTAAGGCAAGCCTAGACCTTTATCCTGTGTGGATCACAGCTGGACAACAGGAAATATCAAGGATTCATTCTCCTAACAAACTCTGGGGTGCAAGTCTGTGCCCACATAGCATCAGCCACTCCCATGTTCCGCCATCAGAGAAACCAGCCTAGGCACTGTGGCCCCAAACAACAGAGACACACATTTAAGCTATCCAGACTCACATTTCAGCTATATGCATTGGGTTACTCAAGCCTCTTTCTCCAGGAGGTAGTGATAAAGGGTTGCCAGGATTGGAGTTGGGGAAACATGCCCATTATTTTTCAATTTCAGATAAATAAGAAAAAAATAGTATAAATGTGTCCCATGCAATATTTGGGACATACTGATACTAAAACAAAATCATTCTTTATCTGAAATTCAAAGTGAATTGGACGTTTTGTGTCTTATCTGCCAAATCTATGGTGGTCAGATTCAGAAATACTCCAGGTCCTTTTATGTCCACGATCTACGTGAAGTATTAAATATTTTGCGACCAATTTTTAGCAAACTTTTTGAAAATGTTCCATCCATTCTGAGATATCGCTTTGGAAGCTGGTATTTATGGTGTCAGGCTATGGCTGAAATTTCTGTTGAAATATCCCACTGCAGTTTTAAGAAAATGCTCTTGCTCACCATTCTCAGCACCCAAACCTCCCCAGCCCTCAGGAAACCTGCATATTTAGGACATGTTGGTTCAAGTTTAACTTAGCCATTATACCAAAGACATCTTTACCTTCATAATTTGGAGACAGATTTCACAGGCAATGCTTATGCTGGAATAGCAACTCATTCGGAGGTGTCGGGATTCCTAATGTGTTAGAAATCACTGCGCTTGATTCCACTTCTGCAGCACAACTGGCTCCTGCCCAGTATTGGAGAACAGGGCGTCTAATTCACAGGGAACTAAGGCCAAGATTTCTACATACGATTGTCTTATGGGGCCAGAGCTTTTTTTTTTTTTCTTTTAAGTGGATGATATATGATACAAATATTGTTCTTAATCAAAAGTATATTAGCAATCTACCACAACTGCAGAGTTACAAGGAAGCAGTACAGCATGTTTGGAGAGGATTATTTTCACAAGAAACACGTATTCATTTCTCTGTCTGCCTTTATCAACATGTATTTATCAAAATATGGAAGCTTGTCCATGGGCCGCATTTTAATTACTCATAGGTTGCCTGAAGACAGCTGCAGTCTAGGAAGGAAGAGAGATTGAAAAGAATAAGGTGCTTTTAAAATTTGGCCATAATTGTAACTAGAGGACTCTGTTGGCTTTATTCCAAAACTCTAAGGAGCTGTCTTCCCCTAGTTTTTTTTCCTATCACTGACGTTTCCCCATGCAGCACTTACACTGGCTCTCATTGACTTAATCAGCTGTTATTATGTATATTTTTATTTTTTCTTTAGTAATATTTTCATAATAAAATTGTATAAATTCATCAGAGGAGATTTGGAACATACACCTATACAAAAAGAGAAAGAAGAATGTCTTGAATCCTACTATAAAGGCATTACCTTTTGGAAGTTCTAGAAATACTATGCATGTTATTTTTAACAAAACAGAAATCATGTGAAATATGCTATTTTGTAAATGACCTTCTTTGCTTAACTATATACCATAACATTCTTTTTATTAAATAAAATATCCATAATGCCATCTTTGGCTGTGGAGTGTGTCATCATAAAGATGCACCACAAATACCCCTTGTTGTTATATCCAACAATGATTATACATACATATTTTTTCTCATTTTTTTATTAAAAAGAAAAAAATGAAGGGAATTAAGAGTCCTGGGGGAAAAACTGGGCTGCAGTGAGGCATGAAGCTCAGGTCTTTATTATACATTCCTTGTCCTATTTGCATATGTATATAGTTTTTCTTACTGTTGAAATCACTGTGAATAATTCCATAGCAAACATTTTTGAATACAAATCTTTCTATAGAGCCGATTGGCGTGTTTTAGTATACAATTTGAACAATGGAATTTTATAGATCAAGGAGAAGCACATTTTGGGCACCTTTGAAGCGTATCACCAAACCGCTTTTTGGAAAAGCCGTAGCATTTCCCTTCCACTGATGTTCTATGAGACTGAATAATTTTCTAGAAAATTTCCTGAACCCTCATGAACATTGAGTGTTACTGCTTTGGAAATAAAAAATAAAATCAAATTTTATTTAGCACATAAAATTTTTCCAACATTTAACAGATAAGCAAAATGGATGGATTTTTTTTTAGCTCTGTTTTATTTATTTGTTGTTGAAAGTTAGGAGGTTCTCAACTTTAGCTTGTTATGCCAAAATTTTGGGCGGCCTCTTATAGACAACCTCTTATTCAAAATATGAGGGATTCTTGTTTGCATGAGTTAAAAAAACTAGGCTTCTTAGAAAAAGTGATATGGAGAGAAGCCGTACATAGGATGCCAATCATTTGTCAAACACTCTGCTAGGCATCTTCCCAAGGAAAATAACCCCATTCCAATTCAACTGCTTCCTTTTTTTTCAAATATGTCTCACAGATTGTGGTTTCCTCCATTAAAGCCACAATTGCTGCTGAGTCACAGTGTATACATAGATGTGTGTGTGTGCATGTTTGCTTGCATTTGTGCATATGTGTGAGCCCGTGTGTGTGTGTGTGTGTGTGCTTGTTTATTGGCTTTTTGGTTCTTTTCATTCTCACTAAAACAAAACAAGACAAATTTGATTTTCTAATGGAAGCCGTGTGGTGTACTTGTACACATTTTGGGCGCCCTGTGTATCTGGGAATGTGTGTGGGGTGTGGAAGAGTGGTTTTCTTTTTTTTTTTTTTTGAGACGGAGTCTTGCTCTGTCACCCAGGCTGGAGTGCAGTGGCGCGATCTCAGCTCACTGCAAGCTCCGCCTCCCGGGCTCACGCCATTCTTCTGCCTCAGCCTCCCGAGTAGCTGGGACTACAGGCACCTGCCACCACGCCCGGCTAATTTTTTGTATTTTTTAGTAGAGACGGGGGTTTCACCATGTTAGCCAGGATGGTCTCGATCTCCTGACCTCGTGATCCACCCGCCTTGGCCTCCCAAAGTGATGGGATAACAGGCATGAGCCACCGCGCCCAGCCGGAGGAGTGGTTTTCATGCCATGTGGTGCCTGTCTTGGAGGAAGCAAGATTCGGGAGACATTAAAGAATGAGCAGCCCTTTGTCTGCTTTTCTGAGTGTTTTGTCTCTGGGCTGTGTCCCCGCAAGTCAGGCATAAACAGTAGGCCCCAAAGTGAGTGGCGACTCCTCAGTAACAAACTTCCACAATGATGCACAGTTAATCAGGATCCCCTTTTGATTTCAAGCACTATTGTTAAAAATTGTTCTCTGTGCTACTTGAATTCCTATTAATCTAAGTTAATTCTTTTGAAACCTTAAATATTGTGGCATCTTAGTGTCATGGTAATCTATTTTTTTCTCTTATAGATGAGGACATAGAAAGATGAACTTAAAGCTGAAAAGTGAACTTAAAGCTGGAAAAAATGAAGCAATCTCAGCTATGATAGCTGTAATAGAAAAATGGAGTTTTCCTCAGTTTTTCTTCCTCAGAATAAATGGGATGATCCTGATGGCTGTTTAAGTGGAGAGGATTTGTTTGGTAAGCACTTCAGGATGAAGATGCATACTTTAATAGATTCCCAGATGAGGAAGCACCTATATCTATGCTTTCCATCTGCTACTTCTTTGGGAAAAAATGGAAGACAGAAATAGCAAAACTTGTAGTCGCTCCAAATACATCCTCAGATAGAGCACAAAATATAATAGACAAAAGCCCTACTAAACCAAGTTTATGTTTAATGAAAGCAAGGGCATAAAAGAAATACATAATGTCTAAAGTAGATACATCAAGAAATAGCAGTACCTGTGCAAACAACATCTTTAGAGATTATAGAAGTAACTGCTGAAAGGGAAAAATCAATGGAGTTAAGAGTTCTAGGGAAAAACCGGGTGTGGTAAAGCAGGAAGCTCAGGTCTTTCTTTCTTAAAATGTGTTTTCATTTATAATTCTATAACATGAAATATGGATTTCAAAACAAAACTTCAATGAAAGAGAATGAGAGATAGAGCAAGAGTAAGAGAGAGAAAGAGAGAGGCTCGGAAAGGTGAATGAATGAGCCTAGGAGTTTGGAGGAACTTGGATGAAGGGGGAAGAAGTAGTACAGTATAAGGAGAACAATGACCTATTACTTGGTTTCATTAGTGCAGGCTCATGATAGGAGACTGAAGCAGGAGAGAGGGGCATATAGCAGAAAACATGGAAACTTCCACCTGCTGTTTCCATTGCATTTTTGCAAGTCTTCCTGTGTGTCAGGTATGGCTGCTGGTGCTGGCCTTGGAGGATCTGCATTGGCTGCGGTCTGCAGTTAGGTCCAGACTGCCAGTCCCAGCGCCTTAGAGACCTCTGGAAATCAGGCGAGGAGACCAGCCGTCTGAGAGAGCTCCACTCTCTGGCTGCCCCTGCCAGAGTGCCCAAATAAGGTATTTTTTGAAATCAGCCTTCATTAGTGCCTGTTTCTCTTATTTCTGGTTCCCATCTATTTTATAACTTTGTTATAAAAATGTGCTGTTCCAGGCCCTAACATTTAGCCAGAGGTTGGAAGTCTTAGCTGGTTCTTATGACATGTATCAGAAGAGGATTGTTTTACTTGTTAGGTGACTTTTGGGTTTTCCTACATCAATGGACTTTTTAAACCATTGAATTTTGTTTTTAGTATTTAAAAACTCATTTATTTTAACGAAATATTGAAATTTTGGTGAATGTTCAATTTGTCTTTTTTTCCTAGTGGGAGAGATATTGACCCCTTTCTCAATGAGCTGTTCTGGATTAAGCAAAAGCTGTCAATATTGGTCCAATTTTCAGGAGTTAAAAATGAGTTATTTGATCCCAGTACATACAGGGTTTTATTAAAACTAAATAACTCTGACCTAAACATCTTCATTCTGGGTTGTGCCAAGGAACAGAAAACGTGGACTGTATACCGGAGCTGTGTCAGTCTGTGCCAGTCCCAGGATGCGCTGAGACAGGCTCAGGGACATGGTGTCACCTGCTTGATGCCTTCACGGCAAAGGGTGGAGCCAGCAGCAGACAGAGGTCCTGGCTCAGCTCAGTGGCTCCAAAAGTTGCTGCAGAGCTTGGGCGGAAGACGCAGGCTCTTTCTCTTCTCTTCTGCTTCCACCTTCTCTTTGATTCAGAATGTGGCTTCCTCCTCAATAGGAAGAATGTCTCTTAGGAGAAGATCTGAAGCCAAGATGGGGGCAGTGGGAAGGGACATTTTGCAAGAGGATTCCTAATTGTCCAAAAGCACTGAGACTCCTGCTAAGATGATGTCCTCTGGGAGCTGAGGGTCCTGCTGGAGGAGAGGATCTCCTTTGCCTACGTGAAGAGCAGAAAGGGCAGAAGATGAGCTTCAGTTGCAAATGACAATTGATTGAATGATTGTATTATTAGAACTGATACTTGTTTCGTGGTTATTTATGTCATAGATTTAATTTGTATCATATATTTGTACTAATTATTTTTATTGATGATAATCATAGGAAGAGCTGTCACATCAAGGTTTTGTCATGTGCTAGGCACTGCACAAAGCACTTGAATGACATCCTTGAAACTTTTCCCATACTGATCATACTGGAGGATGTCCAGAGAAATACAGAAAAGTGGTTTGGAGGGGAGTAGCTGATGGTAAGTTAAATAAATAATAATAAAATTAGCCAGACGTGGTGGTGCATGCCTGTGGTCTCAGCCACTTCGGAGGCTGAGGTGGGAAGATTGCTTGGACCTGAGAGGTCAAGGCTTCAGTGAGCTGTGATCCTGCCACTGCACTCCACCCTGAGCAACAGAGTGAGACTCTGTCTGAAAAATAAATAACTACACAAATAATATTGATCAATAACAGATACAAGACCACTATGAAATTGGAAAAGATAGCAGAATTAGGATACAAATGTATGACAGGCTGGAACCATGAACCATCACCAATAAGAATATATCTTAGATCACTGAATGAATGTATGGATATTTTCTTAGTTTCAAAAATACAACTGCATATGTCTATTAGGGGAGCATAGCTTAGCAGCCAGTAGCACAGATAGAAAGATCTAGGAGATTTCCTGAGTGCAAGTTATTACATGGTGTGTATAGCTGCCAAAATATTGACTGTGACCTTTGGTTGCATTGACAAAGGTAGAGCATGCAAAGGGAGGTGCTCTATCTATTCTGCGGAGTATTTTCTTTCAGATGCAGCATTTAATGAGAAAAGTATGTGAAAGAGTTTGTTCAGAGGACAGCTATCTGGCTTTTGATGGGACTTCAAACCACATCAGATGTGGAGCTAATAAAGAAAGGTAGGCTGCTTAGATTGAAGAAGGGACTGAGCGAATGAGAGGGAGAGAGAAACAGAAACAGAGAGAGAGAGAGAGAGAGAGAGAGACAGTGTGTGTGTGTGTGTGTGTGTGTGTGTGTGTTGGGTGGGTGGGTGGGAAGAGATAGGAAGGGCTTGAGCATTGCCCTCCGAATTCTGAAGAGTTTAAGAGAAAATCAGCATCCTCTTTATACCAGTGGAGGCCAAGGCAAAGCCCAGGAGGTGGTATTTACAGGTAGATCGAGTTCGGTTCAGATTAGGGAAGTATTTTCAAACATTTGGAACAACTGCCAGAGTAATGAGTTGTTCCAGTAGAGCTTTCAAAGTGTTTTCTTTTGAAAATTCCTTAATTTTATAAATTTAAACCTGTACCTTTAAATCATAATATTTGAGCAATGGTCAGTAGATGGCGGTAGGATACCATAGATTTTACCAGTGGCAGCTGGACTTTCACCCTTCAATATGCTGGAAGTAGATGATTTTTTTCTAATTATTATTGGAAGGTGTATCCTAATCTATTGTTCAGAGAGAAATTGCTGATTTGAAAAACAGGAAATAATACTTCCTAATTAAATAGACGATAATGAGTAACAAATACTTTTATGTTGCCTGAATGCTACCATGCTGTTTCTTTATTGGCCTCTAGAAATTTGTGGTAGGAAGTGTGTGTGTGTGTGTGTGTGTGTGTGTGTGTGTGTGTGTGTGTAAATGAAAGGTCTGGTTTGTTTTAAATAATTCCAAAATGTGATATACTAATTTTGTGTAAAATTTTAAAAATACATGACTGAATTGAATAGAAAATATTTCTATGAAGCATTGCATTGAAAAATCTTATTTTCTTCTTTATACTAGCACCTTTTTGTACTTAGACATTATGAATTTTAAAATAAAAGTGTGCATTCTTCATAAATGCGCTGAATTAATTATTTTTTCCTAGTAGTTTGTAAAATAAAGTTTGTTCAGGAATGGTCAGCTTGGGAGATTTTTATCTGTGTGAGATTTTTCTCTCCCTTTGAATTTTTTGGGGAATTTTGTAATAGAGGAAGGGCCTGTATTTTTAGACACACAAGCCTTAATAAATATTCTTTAAAAGTGGATGTATGTCCAAAACATGTGGAAAATAAAACATGTTGATGTTTAATTTGGAAAGAGGAAGATAATGCTGATGCCACCCCTTCCCCACTTTTTTTTGTTTTTCAGAAAGTGTAGCATGATATTCTTGTGTGTTAGGTTCTTAAGTATCTAGCATAGCAACACCTTTTTCCCATCTAACTCTGAGCAGCGTATTTAGGCTGGCTGCCTGTCTAAAAAGTTGTTTGTGGAGAGCAGTTAGTCACAAAAGCACATGTGGGTCCCTTATTCCTCTTCAATTCTAAGCAGTGAATATACCCCGGGCTTCCAGGGAGACAAATTGTTTTAATTTGCTAACATTTTGGGACTCTCCAGGACTGTGAGAAGCTAATTTCCAAGTTTTGGGACACCCCTGATAGAAGCTTAGGCAGACATTTTCTAAGATTATCTCTGAGACAAAAAAAACAGGCAAAATATCAATTTCTGCACGAGTCTCATGCAAACCATACAGTCCATTCAAGCACGTTCTTTTTCCCATTCATTTTCTCTCCCTCTTTCTCTCTCTTTCTCGCTCTCGTTTTTATTTCAATTGATGGGATCCATGAACAGAGTTGTACTCCCCTATGGAGTGAATGGAAGCTGGGAGATCAACGCCCTATCACAGAAAGGCTGTGTGACCCTCGCCAGGTCCCTGGGCTTTCTGAATCTCTGCTTAGTCATCAACAAATTTGCTCTTCTGCTGATGGAAATTTGGCCAAGAATTATGAAACGAATGTCTGAAAATTTTTCTTGTTACTCCCATAACAAAAAGCTCTATGTAAAAAGAAAGTAACGTGCTGGTATCTAGAACTATCAAAGAATTTCTTCTTTAGCTAGTAAAATAATCATAACTAATGGTCATCTATGAATTTTCCCTACAAAATCTTTATATCACCCTTTAAAGGAAAAACTCAGACAGGACTAAATGTTCTTTTTTATTTTAGCAAATAACGCTAATGTTCTTTTTCTATTTTATATACATATGTACACACACACACACAGGCCGCAAGCACACACAGACACATATATTATTCTTCCTATATGTGTAGAAACAACGTATAAAAATATGTTGTACATTTTTTTCTTGCTTCAGTGTTTCTGCATGGGTTAAAAATGTAACAAAGTAAAATTTAAGCTCTTTCATGCAAGCATTAGTTCTTTAATATATAAATTTTTATCAGTTAAGTACTGCTTTAAGGAATACTTTTTCTTGCTTTCTTTTTTTTAAAATTGAATATTATTTAATGAGAGGCTGGAATCATATGTACTTCTTTAATGAACATGTAATGTAAAACTTTTAGAGACTTGCTTTAAATAAGAAACTTGCTAAGATATCTGAACAGTTGTATACTGATTTCTAGATTATCAAATTGAAACTCAAAGGTACGTTGCGTTTTTTTAAAAAAATCTCTTGATGTGACAGAATTTGTCAGTAAGCAAATATTATGCTCATAAAACAATTTTTTGGAGAGTATCATGATAGAAGTATTGCACAGCACACAAGTTGTTCAACTTGAACTCATAAAACATCATATTATTTACTTGTCTTTTCCTTTGAAAAATAGTTAATTATTGAAGCACTGAGAACATTTTACATTCCTGGCTTGTGGTTGCGTCTTGCAAACGTGAGACTAATGAGAGCAAGTTCTCACCCCAACTCTGAACTTGCTGACTTATCTGATTTAAAATCCGAGCATTTGAACATTGGTGAGTTATTTTAAATAATGATTCTATTTTGTTGTTGCTGCTGTTTCATGAAGAGTGATTTTTTTTTTTTAATTCAACAAAGACAATGCCTTGGATCTGATGTAGGAGAAAAAGGAGTGATGGGTCTGGCAGACATCTATGGCATGTATATTTATTTAACGGTTTGCTATAATGCTTATTATTAATGATGACAATCATGAACTTGCATGCATTGTTTATTTTGTAAATACACATAATGGAGCTTTCAAAAAAGGAGATCAGCTGCCCCTTGCAACGATGGCCGTCTGCTGGGGAAGTAACTACTCAGAGACCCTTTGTGACTTGGGTTCCTGACCCAGTCCATTTCACTATTAATGCTCTTGGAACATTTTGTGAAGTCCATTTATAATTTCCCTGCTCCGAGCATCTAAAATGAACTGCAGGTCTACGTTACATCTACATGGTAGATTAGATTTGAGTATCTATAAGTGGATTTGAACACCAACAGTACCTGCAAAACTAAATATGCATTAAATGCCATGAAGTTCTGGTCATAAAATGCAAAAAGGATTTCCAAGTTCTTGGGGGATTGGGGACACTCTTCAGATAGGACATAGGTAATTTGATTAACATGCACCTTGAATCTACTTTGTTTTGATTCTGAAGAGCAGAAATAAAATGGGCAAAAACTCTACATGAAACCGGAGGCATCTCAGTTTATTTCAGTACTTTTAATTTTTATTTTATATCTTTATGGCAACTTATAAAACTTCTACTGGACATTTGGGCTTCATTTTGACCTTTCCATGCTCTTTCCCTAGATCTGAATTATTTGGCTTTAGTGAAAATGGAAGGAGTACAATAAAAAGAAGCTCAGTCCGAGGGGCACACCTATTCCTGCATTAATTCCGGATTTAATCGTGTGCTACCTGAACTCTGGGACAGCCAGCTTGGCGTTTATATATCTCTCTCATTGAAAGTCCAAAAATCCCAGGGAAACATTCGAAGGAAAGGAGAAAACGTTTGTTTTCATAAATTTTATAAACCCTGGCTCTAACAGATCTTAAAAGGGCGTCTTACATAGTGCAGAGATGCTAAATACTACATCTGCTTTAAATATTGTTGGGTGTCTCAGGCCTTTGTGGAGAGAGTTTGATGCCGTCTTTTGTTGTAGGACAACTAGTGTACTCTGTGATGCAGGGGAGTTGCTAGTTCAAAGGATACAGCCTTACTTCGGGTTTCTTTTCTCTCTTTCTTCCTTTCTTTCTTTTCTTCTCCCCTCCCCGTCCTCTACATTGTGGTTTTTGCTTGGGGGGGCTTTAGTTTTAAACATTCACATGGAACTCCCAGTCTTTCTTCTTTCAAGAAAAGACAAGCCCTTTATAATAATAATTACAAAATCTGCAGTAAGTTCTGTAAATTGAACATACATGAAGCTATATTGGCTACTATCACAACCTTTTGTCTTAAATTGGGTAAATAACTCTCAACTTTGTGCTTGTGGAATGGAAGGTATTTATAGATATTAATTACAGTCAAGCTAATTTAAAGTATCCTTTATTAACGTTCTTCTGGTTTTATGATTTTCAGGAATAATTGCAGCCACCTACACGTACAGTCTTCACATAATATTCTTAATTGTATTAAATATCTACCCGCACTCAGTTTACATAGCATTTTAATATACATCTTTTATTCAGCAGAAGTCTAAAGGCTTCTCTTTATTCAAACTGAACATTAGATCAGAAAGTGAAGAAGTCGGAGACCTAGCAATGAAAGCAGGCCTTCCCTGTTTCTCCGACAATGATTTCGGGTAGGTGACTGTGTGTTTGTTGAGAAATGGACTGGATGGGATATTGACAGTTTCCTATCAAAAGCTAGACCCTAGAGGCCTGGCTGTTTGGGCCCACACTGATTGACTACTCTTTAATAGACATATAATTGTTGACAAATACCTTCCAATAGACTGTGGCAGCGCCCAGGCAGACAAAGGAGATTTCAGAATGATAGAGACCAGAGCTGAGCCATTTGGTAGAGGCAGTGCCTTACAGAGGAAAGGACTTTGCACATAGTGAACCTACTAAGAGAAACCAGGTCAGGGCATCTCTGTGGCCAATCCTGGGCAATCGTGCCAAAATCGAGAAATTTAAAAAGACTCATTGTTTCTATGTATCATAGAGTTTGCTGGAGAGGGATGAACACAGACTGTTTTGTGCAGTTTTGTATCCAATCTATTACTTTGTCCATGTTTAAAAAATTATTGATAGGGAGAGAGGGGTGTGTGTGTGTATGAGATTTGATACCTAGAATATTTAGCTTGTTTATGGATTGTAAAACCTATCAATCTGATCCTTGTAAAAACACAATAGGCTATTCAGATAATTTCAAAGAGTCTTGGACAGTAACAAGAATTATGGAAAAAATTGATTTTAGACATCAGCCCATTTACAACTGAAGTGTCAGAGGAGCTTGGAGATGTCCCTATAAGGCTGATGCATCCAAGAGTATTCGGGAACCTCCATCTCAGCCTCCGCGGCTTGTCTGGCCAAGCCTGCCTTCCCAGATCAATGCCTGGCTGAGAAATAGCTCTTGAAAGTTTGCCTCACAGGATGCATTCTCTCGGCCCGTTCAGTTTCAGTAAATCTCCCTCCTTGGGGGCTCACTCTCAACCACAGGAGGCCACAGTTGCTTTCAGTATGTGACAGGAGCCTGCTGACAATGGGACTAGGTGATCTCATTTAGATCTGCAAGCTGGTGTAAGCTTAATAAAATAATAAAATAAAATACAAACAGTTAAAATGCAACCTCAGCCTCATTGTCGCCATCATACCCCACAGAGAATAGCAGATCGAGCCAGGCCTAATGTCATCTGCGAGGCAGGTTCCCTCATACTGTCCTCTGAACGCATTGGGTTGACACGGCAGACTGCCTCCTGGCATCCTGCATGAAACTGAACCAGCTTGTGCCCAAAAGACCTTGAGTCCTGCCTTTGATTCTTATTGATCAAATACGCAGATTAAATCCCACATCACAAAGCAAGGCAAAACCCAAGCTTTCTCTGTCAACTTCTAGGAATCCCGGTGAAGCCCTTTCTGAATTATCTTCTTATGCATGAAGGAGAGCTGGAGTGCACATGTATTTCAGGAAGATATACATGGTGGGCAAGCAGATACGTAGGTCTGATAGCTCCCAGGCTCTGTGGCAGGAGGATGAGACAGATAAGAATGTTGTGCTTGTTACCTGTTGTCAAATTCAAACCCATGGTTAGGATTCATTTGGAGAGAAGAAAAGATTATTTTTGAAGTTGCTTCTTTGCAATCTGTAAGCATTCCTAAACAGGCAGGCTTCTGCAAACAGCTGCCTCAAAATGTTGTGTGTGTGTGTGTGTGTGTGTGTGTGTGTGTGTGTGTGTGTGTGTGTGTCCATTAATTCAGAATTACTCCAATTACAAGCTTTTGATGCTCTAAAACCCTCTCTCTAACCCAAAAGAGATGGAGAGCCCTCGGACCATCCAATCAGATCATTTTCCCTGCCGCCTGCAGCAGATGTAAGCAATTTACTTTTTTATTTCTGCATATTCAGTGTGAGCGGAGCTGTTGGAGACCTTTCACCCCAGAGCCTGCAGGATTCTAACCCTATCAAATTAAAGCATTTTGCTCACTTATTCCCAAACGCTTTGCTGGTGCTAAGCAGACATCCCGCTGCATAGCAATGGCGGGTGTTCGTGTCCACTCATAGCCCCAGCCTAATCAGAGGTTATTAAGGAAAATATACAGTGCTTTAATTTGATGAGATTGGTTATAGGTAGTGCAGTTAAAGGTCACACTCCTGCGTGTATCTCCCTCCGTCTCTGTAATATTTTCTTCTCGCTTGACAATCCTGAGCTGCAAACAATAGGCCAAGGCGACACATTTATTTTTGACATGCTGTGATGGGCTCAATAGGGATAAAGATGAATTATTTAAGGATTGCATAAACAAACATCCTGGGCCAGGTTTTGGTTACATCTTCCACTTTGTGCTCTGTGTATGCTGTTGCCTTAAAAGAACATGTTCAAGAAATGAGCCTCCTTTGGGCAGGAACGCATTTAGATGGAGGGCCCAGATAGGCTGCTGCCAGATGGCTGGGTCGCCTGCCTAACTCCTGTTGCTGGCTGTGCAGGGAGGGGAGGTGGCTCCCAGCTCCCAGGGAAAGGTGCCTCTGAAGGACTGATTTGCTCTTCTGACCCTGGAAACTTCTCCACCTGCTGTGAGCTAATTGAGCTGGCCTGTCCGCATCCATAGGAGTGGGTGGGGCCACTGGGGGCCCACAGTGGCTGTTTATTTGTGTCCATCGCCTCATCGAGAAGAAGCCAGGTAATGGAAGGTGGCCCAGTCTTTCCCAGGCAGAGAGAGAGAATTACCCAGCTCTCGCTGCTCTTTTGAGGGTTGATTTTCATACCAAGTTTTCTCTCTTTCCCAGAGAAGCCCTTTCTGATTTCAGCACATCCCAGCCTTGGGGAGGCACAGTCCCAAGATAAGAGTCCTGCTTCTTTGGGGTGCTTAGGCATTCTCATTTTCCCATTTCAGACACATCGTCGAAGGCACAGAGAGAGGCGTAGGAAGGAACAAGGGCAACTTCTAATCTTCTGTCAAACTTAACGGTTTTTGTGTATGTGTCCCTGTAATAGACCAACTGCAGGCTGATTTACCTAGAAATTTACATGAAAATTGCTTTATGCAGCTGTATGTAAAAATTCAAGCCGCACAGTGTCACTGTACCATGCAGGTCAAGGCACAGCCCGGGGTATTGTAGCCCAAAACAATTTGTTTTCAGTCCTGGGAGGAGGGGGAGGGATGCAGCAGGATGGGGGCCGAAGGAGGACACCGTGGGGGCTCTTCAGGACAGCACTGTGTTTCAGGGAGCAGCGAAGGCAGAGGGACATCCTGCCTCCTCCCTCTCTTCCCTGAATGTGCTCCCTGACTGGCATCTGTCTTTAATATCTTTTTTTTCCTTGAACCTTTAATACTTTAAAGGAATATTATAGCCGATTTATCATCTTAGTCCTCAAATATATTACCTAATGCAATACTAAATTATTTGAAAGTCTTCCCACTTGAACTGAGAAATACCAGGGATAAGACTGCTTAAGAAATGGTTGCTCTGTGCTCCTGGAGACCGGTTGACAATTCCACAAAAATCTTCTCTCCATATGTTGTTTTGTTTTCAATTTTCATATGCTTGAAATGTGGTAAGTTGGAGATATTAGAGAGCTAATAATAAAATAATAATATTAAAGTAGAGGACTTTGGAGCAATTTCTCATTGGGAGCTTGGGGGAAGGCGGGGTCAGCTGAGGGCAGCCTCCTAGGTCTGACTCAGGTCTAGAGGATGTTCCTTTCCTGCCTTCCTATTGGAAGAGCCACGGGACGCCAGGAAGTTGTGTGTGATTCTTCAGGAGCTCTTGTTGCATCTGCAGTTCGGCATGCAATGTGTTTCCCTCTGTGTGCAGGTGGCCCCGAAAAGGTGGCTCTGCAGCCTGCAGATCAGAGACCCTGTCAAAAATCTCTGCAAAGATGCAGGGATGCCTCCATGCACAAGAAAATTCAGCCTTTTCTCGGATTGCAGAGCCTATGGGCCTGGCAATGAACTTCCCAGATTTCTAAGGAAAAATCCCATGAGCTAAAAATGCCAGCAGCAACTTTTGAGTTCTACTTAATGCTTTATAAATTTGGGTATGTGTGCATATATCTGCATTCATCAAAATTCTTTATCATTGCTTTATGTTATTAAATGTTTTCATGAAGACAGTTAATATGATAACTGCCATTCTCTATAGTTACATGGCTGAGTGAGTGAATATCTTTATTTGGAACAATTTGTCACAACTGGGATCTGGGTGGTTCTGAGAATGCCTTAGAACTGGGTGGGATGGGGTGGCTGAGTGAGAGTGAGGGCAGCCTCTTGAATGGACGGATTTTGTCTCTTCATCTTTCTGATGACCCTGTCTCAGGACTTTCCCCCCCTTATTTCTGTTGATTCTCATTTAAAACAGATCCCTCTGGTATGTGTCACAATTTTGCTTTGCTTAGCTCCAGATTACATTTCCCCTGATACAAAGCACACCTAAAATAATCAAAGGACAAATGAAAGGCCCACTACCCATTCGTACATAACATGCAAACCAATTTTTAAAATTATTTGAGTTTCAGCCTTTTAATTTTAGGACCATAACTTTGCCAAGAGTGGTACTCTAAATTCTTGCCCTTATTTAGGAATTTATGAAACAATTAAGATAGGTTATTACCCTTCCTTGAAGGACAGAAGGCAAGCCATAGGTCAGCTGAGAATATGCTTTTTTGGCAAATATCTAAAGTGTTATTTTGACAGAATATTTTCTAATGTTGTAGGACCTTAAAATACAAACCTGGTTATTTGGGAATCCGTAGAGTATAAAGTATGAAAATATTTGATGATTTTCTTCTTATAAGCATTATAGTACAAGAAAAAATGGTTTTAGTATATGCTAAGTAATGCTGTTATTGGTAGACAGATCTTACAGGGCTAGGTAAAGAATTAAACTGACTTTGCAAGTTGTCAAGCTGATTACACAAATTAACTAGGGACAAATACTTAAATTACTTCTTCTATTGGCTTATCTCTTCAGTTGTATTCCAGAATATTTTTTGAAAATGGAATATTCCTTTAAATTGTCCTCAGATTGATGTCATTATAGTATCATCACCAGTCTCATAAAGTGGCTTGATTATTGTGCTTTAGTAGACAATGCAGGGTTATAAAAGCTGCATCTCCCGTCATGATTTCTCACATGAGTTTCACATCATTGAGCCCCTTCAGCTGTCACGTGCATCAGTGACTGCGTCATGTTATTGAACATAACCTGGAATCAGGAGAAACTGAATAGAGAAGTTTATCGAAATTTAGATGAATAATAATAACAAATTCCAAAAGGTTATTTCTAAACATTTCTAATAAAATATTTGAGTTACTCTTGGATATTTTATTGTCTATGTAGAAAACATGCTACATCTAGTTTCAAATAGATAATTTTACCTCCCTCAACCCTGCAAAGAAAAAAAATCCAAACAAACTGTGTTTGGAATTTAAATGTTAGAAGGTGCTTCAGTCTAATAAATATTTTCCTAATGCGTTAATTGTGATGCTTTCCTTGTGTGAACAGGTTACTTTTGAAGATGATGACTTTCAGCGTCATGAGCGTCATGCTGAGACGCTCTCTATGTAATTCTGAAAAGAGCCGCTAGGTGGGAGTGGTGCCAACAAGGGTAGTTCCGGTCTCTTAAATGAACTAGGTGGGATCCAGAGATTGTGTGATTTCCATCTATGAATATGGCTTCCCACAAAATAGAGCTATTTGTTAAAGCAATAAATAAAATATTCCATTAATTAAAAATTTCCAGTGTTTTATCTGAATCTAAAAAGAAGTACAATCTGAGAAGGAGAAAAAAAGCCATCTAGGTATGTACAAAGGAAGTGCCCATCCAAGACAAACTTCGGCTGTCTTAGTTGCTAATCATTTAGTCCTGCTAGGCTTATGTTACCATCAGGGATAACAATGAAAAGTTACTAAAGCACACATTTTTTACTCTGCTAATAAAAAAAGATTCCTTTTGTAGGCATCTATTGAGAAATTAAAAGAAAAAAATCAGAAAAAATGATATTCTAAGCCATGAAAAAGACCTCCCCAAAATTCCAAAATTTAACATGGGCTAAAGAAATTTTAAATTAACCTTTTCAGCAATTTAAATATACTATTGCAAATATCTAGCAGGCCTAGAAAGAAATTATGAATACAATTATTTTAAAAAGAAAAAAATGGAATACAACTCATAAAGACATTGGATGCTTCCAAAACAGTAGTAAAAAGCACATTCATAGCATTATTAAAGAAAAATAAAATGAAATGAGTTAATCATTATACTCAAGAAATTAGGAAAAAAACTGTAAATATAAAGAAGCAATATTGGTAGGGAATATAATTGACAAGTAAATGGAGAGGTACATCTAAGACACTATTTTTATAAGGAAAACAATTTCAAGACCTATGTCTGGAATTCTCCGTAAGATAATAAAATGGCTAGCTCAAATAAACAAAATTAGAAGTTAGAAATGATGAAACAACAAATATAAAGGAGATAGAAATTATAAATCCTCTAAATCTATGCCAGAATATTGAAGCACTCAGTAAAATAAATCATTTTCTTTTTTGGAAAATATAAAATACTGATATTAATTCCAGATGAAAAAATACTCTGAGTGCGCTAATACCATTTTTAAAAGCATAAATGAATTCTTGTAAATTTTAAAAGGCTAGAATACAAATAAATTTAATCAATATTTAAAATAATGCAGCATAGAGCTTATTCCAGGAATGCAAAAGGAATAAATTCAATCTCACATGCAATTGTTTTATAAAGTAGGGAATATACATCTTGAGTGACTAATACACTTATCAACAATACATCCCCTGTATTCACATAAGAATCAGAAACAAGACATGAATATTGATGATGTCCTTGTTATAATGGAGAATGTGATAAAAATTAAACAATCAAAAGATAAAATAACTGAACATTAATAAGATATTTTATTAAGGTGGCTGAATACAACAGAAATAAATATGAAACTCTCATATGTTTCCTATATACTGTATAAGCAATAAACATTTAGAAGTATAATGGAAACAACTAATTCAGAGGAGAGAATTAATTGAGGGACACATGAAATCCTGTGTTAATTAGGAGATATTTTCAAAAGACAGTATGGCTGTTGCAGTTCCATACTGATTTATTTACAGTTTTAACAAAGTCATCGAAATCCTAGTGTCATTGTTTTGGCACTTTTTTTTTGTTATTAGAAAGTTCAGTGGCTGAATGGAGGGTTGGAATAACCCCAACCCCTGAACAAAAAGACTAAGTAAGGAAGACCTGCCCTAGTAAATAGTAATTTTGTTAAAAGAAAACTGGACATAATTTAGGAAGGTACATTGGTATGAGCATTAGTAGAAGAGATCAATGAAAAAGAATAGAGCACCTTGAGCTAGACCCTCCAATGCAGATGTATTTCAGCAAATGTTTAAGGTGGCATCACAAATTAGTAATTTTTTTCCAAACAAATGAGGTTGAGACAATCGGTATTGACAAAAATGAAGATCACATCAATATATCATTTCAACAGCCCTGGAGGAGTGAGGAGTCCTCCTGAAGTGGCATCAAGGTAGGAATACAGAACCACTGTGCTTGAATTTATGGCAGAACACTTCACATCTGTACTTGCTGCAGATGTTGCAGGGGTCCAGGCTTCCCTGGCTACTGTGCACCCTGAATTCTCATCATCTGCAGTCTGTTTTGTGTGTACCCTAAAAGGACCTAGTCTACCACTCTTATTCTTTCCTTCAACCTTTGCTAATTTTTCTAATCTTGTTTTCAGCAAGAACTCTACATCTTCAACATTTTGTAGAGCATTCCCTGCGATGTGGAAAATTCTGCTGGGCTATTCCCTGAGGACACCTCTACCTTTCGTGTCCAGAATTGGTGGGTTCTTGGTCTCACTGACTTCAAGAATGAAGCCGCGGACCCTCGCAGTGAGTGTTACAGTTCTTAAAGGCGGTGTGTCCGGAGTTTGCTCCTTCTGATGTTCAGATGTGTTCGGAGTTTCTTCCTTCTGGTGGGTTCGTGGTCTCGCTGGCTCAGGAGTGAAGCTGCAGACCTTCGCAGTGAGTGTTACAGCTCTTAAGGTGGTGCGTCTGGAGTTGTTCCTTCCTCTCGGTGGGTTCGTGGTCTCGCTGGCTTCAGGAGTGAAGCTGCAGACCTTTGCGGTGAGTGTTACAGCTCATAAAGGCAGTGTGGACCCAAAGAGTGAGCAGCAGCAAGATTTATTGCAAAGAGCAAAAGAACAAAGCTTCCACAGTGTGGAAGGTGACCCGAGCGGGTTGCCACTGCCGGCTTGCAGCCTGCTTTTATTCCCTTATCTGGCCCCACCCACATCCTGCTGATTGGTCCATTTTACAGAGAGCCAATTGGTCTGTTTTACAGAGAGCTGATTGGTCCGTTTTGACAGAGTGCTGACTACCTCTTGAGAGTTTTCCAGGCTTCCTAAGGCTTTGGAGCTTTCCTGAGTCAGGGCCTTTGCACATGCTATGTCTTTTGCCAGAGAGGCTGATTGCTCAGCATTATGCATGCCTGGTTCCTTCCCATCATGTAGGTCTTCTGGTCAAGTACCCCCTCTTCAGAGAACGTTTCTCCCCCACCCTTCCCCTCCAGTGCGCACTGCCAAACCCTGCTCGAAACCACCCTGTTCTCTGTCCTATGGTCACTCAGTTGACATCACAATCCGAAATATTATTCATTTCCCTTTCTGGGAATAAACATCACAGGAATAATCAGAGTTGTAGAATGAGATTTGTATACAAGGCTGCCTATGTCTGTGTTTTTATAATGGCGAAATATTAGAATCAGCTTAAACATTGACAAATATGTGTAAGGCTCAGTAAATTACAGCATATCTTGAGGGAAGAGCATTAGTGCAAAGACATTAAAATTTTGTTGTTCACGAATGATTGTGGGGCACAGTGGCTCATGCCTATAATTAATCCCAGTACTTTGGGAGGCCAAGGTGGGTGGATCACTTGAAGCCAGGAGTTCAAGACCAGCCTGGCCAACATGGCGAAATTCCATCTCTAGTAAAAATACAAAAAAAAAAAAAAATTAGCCAGCTGTGGTGGTGCATGCCTGTGTTCCCAGCTACTTGGGAGGCTGAAGTCACAAGAATCACCTGAACCCGGGAGGTGGAGGTTGCAGTGAGCTGAGATAGCACCACTGCACACGAGCCTGGGAGATGGAGCGAGACTCTGCCTCAAAAAACTAAACAAAGCAAAACAAAACAAACTGTTGACTTATGAATGATTATTTGGATTTTTATTTTCAGTTTTCTGCACTACAAACAATCCCATATTGAACATCAATAGATATCTATTTATATCTATTTATCTAGTTACCTATCTATACATATATGGATGTAATGGGATATAATGACTAGTGTTTTCATTTTTGGTAGGATGATTCACAAAAGTGGAATTGTTATATCACATAATTAGGATCTTTAACATTTTAACACTTCACACTGCCTATTTCACTATAGTGTTGTCAACATTGATTGTTTTCAATCTTTTATTTATTTACCAATCTCTTATAACTTGAAATGGAATTTTACTTTTTAATTTGCAGTTCTATGACTATTAGTAAATGTCAGTAACTTAAAAAATTTCCATCTCCTAAAATTCCTTTCTTGTGTGTTTTTCTTTCTTCTGCATCCAAGGGTAGGACTGAGGAAACAGGAGAGAGAGGCTTCCAAATTGGTCCAATGACAGCCTCACTAACTGAAGTTATTTACTCATCATTATTTTCATAATAGCTAAAATGTGCATAACAATTTTCTGTTTATAAAATACTTTCATATCCATCATCAAATTTAATATGGGGTACAAACCATGCACAAGACGGTCTGTAAAGCACAAAAGTAGCTCATTATGCATAAATATAAAGTGCTTTTTACTACTCTGAAGATTCCCAAGAGAGAATGTGTTCTTATTCCCCATTGCTTCTTCTAATACTGAGTTGGGAGGAGCCATGAGTTGGATATGTTAATTTTTATGTTTGTGGTCCTGCTACATCCTCAATCTTCCATTGTATAGTACCTTAAAGATGCCCATTCTTGATACCAAGTACTATTTGGGGATGCATTTAAATTTTCTGTGTGTGCCCTAAAGCTTGGGAAAAGCATAACAGCTAAACGTGGCAATTTCCTGCTTACTTTAAAACTCTGCCTTAAAATGTTGCCAGTCTGGGGCTGTGCAGAGAGAGAAGGGGCAGCAGCCTAAACACAAGAGAAAGGCAAGCTCTGTTTAACTCGATGTTTGCTCACTATGGCATGGCTGATGCTGCCTGGAAAAAATACTGTGAGCCCATCATTTCCACCAAGGGACCAGGGCATGGTTTGGCATACCTATGCCACGATGCATCCACAAGGCCAAATTAAGAGAGGATGGCTCTCTGGGTCTAGTTTAAGGAGAAAAGAGCCCTCTGCAAACAAAACCTACCTCTGAAAAGGCTCCACGGGACACAACATCTAAAGGTATTTGCCACGGTCTGTATATTGAAAGTCAAATAGCTCTCATTCAGGAGCAAAGCCCATCTTCCCTTTTTATGTCTTCAGCACTTATTGACAAAAGCAAAGTTGAGAATGGCAAAGAGGGATTGTTCTGCTGTGGCTTTCATACAGAGGAGGCACTGGCTGTAAAGACAGGGCGTAATGATCCATCCCTCTTGGGAGGGATTGTGGACGGATCAATAAAATGCAGACATTGATACAGAACAGGCACATGGTATTCCTCACTCCCACATCCTCTTTCCTGGGGGCACTCAAAGGCTATTGACTTTGGGGATATTGTCATGAGCTGGGGCCAAGGTGACATATGGTGGTTTCTCTTCCTTCTGCCTGCTCCGCCATCTTGGTCGTAAATGGAGGATAATAGTACTAGAGAATAGGGAAGATAAGGGGTCTATAGGGCCACCATGTCTACCAAGTCCAGGAGGTGCTGTTTACAGGCTGCAATGTGAATGACACCCTCAGGGGCTGGGTAACACCCTATGGCTTGGACTCTTGAGTGACCTTTTCTTGTATCAATGTCAGTCAGCATGCTATTGATCATCCTCTTCAACTCCCAAAGCATCCATCTTCTTTGGTGAGGATATAGAGCATTGCCCCATGGCTGCTCTGGTCACACTGTTCTTGCCCATCGATCCACATTGAAGGACACACTCCTCACTTCAAACCATTTCACATTCTCTTCAGGTTTCATCAGCAATGAGAACTTAATTGAGGGAAACTAGATCTCCACAATCCTACATTGGAATATAGAAAAGTACAAGGACATGCACGGCACTTTGAAGGCTTTTAAAACACGCAATGCCAGACTTCGGTGTGCCACATGGACTAATGCTTCACATTTGCATGCCTACACATTTTATCCTGTGAACTTTATCTTACCTGCTTAATAAGTTGTTCAGTGACTTTAAATAACTACTGAATTAAAAAATCTATAAGGTTACCCTGGGTTCAGGTAGTCATTTGCATTGAGGCAGTAGAGAGAGGCCAGGCTGGGATGAGCTGGTTAGGAACTAAACTCACAGGGGCTCCGCTCCTAAGAGGATGAGCTAGACCTATGTGACTTCCTCCTTGCAAAGGGGAGGTGACTCTGGCTGGCCTGATCTTTCAAAGGATGCTTTTATAGCCTTTGTTCTGATCATCCAAATGGATTAAAAAATTACAGTCATTTTAACTAGGTGGGTCTTTCTCATTTATTATTCATGTTCCGAGATCCATTTCTGATGCTTAAGAATAATGCAACCCTCGTCAGAGGCAGCAGACCTGACACGGGATCCTGGGTCTAACATAACTAGGCTGTGGAACCTAGGCAACTTATTTAATATCTTTGAGCCACATTTCCCACGCCAGTAATGAGGGATTAATTGGATGTAAGGGGTTGTTTTGTGATATTAGGTAAACTATGCCATACAAGAATACCTACATAATTCCTGGTTCACTTTAGGTGCTCAGTGGAGATCAATTAAAGCTGAATCTGGCTGTGACTAAGAATGCAGGAGGAAGTCGGTATCTGGTGAGTGCAAAGGGCCTAGGGTCATGTACAATTAATTACTCCATTATTCCTCAGTTGTCCCCAATGCTCTCCAACTGATGCACCCACCCTCACTCTTCCTGCTCAAATGGTATTAACCCACTTTAGATGTTTATTTTATTCTTCAAGATCATCTTTCCACAAATATTAGATGCCTACTAAGTTCTATGTGTTCAAAGTAGTTGAAAGTGATACAGAAGATTTAGAGATGAATTAGAAATTGATTGAAGACATGCCCATGTATGTTCATTGCAGCAATATTCACAATAGCAAAGACATGGAATCCATGTAAATGCCCACTAATGGTAGACTGGATAAAGAAAATGTGGTACATATACACCATGCAGCCATAAAAAAGAACAAGATCATGTCCTTTGCAGCAACATGGATGGAGTTGGAGGCCCATTATTTTAAGTGAACTAACAGTAACAGAAAGCCAAATATCACATAGTCTCACTTCTAAGGGGGAGCTAAACATTGAGTACATATGGACATGAATAAGGGAAAAACAGACACCAGGGCCTACTTGAGGGTGGAGGGTGGGAGGAGGGTGAAGATCAAAATCCACCTATGGAATACTGTACTTATTACCTGGGTGACTAAATAATTTGTACACCAAATCCTCATGACACAAGTTTACTTATATAACAAATCTACACGTGTACCCCAGAACCCAAAATAAAAGTAAAACAAAAGACAACAACAACAAAACAAACAAAGAAATTGACTGAAGAATTTATATTAAATGGGTTACCCGTGAATAAAAATGCATTATGGTATTGAGGTTGCTTATGCTGCTGATGGTGATGGCAGTGAGGGAGAAGTGAGTTTTAGTTTCCTTGGGCCACATCTTTCTAGGGATAAAGCCAGTTGTTCTCATTCATCTTTACATTGCCAGCCTCTATTATAGAGGTCTAGAATCCAAGTCAAATGACTGAGTGTATAAATGAATAACCTCTGCCCAGCAACTGCTGGGTTTACCACAGTGCCCGCACTCACACACACTTGAACATTTCTCATTTGAAACCCTTTGAAGAACTGCTTGTTTCCATTCTGTTCTTTAAAGAGGTTCTTTTACAAATGAAAAACAGTATAAAGCTAAAATTACAGTACAACACATGCTGAAACTTTCCTGAAATGGCAAAGATCACAAATCCAACAACTGCAGTAGAAAAGCAAAAGAGGAGGTGAAGGCAGCAGCTAATCAGGAGGCAGAGAGTGGAGATCTGATGGAGTTTCTACAAAGCTTTCTGTGCCAGAGACTCCTTCCAAGAGCAACCTCAGGCCTGCCTCCCTACTATGAAGGAAGCATTCAGAGCTACATGCACTTCAGAGCATGAGATGGATGTTTTAACATTGTGATGAGAAATTCTCTTTCTCTCTGTTCCAGTTTTTGATACCATGGGAAAAAGCCCTCTGGTCCTTGCTCTTATCCAGAGATGCTTTCAAGAAACAATAGAAGTTTATTTCCTATCATGGGGGCATTAGCATCACTTTGTCTTGTCTGTTGAGTAAGGCCTGAGTATGCCAACACCTGGAAAGCCTCAGGAAGGCCTATGTGGGCTTTGTGTCCCTTAACCCTGAGGATTCTTTGCTTCTGAGATATGAGCAAGAAGGAATTGCTGCTTAGTAACTTCAGTGTTATCATTATACCTCGACCACTGAGTTCTCCATCTCCTGATGGGAAACTGTTGTCTTACTTATTAACCTCTCTCCACAGTATCAGGAACCAGAAAGGGATCATTATTCAAGCTCTTCTAATTTAGAAATGCCCCATGTTTTTGATCATCTGAAATTTCTTTTTTTAAAAGACAATTGGTGAATGATGTTAGCCCAAGCTCCGTGGCCCAAGTACCAAGTACTCAGTATCCTTTGTGAGTGTTTGCTTCTTACAGTATGCTTTTATATGCATAATCTTACTTGAGATTTAGCACTCTTTCGAGGCAGGTGGAGAGGGACTGTTATCCTTATTTTATTGCCAAAGAGGGAATTGCCCAAAGAAGTCATTTGATCCACCAACAAGAATCCCAGCTCTCATAGAAATAGAGTTGGGGCATAAATCCAGGTTATCTATGATTTCTAGTCCAACGATCTGTATTACATGTAAGATTAGTTCTTTTCCTCTAGAGATTCTGAGTAGAAAGAACTAACCAATACTGAAAATATGTCTTCACTAGGACATTTTCCAGTCCTCACTTGTACTGTTGAATATTGATTTGTTTCTCTATCTCCTTATAAAAGTCACCCAGATATTTGCTGACTCTTATTTTCCTAAGATACCACCACAGCAAATAGATTAGCCAACCAACAGTTCCATACTGTTAAGTATGTTCTCCTTGGAAATGTTAAGAAACGAAGCTTGAATGGGATGAAGCATTGGGAAGTGAGGGCTGACCCCCTTCCTCCTCATGGCTGGGAGCAGGTTAACGCTGGCCTTTGGCAGAGGAAACAAGCCTCCATGGCCCCCACAAAGCCTTCCAGCTACATTGGCCTTTGCTCTGTGAATTCTGCCCTCTTTTTTACAATAGGACATTTTTAAAACAAAGCCACCATTTGTGAAAGGTCACCTGCCAAGAAGAGCAGAGAGTATTAGTGAAAATGACAGGAAGAAGATAAACAAACTGGAAAACATCTGTCTCCAGTGTTTACCCAGGCTGGCAATTTTGGAATAATGGCCTATAGGGCTGATAGCTAGAGATGCTGGAAGGTGAGGTTCCCTGCCCTCTTCTCCCTACCCCCAGACATTAAGGGGACTTTTTAGAGTCTGGCTTACTTACTGATGGTTCCTGTCAACGGTTCTATTATTTATATATGCTGCTATCTAGTTTTAATACTTAAAAGGGACCATGCTTGGAAAATATATTAGCAACTTGTAAATTATAATAAAATTTCAAAGTAGTAAACTTGGTACAGGGGCTAGGAGAGGAAGCATTGCTTTCCCCAACTACTGGTGTATTCCACAGTTTATTTATTTGTTGAAGGGCTGGTCATTCCTGTTTAAGGAACAGGGAATCTGGAAGAACAGAGCTCAGCCTGTCCACCTACCAAAGCCCAAGGCACACTTGTTTCATGGCCCTGTCTGGGTTTTTCCCAATCTCTTTCTAATAGTTCTTGACTAACTTTATCTCATTGCAAATGTCCTTGTTTTGGGGGACACATCTGAAACCCTTAAAATGGAATGAATGGTGTGAATATAGCTTGACTGGATTATAACTCAATCTACCAGTGACAGTCACAAAGAACAAGGAACTAGCAATGTTTTAGGTGGCCATTTATAGGAAATGTGCCCAGAGCACATGAGGGCCCAGAGTCCCCTGGAGAGGATATACATGCTCAGTGATCCCGTCTTGAGCTTATTGGAGATTATGATTTACTCAGATATTATTAGGTGAATCTTATGGCAGCATCTATCATGAGAGACAAACTTCCTCTAGATTTACCATAAGGTTCTGGACTTTATCTTTGAAATCAATATCATAAGATATTAATGTTTCTATATAGGTCAGTGCCAAAGATTTGCAGTGTGGCACTACTAAAACTTATTCATTTATAATAGCAGTAAGGATAATTCCTGGAAATTTTCACGCTTGCAAGAGTAGCTGAAGGCCCTCCCGTTGTTAAAAAATGTGGCTTATTAGAATAGTGATATGCATATCCTGGGGGCTAAATCATTTTCCTTGAAATGAAGCAATTCTAACAATTAGATCTTGATGAATAGTTGCCTATAACACTGGTAGCAATTCTGTCTCCTGCACCAAACTTAGGAACTAAATTCTACTTAATAACTGTTAGAACTTTTTAGGATTTTGTGAAAGAGCTTAATAATATGTTATTCCTTTTGGCCGTATAATTTTAGTTTTTAAAATATGTATTTTCTATGTATGTATATGCACTCATGTATAAATGAAAATATAGGTATATTATATGTATATATATATATATATATATATATATTTGAGAATCCAATCCCTCAAACATATACACATACACACATACAGCTCTTAGAAAGCCGTTTGTCATATAAACTTTTCTTTGTTCTTTCAAAGTTTTATCCTATACTAGTTGAAACTTGGCTTGGGGTGGTCTTTACACTGATGTCTGTTTATACTTCTGTATTACCAATGCACTGGGATCTTGTCAAACACATGCATTATCTTTCATGAAGGAAGTGTAGAAGATGGTTAAAAACACTTGGTTTGGGGTGAAGTTAACCTGGTTCAAATCTTGGTTCTGCCATTTACAGGCTACATGATTTTAGAGAAATCAGATAACGCTTCTGACCTCCGTTTGCTTCTCTGTGAATTGGCGTGATAACATCTACCATAGGGATGTTCACGTCTGTGGATGTCCAAGAGGCTGCTCAGGGCATCATCTGAAGCAAAGTGCTAAATAATCATGGCTATTGTTATCACTTCTGTAATTATAACAACAATTCATCAATCATATTGCTTTTTTCAATTTATAATAGATTACCAATAATATTTTGTGCTCTCAGGAAGTTAGAATAGTATAGTGGAAAGTAAAAGGATCTGTTGTTTGAAAGCCTGATGAGTCTTATCTTCCAAACGATGAAATGTGAACGATAATGGTCCAATGTCTGATGTTTGTCTTGCCCTGCCCCTTTACAGTGTGGCCGTGAAGACAACTGTAAGTAAAGAAATAATCTAGGTAAATATTCTTCATAAATTGTAAAATGATCTCCAAAAGTTGCTTATTGTTCTTGCTGTACCTCCTTTTACTGATATGTTAGGTGAGGTGAATTTACTTTGCATCCAGCTCCGTAAGTTATCAAATTTTGGCTATACATTCAGATGGAATACTTAAAGTTCCTTACAATAAAATTACTTTTTGGTAATGACCCCTTACAGCAATGTTGTCATAAAGTTTCAGTGAGGACATTTTTGTGGTACACAGCAATTAATAATTTCTGTCAACTCAATGAGTTTTTAGGAAGTCAGACACTTCAATATATGGCACAGATAGCATCTTTAAATAGGTATTTTTTGGAGGGGGATCTTTTTGTACATTTACCATCAAAATCCCTGGATTAGGATCCCAGAGACTCATGTAGTTTGGGCTCTACCTCTTAACAGCTTATGATCTAAAGCAAAATGCTTTACCTGCCATGCCGTGGGTTCTTCCACTTCAGATAGTGGGGGTGTCGGGAGCTAGCTGAATTAGATGTTCTTTTTTCTAAGACCTCCTGCAGATCAAAAACCAAATAATTTAGTGAAGACTGAGGTGAGTATACTTAGGTACATGTGAATGTATGTGTATATGAACAACTTTGCTTATTCATATATTTTCTCAGTAGCTAGAAGGGAGTCTCTCATTTTGAGAGAGGGAGTCACTGAAAAAAATGTATTTGATATACATTTGAAAAATTAAAATTAAGGCCAGATTATGCCAATGTTTTTTTTTTAAAAAAATACAACCCTTTGGCTAACTCTCCCATATCCAAATCTGACTCTTAAAATGCAAAGACTTGCTTTAAATCATAACTCTCTTAATTAGGGTCATTGCTACAAATGAAAACCGATTTGGGTGCTCATCTAATAAGAAAATGCCAGTTACGGTATATTATCAACCCCGACTTGCCAGGCATTGAATTTCCTGATATGGTCTGCTGGGAACCTTAAATGAACAAGAGCAATTATAAACCTAAAGTCTGCAGCCATTTGTTGGCATTATCTCAGGATAATTTCCCTGAAACATTCATGATGAAATGCAAAGGTAGATAATTTAAAAATCCATTTAAAATAGCTGTGGTATAATTTAAGCTAAGGTCTTTCTCTATAGTGGACATTATACTGAGACTGTGCATTTTAAAATGGATCCTTTACAAATGATCTTTTCTTAGATATCATTGCCCTGGGAAGCATTTTAAACAAGTTTAAATAATTTTCTTAACTATGGTGTGAGTAAAACGAAAACATTTGTACTATTTGTTTTCTATTTAAATGAAGAAAATCAAAAGAAGTTCACCTTGAAGGAAGTCTGCCCAAAGCTCATTATTATCCAGAGGAAAAAGGAAAAAAATGAACAAGAACATCTCTACCTTCTTCTCTCCTGGCTTTTACACAGTGTTAATCTTCACGTTCTTTAGGTGACTTGAGTAGCAAAAAGTAAAGATGTGGTTATTCCGTAGACATATAAGTATGGTGAATATGTAGAGTGAAAAATGGATTTGATTTTTTCTTTAATATTTCCTCTGTCAAATACTTTCTCCTCTGTCAAATAGGTCCCATGAAAAATGTAAGCAAAATAAAACAAAAGCGAGTCTTACATTAGGAAAATGGCTAAGATGGTAGATAGATAGATACACACATACATACATACACACATATATGCATGTTGAAATTGCAGTGCCAGATCTGTAACTTTTCTTTTTATCTCTCTATCTCTCCACCCACCTCTCTTTAATTTCTTTTCTTAAGTTCTTGAGCAGGGACTAAATATCAAAATTGAGGCTCAATACTAGCCCAATTTTGTTGTTGATTTCTCAACTCAGAAAATATGGGTTTGTAATGGAAGTTCTGACACAAGCTTTGCTCTAATAACCTATAAGATGGACCAATAAACTACAGCAATAGCCTATTACCAAGAACCATAACTGCTCAGAGAACAGAGCAAAATTTATTTTGCTCTTTATCTTGCTTGAGGTCTCTAGCATAACCCAGGTGATTTGGGACTTTTCTTCATAATGCAGGGAAATCTCATGCTTAGCCCAGAGAGAAGCCCTAGATTCTGAGAGAAGGTTTCTTCCCCTAACATCCCATTCGTATGACCTCACAGTGAGATTTAACTCATCTCTGAAGAAATTTAAATTGGGATAATATAGAAAAGGCCTATAGATTGTTATTTATGAATGATTTTGAAGAGAACCTCTTGAGAGATTACTAACAATGCTTTTCATTTCTTGGTCTTCTATGTCTTTTTCTTCACCCTGGTGCTGCTTGGATGGATTACTTTAAAAGTCATGCAATAGTCATCTTTCAGAAATTTATTTTTAGCAGCCTCTAATTTCTTCAAGTTCCAAGTCATATCTCAGCCATAATATTTCAATCACTTAATAATGACAACTTGCCGGGAATGGTCATTTCATGTTGCCCACAGTAGAACAATGAATAGCGGCTGGACCTGCTGCCTCCCAGGCCCACATTCTGACCCTTAAATTCATTCTTCTTCCATATATCACATGTCTCTTGAGTGCAGAGTCACTGCTATTCACATAATAAGGCTCATAGTTTCTGGCGCTGAACTCAGAGTCTTACATTTTTAAGATGGGCTTTCAGAAAGATGGATGCAAACAATTTCAGATTTGAGAAAATGATCCCTGGGTGACTGCCCCAGACACTGTGAATCTCCTACCTTCTTCAGATTGTAGTGGCTTTGATCATGATTCAGCCTAGAGATTTTTGTCTCTTGTGTTTGGCCCGCTAAGGATTTAATTTCTCATTTGCCTTACCAGAATCTGGCATTGATGATTTTCCCTGAACCATTCTCTGCCTTACAGTTCCATCGTGACATCCAAGCTCCTGCTCTCCCTGGGTTGTCACATTTACGTTTCTGAACACCTTCCTTTTTTCTAATCCCCAAAAAACACCTTGGTCACATCACTCCATCTCAGTAAAGGGTGATTTTAGGGTTGGAATAAAACTGTTTTTTACCAAAAGCTGGGCAAACTGTGCATCTACATGAAAAGCAAACTCACAGACCAAAAGTATAACTCTATCAGAAAATGAAACTCAGGGGAGTTGTGTATGCATAGTTACGAATTATATACTAGAAAAGAAGAATAAAATATCAAGGAGTAAGAAGGAAACAGTGGTGAGTCAATACATCCCGTACAAAGATCTTTCTCTACTACTTTGTCGTCTTTCTCTCAGCTTGTTGGTTGTTACAGTAAATAATTAGAGGCAAAGCAATTCTGATCCATTTTATGTGAACATTGTTAAAGGAAATAAAGGTGGAGGCAGACAAACATAAAAACTACTAAGAAACCAAGAACAGAAATGGCTAATTATAGAGCTGCTATTAAAATGCGTTTTTCCCTTTCTTGAAACAGAATTTTTGTTGGATAATTAACAGACCTACAGGGCCCATTACATTCTCAGACTCTGAAGGTATTGATCCTTCTGTCTCTTGCTGCCACATTTGTTCTTTCTGGGTCTTCTTCCCCTGAGAATTTTGCTGATTTCATAATTGGAGGGTGGAGTGAAGGCTGGGGAAGTTACCAGAGATGACCCGCTGTGTGTGTGGTTGGTGGGGGTGCTGGGGGTTGCCGCTCTCTCCTCCATGCAATTTCCCTGCTTTATTTTATTTTACTTTTATTCTTTGGTGATTTTCACACTTGAAAGGTTCTACGTCAGGATATTGTTTTTAAAAAGCAAAAACATTCAGATGTACAAAATACATATACTTAAATTCAAACACATATTCTATCACTGGGGATATATTTCTCCTGTACAGCAAATGGTTCCATTTAAGCCAGAGCCCTCTGTGTTTGGTCATTTAAAAGAAATGGAGAGCAAACAATTTTTACTATGCTGAACTCAATTCACAGCCAGAAGCTCTTGGCTGCTGGTGAATTTAATAATGAGATAGCTCATGCCATTCCATAAAGAGATTTTGCTTTGAGCAGAGACTTCCCTGCGAAGACCTTCTTCTTGCTTCTCCTTCAGGACCCAGGATAGAGCCAAGTGGACTTCTGGGAGTATTTTTCTGGGCTGTGAATGGGGGAGCAAGGGAGAGGCAGGCTTAGTTTTGAAGGCTTCTTGGAAGCAAGCTAGGTGCCAATTCATCTTAGGGCAGTCTTGTCAAAGGAGAATGGGGTCTTCTATGAATATTGCTTTTACTGGCAACAAGCAGTTTATGAGGCTCCTGACTCCATCCAGAGTTTTCCATTAGCAAATAGTTCCCACGAATGCTCTGACCAGTATAAAAACCACACCAAGCCATCTGATCATAGGTAAGGTGCAGTCATGCAAGCCAAAATTCAAGAAGTAGACATGGAGAAAATGTAGGACTTCTTTTCTTTTTATAACCTCCTAAAATTAGATTTTTTAGAAAGAGACCTAATTTTAATAGTAGAAGACTCATTTTAGTACTAAAGAGCAGTTCCAGATTGAATATACAGAGTGAAAGGATTTTTCTTTAAACTTCTGTATGTTCTTGAATGTGGATCTTACACACAGTAGGACCTCAGTAAGTTTTTGCTGGCTGATCATAAATTACATTCTCTGGGAGTCAGTGAAATAAGGAAGGAAAAAGAGAAGGGGATTTAGTGTTTAATTTCTCTGCTGTATTCTACTCTTGCGTATCTTCTGCAAAGAGTTGAGACTGTGGTATTGGGAAATTGGTGATGTGGACAGGCCCTTATTCCTTTATATGGTCGGATTAACAAAACAGATAGATGAGGGAGGAGGAAGCAGGTGTCCGTTACGGGAGAATAAGGTTAGATCTATTCTGACAACCTGGCAATGGAAAGCCTTTTAATTCAGAGGGAGCCATGAAATCCCACGATCTAACTGAAGGTAGTCCTTGAATGCTAAGAATTCACGCAGGGTGTAAGTTCCCTTGTGGGTTCACCCTTTCGGGATGTCCCTGGCCATTCTGGTTCGCAGCAGATCAGAGTAGACTGCTGATCTGACATTCTCATGTGTCGCCTGCCTGTGTCGCAGCTGTAACCTTAACACCAGGGCCTGAGATTTATTTCTGACATCTGGCACAAGTCATCAAGACAATACAGCCCAAAGTTGAAAGGCAGCAAGTGTGCCTATGGCTGTCACTCAAACCCTGTCTATGTGCTGGGCTCCCCACACCCTTGATTAACCAGCCTCGTTAGAATGTAATCTGAATGTCCTTATCTCTTCGGCCCTGTCTGTGGCTTGTTTCATTTTCTTTTTTCTTTTTGAGGCCAAAAGCCTGAACAATAATTTGATTCTTTATGTTCGGCAGTACTTTTAATGGTCATTTCTGAAGTTTAGCTGGTTCATAACCTCTGTAATCACAAGGCTTGGCATTTTTCTTCCTGAAGAATCTAAGGGAACAGGCAGGAATCTGTCCACATTCTGAGCCCCGGCCGTGCCTCCTTTCATCCTTCTCTCTCCCACACATGCCCTCGTGGCTCCGCCACTCACCCCCCAATGCAGGTCTGTCAGTGGCAGCGAGAGGTCGACATCAAAGCTCGTTCCCAGCCAGCGGCTCGCCTCTAATGCTGGCATTACAGAGAGACACGGAGAGTGAGTGTGAGAGAGAGAGAGGGGCCAAGGGAGAGAGTGAGGGAGAAGTACTGGATCGCTTGAATGGCCTCTCACACAGAAGGAGCCTGAAGAATAGAACAAAACCCTCCATTCTCCCGCTCTTTGTAAGACTCTGGGGCAGAATGGGCATGTGTGGTGCACAGCCGGGTTTGAACTGCATTAGCACTCTTTCAGTTTACAAACAAGAGGCCTAATTTAGAAGAAAAATCTCCTATCTGATTATTTCTTTGTACTCATCCATGTGGAAAAAATGTCTGTTCAGGGTGGGGGTGGTATTGAGGTGGCTTATTAATTCTTGAGGCTGAATGATGATTGTGAAGGGCAATTGGGAGATCATTATTCATCCTTAATTTCCAGACTTAAAAAAATAAATTAAGGACTGCTAGTTTCGAGCACTATATAAAAATATTAAGCAGATCTTATTGTCACTCTAACTAGCTTTTTCACAAGCAATGCAGCAAATACTTGTAGTATGTGATCAAATGCCTCCTTTCTCTTAATTATGTCTCATGGCAATATGAGGGGATGCAATTAGGGTCACTGATAGAGAGAAAGCTTCAGATAACAGATAATTTTTTGAAAACTTCTCAGTTTCCAGCACCATGACAGGTACCGATCCTCTGAGTCCAGACTGCTCACAATATGCACCAGAGGTACTGCCATCAGGTTTTTCAAATGTGATAAGCTCAGATAGGTGGGGAGGAAATGGACGGCAGCTTCAAGGCTAGATGATTGTTAAGTCTTTTTTGTTTGTTTTGTTTTGTTTTTGAGTCGGAGTCTCGCTCTGTTGCTCAGGCTGGAGTGCAGTGGCACGATCTCTGTTCACTGCAGCCTCTGCCTCCTTCAGGTGATTCTTATGCCTCAGCCACCAGAGTAGCTGGGATTACAGGCACGCACCACCACACTTAACTAATTTTTGTATTTTTAGTAGAGACAGGGTTTCGCTATGTTGGCCAGGCTGGTTTTAAACTCCCGATGTTAAGTGATCTACCTGCCTCGGCCTCCCAAAGTGCTGGGATTACAGGTGTGAGCCACCACAGCCAGGCTGGTTAAGTCTTATTGTCAGATGATTCCAAAACTCTGCTGAGAAGGCTTATTAATTTCTCAATAATGAAGGAGAGGAAGAAATGTAAAGTGGAAAATTCTGCATGGTAGGGGGAGAGTAATGTTTTCTTAAAACAATATTCCAGTTTTTTATAAGGTAGGTGAGGTAGAATTATGCCATGGAAGAAAATCTCTTCTGGCATTTTGGATATGAAATATGTTTTAAGGAGAAATAAAATGAACCCAGACATTGGTTTTGGAATATGTCTGGTCTTCCATTTTAGACAGTCCTTTTGTTCACTTTCATATTGGCATATTTTCCTAAGTTCTCAGAATTTAGATACTTGGTGGTCTTATGACTGTTACTGAGATCCTACACAAAGTCACATCCTTGGGAAAACAACAGAGAAATCCAACCACTCATGGCTGGGGGCAGCCTCTTGTCTACAGGTAAGAATGAGAGCTGAGTTGGAATTCTGGACTTGGAGAATATCTTCACTGGAAATCTGAATTTAGAGACAGTATCGTTAGCTCTCAACAGTTCAGATGTGTTCTTTCCTTGAAGGCAAGAAGAATGAAAAAATATTTTTTATTGCACGTGACCACTGATTGATCAATGGGGGTTACCTAGCGTACAAGGTTAAAGGGAATGCTAAGATTGCACCTGGACTCAATGGCAAAGACGTGATGTTAGATTATTGACATCTGCTCTGTGTGCCTATGTTTGCATATTGACAGGGATAGTGGCATGCACACTGCATTTTTTTTATTCCTGGATTGGGTTATATAAAGAATTCTTTCATTCCCTGAGATCCCAGATACTACAGGGCTATTATTGACTTCTATTTTATCTTGTAATTAATAATAAGGTGGCTCTTGTGATTCAGCCTCGGTATAGCAAACACCGCTGGTCCTATCTTCGTTGACTTTATCTGCTTAGGAGAAAGCTACGTTCTGCCCAGTTTTTGTGGAGAGGGAGTTCATTTTGCTTAATGTGTTGGTGGTAGATCTATTATCCTGGCAGTGTTTTGAAAAAGGGCATGCAAGGCAATTCAGATCAAGAAAGTCTCTTCCCTAAGTCACAATTTGCTCAATTTTATTAGCTTTAATGAGGGATTCGAAAGAAGAGAGCATTATCTTCTGGTCTTTGTTTTGTGAGAAGGTAATGATTAGAGCTGTTCTATCCATGATAGGACAAGGCTGAGGGGAAAATAATAGCATGCTGAGTGCAGCATTGCAAAAAGATAGAGAAAATCTGCTTCTCTGATGAGGTTGTTGAGCTCTGAAAAAGCCAAGTTGGAACTGCACTATCTGCAGACTTCTTGATCTGTGAGCTAAATTCTACTTATAACCCAACTCAAGACAGGTATAAAACATCAGTGGAAATCTGCTGGGTATGTGCCCATGAGAAAGGGAGGAGGTTCTGAGAGGAACTTGTAAAGAAAGGCACACTGGAAGAAATAGCACTTGTTTGCCTTTGGCCACTGTTCTGTTAGAATGTGATGCTTGGAGCTTCTCTAGCTGTCTTGTAACCACAAGATAAGAAGCCCAGGTATAGATGCCTGGGCTCTTACCAGCACTCTGAAGTGCTGGTAAGCTGACTTTATTGAACAGTAAGATCAACTGTCTTTAAAACTAATGTACCCTTTTTTATTTTTTATTTTTATTTTTTTGAAATTGAATGTTCCTTTAATTTTCATGGGGCAATGAAACAAATAACAGGAAAGGTTTTAATATAGAAATAAGCATATGTCTGTAACCTCTGAAGGCTAAATGATATGATGAAATACTATACAAAAGATGGTTTCACCCTAACTTTGTAAGTTCATTGAAGTCTATATAATGTTCATTAAGCTGAACATATTAACAGTGCATAACTTGATCAATTTTGACATCGCTATACACCTGTCAATACTGTTTTCAGTGTAAGATCTTTTGCAGGTAGTTGTAGTGGTATTATTTGGTAAGCTTCAGTTTCTAATTAGTCATTGCTAGTATATTTTTCTGTATATAATTTCTAATAATATCCTTTTTATATTAGTATTGTATCTGCAACCTTTTTAAACTCATTTATTCTGTATCTTTTTTGCAGAAAATGACAGATTTCTAAATAGACAATATATGATCTATAAATAAACTCAGTTTTATTTATTTATTTCCAATATGGATGGCTTTTGTTTGTTCTTCTTGCCTATTCCATTGGTTAGAACTCCCATATAATATTGAATAGAGATTGTGAGAACAGACATTCCTATCTTACTCCTAATCTGATAGGAGGGGACATTCAGTTCTTTATCATTAAATATGATGTTAGCTGTAAATTTTTCATAAATTTCCATTATCAGATTAAAAAATTTCCTTCTATTCCTGGTTTGCTGAAAATTTTTATCAGAAATATTAAATAGATGGATTTTACCAATGTTTACGTTTGCATATAATGAAATAACTATAGAGTTGATCAATTTTGGTTTGTTAATGTGGTGGATTATCCTGCTTAATCTTTGAATGTAAACCAACCTTGCTTTCTTATGATAAACTCCACTTTTTTATAATATATTATAATATCATTTGGATAAATTGTTGGATTCAACCTACTAAAACATTGTCTAGCATTTAGGCTTCTATGTTCACGATGGATATTTTCTTTTTTCTTTTTTTTCTTTTTTTTTTTTTTTTGAGACGAAGTCTAGCTCTATCGCCTAGGCTGGAGTGCAGTGGTTCCATCTTGGCTCACTGCAACCCCGGCCTCCCTGGTTCAAGGGATTCTCCTGCCTCAGCCTCCTGAGTAGCTGGGATTACAGGCATGCACCACCACGCCCAGCTAATTTTTTGTATTTTTAGTAGAGATGGGGTTTCACCATGTTGACCAGTCTGATTCTCGAACTCCTGACCTTGTGATCTGCCCGCCTCAGCCTCCCAAAGTGCTGTGATTACAGGTGTGAGCCACCGTGCCTGGCCTAGAAGAATATTTTCTTTATTTGTTATTATAATTTATGTGCCTGAATTTGGTATGCATGTAATATTAGCCTCGTAGATTACATTGGGAAGTATTTTCTCACGCTTAATTTTCTGAAAGAGCTTACATAGAATTAGTATTTTATCTTCTTTAAATGTTTGTTAATATTCACTCATGGAGTCATCTCAGCCTGGGGTTTTATTATTTAACAAATATTTAGCCATATATTTAATTTCTTCAGCAAATATAGGGCCATTCAGATTATCTGTTTCTTTTTGAATGAGCACTGGTAGTTTGTATCTTTCAAGTGATTGATCCATTTTATCTAAGTTGTGGAGTGTATTGACATCATGTCCTTAATATTTCTGTATTAGATCCGTAACATCTGCAGAGTTTAAAATGATGCTACCGTCTCACATTCATGGTATTTATAATTTATGAATTCTGTCTTTTTCTTTACTGATAAGGCTAGTTAGAGGTTTGTCAGTTTTGCAGATCTCCTCAAAGAAGCAGATTTTGCTTCATTGATTTTTCTATTGTTTTTATGTTATCTATTTTATTTCTACTTTGACCTTTCTAATTTTCTTTCGTCTTTTTACTTTCGTTTTATTTTGCTCTTGTTTTCCTTCTTTTTCTTAAGATGGAAGCTGATATTAATTTGATAACTTTCTGCTTTTCTAATTTAAGAAGTTTCTTGCTATCCATTTTTTGGTAACTCTTGCTTTAGAAGCATCCCACCTATTTTGGCATGTTGCATTTTTGTTTCCATCCAGTTCAAAGTGCTTCCTACTTTTCCTTTTAAACTCAGTTATTGGGTTGTGGGTTATTTTTATGTGTGTTATTTTGTTTGCAAATCTTTGGAGATTGTCTGGATATCTTTGTGTTAGTAAATTCTAATTTGTTTCCTTTCTAGTTAGAGAATATACTTTGTACCATTTGATTTTTAAATTTTATCCGCATTTTATGGCCCGTAATACAGTCTGGCTTAGTAAATGTTCTCTGTGCACTTTTTATATGCATTCTTCTATTGTTGAGTAGAGGTTTTATAAGTTTCAATTAGGTCGAATATTTTGAGAGTATTGGACATCTTCTATATCCTTACTGGTTTTTTGTCTAATTGTTTTATCACCTATTAAGGAAGGTTGATTCAATCTCCAAGTATAATTGGGAGTTTTGAATATTTCTCCTTGAAGTTCTATCAGTTTTTATTTTCGTATTTTGAAGCTCTGTTATTAGGTACATAAACATTTAGGATTGTTATCCTAAATATCCTAGGATTGAAATATATCCATTTATCATCAGGAAATGTCCACCTCTATCCATAGTGATATATTTTCTATGAAACATACTCTATCTGATATAAAATAGCCACTCTGACTTTATTTGACTATTATTAGCGGTGTGTAACTTTCCCTGTTTTTTTCTTTTAACCTATTTGTGTCTTTATATTTGAAATTCATTTCCTATAGGCAGCATAAAATTGGATCTTGCTACTTTATTCACATAATAATTTCTAGCTTCTTAATCAACTTTTTAGACTATTTAAGTTTAATGATTATCAATATGATTGGATTTACATATACCATGCTTCTATATGTTTTGATAAGCTACATCTCTTCTTGGTTCCCTTTTCCCTCTTTTTTCTACGTTCTTTGGGATTAAAATTTTTGTATGGTTCCCTTTAACTCCATCATTAGTTTATTAGCTGTCGCAGTACTGTTTGTTAGTGGTTGCTTTAGGGTTCATAGCATGCATTTTTGAATTATCAGTGTTGACCTTCAAACAGTAGCACATAAATTGATACATATTACGGAAACCTTACTGTGTTACTCTTCCATGTCCATATTACCTTTTCTTTATTATTATTACTTCTACATGTGTTACAAACCCTTTTAAAACATTATTATGTTTTAAATAATCACATTTCTGTGCAGAAGATTAGAAATTATGATCAAGCTTATTTAAATGAAAGAGAAAAATTATGTATTTACCCATGTAGTTGCTATTTCTGGGCTCTTCATTAGTTTATGTCTGTATTTCTCTCTGGTATAATTTTCCTTCTACCTGAACAACTTTTAACATTTATTGTAGCATTACTCTGCTGCTGCTGAATTCTCTCAGCTTTTGTGTGTCTGAGAAAGCCCTTATGTTTTGCTGGGTATATAATTCTAGGTTGAGAGACTTTCTCCATGTTTAGTACTGTAAAGAAATTTCTTCACTGTGGTCTAGCTTGAATTATTTCTGAGAAATCTGCTGTCATTTAGATGATTGTTCTACAAATAATCTCTTTCTCCCCATCTCTGGCTGCGTTTAAGATTTATTTTCATTACTTCCTTTAACAATTTCATCATGATATATTTTGGTGAAGTTTTCATCACTTTTCTTTATGCCTGGAGTTTTTTGAGATTCTTGGATCTGTGGGTTTATAGTTTTTATCAAACTTGGAAAAATTTCAGCCACTATTTCTTTAAATAATTTTTCTCTTTCCCTTTCCTTTACTCTCTCAGGGACTGCAGTTACATGTATACTAAGTCTAAATTGCTTAAAGTTGTCCTATGCCTCACTGATGCTATGTTTACTATATTCAGTCTCTGTGTGTATGTTCTTTTTATCGTGGATTGTTTTGTGTATTTAGTTCAATAATCTTTTCCTTTTCCATATCTAATCTACTGTTGGTTCAATCCATTGTATTTATCACCTTGTATATTATACTTTTTATTGCTGTAAGTTCAATGATCTATTAAAACATTTATTTGTATGTTTCTTGTTAGTATGGACAATCTTTACTTTCTTGAA
Organism: Homo sapiens; assembly: GCF_000001405.40. Lineage (NCBI taxonomy): Eukaryota > Metazoa > Chordata > Mammalia > Primates > Hominidae > Homo > Homo sapiens. Next base: position 97,722,155 of record NC_000015.10, on the reverse strand, counting down.
TATATAGAGTATAATATAATAACTTTTAAAGTGTTCTATTATCTTTGTCATTTCTGGGTCTATTTCTATTGATTTATGTTTCTCTTAATTATGGGTCACATATACCTAATTATTTATATACCTGTTAATTTTTTATTGAATTTCAAAGTTTGTGGAATTTTCCTTATTCATTCCTGGATGTTTTTATGTTTTGGTAACTATCCTTTTGCTTCGTAGTGTGATTATCTCATTCAATTTACCTGGAAGTGTCTTTTTTAAAAAACTAAACATCCTGCATCCCAGGAACCTTTCTATCCAGGGAATAGTTTGATGATTATTCATCCTAGTTATTCAGAAAAATTTTGATCCAGTACATCTTGCTTTTAAACTTTATTAACTGGATTCAGGGCATCATTATTCTAAGGCTAAACTTGCGCCACTAGTGAGGCAATATGCTTCTCAGTTGTCTGCCTGATTATTTTTGAATTATGATATTTTTTTGTGTGGCAGTGAGAGCAATAACTGTGTAAGCTTCAGGGATTATTCCTATTGCTCCTTTTAGGTGGTTCCTTCTCTGATCTTTGTCTCTTTTTTTTTCACAAACATGTACCCAGGAGTACTTAGCTGAAGCATCAAGTGTGACCCTTTGCTAATGTCTGGAGCTATCTATGCAGCTCTTTCTTGTCTGGTCTGCTGCCCAGTATACTTTAGCTGATTTTATCTCTCTAGAATTCTAGTATTGTCTCCTCAGCTCCTGGAGACCAGTAGACTGACAGGTTCTCTTTCTCTGCATTGTGGCGTGGCAGATTTTTATAGACTACCGTCTACACAAGTACAATATAGTGTATCTACATTTACTGATTCTTTGTGTGATCACACCTTTCAAGTTGCCATTTAAATAGACACTGTGGATTGCTTATTTGGTAGCCCTTTACATCCTTTCTTACTGGCAGAGATCTGATTTTGTTTAGATGTTCACCTGACTTCCTTCCTCCAACTTGGGTAGATTCTGATTAGAGTAAATTAACACAGACATTATATTTGTAAAATTAATCCCCATTGAGGCATGCAACTCTAAATCAGTTCTTTCCCCACTGCTGTGAACATTTCATTGTGTAAATACAAAGGAACTTCAAAAAATTCACAGAAAATGTGTATTATGAAGAAACTGTGCATGGATTTCATTTTTTTGCACCAAAATAAACTTGTACTAACTTGTTATAACATGTCTGAAGGGGATCTAGTTTGAGGTACTAAGAAGGATAAGACATCAGTTTGAAAAGAGCCTCTATCAGAGCAACATAAGTTCTGAAACAAGAACAAACAACAAATTTTTGGTGAAGCTTGGGTGGAGAAGGGTGAAATCATTGATACTTTATGAAAAGTTCATGGATACTATGCCCAAAGTAAATCAGTATTTACAAATGAATAACTCATTTTAAGAAGGCATAAGACAATGTTGAAGATGAAGCCTGTAGCAACAGATCATCTACATCAATTTGTGAGAAAAAATTTCATCTTGTTCATGCTGTAATCGAAGATGATCCTATGGTTAAAAGCAGAAACAATAGCCAACACTATAGACATCTCAATTGATTCAGCTTACACATCTCAATTGATTCAGCTTACACAATGCTGACTGAAAAATTAGAGTTGAGCAAGCTTTCTATTCCATGGATACTGATACTGTTATGACCAGATCAGCTGCAGACAAGAGCAGAACTTTCAATGGAAATTTTAAACAAGTGGAATCAAGATCCTGAAGCATTTCTTTGAAGAATTGAAACAAGTGATGCAATATAGTTTTAACAGTATGATCTTGAAGCCAAAGCACAACCAAAGCAATGGCTACCAGGAGGTGGAAGTGGTCCAGCCAAAACAAAAGCAGACCAGTCAACAGCAAAGATCACGGCAACAGTGTTTTAGATGCTGAACGTATTTTACCTGTTGTCTTTCTGAAGGGCCTAAGAATGATAACATCTGCTCATTATGAAAGTGTTTTGAAAAAGCTAACAAGAGCTTTAACAGAAAAACAACCCAGGAAAACCTCATCAGTTTTTCTTTACCATGACAACACTCTAGTTCATTCCTCTCATTAAACAAGGGCAATTTTGTGAGAGTGTTAGTAGGAAATCATTAGGCCCTCACCTGAAGGTTCTGATTTGGCTCCTTCTAACTTCTTTTTGTTTCCTAATCTTAAAATGTCTTTAAAGGGCACCCATTTTTTTTCTGCAAATAACAATGTAAAAATGATTGCCTTGACATGGTTGAATTCCTTGGATGCTCAGTTCATTAGAGATGAACTAAATGACTGTATAATCTCTTATGAATATGTTTTAACCTTCATAAGGCTTACAGTGAGAAATAAAGAGTTTCTTAAAAAATCTTTTAATTCCATTTTTCCCCAAACTTTTAAAAGTCCCCTCTTAAAATGGATCAATCTATTTTCTTTTCAACGGTTATATTGATACTTTCTTGCTTTTTTTTTCATCTATGATACTAATACCATGAGCATCCTTGTGCATGCCCTTTGAAGTGGCAAATTTTATTGTTTATTTCTTTCTCCAAAGAAACAACTTTCACTTGTATTCCTATATGCTATGTTTCTGTTTCTTATTCTGTTTTCTTTTTCTTTCTTTAATTCTATTAAACAGTGTGCTAAAGAGGCAATTCAGAGCATTAAGAAAAACAAAAAAAACAGAAAAAATCAGTCATTGTCATTTACTTGGGGTTGTATTGACCATTTTAATTTTAGTCTTATGTATTTATGTTATTTTACAAATAATTAATAGAATAATAGAATTAAGAGAGAAAGGATAGTGAAAAACAAGTTTATTGGAAATTTTAGTAAGAGTATAAACATAATAAATTCCAAGTTTTATTCCAGATTTTCTTTAAGTATAAACACATATTAACATATTTATAAATATAAATATTATGCCCCAAACAAGCAATGTTTTTAATGCAAATAACTGCTCATCAACTGTGAATATTTATCTGGCTTGTATATACTGATTCCGGGTATCAAAACATCTCTAAAACTCCAGCTTAATGTTATCAGTTTCTTCTTGTATTTGCATTGTCAAAATAAATACTTTTGAAAAATCTGATGGCTCATCGTTTTGTTGAAGGGTTGACTACCTTCTTTGCTCTATTATGGAAAATGTTTTCTTATTTTGACTAATAAACAAATTATTATAATCAATTCAATAAGCTTTTATATATTTCATATCATCTATTCCTTTCTAATCATCTAAATACCTGCCTTCAGCATATCTCTATGTAAAAACTGTATTTTGGAGGTAAAAGCTGTAGATACCTGCTACAAGTATCACTGACAAATATAGGGATGTCAGGCAAACACAGCATATGTTTGAGAAGGGAGCAAAGAAAGGGTGATAAGGTGTTATTTTGAAAGCACCTTGGCTGGGCATGGTGACTCATGCCTATAATTCCAGCACTTTGAAAGGCCAAGGTAGGAGGATCACTTGAGGCCAGGAGTTGAGACCAGCCTAGGTAATGCAGAAAGATCCCTATCTACAAAATATAAAAAATAATTATCCAGGCATGGTGACATGCACCTGCAGTCCTAACTACTTCAGAGGTTGAAGTGGGAAGACTGCTTGAGCCCAGGAGTTCAAGATTACAGTGAGCTGTGATTGTGCCATTGCACTCCAGCCTGATTGGCAGGAGTGCAATAATAATTAATAAATAAAATAATTAATAAATAAAAATAAAAATTATCTCACATATATTACTCTTAATTTTCATTCTAAATGTTGTTTTATGACATCTTCCATATTTCCTAAGAGATAAAATTGTTCTAAATTTAAAACTTATTTTTCTGTCAAGAAAGGGCTAATTAATATTACGAGAGTTGAGATTTAATATTATTTTATTGTATTAATAATGATCTCAATTATTTCTTTTGATTTTACTCCTTCTAGGTCAGTAAACTTTGTAAAGAAGAAGTATGATTTCATCTGTGTTTAATTTAAGATAATTTTGTTGCAAAGAAGAGAAATACACTAAAACTTTCTTAGGTGGAGGGGTTTATGAAAAGGGATGATGAATGGAATCTTGTGAAAAATCCAAGAAATGGAGTTATACCAGAATTACAGCACTGAGCCTCTATCTTTTGTAGCTATTGCTGCAGAGTGCTGTGTAACAAACTGCCCCAGGCTCAGTGGCTTAAAATAGCAAACAATTATTTCTCACTCCCAGGTCTATTGTCTAGCTGTAACTCTACAGGGACAGTACAGACTCTCCAGGCTATCAGAGGATTCAAGTGTGCTCTACCAGATCTCATTCTGGGGACAGACTGAAGGAGCAGTAACTACCAATGGCATGCTTTTCTCAAGGTGACCTTTGCAGCATAAGAGACCAAGGAGGTGACATAAGCACATCAATGGCTTTGCTACCATCTTGACTGCTGACATTCTACCGGCCAAAATGATTCACGTGGCCGAGACCAATAGCAGCGGGATGGAGAATTAGATTCCACTCAAAGTGGGAGGGTATCGCAAAGTTCCATGACAATGCGTGTGAATATATCCTTATTATTCACTGGATTCGGGTATTGGGACCCATAATTCAATCTCCCACAGCTTTCTTGGAGGCTGACATGGGACTTAAGGCTATTCTGAGGTTCTTAGCAAAGAATTTTGTTCCTTTAATTTGAGATTACTATCTCAGGAGTTTAACATGTCATGCTCCCCTCTTTGTAGTGTCCTTGACAGTCGAGGTCATTAAGACTGTAGTCAGTGACATGATCCCATGCCTCTTCTGCTGCACTAAAACTTGAAAGAATCCACAATGGCCACGTGGCAGTAACAGCTTTCAATTTAGGGGAACTACTATTTGATACCATGATGGAAGCATCTCACTCTTACATTTAAAACCATGAGATATACAGAACTAGAGTCTTTATTAGAATAGCTGACATTTTGCTTGCAAATCATGTGTTGTAATTCTGCATGGTGGCACATTTGTTTTTATATCTTTTTATGCTTTTGACTGTGGGAGAATCATCTCTATATGTCAGTAACTGATTTGTTTCATATGCCATATACTACAAGACAATATTGTGACAATGATATTCAATAATTAAATCTACAGCTGAATATTCAACTGGGCATTTGTATTAGTTTGTTCTCACACTGCTGTGAAGAAATACCTGAGACTGGGTAATTTATAAAGAAAAGAGGTTTAATTGCCCTACCGTTCCACATGGCTGGGGAGGCCTCAGGAAACTTACAATCATGGTGGAAGGCACCTCTTCACTGGGCAGCAGGAGACAGAATGAGTGCTGAGCAAGGGGGGAAGCCCCTTATAAAACCATCAGATCTCATGAGAACTCACTCACTATCAAGAGGACAGCATGGGAGGAAACTGCCCCTGTGATTCAATTACCTCCCACCGGGTCTCTCCCATGACACGTGGGGATTATAGGATTACAGTTCAAGATGAGATGTGGTTGGGGACACAAAGCCAAACCATATCAGCATTCCAGTATTCTATTATGTCCACTGCTTATGGATGATAAGTACATGGTGTGACCAGGAAATACCATTTCAACCTCCCTAGGCAACTGCAATAAGAGTGGGACTATTTCCAGCACACTTAAAAATTGCTTTGTTTCCTGCAAATGATGCCCTTAACGTTTCACCAAAATTAGGTGATGCATTAGAACTTAACGTTTGAGGCCCAGTCTGTGTGTTGGATATATCACTTTGTGTCAGTTAATTTCTCGGTGGTATTCTTTGTTACTTACAAAATAGAAACAAATAATCCTAGTTGCCGCTGCAGATTGAATACCTGCAATGCGTGTTTCTTGTTAGGGTGGGCTACACAGAATGGTTGGAGGATAGAGCAAGGCAGCAGCCATATAGTAGTAGTACACACCCTCTCTCAGTTATTCTGTCAAACATGAATCTAGGTGCTACTGCGAATGTATTCTGAAGATGTGAATGAAATATTTAATACATTGACTTTAAGTTAATCAAAAAATAGATCATTCTGAGTAGCCGTGCCCAATAAGGCAAGCTCTTTAAGAAAGGGCATAGGTCTTTCTTGGGTCCAGAAACTTCAAACAGCTGTTGGCTATGCAATTGCTCTCCCTACCCTCTGGGTTTTCCTTCTTGACTGAGGCATGTGGACAAAAAATTCAGCCTGTATGCCTAGGGTTCCAGTCTGCTTGTGATCTGCCCTTCCCAATTGCCTCGTCTATGAACTTTGAATTTCTCTAGCTAGCCCCAACAATTGCATGAACCAATGCCTTGAAATAAATCTCTTTATTTATGTACATATAGACATATATAGATAAAGATATAGACCTATATCTATATATTTATTTCCATCTAGATACCTATATCTCCTACTAGTTCTAATTCTCTGGTTGAACCCTGACTTATAGAGACCATCAGGATTCTTCTAATTTAGCTTCCAGAATGCCAACTGGCATTACCAATTGGATGAAGAAGGATGTTCCACAACATAATTTTTGAATCCTCAGTTATTTCATGAGTAAGTCTTACCAGTCAACAATGTCTTTAACCCCAGATAGATCTTTGATATTTTAATCAGACTGTATTCCGTATTAAATAGGACTGGAAAGCCAAAAATCACAGGACATTTAAGGAACACATCCAGAATGAAGGCAAACTGAAATAAATATAGAAAAGGAATCCAGAGAAAAAGGAAAGTAGAAGAAAACTCCTCTTCATTCCGCAAAAAAAGTAAACAAAGAATTCGTATCCTAAGACAGTTAAGAATAGATATCTCACTCATGAAAGAACAATTTGAGATGAAAATAATTGAGTTGAGAATAAGAAGGGACTCGTGGAAACTAAAAAATGTTTCAGCCAAAATAAAATCTCAGTAATCAGGTTAGATGTTAAACAAAAAATATTAATAGAGTACATATTACACGATTCAATTATATAAAATTCAAGAATAGGCAAAACCAATCTATGGTGATAGAAATCAGAGCAGTGATTATTCTACAGAGTATGGGTGGAACTGTCCAGATGGGGTCATGGAAATGCTCTATATTGTAACTGTGTGGTCACATGGGCCACACAGGATGGTCACATAGGCCTACAGGCTTCCCTCGCTTATTCTCAGGAAGTAAGTTCCAAGGCTCCTGGTGGATGCCTGAAACCATGGACAGAACCAAATTCTATATATAATATATTTTATCCTACATGTAGATGCCTATCATAAATTTATGAATGAGGCACAATAAGAGATAATAATAACTAATAATAAAATAGAACAATTATAACAATATACTGTAATAAATGTTATATGACTATGTCCTCTCTCTCAAAATGTCTTATTGTACTGTACCTTGGGTAACTAAGACTATGGAATGTGAAACTACAAATAAGTGGTAACTATGGTATACACCCTTCAAAACTCATTCAACTGTACATGTAGAATCTTTGCATTTCACTCCATATACCTTTTACTTTGATTTAAAAAATCCTGAAAAAATGGAAACAAAAAGTGAGAGATAATTATTTTAAAAAATAAGAAATTCAATATAAAATCCAGGAGATTCAATATTGAACTGATAGGATTTTCAGAGTAAACCAACAGAATGAAATTATAAATTAAACAAGTTACTTCTAAGAATCCAAGGCTATGGATTCCCAGATTCAAATGCCCCCACTAAGAATTCAAAGTAATGAATGAGAAAAGACCAGCATCCAGGTAACATATCATGCCATTTCAGGAATTCAGGAATAAAAGTTTTAAAGCTCTCAAAAGGAAGAACAGATCACATATACATACAGAGTAGGAAGAATCAGAATGTCTTTGGCCACTTCAAAAACAATATGGAAGAGAAGAAAGTGAAAGAATGTTTTTATAATTCTGAATTTTTTTTTTCAACCTAAGACAGGCCTAAACTATGGATCCGTTGTGAGGAGAAATAAAGACATTTTCTTCTAAAAGTTCTCAAAGTGTTATTCTTTCATGCTTCTTTCTCAGAAAGCTACCAGAGGATATGCTCCGTCTAAATAAGGAAATTAAGTCAAGGGAGTGAAAGAGAAAGCAGGGATGTGTGCCACCAGACTAGGGCAGGACATGCCTAGATGACAGCTGTGCACTGGGCCTGGAGACAAAACTGTCCAATCTGGGACAAGAGGCGGCCTGAGTATTTAGAAGAATGTATGTTTGTGTGTTTTTTTTTTTTAAATACCATTACCTAAAATATAAGATCAAATTGAGAGGAGTTTGGGATAAGATTCTTGACAGGTACCTAGGAAACTAAGAAAAAATATTACATTTATTAACTTCAGGGGAGAAATAAAAACAAGAAGTTGAACAAAACCGTGAAATACAGACAGGAAATTTAGTACTTTCTGCTGTAACTGTAAACAATATTTAAGTGGTCATGGTAATGTAAACACTAAATATTGACTATTGTTTTATAACTCTAGTGAGAAATTGACTAAGAAAGTATGTATTTGTGTGTGTGAGGGGTGGGGTTAAGAGCCCCACAGTAGAAGTCAACAGGTAATATCTAAAACTGAACAATTGGGAAATAGCAATGCAAAGTTATTATTTATAAACATGGGGATAAATACCAGAAGCAATAAATAAAAGAGTTGAAAATGGTTTGTTTCGAGGGATGAGGATCTCGAGGGTGAAAGGTCAAGGAATGGCTGTTTTTCATTTTATTGTACATTACAAAATGTGTCCATTTTGCTTTTATACAAATATTAGGAAAAAATAGAACAATATAGAGAAGACTCATGGGGCTGCCCTGAAAATCAAACGTGATAACATGACATACCCCTGTTAAACTGTAATTTGCTATATAAATATTTGTTATTATTGTCACCATCATAGAAGACAACATGGATAGATCACTATAATAGGTATCAAGAAAATGGAGACCTTATCACAATCCTGTCACTCACTGCCTGTGTGAAACAGGACAAATCATTCATCAGCTCAAAACATCAACTTGTTCATTTATAAAATAACCTAATTTCTGCCTGCTCACTCTATAGAGTGGTATGAAGCTCAAGTACATGTGAAAGTATTTCACTAGCTATAATTGCTGTTCCTTGATGGATAATGATTATTATTTCAAAGATCTGACTCAATAGGCTAAATATGTGGGAAATTTTAGATTGACTTAAAATCACATTTGCCAAAGTGATTTAATTCTGCTTCCGGAGACAGGCCATGTAAGAGTTTTCATTCATTCTTTCACTCATTCATTTCCCCGATAAATAAGAGTATAAGAGCATGGGGGATGATCTGAATATTGTGCCCACTGGCTTTTCTTGTTCTAAGCCAGTCTGTCACCATGGCTTTTTGACTAACATGGGTTTACTCTTGCTTTCTGTGTCAGGCAGGAAAATGAGAGCATAAATATTTAACCTTCAAAAGGGGACTCGTTTACTGGAACTTTGACTGTACGAAACACGGTTATAAATCTTTCTGAGCTATTTCAATATGCGTAAGAGAATGAGACCACATGAATGACGGAGTGAACCTTAACCTTTGACTGTTTAAAAGCATAGTTTTTTTTCCTCTCTCTTAAAAAAAGGGGGCCTGTGAATGTATATATGTTTGTCAGACATACATGATGAAATTTATCTCTTAAAGTGGCCCCTCCTTTTTTTCCTGTGCTCTGAAATTTATAACAAGTCTGTCAAGAAGCTGAAAGGAAATTATATTTTATAGCTGCCTATAGGTTTTGTTATGCTGGGAGAAAATCATTTCACTTTGCTCACAATAGACTGAAAGGCAAATTCTCATTCTTTGGCTGCCTGTCAATAAGAAGAGAGCAGAGGATTGATCTTCAGTGCAAAGATAGGCGACAGATTCCTGTAGACTGAGGTCCATTGTGGTACTTATATGTGTTTCTGAGGGTTTATATTTGATTAAAATAAGTTGTTAACCAGCAAACAGAAACAGTTCTTTCTCTATGCATGATACTGTCTTAGATGCTAATACAAGATGTAATCTAAGTAGATGCAGAGGTTGTGCAAAAACGCTTACACACTCAAGCTTGGGAGCAAACTAGAGCTGAAGCTGTAGGAAGGAAGAGGAACAGAAGTTTGCCGGTCCCATGTGCAGATGGTTGTACATTTGCATGTAATATTTTATTTAACCATTATGGTCTCCTTTACAATCCACATTCCACACATAAGAATATTGAAATTCCAGGAGTTTAACTTTCCCTCAAGTCACTCAGGTGAGATATGGTGGAGCCTGGAAAAACCCTATTATGTCTTGTCTGGGTCCTTTTCACCTCTTACCTTCATTTTGATTTATTTCAACAAACAAAGATTTACTAAACACCTAGTATGAATCAATCATTATCCCTGACCTCAGGGCATTTTGAGATTTTTTTAATTAAAATAGATGTTTTATTATCATCTTACCAAACATCTAATTTACTGTATCATATTTATAGATGGCTAGTATTAATGTCATATTAAACTTAGCACAAGCCTTGATTCTGAAGACAGTTTTTCCATCGGGTGAAATACCTTATGTATGTGTTGTTAAAGCTCTAGGTTGTGACTTATTCTCCCATACTTCCTCTCTCTTTAGCATTCCCCATCTTAAACCATAGCACCATTTCACACCCTGTAGCTCAAAACAAAATGCTACAAACCACCTCTGACTCCTTCCTTTCCCTGTTCCCCCACTGTGATGCATTGCCAAACCTTGTCTGTATTTATAGTATCTGTCAACTTCTTGTTGCTGCTGCTTCCTCTCCTCTGGCTCTACCCAGTTCCCAGACATTATCTTTCCTCCATAGGCTTTGTATTAGCGTTCCCCAGAGAAGTAGATCTAATAGGATAGATGTAGATATAGATGCATAGGAGATATGCCGGAGGAGAACGAGGGAAAGTCCATATTGCAATTCAGTCTGAGGCCAAAGGCTTAACCCTGTGGGGTTCACCAGTGTTAAACCATGCAGTCCAAAGACCCGAGAACCAGGAGCTCTGATGTCCTAGGGCAGGAGAAGATGGAAGTCACAGCTCAAGAAGAGAGAGAACTCACCCTTCCTCTGCCATTTTTTTTTCCATTTGGGCCCTCCGTGGGTTACATGATGACCACGCACATTAGTGAGGCTGGATCTTCTTTACCAGTCTCCTGATTCAAATACTAATCTCTTCGGGAAACATCCTCACAGATATGCCCGGAAAGATTGTTATTCCAGTTCTCTGGGCATCTCTTAGCCCAGGCAAGTTGACACATATAAATAAGCATCATCGACCCTATGGCAACACCTTTCCTGCTTCTACTGTTACCCTAATCGATTTATCTTCCACATGCAATTTGTGCCAACCTTTTTCAAACATAGATGATCCACTGCTTTGAACTCTCCCAGGATTTCTCATTTCTCTTAGCATAATCTCCAGAATCTTTGCCATGCGCACTAGCTCCTGCACTGTCTGGCCTCATCTCTCTCCACCTCATCCCACATCGCTTGCCCCTTGCCCAGGAGGCTCTTCCTCTGCTGCCCCTCCCTGGTTGGTGAGTACGCCAGAGCCTTCCCACATCTGGGCCTTGACACTGGAGGTTGCGTCTGCTGGAAGTTCTCTTCCCTCCCTAGCTCCGCTGCATAGATGGATCCTTCTTAATCCTCAGGTCCTTGCTCAAATAACAACTCCTTAAGGAGAGCCGAGTTTCCTAGTGAAATTGACCACCCGCCCAGTACCCTACGCCCCAACGAGTCTTAATAGCGCTATTGACAATCTGCAATTAACTTGATTATATCATCTTGTTCTTATTAAAATACTCTGTCTGCTAGTGTTCTGCTGTCGTTCTAGCACTGAGAACAGTGCGTGGCACCAAGGAGTTGCAGCAGAAATATCTATTTAATGGATGCATAAGCCTGAGTGAGTTGCTCTAAACATTGTAACTGAGGAGAATAATGAACCTGTGAGCTCACTTGGAACCTGTCCCTATTCTTGCCAATTGTTCTTTGTTGAATCCACCTGCAGGCTTTGCCTTGCTAGGGCCTGAGATTGGCTCCTGCTCTAACAGAAAACAGAACCATCTGTGCAATGCTCCCTCTCTAAGGCAGAATGCCTCCCTTAAACCCCTGGAGTTGATGCTTACTTTTGTTATCATGCAGCTTTCATACAACAGACATGTGGTTAGTGCCTGTTCCGTACCAGCCATTAGTTGAAGTACTAGACATAGACATGAAAGTGTAGTCTTCCCCCAGTGTGGTGCAGTGGATAAGAAGATGAATGCAGCAACTGGGATGCCTGGGTTTAAATCCCAGCTCCACCTCTTACTAGCTGTGTAATGTTGAGAAGATATTTAATCTGTGCTTGCCTTAGTTTCTTCATATGCTGAGTGGAAGAAAATAATAGTACCTACCTCATAGGGCTGTTTTGTAGATTTAATGAATGTATGTTTGTAATTTCTTAGTGTTTCATGTAAAGTAACTGCTATGTAAATACCAGCAAATAAATATACTTGTAAATAAAATATTACCCTTTTCCTAGAAGGTGATAGGCTTTTGGCGGCTTATCACTGCCATGGTGTTAAGCTTCATCAAAAATCCTCTTCCCTAACTCTTCTTGCTCACCCTTCTTGCTCAGTACCGGGGGTATTGGTGGTTCCTGGGCCTCACTGGCTTCACTTTTGGTCTGCTGGTAGTCCTTGCACATAGCACGGCGTTTCACTCATGATAGATGTGCAATGCAGAAAAAAAAAGAATTAATAAAATGAACTGTTGCATCTTTTAAGGTCAACCTGACATCCGGGACTCTGCAGCCCCTGTCTTCTCTGACCTTCACTTCCTCACCAATCCTTTAAAACTTCCCTTAGCATTTGTGATCCATGAATTTCATGCCATCTCTTTACTGTTTTAACTGTGCAATTGCTTCTGGACACCATTGCACTCCTTCCTTAGAGCTTATTTAGCTCACTTTTTATTTGAATCGATTTTTTTTTGTTACAAGAAAGTTCTAGCAGCTGACCTGGTAGCATACAAGTCCAGCTTTCTTCTGGTGTGTTTGTGGTCTCTCTGTAAACTTAATTTTTTTTCAGTTTTTGAAAGCAGAAACAATATTTGGGAAGTCTCACTTTTAATCAGTGAAGTTAACATGAAAGTGTGACCTCTAAGCCAAACCTTTAAACACTTGACTTGACAATTTATTACTTTGGCAGTTATTGTTATTAGACCAACCCTAGGAACAAGTAACTCATCTAAAACACGTTTTTCGCCTGCTGTTGTTATTAAGACAGGTGCAAACCTACATGGCATCAGGCAACCAGTCATTTACAGACAGCAAAACATTACAACCTGGAGTTACCGTCCACACTCCAGACACTTGGCATTGTGACCTCCTTGTGCCTCAATAAACTGGCCATAAAAATTGACCTTTTAGTGAAACAGATCTTTTCTTAGAGATAGGAATGGTTATATATGTTAATTATATCTCTGATCTCTCAAAGGCACATATAGCCGTCATTCAATGTGAATCATCAAATGTGGCCCAAACACTTCAAAAGAAAATCAAATGGAAAAAAATTAAAGTGTTTTTCTTGCATTTGCGTATGTATCAGTACAATTGGATTTCTGACTAAACAGACAAAACTGTTTGCTTTTTATAAATGTACTTAAATAAGTCGTAATACTGATATAGCTATTCCAGTTCTAAGTGGGATCTCAAATTTAACTTAAACATCGTAAAAGTCTCCACACCCTAAGTCTGGATTAGGTTCAAATGAGCTAAGCAGCTGGCTGTTTCATTTTCATTGTTTTTCTGAGTACATGGTGTGTCAGACTTTTCTCAAGAGTGAATGAGGGGGCCACATTTCTCTTATTATAAGCTAAACATGTTCTTCCAGTATAAAATGTCTTTAAAAGAGAAATTGTACTGATAGGAATTTGGGGAAAGTGGGAATAAAAGCTATATAAAATACATAGCAGAAAATACAGAGACTTTACTCATGGCGAAGGTTATCCTTGAAATCTTTACTATTCCTTTAATAAACGACAGGGTTATCTCCCGCTTTTCTAATTCGCAACATTTTAACAATAAAAATAGAAGTTTTGAGAAGTTCCTAGAGGCAGGTAAACTCACGGCCACATGGACTGCCAACTGAGATCCTCAAAATAGAGGATCGAAAAATAGTAACAACAGCGTTATTGAAAGTAACAATTATAGAAAAAGAGTTCTTTGGGGCCACTTAGGATAGGGATAAGTTGTCTTCCTGGAGACACTCCTATTGCACCCTAAGGCTAAATTTAATATTCAGTATAATGATACCTTAGAGGCAATTCCAATTCTTCTAATATGTAAGTATGTGTTAATAACAGATCTCACTGTTAGCAAGAGTTCCATCCAAAAATATAAAAAAACGGGTATGTGTGACTGCTCAAAGTATTAAGCCTTAATCACTGGAAAATTCACTTATGAGACATATATTATCCTCAATGCTTCATAAGAATGGCAAAGGAATAATCATTAATAATAAAGGTAGTAATAATTAACCACCTCCCTGCCAGGCTTTGTTTGAAAGACGTTGCATGATGGTCTCACATAATTCTTACAATAACCTGTGAAGTAGCAACTACTGTCATCTTCATGAGGGCATTGAGGCACAGAGAGGGTATGCATCTTGCCCAGCATCACACAGTGAAGACAACATTCAAACCTGTATGCCTGAGGTAGAAGCCCTACACCATGTCACCTCTCAGGTCTCAGGGCAGTCAAGTTCCAAGGTTCCATGATCTCAGGGACTCCCAGTGAGTTCCAATGGGGAAAAAGATAAGTGGCATAATATTAGCAATCTATAATTTTACTAAAAACCTAAAAATAAAAATAAATATGTGCTATGAAATTTTAGTGTAAACACCCAATTTGTTATATTGTACACTGTCTAATCCTATACAGCTTTGGCGATCGAATCAGCTTTCACAAATGAATACATGATTTAATAAAATAACATTTTAGACACTGTAAGTGAAGCAAACATCCTACGTAAGGAATACAAAGAGAAGCCAAATACTAAGAATCCTATGGGTGCACACTTTACATCTTAAAAGAAGAGTTAAAGAAACCACAGTTCAGTGCTTTTGGGGACCTACTACAGATTCAGATACTCATGGAACTGGGTTTCGAGTCTCCTACCTAGACAATAGGAAATCCATTTGTGAATTCTAAGGACTAAAATAGTTAAGAAATATAAACTCACAAGAAACACATAAATTCTTGATAATTTATTCAGTATACAGCAAGGATTGGAGATCAGTGTAATATACAAGATCTCCTGCCAGAAAGCTTATGTTGAGTAAAACGAAACAGACTTTATTCGTATTCTTGTGCTTTTCTTTTCTTTTTTCTTTTTTTTATTGAGATGGAGTCTCTCACTCTGTTGCCAGGCTGGAGTGCAGTGGTGGGATCTCAGCTCACTGCAACCTCTGCCTCCCGGGTTCACATGATTCTCCTTCCTCAGCCTCCCTAGTAGCTGGGACTACAGGTGTGCACCACCATGCAATACAATTTTTGTATTTTTAGTAGAGATGGGGTTTCACCATGTTGGCCAGGATGGTCTTGATCTCTTGACCTCATGATCTGCCTGCCTCGGCCTCCCAAAGTGCTGGGATTAGCTCTTTTCAAGTCCAAATTTCCCAACCGTGACTCTTCAGTGCCCACCTAATCTGGCCCTGCTCACCCTCCATCATGCTTTCTTGCTATGCCCATGCTTGTTTGCTGGGCTCCTCAAAGTTCCTCCAGTTTTTCTGAGCACTTACTCCCCTCAGGCCTTTGGACTCACCCTTCCCTCTGCGGATGATGCTGCTAAACAGAGTAATCTCAGTTCTAAGTGTCATGTGCTACTTCCCTTGGAAAACCTCCCCTGGCCTAGGTGCCACCATGTGATCCTTTGGGACCTGCCTCCTGTCCTTAGCACTTACCCTTTTGACCTGTGACTGTTCCTTTGGGTGTACCTCTGGTCCCTCCCTTCCTAGGCTGTAAGCTCCACCTGTGCAGGGACAGGGTTTGTCCTGTTTGTCTGTCCCAGTGCATACCACATGAGAGGCACTGAATATGTTTCTTGACTGAATAAACAAATATATGATTTTATTATAATCTTGTTTTTCTACAGAGGGTTCCACTGACAAAGTTTGCTCACCTGTGTCATCTTATTTACCATCTCGACCACACTGAGCCCCTCTGAGACATCAGCATGGGGCCTGGGACTGCCAGCCCACCTTTAGCACACGTGAACTGACAAAGTAGGGTTCCCCCACCCCTATTTTGTAAGCTTATTCATGTGAGAGGTTTTCTAAGAAATTTTAAGGAAAATTACATTTAATCGGATATTTGATGAAGATCCATTTATAAAGATAAGAACATTTTACGAGCTGCCTAGGAGACGCCCGGAGCTGGGGCCCCATATGGACAAAGCTCTCGTTTGCCAACAAAAGCAGTTCTTCCCTATCCCCAGGCAGCAGCTCTAGAAAACGATCTACTGTCATTTGAATCCTTTTTACTGACAATCTCCCTTTACCACATGGTTTTCAGTGCGCTTGACAGAATTTTTTGTTAAATCATATTTCTAAGCTTAGAGTGTGCGTTTTCCCTATTTATCATTCTGTCCTTGGTCTAAGTTTCTCCTCAAGGCCACTTTCACTTTTCCGACAGGCTCAAGCATATCTGAATCGAGAAAAGCAGACATGATTGAAGCGCATTTATCTCCACTAATTAAGAGGTGAGTATCAGTTCTAACAGCTGGGCCCTGAGAGTGTCACTACAGCAGTTAAAGCAATGGGCTTTCCACAATTTGACATATTTCTTTCGCATCCTTCCCAGGAAAGCTTACCAATAAGGTCCCAGCTCCTTGTCTTGGCATTGAAGGTCTTCCGTCTCTGCCCCAAGCTACCTTTTGGACATTTGTCTCCTTTTAGTTCTGTGCACACATTAGATGCCTGTGGCCCATGCAATACTCCTTGTCTGGAACTTTGCTCCTAATGTCCTCTCTACCTAATGGCTTTTATCTACCTGTGGGAATTACATTAACTCTTAATTCAGCAAATGTAATAACACCATGGCTTACCTACCTATCCTAGGCATTAGGAAATTCTGTGTTTTTGTTTTGTTTTGTTTTTTGTTTTCTCTGAAGGGAATGGTTGTCCCCAGTAAAACTCACCTGAGAAAGAAATTGCTCCTGGGAAAGGAGCAAGAGACAAGGAGAGGAACAAATATGTACCTCTCTCAGAATGGGGACAAATTGGTCCAAAGTTCAAGTTGTGAAGATTCCCAGAGCCTTTCTGGAAGTATCTACCCTTGGAAAATTTGAAGGAGGTTAGGAGCAAGCAAAGCAAGTGGTCTTCCCAGGAAGGCCCTATTAATAGATTGGCTTGGGCAAATAGTTCAAGTGGTCTGGGGCCAGGGTAATACAGAATAATTGCATCTGGGTAAATAGCAGTGTTTTTGCTTGCCACCTTGGAGAGGAACACGAAGTTTCTCTTTGTTCAGGTTTAAAAGAGCTGTTGGAGATCCGAGTTGGTGTTGGAACTTCCACTTGTTCTTCAGCTAGGAGCCTGCTAGCTGTTCCGGGCACTCCCATGTTATAGATACTTTGAGAAAAAAAAAAAAACCCTTGGTTGTCTGAGGCCTTCTATTTCTAAGATAAACCATGCTGCCACTCCCGAAGGTGGTTTCAATGACAGAGTATGTCGTTGTCTTAAAAATGCTGTGTATCCCACCTCTTGAAGACAACTGGGGAGGAGAGGCAAGTGTGTACAGGGACCAAGTAATCTTCTGGAAGAGAAAAATAAATATTCAGGCACCCTGCCCTTTTGAAAATAACATGATAGAACATCTCCAATGATAGTGAAACCCTATGGGAAATGTGACTGGGCCCAGCCACCTCCCAGGAGGAAGTTTAAGATAGATAACCAAAGCTCAGTCCCAAGACTGAACTGGTTTTGGAGATGTAGCTGTTAGAAACAGAATGGAGCCGAGACCGGAGTCCTTTCCTATCCAAGCCAATGGGGTGGGCTTTGAAATCATGACTGTGCATTAAGCATATAATGCAGAAGTGTGCCATTTTGTGTCCAGGCTTATGCCAGGCTGAGCTGAGATTGTAACACCAGATGAGCCTCCATTTCATCCCGCTACACCTGGAGAAGCTCCTGTGGGAGGAAGACTCATGGAGACACTTTAAACTGGAAGCAAGAGACCCCAGGGAAGAGTGTTCTTAGGCAGAGGGAACATAACATGCTAACGTGCTATGAGGGGGTAAGTTTGGCTCACAGGCGCCAAACAGGTAAGTGACAGTTCCAGGTATCTTCAGTCTGTTTATGAAGCACATACTGGTGTACACGCAGCTACTGTTCATTTCTTTACGCATTTTTAATGTTATATTTTGAGACGATTGCAGATTCACATGCAGTTGTAAGAAATGATGCAGAGGGATTCCATGTACCCTTCACCAAGCCTCCCACAATGGTAATGTTTGCATAACTACAGTATGGTATCTTAACCAGAAAATCAACATTGTTATAATTCACCTAAAACATTTCTCCAGTTTTATATACCCTCATTTGTGTGTGTGTGTGGGGGGGGAGGTGTATTTAGTTCAATATAATTTTATTACCTGTGTAGACTTTCATGACTACTAACACAGTCAGCGTGCAAAACAGTTTGAGGACAATAACGCCTTGTTCTTGTTTTGCATTCCGTCAAAACGTATTTAAGCAAGCCTGTGTCAAATGGAACCCTGAAAAATATGGCTTTATTATACTGATGTCATTAGAGGTCTTCTGAGTAGTTTAAAGTATACAACAATCTGTTTAGTTGGGCTTTTTGATCTTAATAACAAGATCACTAAGTGGCAGTTCTACATGGTGTAAGGCTAGAAGACAATCTAGTCACAATTCTCGAGACTGAGTTGATCTAGAAAAGGTGTTGCATCAATTGCTTTGAACACCTAACACATAGAACCAATGCACGAATACCTAGCTCCCTGGACACCTGATCAGTGACCAGTGAGCTGGAATAACTAGATGAACATTTAGAAAGAATAAATTCATTTGGAACAGAATAGTCTTAGAAATACTGTACATTTCGTTCATTTGAAAAATATATAATATCAATTGTTTCTTCTTCCCATATCGACATGGAAACTAGATGTGGTTAATGACTCAGCTGGTAGTGATTACAAATAAGGAGAAAATGACCATGTTAATGCTATGGAGTACTAAGGTACCATGCTGGAATACCATGCTGGAATACTAGTATTGACAGTGATATATTATTGAAAGCGTGGTGGGGTCATTATTGTGTTGTATACTCCCACCTGATAGAGAGTCAAAGTCCAGGGCCAAGGTTCCCCTGTGCTTCCTATTGGAATTCTCCTCCCAAGAAGGATAAATGAAGAAGCCTGGAGGTAAAATTAAAGTTTTCCTAGGAGTGACTGCATAAGGATAGATATGGTGCTGGAGGAGAGTGTTGAGAAAGAAGACGGGATTAGGCTGTACTGGAAGAGCTGAAAATGGTGTCAGGGAGCCTGTCTGATCACTTTGTTGGTCTCTGACCCTAGATCCCACCACATCCACACTCTGCTCCTCTTTCATTTAACACTTCTATTGCTCACCCCACAAAAAGTAGATAGAGTAATACTAGTGTTTCTCTGGGAAACACTTCTCATTAATAAACATTACA
This sequence comes from Homo sapiens, assembly GCF_000001405.40. Taxonomy (NCBI): domain Eukaryota; kingdom Metazoa; phylum Chordata; class Mammalia; order Primates; family Hominidae; genus Homo; species Homo sapiens. The sequence goes on along the minus strand of NC_000015.10, from coordinate 97,702,503 downwards.
AAAGATACTTAATCTTATTAATGACCTGGGAAATGGGAATTTAAACCAAAAGTATGATGCTTTGGAATGATAAATAATCTCGGTCAGGGAAGGATACTGAATAATTGTTTCTGAACGATAGACCTTTGTTTCTTTTGAAACGGTAAGGTAGAATATAAGTCTCTGGACACAACTGATATATAAATTAAAATAATATTTTGATACTTAAAACAGCATTGTGCAATGGAGTTGCAGTTATTAGACTTCCCCTGGCCAGCTGCACGTGGACTAGGATGCAAGTGGATGTGCCACATCACCTGGATTTTGAGGCTGCAGTTCTGGCTTTTGGTCTGGAATGCCCTTCAGTCTCTGCTGATGGCAACCCAGACTCCCAGAGGTGGAAGGCAGTGATGATGCCTTCTAAGCTGACCTCAAATCACTCACATCACACCCTGGAAGGAAAAAGCCAAGATTTGCTTGAAACTTCTTCGAGAAAATGTACCCAGTCCTCCCTGGTCCATTTATGCTTTCAATCCAGTATTTTTCTTTTATTGAAGTAAAACTCACTGCCTCATAACTTCTTGACAGCAGCTCTATGCTCCAGAGTACACAGAAAAGTTGAAACCTGTGTGCATATGACAGGCTTTTAAAAATGGGAAGACAGTCCTCATGTCTCCCTCCCAGTGCTTTTTCTTTCCCAGATGAAGTAACTACTTCTATTTAGTGGATGTGAGCTGTGCAAGGTACATCCTTGATGTGTTACCCACATCGTCTCATGAATCTTGTCAAGAGCATCACCAGAGAGACATCATTATTGACACTTTCAGATGAGAGAATTGAGGTTCAGAAAGGAAATGGCCTCAAGGTCCCCCAGCTGTGTTAAAGCTGAGGCTGGAGCCCCAAACGACTCACTGCAGAGCGGATGTTTCTTTTATGCAGATTAACTCCCATGGCTAAATGCCCACCATGCCTTTAATCTTCCCTTCATATCCCAGACCCTATATTATCCTGTTCTCAGTGAAACCTCCTGCAGTGTATAACTCTTGGTTTTTTCTGCCCTGCCCCTGGCTTCCTTGTGAATGGCTGGTCCCCACATTCTAATCAGAAAGTTACTGTAGGAGCATGTGAGACTCCGTGAACTTTGCTATATGGGATTTAGACAGGGGTGGAATCTTTACATAGGCCACATATAGGGTTCCCTGGGAGTTTTTTTTTTAAACTGGTACTTTGAGAGAGAGGTCATCCTTCTCTGGTGGGGGAATGGTAATATGTAAAAAGTGAGAACTGCTTGCAGCTGGTAATCGAAATTTTTACAGTTTTTAAATTCGTCAGTTTTCTACAAACTAACATCAATCTTGAAGTTTGTAAAGTGTTTGGGCCCTAAGCAATAGTAAGTAGTCAAATGATCCTTAGGAAAACTTGCAGAATGCCATAACTTAATAATGAAGATTACTCCATCCTTTCTGTTTGCCTTACTTGCAAGTATTTGACTTTTTAAAAAAATCTTACATAAGATGTCTATGAAGTGAAGCACTTTCTGTGTGTAATTCATGGTCTTTATAGAGCAACACATTTTTGCCTTACCCTAATATTAGAGCACTAATTTGGAAACCTGAAACCTTTAATTTTGAATGGGGATATCCCAGAAGAATCATCAGAATCACAGACAATCATGTCCCGTAGAAATGCCTATTCCTGCTAAACCCCTCTCTGACAAAGATTCCAGAGGACTGGCATCAGCTCTCTTCTGGCTAACCTAAAATATAGTTTCTCATTTGTACTCCAAAGCAGAGTCCTTAAGTCTTGGACTAAGAAACTGAAATGTAAATGCAAAGTCCAGATTCAAAGGCCATGGCTAGAGTATATATACAAATATATATGTATATAAGTATATTTATTTTTAAATATATTTGTAATTATATATAAATATTATAAACCTATACAAACGTGTATATATTTATGTTTATTTTACATACATTTTTATATAAAGTGTTGATTATTGGCAAGCTTAGAAAGATACCATATTCAGATTGATACACAGATGACTAAGGTTTAATCAGAAGAAGGGCTTTGATTGAATAACCCTTTAGTAGTAGTACTCAGATGTTACTGTGTATAAGAATTGACCAGGAATTGTGTTAAAAGATCAGTTGCTAAGCTCCATACTTAGAGATTTAGTAGGTCAGTGTTAAAGCCCAGTAATCTAGTTTTTAAATAATTTTTAAATGTCATGGATTCAAATGCTGGCTGTCTGGGAATACCACTCTGAAAGGGTCCTTCAAATCTATACTAGACACATGGCCTCACATTAACTGTAAATGCGAAGTTAAAAGTGTATACTTATTGTTAGAGGATTTTTTTCATTTTCTTTTTGTTGCCTATCTATGAAAGGTATTGAATCAGATATAAAAATATCACATGGGGCAAAGTATGGGTAATCCAGAGTGGCTGAGGAGTGAATTCACTTCAAAATTTAAAAAAGTGAATAAACTAATGGACACCCGAATGCTTTTTTGAGCCTATCATTTCTCTTTACATGCCTGATTAGAAGAAAATGACACACAATGGGACACTGAACACCATTTGATCTTTCTACTTTTCTCTTTTTCAAATGGGGATTTTACTGAGGCTTTTTCTGCCTTTCACCTACCATTATTCAAATGTTTTAGGCTTACTGAATTTAAAATTTAGATAATATATTTCAGATGTATAAGGGGCTACATGTAGTTCTCAACTCTACAAGGAACAGAAATACATTGAAGAGGAAAGAGTGGACCTATGACATTATCTCTGGATAAATTAATTAGCTTATTCCTATTTGGAAGGGCTGGAAAGAAATACATTCATGGTAATACATGATAATTTTTAAAAATCCAATACTTGAAGGATAAATACTCTTGAATATAATGTTGAAGTCATACTAAAGAAATCTATAACATTCTAATAAAATCATATATATGAGAAGAAGGACACTTGTCTACTGGGAAGTCAAGGGGTGGACTGTAATAGAAATATTTAAGTTAATTTAATGAATCAATTAATTAGTTAATTTATGTCCTCATCTTCTTCAGGTACATTATTTGTTTCCTTCTGGTGGCTGCATATCCCCCAATTCTAACAATAAGTTTCTCATTGTCGATTCACAGTATGTGTATTGTAGATATACTTCTAGGCACAGTAATTTGATCCATGGGAAAATATTCAAATGAAGCCACACAAATTATTCAGGTAAATAGAATATTTCCTTGATATTAAAAAAAATATATTAAAAAATGAATCAGGCAATCTCTCCCAGAGTTGAAAGATGTCAGTTGTTAAACGCAGGGTTTGATAGTATCATAGTATTTATTGGTGATGGAGGAAAAGAGTCAGAGAGATTGATTATATTCCATTACCTATCCTTTGGACTTGAGACTATTCTTTACTGAGAAAATGACTCTGTTAAAATGTGGTTAATTATTCAATTAAAAGGCAAGTTAAAACATAGAATGTGTGTAACAATAATAATGCCAGCTTTGGGTCAGAGGCACTGGGTGTGTGCCACGCATCCATGACCTACTGTTTGAGTGAACGTGGACAAATCATTTTAGCTCCCTGTGTGTTGAGGGTCTCATCTATATAAAATAAAAATTTACTTAAAAGTTGTTCTGAAGCTCTACTAAATTAATAAAAGAGCTTTGTAAATTGAAAATCATGCTACAAATAGAATGAATAAAAATATAAAATGAATAGGGTGAGGAAAATATTTTTGGCAGTTCTGTCTCAGAAAAACAGCTATGATTTACCCCACATTTAATATGCCAAGAACCATACCATACACTTTATGTATATTATTTATTTCATTTAACCTCACTTTTACCCTGTAGCCTACCTCATATTACCCAAACTGTAAGGATAAAATACATGAGGTCTAGAGAATTTGAGTAGTCTGAACAAAATCACACCTTAAGGTTTGTGCCTAGGATTAACACCAAAAAATATTCCATAAAAAGAAATGCTGATAAATTTGACTCATGAAAACAAAAAGTTTTTCCTCTGTGAAAAAATTCTGATTTGTTGATAAATTTGACTCATCAAAACTAAAAATTTCTGCTCTGTGAAAAGGATAAAAAGACAAGCTACAGACTGGGAGAAAATATTTTCAAATAACATATAGTCTCAAACTCAACTATAAAAAACCTCCGATTAGAAATGCACAAAAGATATGAACAGACAATTCATTGAAGGGGATATACAGATGGCAAATAAACTCATGAAAATACATTTAACAACATTAGCCATTAGAGAATGCAAATTCAAACCACAGTAAGTTAATACTACATACTTGTCAGAATGGCTAAAACAGCAAAATAATGATAACATCAAATGCTGGACTGAATGCAGAGAAACTTAATCACTCACACATTGCTAGTGGAAATGTAAAATGGTACAGTCATTCTGGAAAAAGTTTGGTAGTTTCTTACAAAACTAAACATGTGATTGCCATACAACTCAGCAGTTGCATTTTGGGTGTTAATCCCAGGTAGTTAAAAGTTATGTCATACAAAAGCCTGTATGTGAATGTTCATAGCAGCTTTATTTATAATAGCCCAAACCTGGAAGCAATGCAATCCTTTTTGATGGTGAATGAGCAAACTCTGGCACATCCATATCATGGAATACTACTGAGGAATAAAAAGGAGCAAACCACTTGTCTTTGTTCATGCTGTGCCGCTATAACAGAACACCACAGACTCGGCAACTTATAATAAACAGAAATTTATTTCTCAGAGTTCTGGAGTCTGGGAAGTCCAAGATCAAGCTGCTGGGATCTTGCAAGGGCCTTCTTGCGAAGTTGTAACATGGCAGAGGGCATGATATGGCAGAAAGGTGAAGAGAGGCTAAGAGAGAGAGAAGGAGGGGATAAACCCACTCCCGAGATAATGACATTAATCTATTTATGAGAGCGGAGCACTCTTGACCTAAACACCTCTTAAAGACCCCACCTCTTAATACTGCTACAATGGTAATTTGATTTCAACATGAGTTTGAGAGAAATCAAACATTGAAAATGTAACACCATTTGTGAGGTCCAGAGCAACTCCATCTTGGATTCTAATCTGCCATGTTGACTTCGGATTAATCCTTGTTCCAGGAAGTCCTCTAAGTTTCCAGTTTATCTATTGCTCCTTGTGTAACAGCGGGTACTTACTGTAAATCCTATAAATCCTACCCTTATGTCAAATAATCTTGATGTTACCCTACCTCAACTGTCCTGCACATGCCTTCTGAATCATGTAAAACGCTTCCTCATGTACATGATTCCTGGTTCTGGGGTGTTTGACGCAGGGGTTAGGATGCACTATCTTGTCTTGCCACTGCCAGAGTCATAGACGTGGCTTCTGTTCCCGAGTCCCTGTTAAATGTTTCTTTTTAAGAAACTGGAAGTGTCAGCCTCTTTCTTTGGCCTTTCAGCTTCCTCAGGTTTTCGGGCAAGGTTTCATAGACCTGCCCAATGTGAAACATCACTGATATGTGCAAAGAATTGGACGTATCACAACGGAAATGCATGGAGTGAAAACAGCCAGTCCCAAGATATTACGTACCACATGATTCTGTTTGTGTGACACTTTTACAGTGAAAAATTAGAAAGATGGAGATGAGATTAGTGCTTGTGGTTGTCAGGGTGTAAGGCACAGGGAAAAAGAGAAGGCGATTATCGCTACAGAGGGTAGCATAAAGGATTCATGTGATGCACCTGCTCTGTATCTGTATTGGGGTCACATGTATGTGACTATACATGGATAATATTGCACCAAACTCACAGACAACCTCTGCTGAAATATCAGCATGGTTTGCTGGGTTTCATTGGTGTCAACTTGTTGTATAAATTTCCTGGTTATGATTTTTTTACTATAATTATGCAAGATGTTATCAGTGAGAGAAACTGGATAAAGGGCACATGAAATCTCTCTGTATTATTTCTTACAGCTGCAAGTGAATCTGCAATTTCCTCAAAATAAAAATTTACAAATCCGTGTGTTCGGGCATGGTGGCTTATGCCTGTAATCCCAGCACTTTGGGAGTCTGAGGCAGGCAGATCACTTGAGGTCAGGAGTTCAAGACCAGCCTGGCCAACATGGTGAAACCTTGCTTCTACTAAAAAGAGTTACAAAAATTAGCTGGGCATGGTGGTGTGTGCCTGTAATCCCAGCTACTCAGGAGGCTGAGACAGAGAATCACTTGAACCTGGGAGGTGGAGGCTGCAGTGAGCCGAGATGGCACCACTGCCCTTCAGCCTGGGTACAGAGCGAGACTCTGTCTCAACAAACAAACAAACAAACAAAAAACAAAACAGGCACTGTGGAGTAAATTCTCTGTGTTCCCATCTGAGAATCTCTGTTTACTTTTTAGGTGACATTGGGCATTCTGCCTAACCTTTCATGGCGGCAGTGTGCTCGTTTGGAAAATGGGACTACCCTAACATTTAACTCAGACTTATTGATTAAATAGTTATAAGTATATACATATATGAAGTCAGCATAGTGCCTAGCACAGAGTCAGCAATCAATCATTGTTATTTATCATTGTTAATTGTAAGAGAATGCTGAGAGTTAAACACTAACCTGTCTAGTATAAATTTTATTATTTCATTCAAAATTAAAACGATAGGCCAGCTGAGTATTTTTTTCTCTAAATTCGTTTCAAAGTACTAGAATCACCCAAAGAGCCTTTAAACAGTATCAATACTGAGCGCTCATGTCCCTAGAGATTCCAATTTAATAGCCTGGGGTGCGGTCCAGCAATTATTTTTAATGCTTTTCAAGAAATTCTAATGTGCAGCCTCGGTTAGGCATCACTACAGTGTATGTGTTATTTTCTTATTCTGTCGTTTAAAAGTACCAAGCTGATTTAGTTCAAAACTTGGTGACATTGCCAGTTTTGCTCTCCCTGCTCTGGCAAAGGGCATCATTTATTAGAGGATAGCTCACCGAAAGGATTACAACTCCCCTGGATGCTTAATAATGGAGTGATTACTAATCTATAGATAGTCCACAGTCAGATGGAGGCAGCATTTTCCCAGGAGAATCTTGGAATGCCTCAAGGAATCAGCAGGCACTGGAGCATCAATACGTAAATTCGGCTCAGCTAAGACCCAGCACAGGCATGAATGGGAACATTTGGAGAAGAATTTCTTTTTCTAGTCACCTATGAATGACAATTTTGGGCCTCTCTTTTAGAGCAAATTATGCTTTTCAATTCTTGTTATTCAATAGCAGATAAAAGACATGGGAAATATTCTAATCGATACCACTTTGGTAGTTTTCAGGAGAAGAAAGATTTAAAAAGAAGAAAATTTGTTTGGTTTTTCAATATTCTATGTGTCTTAATAAAAGAGAGGACCATACTATTGAATTAAAAGGTTTTTTTTTTGTTTTTCTTTCATTTAAAAAAAGTTGTATGAAATTAATATAAAGGCATTCCAACTTATTTACTTGTTTCAGATACAATCTCTTTATTCCATGTCTGCACGCCCTCCAGCTCACACCGTGGGGCCTCTAACCTTCCACCATGGTCCTCCCCTGGACTCTCTGTGTGTGCAGATCCTCTTCTGGAGCAGAACTGGGTTGTCACAGGCCTGGAGCGTGTGTTTGGAAGGTTCTGACTTTGCTGTCTTGGGAATCAGTTGCCAACAAGGGTGACCAAGCTCCTCAGCTAGAGACAGGCCATGTCCAGAGGCCCTGCAGGAGGACATACCCCCTAGAGGGAGAGGCAAGGGTAGGAGAGCCAGCCTCCCGCCCCTAGAGGGAGAGGCAAGGGTAGGAGAGCCAGCCTCCCGCTGACAGTGAGCACCAAGGCCTGGATGCAGGATGCCTGCCTGGAGAACATCCGGCCCAGCCCAGCCCGGCTGCCCGCTGAACCCAGCCTCCTTGTGAATGGTGTGTATAGCGGAACTGTCCAGGCCAACGCAAAAGCATGGGAAATAGAAAGTCCTTATGGTTTTATGCCACTTAATCTGGGGGTCATTTGTTATATCTCAATTGATAGATGAAACTCATGCCAGCTTCCTGATTTTAGGAAGAGTTGATCCAATTTGTCTGGTGCTCAGGATCACAAATATCTCAAACAATGCTCATTGGTACTCAGTCTCTAAAAATTCTATTGATATTTTTCTTAAGAAACATAGTTCTTGATGACTATCTTCTTGAAGACATAGACACGCACCACTACCACATTCATTAATAATAATAATAACAACAACGACAACAAAACTAGTATATTGTGATTTGCTTGGAGTGGCCAGCTTCAGGAGGGAAATGAATAACTGTTTTCCAGACTCAAGGAAGATTCAACTCGAGATGTAACATTAGGCAGGCAGGCAGGCCAGTGTTGAAGCACTGGTTTACTGGGCCGGAGATGGGTAGTTCACAGACTCCATGCATGGTTTGACTATGAAAGAGGAGTCCATGAACACAGATTACATGTTCATTCTCTCAATGCAGTTTTTGGCTAGGTTGCATTAATACATATTCATCAATAGATCAGTAGAAAAACGCTGAGCTCTGTTAATCATACTATAGATCTGTAGTCAAAAGGTGTTTTTTTTTTAAAGGTGTTTTTGAGGAGAAGTAATGTGAAAAAGGGAGCAAACCATTTCATAACACAGATTAGATGCCACATAATATACAAAGCTAAGAGAAAGGAAACTTATTTTGGGCTCCAAAAATGTTGGGATGTGAGACTGAAATTAGTACTCATGTTTCTGATGAAAGGTCTCAAACTGAGTACTGTGGATTATTCTAGGCCATTAATAACCACAAACTGCTTGAAATAACCATGGCAACAACCAGTAGCTATGTACAGTACAATCACCCTGATTACCATAGAATTAGCACAAAACAAATGTTTGTTCTTTTCCTAAATAGATGTATTATGATGATGATAACAGCTTCCTATTTACCCCAGGTTTTCCCATCACCACTCCTACTCCAAACAATGGAAAGATGACATCTTTGCATGATATTTGTTTCCATTTCTTTTTTTCCTTAAATAAATTTTATTGTATATATTTAAGGTATGTTTCTGATTCTTTTCTAAAGAGCCTAGGACAGTGCAGAGGGGAATGGGTGCTAGCCTACCTTTCATTCCCATCCCCCTTTGGCTCAGTGATACACAAGAAAACGTAACACACACTTTGATTCATTGATCACCGTCTGGGCTCCAGGAGGAGGGATTATAACCTTTAAAAATGTGCCTGGAAGCTTTAAATTCAAATGGCCAGCCTGAACTGCATGTTAATTGAAATCATGTAATTTTGGTGTCTTTGGTATCCACAGAGCATGGGCCCCAAATTTCATCTGCTCCTGACACAGAGACGTAAACACACCCCAGCCTAGCGCATGTTAAGTTACCTGTCTCTGTGCCGCCATTGTGTACAACTCACAAAGACACAGCCAGACCAGGTATCATCGAGGTAGGCCAGCAAGTGAAGACTGAAGTCTAGTCTCAGCCTCTCAGCTTGCTGGCATTGTGAGCCGTGACGACAGCTGGCACTTGGCTGTCCCCAAAACCCCCTTTCACAGTACCCAGCACCACGCTTCCACATGCGATTGAAGCAATTAGCTGCCGTGCGGCTGATGTACCCCGCAGAGGACTGGTGGCTCGTCTGACACATCTGGGCACAGAAAGTAATTGAAACAGCTGCTTCCGCCCATATGGCAGCAAAAGCTGGTTGTGCAACGTCTGCTGCCTGGGCTGCACCAACCTCGGGCAAATTAGCCATCATTAATCCCCAGATCTGACCAGCATACACAGAGCCACTAATCAAGACAGCTGGGGGGTTGGGGGAGGTGGCTGAGAAGGACAGTCCCTTTAAGATTGCTAAATGGCATCCCAGGTTAAAAAATAAAACACACACACAAGCACAAATTGCAGTCTTCCTCTTCCAGAACACTTTCACTCCCTCTGCCTGGCGAGGACAGGCTGTGTCTGTTGGTGCTCCTCGTTAGGAGATTGCTAAAATAGCAGTGCGACTTTCTGGAAGTGTCACACTGCTCTATGCAAGCCTGGCATCCTGCAGTTATAAATAGCTGGTTGCGTGGAGAGTGAGAACACGGTATTGTGCTGTCGTGGTGAGCTGGCTAGCCATGAAGCCCAGAAAAACCACAGTAATTGGGGGCCTGCTTGAGAAAGGGGAACAGCACCTGACTTGGGTGGGGGAGCACAGGCAGCTCTGCCTCTCTTCTGCAAGGTGCCATGCATGGTTTGGGCAGGATTTGCCTTCCATCTGTCCACTGACCTCTCAGGGATGCGCCTTCTATTTATGACATGGAATTTTCAGGTAATGACTAAGAGTTAGTTGTTGCAAATGAGCCTTGTTGACAGGTGAAAGGTCACAGGCCATCTCGCAGGTAAAGGGTAGCTGTCTCACCTCTGACACAGACATTGATTAAAACACACGCTGCTGTAGCTTCAAAGGACTGTGTTGACTCAACTTCCACACTGTGGGATGGAATAGGCGGCTGTCTTATTTACATTCCAGAACTGATGTCATTATTCAGATGGCTCATCGTTATGCCTGACGGTGACCCATGTAGGTGGTGCAGTGCATCTGGGCAGGGAGTGGCAGGGGTGATGTGTCATCCCAGAGGTGTCAGAGACTCATCCTGAGTGGTAGGGGTACAAGCACAGGGTGGGTCTGCATGCCCCTGTCACTAACCCCTGAGGGCAGAGAGGCAGTCCAGACTTGGGGATTTCAGTTCTTTGAGAAATGGAAGTTTACATAATGAGTTAGATTTGAACAAAAAAAATTAGCTGCTATTAGAGTCATTGTCAATTACTCTGAGATAAGTGTTTTCTTCATTGGTAAGTCTGGACTTCAGACAGATAAGAAGACTTCAGAGAATAACTTCATCCTGTGCTTTGGAAGAGACAGAGGGGATGGAGAGGTCAGAGAGAACTTGATGCTTCTTTTTCAATTCAGCATGTCAAATAAATCACTAACTTCATCTTGAGTTCCATAAGGAGAAGGCTTTCCTGCAATAGAAGCTCTTGTCTCCACTGCACAGGCCCTGCAGACTTCTTCCTGGTGTCAGTGTGAGTTGATTCTACTTGCTTCTTTGGAGAATGTTTTGACTTTCTCCCCACTGTTGTTCACCTCTGCCAACCTGTTCTATGTGATAACTAACAAAAAAGGAATAATAAATAACCCTTGCAACATGAGACAGTTATTCAGATTGTTGCTAATCTTTCTCATCAGTGTTGAGGTCATTGTGATGACTGTTGTTTTCTGGCACTTTTGCTTAGGGCGTGAAGGGGAGGAGTGAAATCCTTCTGGAAAATATAACAGAATAGCAGTTTTTGCCGGAATAGCTACTTGCAGAAACGTGGTCAAAGGTACAGAAAAATATGTTCTGATATATTTTCAAACCCTTCCCATTGTAATTGTTATTATGTTGGGTTGACTTTTAAAGTAGAGGTTAGTTTTACCAACAGTAGGTGATGTGGTTTGGCTGTGTCCTCATCCAAATCTCACCTTGATTTATAATAATCACCTTGTGTCAAGGACAAGGCCTGGTGGAGACAATTGAATCATGGGTGCTGTTTCCCCCATACTGTTCTCCTGGTAGTGGATAAGTCTCACGAGATCTGATGGTTTTATAAATGGGAGATCCCCTGCACAAGCTCTCTCTTGTCTGCCACCGTGTAAGATATGTCTTGCTTCCCCTTCACTTTCTGCCTTGATTGTGAGGCCTCTCCAGCCATGTGGACCTGTGAGTCCATTAAACCTCTTTTCCTTTATAACTTACTTGTCTCAGGTATGTCTTTATTAGCAGCATGAGAACAGACTAATACAATAGGTTATTGTTGTTGTTATTGTTGTTTTGTTTTGTTTTGTTCTGTTTTTTTTGCATTCTTCCCCCTCAGATATTCCTTTAAGAGGATTCTTTAGCCCAATGGGCGTGTCTTCTTCTTTAGTGCATGTTCTGTGTTCTTGTCCATATTTCATATTTATTCCACTTTGGCTGCATGCTTTATGGGGTAGATAATTACTTACCACCATGCATAAATAATAGTATTTATTGCAAAGTAACAATTGCTCATATTTACTAATTTATTTTTATTAATGCATTTATTTGTCAAATATGTATTCAGTGCCCACTGTGTGCTAGGTACTGTGGTATAGCCACTGGGGATGTCATTGTGAACAAATTCTTGTCCTTGTAGAGCCCAAGGGAAAATGTCCCTTTTCCCTCCGAAGGTTTGCTGAAAGTCAGCTGACAAAAGGCAGATTAATAGGAGAAAAGGCACACAAACTTAATAACATGCACGGAAGGGGTGGGGAATCAAAGAGTGATTATCCCACCATGCAATGGGGTACAGATGGTTACATACCCTTTTTCTTAAAGGGAAGGGAGGTGGGGAAGTGTGGATGATTTTAGAGGGATAGTAAACAATTTATATGGGAAGTCAATGGGCTTGAAACACATACAATGGCCAGGGACAAAGTCTGTTTGGCCCATGCAGCAGACAATGCTTGTGACAAAACTCTGTCCTGGTGTGTTGACCGACTGCAGTCTTTCTTCCTGAGATATGAGTTCAGTTAATGAAAATTCCAAAAAGGGGCCAAAGGTAATTTCCTTCTTTGGTGAATCTGGACTTCAGGCAGATAAGGAAACTTCAGAGAGCAACTTCATCCTGTGCTTTGGGAGAGACAGAGGGGATGGAGAAGGTCAGAGAGAACTTGATGCTTCTTTCTCAGTTCAGCATGTCAAGGCACCCAGTTGTGGGGTATCAGCCTGAGCCCCAGCATCTTCATGGAGTTTGCAATCTAGTGATGGGAGACAAATGGGAGACAAAGAAGAAATGAATAAGTAAAATACACACACACATCATATATACACACACACACATGCATATGTATAGTATAGTATAGTATGCCCAATGGTGGTGAGTACTGGGGGAAAAAAGAATAAACATGGAGGAGGAGTGGCCATGATTGGGTGTCAAGCCCTCAGATTATCACTGAGGGGTGGACATCTGAGCAATGACTTGAGAGAAGAGCGGGCAAGAGTCAGGTGAACAGGACTGGGAAGAGCCTTCCAGTGGGAGAAGCAGCTCTCAAGGCAGGAGTTGTGCTCTGTGGGTTGGAGAGCACCAGGTACTCAGGGTAGCTGGAGGCAGGGGCAGGGGATGAGCTGTCGAAGTTAAAACCGGAGAGAAAGGGGTGATGAATGGGGGCACGGATGCTGTAAATCTTTGCAGTATTTATGTTTTTTCTAGATGAGATGGTAAACTACTGGAGAGTTTCAAGCAGCAGAGTGTTAAATTAAGCTTATCCTAAAGCTGCCTCCTTACATATTTCAAGTTCAGCCTGAAGGACTCTTCTTACATAGTGAGCTGTAAACTAACTGGATGTGTAAACAGACTATAACCTACTCTCGTGTCAATCACTGAGTTTCTGCCAATCACAGGTGGCCAACTGTTCAAACCGGGTTTAAATAAGGCGAACACTGAGCTGTAACCAATCCAGCTGTTTCTATATCTCACTTCGGTTTTCTGCATGTCATTCTCCTTTTTCTGCCCATAATTTTATCTGACTGTGCACAGCTCCAGGATCTGCCTGAACTTATTCTGGTTTGGGGGCTGCCCAATTTGGGAATTGTCCTTTGCTCAATTAAACTATTTTAAATTTAATTTGTCTAAGGTTCTCTTTTAACAAGAGTGATATATTCTGACTACAATTTTAGCAGAATATGTTGACTGCTCTGAAAATTGTTTGTAAAAAACAGGAGGAAGAAATAAGACCTGTTAGAAGGCTATTGCTATAGCCATGTAAGAGATGCCTCTGGCTTGGACCAGGTGGCCATGGAAGTGAGCGAGGGTAGAATCCGGATGCACGTTGAAGGCAGAGCCCAAGGATTGTCTGAGGAATCTCACGTAGAGTATGAAAGGGAAGAGTCAAGAACCACTACAAGGCTTTTGGCTAAGGTTCCTGAGTTTCTGCTCTGCACCAGACTCTGTGTTCAGCACTTTTCATTTATTATTTCACTCATTGAATCATGAAACCTTAGTGAGTTAGGCATAACTAAGATCTTCACCATGCTACAGAATTGAAGTGACTTGCCAAGGTCATGTTAGACGAGCAGTGACAGACACAGGTGGAAACCTGAGACTGTGTGACCAGTGCCCTAGAATTTCATCACTGCTCTTCTAGATGCCAAGGGGAGTGTAAAACTGGGAGCTAATTCTCAATGTTGGCTTGATTTTTCAGTCATTACTTGCCGTCAGCCATCCCCTTTTCTATTTCTGTGGCAGCTTCTTGTTTACGAGAACCGGGATGGAATGATTCTGATGTTATGCTTAGTTCACAGCCTCTAGTTAAGAACAACAAAAAACGACTTTGCCTGGATGGCTTTGTGTACCTTTATAAAACTGGGGTCCCCATCCCCAGTAAGTTCTTTATTTTTATTTACCGCACTGATTATATAATATCCCCTATTTCCTTAAATTTTCTTCCTCATGGGATAAAATTCCTGACCCAATCATGATAGAATGACTTCATCATTAGATAAATGTTTTCAAACATTATCTAGATAGTCACTGCTAGGACTTAGGTCTCTGAAATTTATTTTCTAGTGTGACCATATGTCCCCACTGAGCTTAGGGTGATGTAGTCAGGAGTCACATTTCAAAATTCATCAGATGCTTCTAAATGGAGTGTTCCTTGGGGAGTTACTTGACAGCATAGTATTTAAGAGTCCATGTTCTGAAGTAAAACTGCCTGCAGTTGATGGCTTGCTCTGCAATTCCTAACTGTGTGCCATTGGGTGAGTTACTTTACCTTTCTGTGCTTATGTTTCATCTTTTATAAAATAGAGATAAATAGTATCAATGTTAGAGAGTGGTTATAGGTATTGTTACCATGCATATGGTCCGTAGAATTACAGCCTAATAAATTCTTAGTAAATATTAGCAGTTTTAAAATCATCATCATCATCATCATCACCACCACCACCACCATCATCATTATATCACACAATCCTGGCTAAAATGTATCTCACCAAGTTTGGGTTGAATTGAAAACAGTCAACTGGAGATAAGTAATATTGACATTGCCTGCCTCAACCATTTAGATGTGTTTTCCATCTAAACACTGATATATTATTTGCATATATAGCTTAGACAATTACTAAAAACATATGCTTTTAAATTATGGATTTACAAGCAATTTGGAGACTATGACTAATTGTGATCCAGAGTCAATTACCGTCAGTCCAACTAAAAATTATGAAGCACTTTCCCAAACCCACCGGTAACATTTGGGAGGCCCAGGGAAAGAGCACAGACGGAGGATCACATACCATATATTTAAATATTTAAAATAGATTGCACCCTGGACTGTGTAGCCCATATCTGAGAATGACTGCTCCCTCCTGGACTCTGGATTGGATATATGATCATTGGAACTGAACTTTATGCTTCATTCTCCCTCCATGCACTAACAGTCCATTTACCTTTTGCCCCTGAAACCAGAATGACCTTGACGGCAGGTTCATAACAATGAGTTATCTCATGAAGGCAAGAAAGGAGTCTGATGGTTTCAGATAGCTCTGGTGGTAGAAGCCCTTGGAAAAACAGGTCCACACAGCCCAATAACATGCCCCAGCATCGCTAACATAAAAGAAATAGTCTTCATGCAGACCTCAAAGAATCTTATCTATTTGGACTTGCTAGAAATGAACTGCAAATGAACTTTGGGAAAAAGAGTATATTGTTCTTCCTTTTCAACCTAATTTTATGTTCCTAGAATGACTCTTTTCAAGAATGAGGGCTAGAAAAATATATAGAGAGAATTAAAATAGTACAGAAGAAAGACCCACAAGAAAACTACCTTTACCTTTCATAGGTCTAAGGTTTCTTTGACTTCCATCTCTTTTGTAATAAATAATGGATGACATTTTCACTAGACAACATGCTTCCCTGTTTTATCTCCAGGATAGACTTCTATTTTGCTTACTTGGCATTTGTTGATTCATCAGAGAGTTTTAATTGAGTTATCATCGGGATAGAGGAAGGAACTAACTTCCCCGTCACATACAACACACTTTACATATTCCAAGAGTGAAGAAAGACCTCATGTTCTACATGAGAAAGATTGAGTCAGACCCAATTATCAAACCCCATTCTGTTGGCAAAGAGCATCTTCATTTCAACTGCTTCTTCAGGGTGTTCGTGGATAAAACTTACTGGTCAGGTGTGTAATCCCAGCAATTTGGGAGGCCAAGGTGGGAGGATCACCTGAGCTCAGGAGTTTGAGACCAGCTGGGGCAACATTGTGAGACCAAGTCTCTACAAAAAATTTAAAAGTTAGCTGGATGTGGTGATGTATGCCTGTAGTCCCAGCTACTTGGGAGGAAGAGGTGAGAGAATCACTTGAGCCCAGGATGTTGAGGCTGCAGTGAGCCACGATTGCACCACTGCAAACCAAGCCTGAGTGACAGAGCAAGACCCTGTTTCAAAATAAAATAAATAAAATAAAATAAAACTTCTTTACCATCCAGCCCTGGAGGGCAGGGAATCACCTCCAGCGCGATATAATTTGCCTCTGCTCTGTGTGTGTGTGTGCGTTTGTGTGTGTGTGTGTGTGTGTATGAAATGAGGGAATCTCCCAAATCATGTTAAGAGTTTTTGTGGTGTAGTGGAATCTGAATCTGGGGATGGGAATGGGTGGGTTACAAATAAACATCTTTTCTTCTTTTAGTTTAATACTTCAGAAAAATGAATGCCTGCCTCAACAGTGCTAAAGAGGCGGATAAATTAGTTTTTTTTTTTCTCTCTTTTTCTACCAATATTTAGGGTTCCTTTTCTTTCATAGCATTGTGATAAATATGAGTCGGAAATTAATTCATAGGGTAAAAAGACACAGTCCAGTTATTTCCTCTTTTAGTTATTTGCATCTCGCTTCTATTGTACACCCTTTGAAAGGTGATCTTTATGGATACTTAAAAGAGGAGAGTAAGCATCCAATCACAAAGAACCTGATGTGCAGCAATGTATTCAGTATTATTTTGCAAATTTCCTCTATGAAAGCTGATAAGTAAGCAGTAGAGTTGGAAAATGAAATCCTCTATTGACTTCAGACTCAAATTTTGTCTCAATTGCTGACAAAACATAACCAATCTTTTAGTTATTGCCAATAAAGATTATATACTTTAGCAACAAATTTCTTCACTTATTTCCAAGTGTATTTTTAACAGCCTAATGGGACAAGAGCTCTTGTCGATATTTTTACTTATTAGAAAGTACTTATTTTCTCATTGACAAAAAGATTTCGAGCGCTCACATAGAAACAGTGGTTAAAATTTTTGATAAATATACTTATTACTAGAATTCTCTGAAATATGATGTGTCCTTATTCTATTTTCTTATGTTTCAGGTTAGAATTTTTTAGCTTCTGGTTACAGGCTGGTGTGAGACATACAGGGAAAAGGGTAGATACACTGTGATCTTTCTATGTTTGTTTGTTTTTTCTAGTGATCTATAAACTAATATCATAAAGATCTGAAATGAATATACTGTGTTTCTGAGTCAATGAAGAGATAATAATTTAGAACTGACTGCATGAGAATAATCATTAAACCAACACAGTTTTTTTCTTAAAGTGGTGTTTGTATTAGCTTTTCCTCTAGTTTTTGAAACAATCAGTGCTAAATATGGTCAGAGGAGAGCGTATATAAATTACTTTCCCCCGATGCTTCTTGAGTAAATGCTAACTAAAATCATCATTTCCCTAGGCACTTTTTAATTGGAGGCTGAGGAGAAAGAGGCGAATGCAATGCCAGTCATACGCGTATTGGTTCCCAGCTTCCAACACACCTTTTGTGGTATTGAGAGGGAGACTCTGAAACCACACTTCTGCTTTGCCAGCTGCCCATGTTATAGGCTCTGCAAATAGCGGGCGATAGAGAGTGAGGCTAAAGGAGGAGGAAGGCACCACCCAGTCTTGCCTGTTTGCTTCCTGTCCCTTTCAGCATCGTTCCAACTATGGCAGCTGTTTCCTGCCCCTCGTTCATTCTCGACTCACAGAACAGCCTAATTGTGTCCTTTCAGAAGTTTGAGTAGCAGCCTAGAAATGTTTCCTCATTGGAGGTCTGAGCCCAAGCACCACGAAGTTCCTCCTCTTTGCTCCCAAGATCTGATAACCACAACCACTTCCCTTTTATTCCTCCAGGTATGATCTTTGGGTTATTTAACTTGGTGCTGTCTTTTTGTTCTTTAAGCAGCCCAGCACTCATAATGTCTGTTCCTTATATATTAAATTCTGGACACTGGCAGACAACAAGTTCGTATATTCCTGATAGTGTGGAGGCGCTGGGAGATGTAGGGGAGAAAAAAACTTCCTTTTGAGGCAGGAGAATAGGGTGTGGAGGCAGGGAACCTAAGGCCGATTCACACTGACTTCCAGGAACTGAATCTAAAGGGGAACCTCAGCTTTCCACACCTAAGTGACAAGGGGGAAGCTACTCCCTTTGCAAACCACACCACCCCCTCCAGCCCCACCCCAACTTTTTCTGCATGGCAGCTGGAAAATTGAAAATACCTCTGATTGGTTGCTTCTGCAGAAATGCTTTTCTGGATATGTCCTGTGATAGTAAATCACCTTCTTCTTCTTCTTCTTCTTCTTCTTCTTCTTCTTCTTCTTCTTCTTCTTCTTCTTCTCCTTCTCCTTCTCCTTCTCCTTCTCCTCCTCCTCCTCCTCCTCCTCCTCCTCCTCCTCCTCCCCCTCCCCCCTCCCCCTCCCCCTCCCCCTCCCCCTCCCCCTCCCCCTTCTCTTTTTTTTTTTAGATGGAGTTTTGCTTTTGTTGCCCAGGCTGGAGTGCAGTGGCGTGGTCTTGGCTCACTGCAACCTCCTGCTCCTGGGTTCAACTGGTTCTCGTGGTTCTCCTGCCTCAGCCTCCCGAGTAGCTGGGATTACAGGAAACCACCACCATGCCCGGCTAATTTTTTTTTGTATTTTTAGTAGAGACGAGGTTTCACCATGTTGGCCAAGATGGTCTTAAACTCCTAACCTCAGGTGATCCACCTGCCTCGGTCTCCCAAAGTGCTGGGATTACAGGCTTGAGCCAACGTGCCTGGCTGTAAATCACCTTCTTATATAAACTATTCTGCAATTGGTCTTCTTTTACTTTCATTCAGTGGTATCTCAATTGATTTACAGATTTATCAGTGGAGGTCCAGATTCAGTAGGGGTGGGGTAGAGTATTCCTATGAACTTCTGTATTTGATAAGCTCCTCCTGAGTTTCTCATGGGCAGCCTGGAGACTGGCCTTGTAATAAGATGTATTAACTTGAGTTGAAACCAGAAGTGTGACTTTGTACCCCAGATTTAAGGAAACATACTTGAATCATAGATGGGCATGGTTCCCTTCTCCTCTTTACCTAAATATGTCCCTGGCATTATAATTAGATTTTTGGTAGTGAGGGTTGGATGGGGACAGTTGGCCAAGAGCTCCAAATTCAAAGGCTTTAATCCGATCTAGAGCACAGAGCTGTTCTTTCATCCACTCTCCTCATCCCATTCTGCTCCTCCTGTGCCTCTGGCTGCGCTTCTGCTCCAGCATTTGAAGGGTCAGATCCCTTGAACACCATGTTTGTTTGTTTGTTTGTTTGTTTGTTTTTTGAGACGGAGTTTTGCTCTGTCATCCAGGCTGGAGTGCAGTGGTGCAATCTCTGCTCACCGCAACCTCCACCTCCTGGGTTCAAGCGATTCTCCTGCCTCAGCCTCCCGAGTAGCTGGGATTACAGGCAAGCGCCACCATGCCCAGCTAATTTTGTATTTTTAGTAGAGACAGGGTTTCTCCACGTTGGTCAGGCTGGTCTCAAACTCCTGACCTCAGGTGATCCCCCTGTCTTAGCCTCCCAAAGTGCTGGGATTGCAGGCGTGAGCCACCACGCCCGGCCAAGACCATGCTTCTTATTCAGAAACTATGCATATCTTCTTCTTATAAAATGTGTCTTTTGGTTGGGAATTGTGGCTCATGCCTATATCCTCAGCATCTTAGGAGGCCAAGGCAGGAGCATCACTTGAGTCCAGGACTTCCAGACCAGCCTGGGCAACATAGTGATACCATATTTCTACAAAAAAAAAAAAAAAAAGAAAAAAAAAAGAAAAACATATGTCTTTATACAGTACATTTTCCTAACAATCCTTAGATACATTGTTTTTCTTGAGAACTTAAACACGGATTGTTAAATCCTGATAGAACAGAAATAATTATAATATAGAGCTCATGTCCTGAGACTAAGCTAAGACAGAATTTGCAAATGTACCTCAACTGTTTTAAGTCTGTGGTGGAATGATGTAAAAATTCAGCCATTCTTCATCAAGACCATCTTCTCTCATTTCAGCCTTTACAATCTTCTTCCGTGCCCTTATGGTTTCCCGATTTTCTAACCTCTTTTTGGACCTTCAAATTTGGACATTCTATTCCAGCTCAATGTGGCATCCTCTTGGACTTAATTCTGCTATTCAGTAATTGGCTTCAGCAGCATATTTCTCTCTTTTTCTGTTCATTGTGAAGTCAGGTGATATAGAGTTATTTTTCTTAGAGGGTGTACTTGGATGGCAGGCAAATTGCAAGAATGGAGACACTAGAGCTTAGGACAATCTCAAATACATATGGCTTTCAGAATTGTGCATGAGCCCCAAAACCTTAAGACAGATGTCTATATCTCCTTGACCACTATTAAGAATATTGGCTATATTTACAGAGTTCTTGAGAATTTTCGTAGCAGGTTAGCATTTATTCTTGTAGGGAGATGGGATTTTGTCAACAGCCATTCCATTTCTCAAAGCATAAGTAGAATCTCAGGAATGGGCCAAGAGTCACCCAAAGCCACATCGCTTGATGAGGCAGAGTGAGTAGAGAGTCCAAGTCTTCCAATTCTGGAGGCTCCACCAGATCACGCATAGGGAACTGAGACAGTTCGGAGCCAGTCAGGCCAGTGTTCTAGTTTCCAAATTTAGTTTCCCTGACCAATGCAGCCTAGTTCAGGAAGAAAAGAGATAGAAATATATTGCCTGTGCATTGCATATTTAATTTACGTAAAAATATATTTAATTTAAAGAAGTTCCTGTAAGGTGATAGACTAGTAACTTCCTGTAAGGTGATAAACTAGTAACTGTCACTGTGTCCATCTTTCTACTGTATTACCATGAACTTTGGTAAAAGTTACAAATAGGGATGGTATGTCTGCTTCAAATATTCAAATCCAATTTAAGAAATAGTTTGTCCCACCAACACATGCATGGGTTTTCCCAGTTCAAATTTACCTTGTAGCTTATTCTCAGTTATCAAATGAAAATTGTATTATAGGTGCTTTTTCTTATCATCTGTTGACTTAGGAATTGTCCACCTGTGTAACAGATGGAATGCGCACTGCCTCAGCCCCATCATTAGTCTGGGCGGGAACCTAGCTGTGCAGGTGGATGACGTCACCTGCTGATCCCACTTACTTCTATTACTCCTGCGGTAGCCCAGGGCTGTTTCTGGGCTCTGTATTATCTGTAGTTCCACCACTCAACATCCTCCCTACCCACTCCCTTCTGTGCTTCCCACACATTCAGCATTCAGCTTGCATCTAAGAATGCAGGACCTTGACTCTGACAGGCCTCTGGGAGTCATGTTAGAGGTGAAACTTTTCTCCTCCTCACCCTCTGCTCCCAGCTCTACCTCCATATTTGCATTTGCTGAGTGCCTGTGGTTGCCTCCTGCACCCGAGACTGATTTTGACTTCCTCATTTTGAACCATGTTATTCCTTAGGCCAAGGCTTGAAGTTACCCTCTGGCTCTTTCTTGCTGCCCCAGGACATAGTTACATTCCATATGGGTCCAACTCATAAGCTCATGGTTTCTGCTCAGAATTAATAAAATTTCCTGCTTGGATGACGACATTCTCCCTGGCCACATACACTCTATCCTTCTTCTCTCCTACTATTTTGCAGCTTAAAAATATCTCTTTTTCCATCTCTTTAATGGCACTAATTTTCTTGCTGGTGTAACATAAAACAATATTACATACTGTATCTATCTGTCTATGCTTATAAATTAATGTGAAGGATAGGTAGAGATGTGCAAATTGTTTTAAATCAGAAACATAGCTTTTGTCACTTATGTTCCAGATTTTTCGTTTGGCATGTATCTCCTCACTGCTATGTGCATTGACTCTTCATTTCTGTATGCCATAGTGACTTGGCCACTGTAGCTACTCAATAAATGTTTATTGATACTGACTGGTAAGGGTGAGATGTTTAAGTCTGAAGTTCGGGTAAATTCATTTTCATCGTATTTCCCCCCTTTGGAACCAAAATATTCGTAATGTTAAAGTGTTTAGTTCTGGAGATATGAAATTCAGTTAGAAGATTTTTAAGAGTATGTAAGTGAAGGAAAACAATTATTTTGGGAATAGCTGGTTTAAGTGGGAGTTAAATGAGGTGCAATTTGGGAGAGAGAAAAGAACAGTGTAAACTCGAAGAAACTATGCTTAAGATTAAGAGATACTCAAGTAAATCTGAATACACTTGAGTAGTCTCTCCAGTAAAGTTTCATTTGTAGATTAATTTTGCAGTTTACTAACTTAGAAAAAAGACATAAATTATTCTTTGATACTAATAATATGTTGCTCCTTTTCTGTTCTCTTATAGCTTGTTTGCTAAGACCTCACATTTTCTCTTCATTGATTAATATTGTTTTACATTTCTGGCACTGTATTTTTGATATGATAGTAGATGTACAATGGTATTTTGGTAGGCCAAATACTGATATAAATACTGTTTTCACCTCACATTTTTTTGAAGCTAATATTTTTATTTTAAAAATGTAGGAGACACAACATTCCATAACAAAAGAAAAAGGTGTGTTTATTGAAGTAGGTTGTAAGAACATTTACAATGCATGCTAATCTCCAATTCAAACAATTTTTTTCTATCCATTCATCCTTCTTATGTGACTGTTTATAAGTCTGCTTTTATATCTCTGCTGGGTTATTCTTATGTTAGCTTTTATCTCTATGCTTATTGCCCAGAGGTTGCAGGAAGGCTACTACAACTCCAGATAATATGTCTACATTCCAGACAGAACAGAATAAAGGCTTTTCGTTAAGCTCCATTTAGGAGAATTCCCTTATCCCTCGTCAACCATATCTAGGCCCCATGGCTACCATGAGACCTATCACTCGCCAAGGGAAAATAAATTACCCACGTTTAGTCCAGATACTCTCGGCAGCCACTGAAGTAGATACCGGCCTTCTCCAAGATCAAGAGATTTCCATGGCTACCTGAACAAAATAGTTTTGTTTTGATTTATTTTATTATTTTTTACTTTGTAATGAAGTTGAGGGATAAGTGTAGGTGGTATGAAGAGTTTAGCCAACTGCAAAGTTAAAGGGAGCAGTCCACACAATTTCCCTTTTATTTCTCACACAAATTGCAATTTGGGGGCTCCCCATAAAGCATGCTCATGTTTGATCATACACTAACTAGAAAACTCACAGAAATCACCGAGAACTGTTGTACTTCTTGCAAAGATTTATTACACTGAAACCAATAAAAGTTAAAATTAGACAAAGGAGGAAGCACACAGGGCAAAGTCTAGGGAAGCACCTAATGTGAAGTGTCCTCATTGCCCTATCTCTGTGGAGTCAGGACAGTATTACTCTCCTGGTATTGACGTGTGACAGCATGCACACAGGATTGCCAACCAGAGAAGCTCACCTGAGCCCCATCACTACAGGTTTTATTTGGGTTCCATTATGTAGGCATCATTGTTAACTCAAATGGCTGTTCCTAGTGTCTAGTTTCCAGCCTCTCTGGGTGGGACCCAAAGTCCTCACCATAAATCATATTTTTTGAGTTTCTCATTTGGCTAGCTCCCTTCCTAAGACTATGGGGTATGGCCAGCCTCATTTGAAATCACACGGTTAAACAATCTAGTGTGTCCCAAGACCTACAAGGAAACAAAGATATTTCCATCAGGTAGGACATTTCAAGGACTTAGAGGTTACTTCTCAGGAGCCAAGAGTAAAGGTCAGACCTTTCTTTGGGCAAGGTTAATTTCTTTCCTACATATGTGGACAAAAGATAGTATTCATCACAAAGACAATTTTGGCTAAAACATTCAGGAACACTGGGGGAAATGATAAAACTGAATGGGATGACTTTTTTTCAAGATCTAGGGATTTGAAGATTTAGTAATTTAAGAATTACAAGAGGTAAGATCATTCTCTGTGCAAGAATTTTCCCAACTCTGCCTTACAGAATACATATTTCTAGAGATAAGGACACTGCATGTGAAAGTAAAGTTTGATCAAATATATTTGAAAAAGACTGGGCTTTACCAAAGTTAAGCCAGTCTCTATACCACTGGACTCCCCATGGTCTTTAATATGTTAATATAGCAGTTCTCAAATTTTTGGTCTTAGGACACTGTACATTCTTAAGAATTATTGACAACTCCAGAGAACTTTTGTTTAGGTAGGTTTTATCTGTTGATATTTATCATAATAGAAATTAAACTAAGAAGTTTTATATTTATTTAGTTATTAATTCATCTAAAAGTAAAAATAAACACATTAATGTTAACATAAATAATTTATTCTTATGAAAGTAACTGTTTTCCAAAACAAACAAAAATTAGTAAGAACAGTTATATTGCTTTCTATTTTAAAAAATTACATAGTGTTTAAACGAGTAGAAATCAGCTAGGGCCAGGCGTGGTGGCTCACACCTGTAACCCCAGCACTTGGGATGCCGAGGCAGGTGGACCACTTGAGGCCAGGAGTTTGAGACCAGACTGGCCAACATGGAGAAACCCTGTCTCTACTAAAAATACATAAATCAGCCGGGCACAGTGGCAGCTGCCTGTAATCCCAGCTACTCGGGAGGCTGAGGCAAGAGAATCCCTTGGGCCTGGAAGGCGGAGGTTGTAGTGAGCCAAAATGGCATCACTCCACTCCAGTCTGGGTGACAGAGCAAGATTCTGTCTCAAATAAATAAATAAATAAATCAGCTATATTTTCATATATGTTTCTGTGTATAACCAGTTAAAATATATTATTTTAGTTAAAATATATGAAGAAAATCTAGCCTCACACCTAAATGTAGTTTGGACAAGACAAACCATTTTAATAGGCTTAGAAGATAATTTCAGATATGATTTTTAAATAATATACTAAAACTTTATAAGTCATGGTTTCTTAAAAATTAGTTGCAATGTAGAATTTTTTAAAAAATCAATGTAATATTCATATTCTATACTATTAAAATCTATTATTTTATCTTGCACTTTCAATGGTTGTTTTACACATGCATGGTTTTGAAACATTATGTGTTGGTTGTTTGAAAAAATATTGTGTTACTAAGTTATATAGATCATCCAAATATTAACACATTTGAGTATACAATATCAAACACTTATATTTCTTAATATCAACACCAGTCTCATCAAAAACTTTTTAAAAATTGAGAAGCTGTCAAGATCAAGAAACAAGGTTTGCAAACTTATGTTTTTTCAGGAGCAAAATTATTGCACTATTAGTTGTCCTTGAAAACTACAGGCTCACTTATTTTATCATCAAGAAAGTATCTGCCAAATATCCATGGTGAATTACCAGTAGTTTTTCTATCTTTTGTTTATGAAAAACTGATGTTCCATTTAAAAAATGGTTAATTCAGCTTGCGAATCAAACAGTTCCACAAGTGATTTTCCTTAAAAGCAAACAATAACAATAACAACAAAATGTTAGGGAAGCAGGAAGCTAGGAAAGCCACAGTAACGCTATTTGAAAATCAAGTCCATCTTAAAACTGACAAGGTACATTCCTGCCAGTCATGACCCATGGATCCAAGATGTTTACAGCTAAAGGATCAGCTTTGTAATGCTTGCAAAAACAAACTCCTGCAACAAAGGAAAGTCCAGATATCCCAATACACATAACAATATATGCTTTCAAGAAAATTACAGTTATGCTTTGATGTACTTACATGATAAAATGTCAAGGATAGTTTTCTTTAAATCAATAGAATAACAAATTTTGTCATGCTGTCAGCCCACCCACATGTAGTTTAATCTCACAGCCTAGTTTAGTCTTTATATAGACAAGACCCCTATGTACAAAAAACGTAAAGCAAAGACAGTGCATTCCTTCACTTGTTTCCTGAGGATGTGCTACTATGTAATGGAATAGCTTTCAATAAACTACCCTCTCTTGGAGTTTGGATTGGGACCTCAATTTTTTTTTTTTTTTTTTTTTAAGACAGGGTCTCGCTCTGTCAACAGGCTGGAGTGTAGTGGTGTGATCTCGGCTCACTGCAACCTCCACCTCCAGGGTTCAAGCGATTCTCCTGCCTCAGCCTCCCGAGTAGCTGGGACTACAGGCAGGTACCACCAGCTAATTTTTGTATTTTAGTAGAGACGGGGTTTCACCATGTTGGCCAGGATGGTCTCGATTTCTTGGCCTTGTGATCAGTCCACCTCAGCCTCCCAAAGTGTTGGGATTGCAGGCGTGAACCACCGCGCCCGGCCACACGTTGTATTTAATATGTAGAAGTGCTTTGGAGTATGTCCCATTTTGTCATTTTTTAGTATTAAATATTAAAAAGACATATATTGAATTTGATTTTTCCATACCACATGCAAGGAGCTTGGAAGTGGCCACTGTATCCTAACAAGTAAAAAGCTGAACAAACTGAAAAATCATGTATCTTCTTAGGTCTTAAGAGAAGTGAGCTCAGAGGGCAAACTCCTGCTCTCCCAATTGGAGAAACATGCAGGCAGGTGAAGAGAATCACAACGTGCTGGAGCAGAAACCTCCTTGGGAAACAGTACTGGGGTAGGAAAGGCTTAACTGTAATTGACGAATTGTTTCTTGGGGACTCAATGTGGACAAGTCTGAGTTAAAAACTCCAGGGGGACCCCGTTTTGGGGTGGGGTGCACGCTTTTGTGACCCCTACCTCCAGGAGCACAACCAAGTTCCCACAATAATATATCAGGGAAAATTCCCCTCATGTTTCCAACAGGGAAAGGGAAAAAATAACTATTTTGAAATACACCAGAGAGGAACTATTTAACCAGAGCTTAAACTGCTGGGGTTTTACTAGATCCTAATTGACCTGGGAAAAGGAAAATATCAGTTGTAGCCAACTCTGGATATCTTGTCCTATCTAAGGAGGGAGAAAATAAAATTAGAAAAACAAACAAACAGAAAGAAATATTTGTGAAATTCAAAGTCCAGAGGCACAGGTTCACCAAAAACCTGGGACCTAATCACGGCACTATAGAATCCTTCCCCTCTCCCAAACTTTAATGTCCCTCACCCAGTACATCATGTTTGGCTTGAAAAAAAATTAGAAGGCATACTAAAAGGCAAAAAAACACAATTTGAAGATACATAGCAAGCACAGAGCCAGACATAAATGCTTCCTCTCCTCCAAACTTTAATGTTCCTTTACCCAGTACATCATGTCTGGTTTAAAAAAAAATTTACAAGGCATACTAAAAGGCAAAAAACACAATTTGAAGAGACAGAGCAAGCACAGAGCCAGACATGGCAGGGATGTTGGAATTATCATACCTAGAATTTAAAACAGCTTTGATCAATGTGCTAAGGGTTCTAATGGCTAAGTAGATAGCATGCGAGAACAGCTGGGCAATACAAGCAGAGAATGGAACTTCTATGAGAAAAAAAGAAATGCTAGAGATTAAAAACCAACTATAACACTGTAATAGGAATGAAGAATGCTTTTGATAGGCTTATTACTAGACTGGACACAGCTGAGGAAAGAATCTCTGAGCTTGAGAATATCCATAGAAACCTTCAAAATGGAAAAGTAAAGAGAACAGAGACTGAAAAACAGCCCTAGAACATCCAAGCACTGTGGGACAGCTACCAAAGGTGTATATATCTGCAATGGGAAGATCAGAAGGAAAAGAAAGACAAAGGAATAGAGACATATCTTGAGAAACAGTGACTGAGAATTTCCCCCAAATTAATGTCAGACACCAAACCACAGATCTAGGAAACTCAGAGAACAACAAGCCAGAAAAATGTCCCAAAAAACTACTTAGATGGATCATTTTCAAACTACAGAAAATCCAAGATAAAGAAAAATTCTCATAAAGAAGCTGGATAAAAAACACCTTACCGAGGCAGAGCAAGATGGCAGCATAGAAAGCTCTATCAATCATCCCCCCGGAGGGATACCAAGTTAACTACTATCTACACAGAAAAGAACACCTCATAAGAACCAAGAATCAGGTGAGCACTGACAGTGCCTGGTTTTAGCCTCATATTGCTAAAAGGGGCACTGAAGAGATAGAAAAAAACAGTATTGAATTACTGACCCCACCCTTCTTGCATCCCCAGTAGCAGCAGGTTGGTGTGCAGAGTATCTCAGGGCACTGGGGGAGGGAAAACACAGCAATTGTGAGGCATTAAACCCAGTTCTGTCCTGTTAGAATAGAAAGAAAAAATGGACCAAACTCTGCTGTCAGCCACTCATGGAGGGAGAATTTAAACCAGCTCTAGCCAGAAGGGGATCACTGATCCCACTTGTCCAAACTTGAGTGCCTGCAAATCTTGCCACTGACGGCTACAGCAGCCTGTGTCTCCACATAAAGTTGAAAGGCAATCGAGTCCATAAGGACTGCAACTCTTAGGCAAGACCTAGTGGTGAACTGGGCCGAGACAGTGGACTGAGGGTGCATACAACGTGTTAAGACACCAGCTGGGACAGCCAAAGGAGTGTCGGCATCACACCACCCCCTGATCCAAACCCAGGCTGCACAGCTTGAGGCTTCAAAGGAAACCTCTTCCTTCTGCTTGAAGAGAGGAGAGGGAGAGTGCGGAGGAATTTGTCTTGCGTCTAAGATACCAGCTCAGCCACAGTAGGATAGGGCGCCAGTCAGAATCGTGAGTCCCCCATTCCATGCCCTAGCTTCCAGATGGCATTTCTAGACACACCCTGGGCAAGAGGAGAACCCACTGCCTTGAAGGGAAGGACCTAGTCCTGGCAGCATTCATCACCTGCTAACTGAAGGGCCCTTGGGCCCTAAATAACCAGCAGCGATACCCAGGTTCTACATTGAGGGACTTGGGTGAGCCTCTGAGACTCGCTGGCTTCAGGAGAGACTCAGCACATTACCAGCTGTGGTGGCTATGGGGCCAAACTCCTTTTGCTTGAGAAAAGCATATGGAAAAGTAAAAGGGTCTTTTTCTTACATCTTAGGTACCAGCACAGCCACAGAGGAGTAGAGCACCAAGCAGGCTTTTGGAGTCCCTGATTCTAGGACTTGACTCTTAGATGGCATCCCTGGACCTGCCTTGGGCCAGAGGGGAGTCCACTGCACTGAAGGGTGAGTCCTGGGCCAGGCAGCATTCAGAAGAATCTGACTTAAGAGACCTTGGGCCTTAAGTGAACATCAGCAGTAGTCTGACAGTACTTCCTGTGGCCTGGGGTGGTGGCAGCTACAGAGTGAGGTTCCTCTGCCTTTGGAGAGAGGAGGGAAAAGTGCCGAGGGCTACATCTTATGATTTGAGTGCCATCTCAGCCACAAGGCAATAGAACACCAGGTAGACTTCTAAGGTCTATGACTGTAGTCCCTGACTCCTGGATAGCACTTCTAGAGCCACCTGGGGCCTGGGTGACCTCACCACCCTGAAAGGAAAGACATGGGCCTGGCTGCCTTTGCCACCTGCTGACTGTAGAGTCCCCAGGACCTTAGGTGAACACAGAGAGTAACCAGGTAGTGGTTAAAGCAGGTCTTGGGCGAGACCTAGTTCTGTGCTGGCTTCAGATCTGACTCAGCATAGTCATATTAGTGGTGGCCACAGAGGTGTTTGTGTCACTTCATCCTCCAGCTTTACTTGGCTCAGAACAAACAGTGAGATTCTGTATGTTTAGGAGAAAGTAAAGGAAGAGAACAAGAGTCTCTGCCTGGTAATCCAGAGAATTCTTATAGATCATGTCTAAGATCATCAAGGCTGTACCTCTATGAATCTGCAAGAACCACAGTGTTCTTGCAGATTATAGGGGGCTTGGGATGCCCCCTATAACAGATAAAGCTTAGATCGCAATACTCCAGTATTTTCAAATAACTAGAAAGCCTTACCAAGAAGGTTGCCTACAAATAAGCCCGGACAGTGAAGACTGAAATAAATATCTAACTCTTCAATGCCCAGACACCAGAGAACATCTACTAGCATCAACACCATCCAGAAAGCATGACCTCCCCAAGCGAACTAAATAAGCCAGCAGGAACCAATCCTGGAGAAACAGAGATATGTGACCTTTTCAGACAGAAAATGCAAAATAGCTGCGTTGAGGAAACTCAAAGAAATTTGAGATAACACAGAGGAAGAATTTGGAATTTTATCAGATAAATTTAACAAAGAGATTGAAATACTGAAAAAGAATCAAGCAGAAATTGTGGACATAGAGAGTAGAAGGATGGTTACCAGAGCCTGGGAAGGGTAGTAGGGGACTGTGGCAGAGGTAGGGTGGTTAATGGGTGCAGAAAAAATAGAAAGAACGAATACAACTTACTATTTGACAGCACATCATGGTTGACTATAGTCAATAATAACTTAGTTATATACCTTTAAACAACTCGAAAAGTGTAACTAGATTGTTTGTAACTCAAAGGATAAATGCTTGAGGGGATGGATATCCCATTCTCCATGATGTGATTATTTCATATCACATGACTGTGTCAAAACATTTCATGTACCCCTTAAATATATGCACCTACTATGTACCCATAAAAATTTTAAAAATTAAAAAAAAAATAGAAGAAAAATTGAAGGAAAAAACCTTAGCTATAGAGGAATACACCTACTGTGGAGAACAGTTTGGAGGTTCCTCAAAACACTAAAAATTTAGCTACCATGTGATCCAGCAAGCCGACTGCTGGGTATATGCCTCAAAGAAAGGAAATGAGTGTATCAAAAATATATCTACACTCCTGTTTGTTGCAGCACTGCTTACAACAGCTAAGATTTGGAAGCAACCCAAGTATCCATCAACAGATGAATGGATAAAGAAAATACATATACACAATGGAGTACTATTCAGCCATAAAGAAGAATGAGACCCAGTCATTTGCAACAACATGGTTGGAATTGGAGATCATTATGTTAAGTGAAATAATCCAGGCACAGAAAGACAAACATCACATGTTCTTACTTATTTGTGGGATCTAAAAATCAAACCAGTTGAACTCATGGACATAGAGAGTAGAATGATGGTTACCAGAGCCTGGGAAGGGTAGTGGGGGGTTTTGAGGGGGTGGGTCGGGATGGTTAATGGGTATAAAAAAATAGAAAGAATGAATAAGAACTACTATTTGACAGCACAACAGGGTGACTATAGTCAATAACAATTTAGTTATGTATTTTAAAGTAACTTAGAAACTGGAACTGGATTGTTTGCAACTCAAAGGATAAATGCTTGAGGGAATGAATACCACATTCTCCATGATATGATTATTTCACAAAACATGCCTGCATCAAAACATCTCATGTACCCCTTAAATATATGCACCTATTATGTACCCACAAATATTTAAAATAATTTGCTTTTTTTTTTTTTTGAGACTGAGTCTCACTCTGTCGCCCAGGCTGGAGTGCAATGGTGCAATCTAGGCTCACTGCAACTTCCGCCTCCCAGGTTCAAGCGATTCTCATCCCTCAGACTCCTGAGTAGCTGGGATTACAGACATGTGCCACCATGTCCAGCTAATTTTTGCATTTTTGGTAGAAATGGGGTTTCACCATGTTGGTCAGGCTGGTCTTGAACTCCTGACCTCGTGATCCACCGGCCTCAGCCTCCCAAAGTGCTGGGATTACAGGCGTGAGCCACTGCACCGAGCCAAAATTTTTTTAAAATTTAGAAGAAAAATAGAAGAAAAAGAAAAACTTGCCTATAGAGGAACAAAAATAAGAATTACATTTGAGTTCTCAGAAACTATGTAAGCAGGAAGAGAATGTCGTGAAATATTTAAAGTGTTGAGAGAGAGAGAGAAAAAAAAAACCCACCAACCTAGAATTCTATAAACTGCAAAATTATCATTTAATAGTGAAGGAGAAATAAATGCTTTCTCTGACCAACAGAAACTGAGGGAATTTATTGCCAGTAACTTGCCTTGCAGGAAATGTTACAAGACATTCTTTAGAGAGAAATAAAATAATACAGATCAGAAACTTGGATCTACATAAAGAAGACAAAAGCATCAAAGACGGAATAAGTGCAGGTAAAATGAAACTTTTAATTTTTTAATTCTTAACTAATCTATCATATAAGAGCTTGTTCAAAATAATAATGGCACCAATGTATTTAATTATACTTTCACAAACAAAATCTGTATTAATCTCTTCCCATATAATGAATGACACCAAAATTTAGTACTTAAGGCAACAAACATTTATTACCTCACAGTTTCTGTGGTTCAGAAATGCAAGCTTTGCTGGGTTACTGTGACTTAAGTTCTCTTATGAAGCTGTGGTCAAACTCCCAGGACTGTATCTAACTGAGAGCTACGCACCAGAGGATCGGGGGGTATTTGCCTAGAAACTCACTCATGGGTTTGACAAGATTCCGTTGTTTCCAGGTTGTTGGCTAGAAGTCTCTTTCTGTTGCTTGCCATGTGAGCCTCACCAAAAGGCAACTCACAATACAACACGGCAGTTGGCTTCTTTCAGAGCGAGCAAGAGAGCAAGAGACAATGAGTGCCCAAGCCAGAAGCCAGTCTCATTGTAACTAACCTTGGAAGTGACATCCTTTTACCTTTGCCACAGTATGTTCATGAGAAGGGAGTTTTAAGACCAGGCGTGGTGGCTCATGCCTATAATCATAGCACTTTGGGAAGCCAAGGAGGGTGGATCAGTTGAGCTCAGGAGTTCAAGACTCGATTGGGTTACATGGTGAAACCCTGTATTTACCAAAATACACACACACACACACACACACACACACACACACACACATTATCTGAGCGTAGTAGCGCATGCCTGGGGTCCAGGCTACTGGGGAGTCGGAAGGTTGGGGTATCCATTAAGCCCAGGAGGCAGAGGTTGCAGTGAGCCTTGATTGCACCACTACACTCCAGCCTAGGCAACAGAGCAAGACCCTGACTGGAAAAAAAAAAAAAAGGGAGTTTTAGAAGAATTACTTCAAGGTGATGTAAATGGTAATTACCCTAACTTGACCATCGTACAATGAATATATGCATTGAAACCTCCCACTCTACTCCATAAACATGTACAATTATTTTGTATCAAGTTTAAATAAAACAATTAATGAGTAAAAATGAAGAGATTCATTTGTTCTAGTCACATTCAAAGGAAGGGGACTGCACAAAGGCATGAACACTAGTCAGTGAAGGCTATCTTTGAAGTGTTTATATTCACGTTTATGAATGTAATCGTGAATTCTCCTTTATGTAAATGTAAAGACAAAATACATTTAATAATTCATGAGTTACAGGAGAAATCTTAATGGGACTTAGTGATTTAGCAATAAGCAGCAAACTAAGCAACAATAATTGTTTTATATAATAAAACTTGCAAATGTAGCTGTAAGAGTATCTTTTGAATGAAATCTAAATGGTATATGCTTATATTAGAAAACAAAGGGCTAAAAATGAGTGAGTAAATACAAGCTAAAAATTTCTTACATCAAGAATGATTTTTTTAAAAAAGGGTAAATGAAAACAAAAACTAAACAAACAAACAAAAGGAATAAAAAAACAAACAGTAGATTCTCTGAAGGTATCAGGCTCAGATGGTTTACCAAAGCTTAAGGGAAAAATGTAATCTTTATATTTGCAATAATTCAGAAACTAAATTAGAAAGATAGC
This sequence comes from Homo sapiens, assembly GCF_000001405.40. Lineage (NCBI taxonomy): Eukaryota > Metazoa > Chordata > Mammalia > Primates > Hominidae > Homo > Homo sapiens. Next base: position 97,668,630 of record NC_000015.10, on the reverse strand, counting down.
CAAATCTAGCAATGTATTAAAAATAATTTATCACAAACAAGTAGAGTTTAACCCAGGCATGAAAGAATGGTGCAATGCTAGAATGTCTATTGATGTGATTACTAAATTACCAGATTAAGGAAAAACATTAAAAGCTCCATAGATAAAGAAAAAAGTCATCATATAATATTCAACCCTATTGATGATAAAAACTTTAAGTTCACTATAAATGGAAAGGGACTTCCTAACTTGGTTAAATGGTTTCTATTAATACCATAAAACAAGTAAAATTCTTAAGATTCAACTACTTGAAATCAGGAACAAGACAAGGATCCCTGCTATTACTGCTACTAGTCATCATAGTGTTGGATGTTCTAGATAATGCAATAAGACTAATAGAAGAAATAGATATTAATGTTAGAATGGAAGAGTTGACATTATTCGGAAATACAGTATATATTTTTTGAGACAAGGTCTCTCTGTTGCCTAGGTGGGAGTACAGTGGCATTACCATGGCTCAGTGCAGCCTTGAACTCTCAGGCTCAAACAATCCTCCCACCTTAGCCTCCCGAATAGCTGGAACTATACACGTGCACCACTATGCCTGGCTAATTTTTAAAAATTGTTTTGTAGTGATGGGGTCTCACTTTGTTGTCTAGGTTGGTCTCAAACCCCTGGGCTCAAGTGATCCTCCTTCCTTTTCCTCCCAAAATGTTGGGAATATAGGCATGAGCCACCACATCTGGCCAACAATATGATTTTCTAATACAGAAAAATACAAAACAATCTAGTCAAACTATTAAGATTATTAAGGAAGTTCAGCAAGTTTGCTAGCTATAAGACCATCATAACAATAATACAAAACCTTGTAAGTGTCCTATATACCCCAAATTACCAATGAGTTCCTTAGTCCCAAATCTAACAAAAGAAAAATTCTAAATTAAGAAAAATTATTATGTTTGAACGGGAAGTATTAGCAGTATAAATAGATAATCCTATCTAATTAGGTTTATAAAATAAATTATATGACAGCTAAAATCCTCAAAGGATTTTTTTATTGGATTGGACAAATTGATTCTAAAATATTAGAATAAATAAACCAACAATAGAAATCCCAGGAGCAGACTCAGGTATACATATGACCTTGATATATGACAGAGGTAGCCCTGCAAACTAGTACAGAAATGATGGACTATATCATATGTAGCATTGGGACCACTGGATATTCACATTGGAAAAGTAATTAGATGCAACAATACTTTCAGATGGATTGCAGTTATAACTAAAGAAAGCAAATCTTCCAAGCCTTCAGAAAATATAGAAGAATCTATTGATAATATTTGGATAGAAATCATTTTTAAAATAAGATACAAAAATTACAAAGAGAAATTAGGATAAGTTCAACTCACAAAAAGTATAAAATTCAATGTAACAAAACCATTAATAAAAGTTGAAAAAAGCATTATGTTGGCAATATCTATTTGCAACACCAATCACAAGTAAATGATTAGTGGGGTCAGGTGCATGAGAATACTTAGTATTGAAGAAAAAAACAATAAAAAATAAGCAAAATAATATAAGGTTATAAAGATATCTGCAGAACAATGCTTGTAACTGTGGAAAATTGCAAGTAAGCTGAATATCTCTCAAATGGATGGTATAATACACAGCAATCAAAACAAATAGATCATGCATATATATGTCAACTTTAACATCTTAAAAAGCAAATCGATACATTAACAACCTAAACAAACAAAAACATAGTATTGACTAGAAATGCCAACCTGTAGAATGAAACATGCAATATAGTAAACTTATTTATATTAAAATACATAACCAATATTAATGTAAATTCAGATGTATTAAAATATTTTTAAAAATACATGGGCAAGATAAATATCACATTACTTTTGTGGAGAAAAAGAGGACTAAGAACAGGGTGGGGCCTCTTCTTGCTTTGACTTTGATGTAGGAGATAATTGAAGGAGCGTGTCCAATTACTCATATCAGTGGTTCAGCCCATGCATACCTTTGCCTGTTTTTCAGGGATCCTCCAAATCAGGGGGAGAGAGGATGGGTGGTCCTAGGACATCAGACGGGTGCATTCAGATGGTGCATTCAGATGGTGGTGCTTTTTGTTCTCCACCTCATCTTAGAAGCTTCATTCTAGATGGCTGGGTGGGAATTCACCCTAGACATAGTTCTTACTCAAACACACCATGAATCTAAAGTGAGACAATTTTCTTGAATTCTCTGAATATCAGCTGTGAGTCCCTCATCTCTTTGGAACCTACATGAGCAATCTTCTCCCTATATCAGGCTTCCACTGACAACCTGTTTATTGACTTCTCAAGGATTTTCCAATGATCAAAAATATATTTTTGTATTTTTTCAGGAATTTTCTATACCATTTTTATGGTTAACCATCATGGGAGATTAAAAAATAACTTTTCTGAGAGAGATCATCTATAAATTAGAACATGCTTATATGTATATACTTAAATTCCACTGGGGCCTCATGGAGAGGGGAAGAGTGAATGGGTAGGAAGGTGGAGAGTACTGCCAGCATGCTTTGATCTTGAGCATCATTAAGGTGTTGGTAGAAGAAAAGTCCAAGTCTAGCTGATATGGAGTTTACCTTCCCGTAACACACTTTTCTGTATCAATAACGTACATGATAAATAGATATGGCCAGCCACACATGACTTAGTTTCTCTGTTAAGCTCCTGGTATGATACTTCCATTTCAAAGAGAAGACTGGAGATTTACCACTATGAAGGGAAACAGAGGAAGGTGATGGCATAGGTCAGGGATGGGCAAACTTCCATTGTGAAGGGCCAGATAGTAAATATTTTAAGTCTTGGGTCATTTGGGGGCATCCAGGCTCTGAAGGAGGGAGTGAATTTGCTCTTTGTTTGACTTTTTGTTCCATTCAGGACCTCAGCTGATTGGATGATGCCCACCATATTGGGGGAGGATCTTCCTCACCCAGTCTACCAACTGCCATGCCAATTTCCTCCAGAAACACCCTCACAGACACACCTGAGTAGCCGAATCATTCTAATTGAAAGCTAAACCACCTGGATTTTCCTTACAGCAGAAGAGGAACAAGGTCAGTGCCTACTGAAGCACTGAGAATAATGAATGTTTTCCCAGCTACCTGGGTATCCCTTAATTCCGTCAAGTTGACACTTAAGTCAACTATCACAAAACTTAAGAAAAGCAATTTTTCTGAGTTAGGGAATGTAAAGAGAAATTGTATAAAATTAGCTTTTAGTTTTAAAAAAGGACGCAGAAATAAAAGAGCCTATCTCCAGCTGGCTGAAGGCCTGGGAAGAAAATTATCTGACAATGTTATTTGGGAACTGCAGCACAAATGGTTTCTAGAAGGACTCATTGAACATTTGCAGGAAGAGAAGCACGTAGAAGTCAAATCGTATTTGTAAAAGGAGTAGAGTGAAAGACAGAGCTTTACTTTTTTGTCATGCAACAGGATTCCATCTGAGATGAAACTTGGAGCCATCACCTTTCCCACTCAGACCTGTTCCATTTTCACAATGTGACCTCTTCAGAGAGCAAAATCAATAATGTGTCTGTCTCAAAAGCTCTGGTTGTGATACTTACTTTTAAGGCTTATCATGACTTTCATAAAAACAGCAATAAATGTCCTAATAAATGTGCAATTCTAAATAACATAAGGATATTTTCTTAAACTGGCTGAGGGCAACCCCCTATTCGGTCATTTACCTCTGTGGATCAGATAGATCGTGACTAATATCAACTCTAAGTCTTAGTTTACCAAGAACAGCTTCAGCAGACTAGAGAGTTATGATGCACAATTAAAATGAGAATTACAGTCTGTTTAGTTTTTTCTCTTATGTGAACAAGTTCAGTCAATATAGCATTTTTGTCCTTGCATAATTTTGGCACTGAGAATCATCTCATGATTGCTAAAATCCCTGCAGGAACTTTCATATGACTATGTGGTACATACTGAATGCAGATTCAGAATAAAGTCAACAAAGGCAAGAAGAGGCAAGCTGGAGGGACGCTGCGAAAGGGAGAGAGAAAAGGACAGGTCTGATGACCTTATTTGAAGTCCTAGACTTGGATATCCCTAAAACCAATTTAAGCCTTGGTATTCTAGTTATATGCACTAACACCAGTTATTGAGGTATAGCTGACATTACAACACAAAACACCCAGATATTAAAGGCACGATTTGATGCATTTTGGCAAATGTATACACTCTTGTAACCCACAACCTCTTTTAAGACACAAAATATTTCTATCATCTTGTAGAGTTCCTCCATGAACAACAATCCTCCTGCTATGCCCCAGAAGCAACCATTGTTCTTATTTCTATGTTCTTGGGTTATTTTTGACTATTCTTTAACTTCAAATAATAGAATCATTGAATGGTTCTGTTTCTATTTTCTTTTGTGTCTATCTTCTTTCACTCAACATGTTTTTGAGGTTCATATATGTTGTTGCATATAGCAGTAGTTATTTTTATTAATGAATTTTAACTTATAGTATGAATATGCTGCAATTCATTTATTTGTTTACCTGTTGACTGACATGGAGCTACTTCTGAGTTTTCATGATTTTAAATGAAGTTGATGTAAACATTCTAATATCCCTGTACAAGACTTTTGGTGGACATGCTATTTTTATTTGTGAGGAACGTAAATACCTAGTGGTATAATTTCTGTTTCATGGGTAAGTATATAGATTTATTAGAAAGTGTCAGTTTTCAAATGAGTTGTACTATCTTACACGTCTCTGTGTCCGGAATTAGCTCCTTCTGGTGGGTTCTTGGTCCCACTGACTTCAAGAATAAAGCCGCAGACCCTCATGGGGAGTGTTACAGTTCTCAAAGATGGTGTGTCCAGAGTTTGTTCCTTCAGATGTTCAGCTGTATCTGGAGTTTCTTCCTTCCAGTGGGTTCGTGGTCTTGCTGACCTCAGGCGTGAAGCCGCACACCTTTGCAGTAAGTGTTACAGCTCTTAAAGGTGGTGCGTCCGGAGTTGTTTGTTCCTCCGGTGGGTTTTTGGTTTCACCAACTTCAGGAGTGAAGCCACAGACCCTCGAGGTGAGTGTTAACAGCTCATAAGGGTAGTGTGGACCCAAAGAGTGAGCAACAGCAAGATTTATCGTGAAGAGCAAAGGAACAAAGCTTCCACAGCATAGAAGGAAACCCTTAGCAGGTTGCTGGGTGGCCAGCTTTTATTCCCTTATTTGGCCCCACCCACATACTGCTGATTGGTCCATTTTACAGAGTCCTGATTGGTCCATTTTGCAGAGGACTGATTGGTCCATTTTACAGAGTGCTGATTGGCCCGTTTTTACAGAGTGCTGATTGGTGCTTTTACAAATCTTTAGCTAGACACAGAGTACTGACTGGTGCGTTTTTACAGAGTGCTGATTGGTGTGTTTACAAACCTTTAGCTAGACACAGAGCACTGACTGGTGCGTTTTTTACAGAGTGCTGATTGGTGCGTTTACAAACCTTTAGCTAGACAGAAAAGTTCTCTGAGTCCCCACTCCACCCAGGAAGTCCAGCTGGCTTCACCTGTAACTTCCAGCAACACATACTTGCCAAAATTTGGTATTGTCAATGATGTGGTTTGGCTGTGTCCCCACCCAAATCTCATCTTGAATTGTAGCTCTCATAATTCCCACGAGTTGTGGGAGGGACCAGGTGGGATAATTGAAGTATGGGTGATTTCTCCCATACTGTTCTCACAGTGAACAAGTCTCATGAGATGTGATGATTTTATAAGGGGTTTCTCCTTTTGCTTGGCTCACATTTCTGTCTTGTGTGCCGTCATGTAAGACATGCCTTTTGACTTCTGCCATGATTGTGAGGCCTCCCCAGCCACGTGGTACTGTGAGTGCATTGAACCTGTTTTTCTCTGTAAATTACCCAGTCTCAGGTATGTCTTTATCGGGGGCATGATAATGGACTGATAGAGTCGGTTTTTATAATTTTAGGTATTCTGTCTATAAAAGTTATTTGCCTATTTAAAAATTTTTCATTTTTTGTATTTTTGCAATGTTTTGTGAAACTCTTATATGTGATAGATATAAGCACTTGGTCAGACACATGAGTTACAAACATTTTTTTTTAGTATGTGACCTCTCTGTTCATTTTCTTAATGAAGTCTTTTGATCGTTGGAAGCTTTTACATTTGATGAAGGACAATGGTAGTAGACACTGTTGGTGCCTAACTCAGGTCTTCTTTGTTAATGGTTCTCCCATTCCTCGGGTAATGTGACTTTGGCTGTAAAAGGCTTATTGCAATAGCCTTCTCAGGAGAACCGGCCTCAGTCAATGGGAGCCATCTCATCTAGAAACAGCTGGGAGTCCATGTGCTCTTCTGGTGTGGCTTAGACAAATGACTGCATAATATGAGGGTATAAACGGCATGTCCACTGACCTCCATGTGGAATGACTATGAGGTGTCATTTTTGTTCTGGAACTCTCTATGGGATTAAACAGAGGCTGGATGCCAGCTGACCCCACTTCTTTCCTGAGCTTCTTCCTCTGCCCTATCTGCTTCCCTTACTTTCACAGATTTCTCTTGCAGTCACTCAGTAAATGTCGCATACAAGAATTTCTGTCTCTAGAGAACTGACTCTAAAACGCCAACTCATCGATTTTTCTGCCTCTAGAGAGCTTACTCTAAAACACCAACTCATCAATTTTTTTTTCTTTTATTTTTTTCTCTTGAGACAGGATCTTGTTCTGTCACCCAGGCTGGAATGCAATGGTGTAGTCTTGGCTCACTGTAACCTCCACCTTCTGAGCTCAAGCAATTCTCCTGCCTCAGTTTCCCAAGTAGCTGGGACTACAGGCACACACCACTGCACCCAGCTAATTTTTGGATTTTTTTGTAGAGATGGGGATTGCCATGTTGCCCAGGCTGGTCTCAAACTCCTGAGCTCATATGATCCACCCACCTCAGCTTCCCAAAGTCCTGGGATTATAGGTGTGAGCCACCATGCCTGGCCTCCAGTTTTTTTTTTTTTGTTGTTTGTTTGTTTTTTTATGCTTAGTTTCTTGTTTACAGCCTAAGAAATCTCTGCCTACCCCATGTCATGAAGCTATTCTTTTGTTTGCCTTGAGGAGCTTTATCATCTTACTATTTATATTTATTTCGGCTGAGGATCTATTTTTAATTAGTTTTTGTGCATGACATAAGAATCAAGTTTTATTTTTATTTTTTCTTAAAAACATTCAGGTGTTCCAGCACATTTTTTTCCCTAAATAATTGTATTATCACCATTGTAAACAATCAGTTGACCACATACTTCTGCAACATTTATTTTCATTTTCATTTTAACTAGTTTGGAATGGGTTTCTATTTTTTGGACTGAAAAGTCCTGGCTAATTTAAGGTATCCTTTTTATTTGGCTTTCCACTAGGGCTGCTAGATTTAGCAAATAAAATGTAGGACACTGCCTTATTCTGTTTTCTGCTGCTATATCACCACAGACTGGGTCATTTATAAAAAAGAGAGTTTATTTGGCTCATGGCTCTGGAGAATGGGACGTCCAAGAGAATGGCACTACATCTGGTGAGGACCTTCTTGCCACATAATTCCATGATGGAAGGTGGAAGGGCAAATCAGTGCAAGAGACATTGAGAAAAAGTGGATCTAACACCCACAATAACTAACCTGTTCTGGTAATAATGACACTAATCCATTCATGAGGGCAGAGCCTTCTTGACCTAATCATGTCTTAAAGGCCCCATCTCTTAGTATGATTACAATGGCAATTAAATTTCAACATGAGTTTTGGAGGGGGCATTCAAACCAGAGCAGATACCAAGTTAAATATGAATTTCATGTATACAACAATTTTTAATAAATATATTCCACAAAATATATGGGACATACTTGTACTAAAAAAGTATTAATGTATAACTGAATATCCCCTACTTTGTGAATATTTAATATTGCATCTAATACAAATGGGCATCATGTATTGTATCTGAAAAGCCTACTTCCACCTGACTTACTGAATTCTGATGTTCTGCATCTTGTCACTGCCTTTTGTCTGACCTTCTCCTATCTCATCTTTCCAACTACCTGCAAGATGAGGCTTTCCAAACCTCTTCACTCTGATGTCTTAGTTCTCCTGTCTGGAAAGCTGGAATGGACAATTCACACTCTTATCACAATCTTCGACTCTCTTGGCTGTCAGCTACCAAAGAAACTTGATTATTTTTAAAATAATGTTCCACTTCTGAGGTGCAAATTCGATGTTATTGACCTGTCAGAACAGACAGAGAGGTGTTATGACTTCCTGACTCTCGTCAGCAGTGGGAGTGGGTTTAGGTCAATCAACTCATATCCTTACACCTGAAGCTCGGTACTAGGACTCCAGCTGCCACCTTTGACTACTAGACAGTGCCAAACTATCAGACTTTGGGGAAATTTAATCTGTGATTATGACACCATGAGGATCAATTTGTGAGCCGCTGAGAACACACCTCCCCTAACCTGCACACAGGCATTACAACCCTCAGCCATGGAGTGGGAAGACTGTGGAACTCTCCATAGAGATTGTGAGAGATGCAAAGTGAGGAGGGCAGGCATGGAGGGAAGATCACAAGCCCACAGCCTGTTCCGCAGTAACACTTTCTTTCCTTACCAGGAGACAAGGATTTTAAAAGTGCAGATGTTGTCTTATCGTGAAGTATTGCCTGACTCTCTAAGATGAGATGAATCAAATGCAGAATCACAGACGGTAACAAGCTAAAGCCTCATTATGGATTCTTGGTGACAGAGGCAAATTTCCTGCAAAGCCAGTGAAACACAAGGCCCTCCTTTGATTAATTACAAATTTTGTATTTTTAATTAATTTGTTTTTCTATTTTTAAGAAGATCTCCCAAAAGGTGTGAGTTTTAGGCTCCACAAAGCCTGAAGCTTACCCTTCTCATTGCTATGAGGGCAAAGACAGGGATGTGCAGATTGGAAATTCATGGCCCATGGACATGGTGGTCCCTCTCTTGGCTCATCTATCTGTCTCACAACCTTCAGGCCAGTCCCCAGTAATCTACACCGGACAACAGCTCTGAGACCAGGATTTAGTTATAATTTGCTTCTGTAATCTCTCTGAAGAGAGCATTCCAAGAGTACCTCTTTCTGCCCTGCTCTGCTCATGCATATTCTTTTCCTTCCCAACACATTTTTAACCACCCTCCAAGGCAGTAATTTAGTTCACATACTTGTGAACCAAAGTTACTTTGTTTCTGTAAAAGCAATGCAAAAGTAAGGCTGCATAGGCTTGATTTTGAATAAAAAACACATGAAATAAAAATTTTGATCTACTCCCATTAATGCAGTATTGCAAAGGCTAGTACATTCTGAGTGTTTATTAACTAAAGAACAAAACAGCAACGATTGATGTACAAAAATATGTAAAGTTATGTCCTACTTTATGAATATTTAATATTGTATCTAATACAAACTGTTATGTAAAATCTAAACTTAAAAAATCTCTTAAAGAAGTAAATTCTTGAATGACATTTGGCAGAGTCTCTAAATTGAGCTCCCTTAGTTCTTTTAACAGATTATTCTGGTTGATTATAAATCTATTTCTGATAAATTTCTAGAACAGTCTTTATGAGTAAATAGTAATGTACTTACATTTAGCCCCTCTAAAAATGTTTGATTTATTATCACCAGAATTAGAGAATTATACATTTTACCTTGTTCTGGCTAGAACTATTAGATAATTACAGAAGTTTAGTAGCTTAGTTGTTTAAATTTTGCTAAAAGCTTTACTGTGATTCTGATTCTGTTTGTTTCACACACATACCTGCAAATCATTCCACTAATCTATAATTATTTTAAACTATGCTTAGTACTTAGGAAACAAAGTAGAAAATATCTTGGAATATCATTAAATTTTTTTCTTATGATTTACTTATATACACTTCTTTATTCTACTTTATAAAATGTATTTTTATATATCATTTAATCTTTATAACACTCTTATGACACAAGCTGAGCAGGTAATTTTTTCTTTATTTTAGAGGTCAAATATCTTAAAAGCAGACACAAAGTTGGTACGTAGATTTATAACGTGTATCTTGGAACTCTTTCTACTGAATTTTGTATGCCGCCTCTTCCTTTCTTTATCCTCCTCTTTATCTGCCTGACCAATTGGTATGTACCTGCTTACTGTGTGCTCAAAATTAGAAAAGTTATATGGACATTGACTTCAATGAGATTAAAGTTTAGTTGGCAGGATATATACATATGTACACACATACATATATATATACACCTATATATGCATGTATGTGTGTGTGCACAAATTTACATATATATGCGTATATAGATACTATTACAAATATATGCATATACAGACACTAATTATTTTAAGAATCATACAAAATGGCATATCAACAGCTGTCTCAAGATGTGATTTATATATTTATTTTGAAAATTTATTTAGGGCCCTACTGTGTAAGAACCAAATGAAAGCTTCTGATAAAAGCTCTTGCTGACATTTAGAGGGAAAGGGACATTTGGGTTGGTCAAAGAGAAAAACATAACCTTCCTGAATCCTTATGAATCTTCATGGATCTTTAAGGAGAGTGAGACGAGGATAGGCAGAGAGAAGATGACAGGTCATTAAGGGGAAGAAGTCTGGAGGCAAGAAAGAACAAGAGTACCGTGGGCACTGGTGAAGCTATTTGACTGCTCAGAGAAGAAGGATTTGGTAAAATAGTATGTATTTGCATACAGAAATGGGCACAAATTGTGGAAACCTCATATTCAACATGAACATCAATTTCTTAACTATTGATAATGCTCATAGTTCCACCATTGACTCTCTTATTGTCTACAAAGATAGTTTTTAGAGGGTTATTGATCCTTTGAGAATTTGTTTTACATAACAAATTTTGCCTTATTAATGTATATATAAGAATGCATAATTTTATGAGGTTAAGGACCTTAAATGCCCCTGAGGCTGATCTGAAGACTTCTAGGGTTAGAAAATCTTCCTGCACACTCTAACTAGAACCTAAATCTCTTTCCTAAACTCCAGATCTACATATTCAGTTACCTACATTCTGATGCCCCAAATGCAACTAATTATGTATCTTAAATAATCAATTTATCTGATATTTCATGACAGAATAATTCAGTACCCCTACCTACAGTAAATGGCAGAATGGTAGATCCTACACATAGGCACCGAAGCCAGAAATTCAGGAGACACTCTTGGCCCTACCTCCTCCTTTCTTACCACTTGTTAATTTCTCAGACAATGCTTCTTCCCACCCAATAAGCTCTTTCGCTATTTATGGGTTTTATCATTTCTACCCTGGATTGTCACAACAGCCTTTTAACTATGGTCTCTGCCTCCAGTCTTGCTTCTCCCTTCCAGTTTATTCTCCCTATTGTTAGAGGAGTAACTTTAGTAACACTAATAAGAAATCTGATCACATCCTTCACCTGCTGAAGATTCTTCAATGATTCCCCCAATGTCTTAAATAATACAATTGATACTCTGATATCGTACAGATATTTGTCCCTGTCCAAATCTCTTGTTGAAATGTAATCCCCAGTGTTGGAGGTGGGGCCTGATGGGAGGTGTTTGCGTTATGAGGGCAGATCCTTCATGGCTTGGTGCTGTCCTTGCCACAGTGAGTGAGTTCACTTCACAGGAGATCTGGTCATTTAAAATGTGTGGCACCTCCCCTTTGTCTTGCTCGCACTATGTGACATGCCTGTTCTTACTTCATTTTCTGCCATGAGCAAAAGCTCCCTGAGACCTCCTAGAAGCTAAACAGAAACTGGTGCCATGATGCTTATACAGTTTGCAGAAACATGAGCCAATTAAACCTCTTTTCTTTATAAATTACCTAGTCTTGAGTATTTCTTTATAGCAAACAAGAATGGCCTAATACATCCTCCTCAGTAGGACGAGGTTCAGCCTCTATTTTCTTTGCTGGCCTCGTGCCTTTCACATGCCCACTCTTAGCTTCACATCTGTGCGTTGCTGTATGTTTTCTCCTGCTGAAAATGTGCTAAGATTGTCTTCTTTCCCTGGCCAATACCAATTCATCCTCAGAGATGCAGCCCCTGAATCATGCTGTTGTGCACCCTTTTCTCACCTCTCAAATCCCAGAAAGGTGCCGGTCCTCTGCATAACCATAGTGCTCTGGTCTTAAATCTATTAGGACAATTTTTAACATCAGAATTTCCTGTTTCCTGTCTGTCTCTTCCTAAAGTTGTGACTCCTCTGAAACTTGGGGCGGTTCATTAGTTTCCGGTGCAGTGTCCCCGCATGAATATCAGAATGAATAAATGCTGTAGGCCAGCGGTTTTCAAACTGTTCCCAGGTGCTCCAGAGAACACTTCCATGATGGCACAGACATGAAATGTTTTCTTAGAAACAAAAATTTAAACCATCCAAAGAAATTATTCATGTCTAATTGGCAATTTCCTATTTCTCAATTCCTATAATATATTTGCCAAAAAAAGTTACACTCTAAAAAATATTTTTGCAGGTAATAATGACAAATTTTTGAATTAAGGACTAATAGGATAATACTGTTTTGATAACAATTACTTGGCAGAGTGAGCAATAGGTATTGGAAAATGGCAAATAATTGATCTAGTGAGAAATATAGATTAACACAATTCGTTTCTAAGTCCAATAAAATGTACATTTATTTTTTAAACATTTCTTTTGTTTCTAACAGGGGGCTTTGGATTTTAAAACATTTCTTTTCTAAGAAATGTTAAAACTAGTGCCATGATGCTTATGCAGTTTGCAGAAACATGAGCCAATTAAACCTCATTGGCTGTTGAGGTTTAGCAGGAGGCTTTGCATTTTAATAGCAAGCACTTTTGTTCAGCTCCCTATCTTGGTCATATATGGTAAAGTTCAACATTCTAGAAGTCGACAATGCCACACATTCAGTATTTTCAAATCCTAGCAAAAACAGAAAACATCCACTATGTATGCTCTAAAAATATGATTTCTACTTTTAAAAAAACTGAATACTCACCTGTGGTTTATTGTCCAAAAGTTTTTAAAAAGTAGAAAAGACTTTGCATCCTGAATAAAATGCGATTGACATTTCATATTCCTTACTTCTGAAGTACAAAAAAAGTGAAATGGTCTTCCCCAAAAGGAAAGCTCTCTCTTATATTTATGTTTAAAAATAAACAAAAATTCCCTATTGGATGATCATCTAAAAAGTCCCAGTCTATAGAAAATATATACTCTGACTTTTAAATGTCGACCAGCCTTGGAAATCTATATGACATAAACTTTTGCCAAAAAAATCAATCTTGAGTTATGATTTGATTAGCAGAAAATTGCTATCACATTTGTTTCTACATTTGTCTACCTCATGTCCTTTTCATTCATAGGCTGGCTGATTCAAACCTTCTTTAAAAACTCCCCGAGAAAGTCTGTGACATTAAAATGTCCTTTGATGCTCTTTCGCTAAGCAGTGAATATTAACAGTTATGGTGACCCTGTTCCCTAATGTGTCTCAGCAGGATCAATAGCAGTTAAGTGCCACTGTTTTACAATTAAAAAGGGGATCATTTTAAATTTAAAAGCTCGTAGCTAATTTTCTTCTTGGCACTTAATGGCATAATTCATTTTTGAAAAACCTCATTGGGAGAACATAGACTTTTTTTTTTTTTTTTTGGTGGCAGCACAGGAAGAGGCTAGTTTCGCACCCCTTGTTGCCTCTGACATGATTTGTAGTGTTCCTTCATTAAGCTGTCAGCAGGGCATCCGTAAAATTCTCTCCAAAATAGGGACCCGGATGGAGAGCATGAGCAAGCATGGCGATTCTCTGTAAAACTGTTCAGCAGCCAGTTTTCTTGGAACTTTCTTTCTGAATGCTGCTGTTTTCAGCCAATCTTGCATTTTTGTTCACAATTTTTTCCTCATTTTCACTATTCTTTTTGGCGACTGCCTCCTGTTCCCTATTAGGAACCTAGGCACATGACAGGTGGTTCAGAGCAGTGCATACATATTTCCAACATGTAATTGGCCAACATTATGCTGGAAATGTCATTCTGATTCTACCTCATTGACATTGCAGAGAGCCTCAGCTTCTTTCCACACAACGATGGCTTTCCTTTTCCCCAATTACAACAGTAACAGAGGCATCAAGTTACATATACACTATATCCCTGGGGATAAGCACTTATATAGATCCACTTTGGGGTAAGTCTCATGTCTGCTTATGGAATTTACATTATCTTGAGGCAAATGAGAGAGATACTGTCATTTATATTTGTTGCTTGAACTTAGAAGAATATATTAATGCACTTAGTCCTTTTTTGAGGTATTTTTGAATGTCTATTTTAAAAGTCAAAGATATTTACTTTTCTCCTAAATAATACTACTACTCCTAGGAATTAAAAAAGGGAAGAGTTGAATACAAGGCACTGTGCTTAGAGCTTTATACATCTTTTTTCTATCCTTCTAACCTTACAAAATGGACATATTTTTCATAAACTACAGATGAAGACAATCTCAGAGAGGTTAGGTTAGCGGCTTAAAGTCACACAGCTTACAAGTATTGCAAATGAGACAAAAGTCTTGAACTGCCTTGCTTCTAAACCTCTCATCTTTCAACCACAGTGTCTATCACATTCAATGAAACTGCTTTAGGTTTACCTATATATCCTTAGACTTACATTCAAAACTAAACTCCTAAGAATTCATAGGTTTTTCAAGAACATTTCCAGGATACTAGTAGTTAGAAAATTAGGACCAGTCAAAATATATTACATTGTTATTCATGTAAAATTTAATCTATTTTTACAATTGTTTTTGACTTTTGTTAGTTTAACACAGTATGTCTATCACAGACCACGAGCTGTTACTCATTAAAGACTAGATGAAATATTCCACCTTATTCAGTTTTTTGTGTGTGTCTGATAATTGCCTCTGTAAATATAAATTTTTGGTGGAATGCTAATTTTCCAGGGGCATATGCATATTATATTAGAGTTTGGAATGGAATATTAGAGCATTCAAGGCCCAATGTTCTCTGAGATTTGAATTAATTTCTACTACAGAAGTTTATATCCAATTGAAATTTTCATAAATGCCCCCCTCCCCACTATTATTCTGTAAAAATATTATTTTAAGAAATAATATTATTTTTACAAAATAATAATAATTGTGGGAAGGGGGACATTTATGAAAATTACCATGCCTTATAGAAAATAGAAGTGATTGTAATTTAAAAAAACGTATGTATACAAAACTCATTTTCCCTCTTTCTTCTTTTTCTGTCCTTTTCCCTTTCCTCCTTTCCTCCCTCCCTTTCTTCTTTTGCCTTCTTCCTTTTTAAATATTTTTCGAACATGTTAAAATCTAATATAGCCTTTGAATTCATTTTTCTTCTTTTCACCAGACATTGGTGTGCAAGTGGCAAAAAGAGTCCTGTCCCAGCACTGCAAGGGGAAGATAAAGGCTCGTCATCTGTGCGTGCGTCCATCTGAGTGGAACGTGTGTCCCGGGGGCTGCTGCCACCGCGCCGGTCCCTCCTGTAATCCGAGCCCGTGTCAGAGGACGCGGCGCCTGCAAGGCAAGTGCGGTGGCTCGGGTTGCCCTTCGCGCGCTGGTCTAACACGCCACCTTAAAACACAATTAGCCGCTGACACCAGGTGCTGCCCGGTTCTTGCCACGCTGCACTTCTCACGTTTCTCGTAATGGTGTTTGTAAAGTGCTCCCCCTTCTCAGTTAGCAGGGCTGCTCCTTCCACTTCCCCGTTCACCTGTGCAGTTGCCGGGGTCTCAGGGAGCCCGCCGCTGGCAAACAGGCTCTGCTAAGCGCAGCGTCCGCGCCCAGTGGTGGCAAAATAGCTGAAAGCCTGTCATCAGGCAAAATTTATTCCACATGCTGTTGATGAAGCCAATCAGTGCTGTGACTCTCCCCTTTTGTTTATGTTTAAAGAAGAGACGAAGGAAAGCGTCTATAAATAAGCTCAAGCAACATCGTCGCTGCGTGTGTCCGTTTCTTACTGTTGCGTGCTGGGCATGGAGGGGTTCGATCCCCCGGTTTCACACTCTGCCCCTCTTTGAAGTGGCTGCAGGTTCCCGGGCTGCTTTGTACATCCAAAGCCCCGCTCCTCTGCATCCCTGCAATAAGCAATACCTGCTTCATTTTTTTTTCCCCGTGGTAATTATCCTTTTATATTTACATAAAGGGGCTGCCCTCTGAGTGGGCATAAATGCTGACGACCATAGGAGTTAGTTACTCTGTGCCTGCCTGAATTGCATTAGCTGCTAATTACTCTGAGGTCTCCCTAATGTCTCTGGTCTTCTCCACTAAAGCACACTGTGTAATTTAAATTTACATTGTGTCATATTACACTGGGGTTATGACACAGCCAAGTGTATTTTGACATTACACTTTGTTTTCCCCCTAACGGTGCTTGCAGGAAGAAGGGTTGCCGCAGGTGTGGCCAGATCCTCTAGGCAAGAGGTGTGGATTCAGGTCCTACTAGTCTTACTCCTGATGAAGCTGGGCAAATCAGTTGGCTCTGGAGTAATTAGTAGCCCCTTCCTCACTGACCATTGCAAGGTAAGTGTTTTTGCATTCTTTCTGTTCTGGTGAGAGATTACGTGTTTATGAAATGCTAGTTCGGCGATTTACATTTATTTCTACAGCACCCCATGAACTGGGCGTCATTATTCTCGTTTCACTGCAAGGAAAATGGTACTACTCAGCTTTATGAAGCAAATTCTCTCAAGACCATCCTCTCAGAGAGTGGGTGCAAGGCCCGAATGTGAATCCTGGTCTCTGAGTCTCCTAAGTACTAGTGTGCACCCCTACACCATAGGATTAGGTGATACATTGGAAAACCAAAAGAGTTACATTGTTGTAGGGTTGAGGTGTGTTTATATGTATTATGCAGATGTATCTTCATTGATATAATTTTTATTTATTTATTTTTTTGAGATGGAGTCTCGCTCTGTCACCCAGGCTGGAGTGCAGTGGTGTGATCTCAGCTCACTGCAACCTTCACCACCTGGGTTCAAGTGATTCTCCTGCCTCAGGCTCTCGAGTAGCTTGGACTACAAGCGTGCACCACCTGGCCTGGCTAATTTTTTTTTTTTAAGACAGAGTTTCGCTCCTGTTGCCCAGGCTGGAGTGTAATGGCGTGATCTCGGCTCACCACAACCTCTGCCTCCCGGGTTCCAGCGATTCTCCTGCCTCAGCCTCCCGAGTAGCTGAGATTACAGGCATGTGCTACCACTCTTGGCTAATTTTGTATTTTGAGTAGATATGGGGTTTCTCCATGTTGGTCAGGCTGGTCTCAAACTCCCAATGTCAGGTGGTCTGCCTACCTCAGCCTCCCCAAATTTTGGGATTACAGGAGTGAGCCACCAGGCTGGGCCTAATTTTTTAATTTTTAGTAGAGATGGGGTTTTGCCATGTTGGCCAGGGTAGTCTTGAACTTCTGACCTCAAGTGATCCACCCACCTTGGCCTCCCAAAGTGCTGGGACTATAGGCATAAGCCACCATGCCTGGCCAATTTTAAATTTATTTTATTTTTAAAAATAAGAACAGGGTCTTGCTATGTTGTCCAGGCTGGTCTCTCTAATTCCTGGCCTCAAGTGGTCCTCCTGCCTCTGTCTTCCAAAGTGCTGGGTTTATAGGCATAAGCCACCACACCCAGCCTGATATAATATTTGATTAACTGATCTTCACAAACACCATACACAGTAGGTCAGACCTGTTGCTCATGCAACATTGCAGGTCATTCCACAGGTTCGAGGTGAACAGGCAATCTGCCATGGGCCAGATTGCCAGAAACTCCCATCGGCCCTTTGTCCAACAAAGCACACGTTACCTCTAGCACATTTTAAAATTTGTTGTTGTTCTACCAACTTGATCACTAAAATTCAGTGTTCCAAACTAGCTCTTGCTTTTATTGGATACTTTTGAGTGCTATAGAACTGTATGACACATTCTCAGGAATGGAGGTTCAGGAGTAGCAAGACACGAGTGCAGTACCTTTTCTGTTATGTCAGTTCAGGGGTATAACTTCTATTAAAAAACAGAGTTAGTCTCTGCTGCTCCAAGCAGGGAATCATACTCAAAAGACATTTGACAGTAATCAGAGCAAAATTTCAGGCTAATGCTAAGACTCTCTGAAGTTAACATGGTTCAATAAAAGGTATTAGCCTTTTTCATAGTTAGCCCAGTCGTTCTGGGATGAAGCTGCCATATCATGAGCAAACAGAGGGGCAGAGAGTTGTAGTAGAGTAAAGGGCATGATTTGAAAGCTAGCTCCACTCTTCACTAGCTCAAGGGAACAGGCAAGTTACCAATTCCTCTGAGGCTCAGTTTTCTCTTTTGCAAAGTGGAGATAATAAATACACATCTATTTTTTGGAAATACAAGGACAAAGTAAAATGGGGATCTAATAGCTTCTGGTACAGAATAGGAACTCAAGGCAAATCTTCCTCTTCTTCCTTCTTTTTCTCTTCATTGTCTTCTTTCCTTACTTATTCTATATCTTAGATTTTACTACTGCATTCCAAAGACAATGGAAGCTGACTTCTCCCTTTCTTACACCGCTGGCATTTCACTGAACAACCTCCTGTCTCTTCCGCATTTTTGGTGTTTCTCGCAGCCTTGTGGCCATTCCCATGGCCTTTCTCACTTTCTGTGTTTTTTCCGACCTTCCAGCCACCTTTCCCAATGCTGGCGGACTTGTCCTTCTGAAATTTAGGCCAAGCCATGTCATTCCATTTTATTTATTCAATACTGACTTCTTCAAATCTTCAAAAAGTAAAGAAGCCCAGTTTTTTTGTTTGTGTGTTTTTACTGATTTTTACTCAAGTATATTTGATGATGGGGTAACTATTAACAGTTTATGGAGTATTAGAAATACAAGAATCACAATTTGAGAATCAAAAAGCTACACGGTAGCCTCCCCCTTATCTGCAAAGGGTAGCATTAAGCCCCATATATACTGATTTTTCCTGTGTATACCTAGCTATGATAAATTTAATTTATAAATTAGGCACAGCAAGAGAGTAACAAGAAAACTAATAACAAAGTAGCAGAATTATAACAATATACTGTAATACAAGTTACCAATGTGGTCTCTCTCTTTTTTTCTCTCTCTCTCAAAATATCTGATTGTGTTGTACTCACCCTTCTTCTTGTGATGATGTGAGATGACAAAATGCCAAGTAATGAGTTGAGGTGAGGTGAATGACTTAAGCATTGTGGTACAGTGTTTAACACTTGTGAATTATTTATTTCTAGAATTGTTTATTTAATATTTTCAGACCACCATTGACCTCAGATAACTGAAAATGTGGAAAGAGTAACTACAGATAAAGAAGAACTATGATATAAAGCTTTTTGTTTGGCTTCATGGAAGCATTTCTTCCTCTTCCATTATTACTTTGTTGATGACAGTAAAGAGAAACATTGTCAGTAGGTCCATTTTTAGGCTCACGTTTAATGAGCATTTACTCTATGGCGGGCACTGTGTTAGGTATTTTACATGTACCATATTGCTTTAATCTTTCTCAACCCCTATTAGGAAACAGCTATTAATATTATTTTCCAGAGTGAAAAAGAGGCTGGATAACTCTTCTAAGCAGTTAGGTAGGCTAGTTGAGCTGGGATATAAATGGAAATTGGGTTGATGCCATTTTCAAGCAGGCAGACCTATTTTGGCGTTCTGTTTGCACCCAAGGACTATTTTAAAAGTTTGGCACACATCAGGACATTTGCCAATCCAAATTCTTCTAAGATGCACTTGCCTTGTTGTAATTAGGGAAGGGCCTCTGACACTCACATCTGAAATACAGGGAAGACATTTAGATGAAACTTTTAAAAAGACTACATTTGTTCTCTCAACTCTGTCTTGTTTTAGATCTGCTTGTGCCTCCAGTCATGTTGTAAATGAAATCAATTATTACCCCTGCTTTCTGATTTTCCACCAAGAGCTAAAATTTCTACCACTCTTTTTTTTATTATTACTAAGGGGTTTGTAGTTTAAGATGATTTATCTCCTTTGGTTTAATAACAGGAGGTTGGGATTTCAATCCTGAGTTTGGTTCAGAAATAAAGTAAAACCACATGGTCTGCAGGTTGAGGGGAGAAGGCAAATACCCATGCTAGAGTATAAAGAGAACTTGTGGGGAATCACAACAGCTATGAACATCCTGCTGCATGGTTTCTTGTCTGTCCCATTAAACAGTGCACACTGCAGCCTCAAAACTGAGTGGAGGGCCTCCTTTGGATGACATGAGACTGCTCATCGTCAAGAGAACAATTGAGTTTCTATCTGACCTATCTGAAAGTGGATAGTTGTGCGACCTCAAGCAAGCCACTTCTTTCTTCTGGATTTGGAGTTTTGTAATCCATATAGCGAACCCACCCCAGTGACCCTGGCATCTTGCTCTTTCTCAAACCCTGTAGGAGTCCTCATGCCTCTGCTTCCAAGGCTCCTTCTATCATGTTCCCCTTCCCTCAGATATCTGCAGCCTCACTTCTTTATGCCAAAGCGTGTATCATTGTTTAGCCTATTTTACTTTTTTAAAACTTTATTTTTAGAGCAGTTTTACATTTATGAAAGATTGCACAAAAAATAAAGTTCCCCTATAACCCTTCCTCCCCATCCCCCCTCCCTCAGTTTCCCCTATTATTAACATCTTGCAATAGTGTGGTCCATTTGTCAGAATTAATGAGTCAATGTTGATACATTATGGTCTACTAAATCCCATAGTTTACATTAGGGTTCAATCTTTAAGTTGTGCATTCTATGGATTTTAACAAATATATAATGATATGTATCTTTCATTACAGTATCATATAGAATAATCCCTTTGCCAAAAAAAAAAAACCCACACACAAACCCTGTATTCCATCTACACATTTCTCCCTCCTTTATCCCAAACCTCTGTCAACCACTGACCTTTTTACGGTCTCTTCACAGAATTTCAAATAGCTGGAATCATACAACATACAGCCTTTTCAGACTAGCTTCTTTCATTTAGTGATATGTATTTAAGCTTCCTCCATCACTTTTAATGCTTGATAGCTCATTTCTTTTTATCATTGAATAATACTCCACTATATGGATATTTTTCTTTATCCATTCACCTATTGAAAGGATGTCTTGGTTGCTTCCAACTACTGGAAATTGTGAATAAAGTTACTATAAACATGATGTGCAGATTTTCTTTTGGATATACATTTCCAATTTATTTGCATAAAAAACCAGCAGTGCAATTGCTGGAAGGTATGGTAAGCCTACATATAGCTTTGTAAAAGACACCAAACTGTCTTTGAAAATGGCTGTGTTAATTTACTTTTTTACTCTTAAAAGTTTAACTATATGGCTCACCAATTATGAAAGTGCCTCTTTTTTTACAGTTCCCTCAATGGAACCTGTTGCCAAACTTTCAGATTTTTGCCATTCTGCTAGGTGAGAAATTGTATTCCAGGGTAGTTTTCATTTATGGTTCTCTTTGTGTGAGATCTTGGCATGTTTCACGTGTTTGAGGGTTACTTGGTTTTCTATTTCTGTGAACTGGCAATTCATATCTCATGCTCATATTTCAATCAGGTTCTTAGTGGGTTTTTTGGCCTCTATTTTTAACAGGTCTATGTATACTAAGGGTGTAAATCTTCCATCCGTGGTATAAATTAGAAATATTTTCCCAAATTTGACATTTGTCTTTTTACTTTACTTTTTTTTTTTTACTATGACACATTGTCTTTATTGTAGTCAAATTTATAATTCTTTCCCTTATAACTTACTGATTTTGAATTATAGTTAGAAAAACATTTCTCTTCTGAGGTTATGGAAGAATTCATCTACTTTTTAAAATCTCTGATCCATTTTGGAATGTTTTCTGCTGTAAACTGTGAAAGAAAGATCAAATTTTATGTTATTCCATATGGTGATCCATGATCCTAACATCATTTATTAAAAGCTCGACTTTTTTCCCACTGATATTTCAGATGTCATTTTTATATAAGCCAAATTTCTATTTGGAATTGTAGACTCTTTCTGGGTTTTGTAATTGTTCTGTCCACCTGTTCATTTATGCAGGCATCAAAACATACCATTTTCTTTATAGTTCATTTATAATATTTTAATATCTGGTAATAAATATTTCCCAGTATTGCTGCAGAAGAATATTTTTATCAATTATTAAGATATAATTTATGTGCAATAAACTTCATTCATGTAAATTGTACAATTCAAAGTACTTTGATAAGTGTATTCACTGTGAAACCACTGCTACCATCACAATGCCAATAATTTCCAAAACCAGCGTACATTTCCTGTTGCCCCTTTGAAGTTCATTCTGCTCCTAGTAAATGAATGATCTGCTTTATGTCAATGTAGATTAGTTTGCATTTTGTAGACTTTAAAGTAAATGGAAACATGCCGTATTTATTCTTTTATATATCACTTCTTTGACTCAGCATAATTATTTTCAGAGTCATATTATGTGTCAGTAGTTTATTCCTTTTGTGATCAAGTAGAATTTCATATTATATGAGTAAACTACACTTTATCCATTCACCTGTTCATGGACATTTGGGGGGTTCCACTTGGCTCTTAAAAATGAAACTGCTATAAACATTTCTGTACGATGCTTTGTGAACATATACTTTCCAACCTTAGGTAGATACTTAGAAGTGGAATGCTGAGTCATGTAGTAGGTGTCTGTTGAATTTTTTTAAAACTGCAAACCGTTTTTTAAGGTTAATGTTCCATTTTACATTCCACCAAAGTTCCAGTTGTTGCATCTTTCATCAATGTGTGGTGTTGGCAGTCTTCTATATTTTGACTGTTATAATGGATATGTACTGGTATCACTTGGTGATTTTAATTTGGATGTATCTCATGATTCATAAAGTTGAGCATCTTTTAATGGGATTATTGGCATTATTATTTCTTTTAAGATGAGTATGTTCAAATTTTTGCCTTCTAAAATATTGTTTTTTATATTGGTGGATTATATGAGTTCTTTATGTATTCGGGATATATGTATTACAAATATTTTTATCATTCTATGCTCTGCTTTTAATTGTTTAAAATGCAAACTTTTTTACTTCATTACAATCATATTTATCATTTTAAATGGTTTGTGTGTTAAATGCCCAAGCTAAAAAATATTTGTCTATCCCAAAGTTGCAGAAATTTTTTCTACTTTTTTTTAAAAAAGGTTTCATCTTTGACATTATATCTATGCGTCATCTCTTATAAATGCTGTATATCATGTGATGTACGGGTCACTTTGTTTTTCATTTGGAAGTCTAGTTGTTTCGGCGTGATATGTTGTAGAGGATTCTCATTTCTTATTGCCAAGAATCAACTGGCAACATATGTGTGAGGCTACTTCTAAACTTTATTTTGTTCTATTTATCTGTATGTTTGTTCTTTCTCCAATACCACGTGGTCTTGAAATCAGGTAGTGTAAATTTTCGATCTTCATTTTCTATCTTGATTCTTTACTCTTAGAGCTTGTTTGAACTTCCACACAAATTTTAAAACTGCCTTCACAAAGTGCTAACATTTTTTTTCTACAAAAAAAAGCCTGGTAAATTTTTAATTAGCATGAAGTTGAACATTTAGATTAATTTGGGAAGAAACACTGTTTTTTAATTCAGGAAACCAGTATTTCTCTGTATCTATTTAGGACATCTTTCATATCTTGTAACAATATTTTGTAGTTTTTAGTGTAAATTATATACAGCTCTTCTTAAATATTTCTAAGTATTTTGTGTTTTTTGATGTTATTGCAAATGGCAATTTTTGTTTTAGTTTCTTTTTTTTGTTGTTATACTTTAAGTTCTAGGGTACATGTGCACAATGCGCAGGTTTGTTACATAGGTATACATGTGCCATGTTGGTTTGCTGCACCCATCAACTCGTCATTTACATTAGATATTTCTCCTAATGCTATGCCTCCCCCAGCCTTCCACCCCTGTGATAGGCCCCGGTGTGTGATGTTTCCCACCCTGTGTCCATGTGTTCTCATTGTTCAACTCCCACCCATGAGTGAGAACATGCAGTGTTTGGTTTTCTGTCCTTGTGATAGTTTGCTTAGAATGATGGTTTCCAGCTTCATCCATGTCCCTGCAAAGGACATGAACTCATCCTTTTATATGGCTGCATAGTATTCCATGGTGTATAAGTGCCACATTTTCTTAATCCAGTCTATCATTGATGGACATTTGGGTTGGTTCCAAGTCTTTGCTATTGTGAATAGTGCCACAATAAACATACATGTGCGTGTGTCTTTACAGTAGCATGATTCATAATCCTTTGGGTATATACCCAGTAATGGGAAGGCTGGGTCAAATGGTATTTCTAGTTCTAGATCCCTGAGGAATCGCCACACTGTCTTCCACAATGGTTGAACTAATTTAAACTCCCACCAACAATATAAAAGCATTCCTATTTCTCCACATCCTCTCTAGCACCTGTTGTTTTCTGACTTTTTAATGTTTGCCATTCTAACTAGCATGAGATGGTATCTCATTGTGGTTTTGTTTTGCATTTCTCTGATGACCAGTGATGATGAGCATTTTTTTTCATATGTCTGTTGACTGCAAAAATGTCTTCTTTTAAGAAGTGTCTGTTCATAATCTTTGCCCACTTTTTGATGGGGTTGTTTGTTTTTCTCTTGTAAATTTGTTTAAGTTCTTTGTAGATTCTGGATATTAGCCCTTTGTCAGATGGGTAGATTGCAAAAATTTTCTCCCATTCTGTAGGCTGCCTGGTCACTCTAATGATAGTTTCTTTTTCTGTGCAGAAGCTCTTTAGTTTAATTAGATCCCATTTGTCTGTTTTGGCTTTTGCTGCCATTGCTTTTTGTGTTTTAGTCATGAAGTCTTTGCCCATGCCTATGTCCAGAATGGCATTGCTTAGGTTTTCTTCTAGGGTTTTTATGGTGTTAGGTCTTACATTTAAGTCTTTAATCCATCTTGAGTTAATTTTTGTATATGGTGTAAAGAAGGGATCCAGTTTCAGCTTTCTACATATGGCTAGCCAGTTTTCCCAGCACCATGTATTAAACAGTGAATCCTTTCCCCATTGCTTGATTTTATCAGGTTTGTCAAAGATCAGATGGTTGTAGATGTGTGGTGTTATTTCTGAGGCCTCTGTTCTGTTCCATTCATCTATGTCTCTGTTTTGGTACCAGAACCGTGTCATTTTGGTTACTGTAGGCTTGTAGTGTAGTTTGAAGTCAGGTAGTGTGATGCCTCCAGCTTTGTTCTATTTGCTTAGGATTGACTTGGCAATGTGGGCTCTTTTTTGGTTCCATATGAACTTTAAAGTAGTTTTTTCCAATTCTGTGAAGAAAGTCAATGATAGCTTGATGGGGATAGCATTGAATCTATAAATTACCTTGGGCAGTATGGCCATTTTCACGATATTGATTCTTCCTATCCATGAGCATGGCATGTTCTTCCATTTGTTTGTGTCCTCTTTTACTTCATTGAGCAGTGGTTTGTAGTTCTCCTTGAAGAGGTCCTTCGCATCCCTTGTAAGTTGGATTCCTAGGTATTTTATTCTCTTTGTAGCAATTGTGAATGGGAGTTCACTCATGATTTGGCTCTCTGTCTATTATTGGTGTATAGGAATGCTTGTCGTGTTTGCCTATGACATTATTATATATTTAGAAAACCCCATCGTCTCACCCCAAATTCTCCTTAAGCTGATAAGCATTTCAGCAACGTCTCAGGGTACAAAATCAATGTGTTTTAGTTTCTAATTCTTGTTAGTATACAAAAATACATTTGATTTTTCTATATTTACCTTTAAGAGTTTTCTAAATTTACTTTGTTGTTTTGTAGAATTCTTAGGATTTTTGTGTAAACAATTATGTCATCTTCAAATAAGAGTTTTATTTCTTCCTTTCCAATCTCTATTCCTTTTGTTTCTTCTTCTTGCCTTTTAATAACAGGATACTTAGTATAATTCTTTTTAAATTTTTTTTAATTTTTAATTTTTATGGGTAAATAGTAGGTATAAATGTTTATGGGGTACATGAGATATCTTTATCTGTATCATACACTATGCATACAATGTGTAATAATCACTTCAAAGTAAATGGGGTATCTTATCACCTCAAGTATTTACCATTTCTTTGCGTAACGATAAATCATTCCAATTATGCATTTTAGCTTATTTTTAAATTTATAATAAATTATTGTTGACTGTAGTCACCGTATTGTGCTATCAAATACTAGATCTTATTTATTCTATCTAATTGTATCTCTGTACTCATTAACCATGCCCACACCCTCCTTTCCCACTACCCTTCTCAGCCTCTGGTAACAATCATTCTACGCAGTATTTCCATGAGTTCGATTCTTTTAATTTTTAATTCCCACAAATGAGTGAGAAGATGTGAAGTTTGTCTTTCTGGCCTGGCTTATTTCACATAACGTAATGTTCATCAACTCCATCCTTGTTGCGAATGACAGGATTTCATTCTTTTTTATGGCTTAATGGTACAATTTGAAGTCAGTAAATGTGATTTCTCCAGTTTTGTTCTTTTTGTTCAGGACAGCTTTGGCTATTCTGGGTCTTTTGTGATTTCATATAAATTTTAGGATTGTTTTTTCTATTTTTGTGAAGAAGGTCATTGGTATTTTTATAGAAATTGCATTGAATTTGTAGATTGCTTTGGGTAGTATGACCATTTTAACAACATTGATTCTTCGAATTCATGAACAGGGAATATCTTTCCATTTTTTGTGTCCTCATCAATTTCATGCATCAATATGTTATAATTTTCATTACAGAGACCTTTCACTTCTTTGGTCAAGTTTATTCTTGGGTATTTTATTTTATTTGGAGCTATAGTAAATGAGATTTCTTTCTTGCTTTCATTTTCAGATTGTTTGCTGTCGTCAGATAGAAATGCTACTAATTTTTGTATGTTGATTTTGTATGCTGAAACTTTACTTTTTTTTAATCAATTCTAATAGTTTTTTGGTGGAGTCTTTAGGTTTTCCCAAATATGAGATTATATCATCTGCAGACAAGGATAATTTGACTTCTTCACTTGCAACTTAGATATCCTTTATTTCTTTCTTTTGTCTGATTGCTCAAGTACTGTGTTGAATAATGGTGGTGAAAGTAGGCATCCTAGTCTTGTTCCAGATCTTACAGAAAAGGCTTTCAGTTTTTCCCCATTCAATATGGGTCTGTCATATATGGTTTTTATTGTGTTGAAGTATGTATATAAATCTCTTCATGATACAAACTCTCAAAAAACTGGGTATAGAAGGAACATACTTCACATTGTATTTCTAATATTATTATTATATATAATTACATATTATATATTATATAATTATATATATTATATAATTACATATTATATATTATATAATTATATATATTATATAATTACATATTATATATTATATAATTATATATATTATATAATTACATATATTTCTATAATTATATATTATATAATTACATATATTTCTATAGTTATATATAAATATATATAATATTTAACTATATATTATATATAATTATATATAATTATTATATATAATATATTATTACATATAATATATAATTATTATATATAATTATATAATATATACTGTGTAATATAATTATATATTATATAATATACAATATATAATATGTAATATAATTATATATAATATATAATATAATGTAATACATGATAATATATATGGGAAATATATTATATAGGATATACATAAATATAATATATAAAATATATGGGATAAAGAACATATTTTTAAACAAATATGGGATTTAGTTTTATATATATTATTTATATATATCATATATATTTTTTAATATGTTTTATCAACCTTTTAAAAGTGTTTTCAACATTTTTTTGTTGTCAGTAAATGCAGATATACTATCATAATTTACCTATTAATTCTCTGATCATTGCTTGTTCAGGTTGTTTTAAATTTTCCTCAATTATAAGTTACATAGCAGTAGATACCTTTATGTGGACAAACTAATAATATTTAAACAAAATTGAAGAGAATTTTTTCTAACATGCAAAATATGATCATGTTTCAATAAATAAGCAAAAGAATAGTGAAAAATAAAATTGCTGCCAATTTTACAAAAATTCACGTATTTAGTTTTCATACCATTTAATCAATATGAACCTCTTTAAAGCCTGATAACTAGCCAAAGAATGTGAACATAGACTAGAAAATGCATACTGGAAAAAAACAGAATAGTTACATATTACATCTCATGTAAAAACAAATTTTAAAAAATAGAATTTCTGTACTCATTAAGTGGACAATTAAAATGAAAATCTTCAATTTGGAAAATGTGTAATGAGACAGGGATTCTTATGAATCACTGATGGGTATCCAAAATATCCTTTGTAAAGAACTTTAGCAAAATATGTTACAAGTCTTACAATATTTATTCTCTTTGACCTAGTTCCACTTCCTGGAATCAATCTTAAGAAAACAATCCTTTGTACAACATTTTGTGGAAAACATTTAAAAATAATAATAATTGTTTAATTCCATTAAATATGGAAAACAAACCTCAACATAATATTATAGGGACATTGAGCTAATTAATATGAAAAAATGCAGAAATTAATAACAATTTTGACAAAATTACTTCAATAGTTGAAAAATGCTTCTATTTTAAGAAAAAGTGAGCAAAGTAAAATTCAAATTCTATATATAGAATATGAGATAACAATATGAAAAACAATATGTATAGATAATAACTAGATGAGAGTTCACAAAAGTACCTGTCTTTGAAGACTAGTATGAAAAGTAGCAATTATTTTAACAATTATTTCTTTCTTTCTTCCACAATAAGGATATGTTAGATTTGTAATTGGAAAGTAATCTTTATTTTCAGTTTTATGTGATTTCTTGTTTCATTAATTTGACGGTATATTTTTAAATGTTCTAATGTACACATGGGGCATAGCCCCTAGATTCAGAAATTAGATAAGGATGCTTGCTAGCTCCACTATTACTCAGCACTGTTATGGATACCTTACACAATAAAATAAGAAAAGGAAAAGAAAGATGATGTTTAAATATTATAAAGAAAGAGTGAAAAAATATTTGTAGATTATCTGATAGCTACATAAAATTGGAACCAAATTTAATACAACAGAAACAAAGAAAAAAGCAAGAAGAGAGTTTGGTGCTCTTTACAAGATAAACATATCAATAGTCCTTTCTGTATTGTACCAACGTACAGTAGGAAAATGGGAGGACAATCACATCTACATACGTAAGTCTCTAGAAATGAAACTAATGAAAGTGTTCAGGACCTAGATATGAAATAAATGTTAACAAATTACTAAATAGCTAAGCAAATGGAGATATATTTTTCATGTTTTTTAATGAGAGAAAATTGTAATAATAATGAAAATAATGTTAGTTAACTATATACTAGGCACCTTTAAGAGTGGTCATATAGCACTCATTTTATACTTATAACATTTTCCATGAGGCTTGGGCTATTAATTTCACCATTTTATGCATATAAAGTTGAGAAAGAGTAACCTGCGTGGGCTGAGCCACTCCTGCAAGGTGCTTTTCTTTTTTTTTTTTTTTTGAGATGGAATCTCGCCCTGTCACCCAGGCTGGAGTGCAATGTCGCGATCTTGGCTCACTGCAACCTCCGCCTCCCGGGTTCAAGTAATTCTCCTGCCTCAGCCTCCCGAGTAGCTGGGATTACAGGCACCTGCTACCACGGCCGGCTAATTTTTTGTATCTTTAGTAGAGACGGGGTTTCACCATGTCCTGACATTACGATCCGCCCGCCTTTGCCTCCCAAAGTGCTGGGATTACAGGCCTGAGCCACGGCACCCTGTTGGTACTTGGTTTTAAATCCAGCTCCCAATAGAATATTTTAATAAAATGTTGCATCTTAAATTTATCTTAAATAAAAATGGTGCTAATACATACAGTACTATTTTGAAAGCAGTACAAATTTTGAAAAACTATAGTCAAATAGGTGATGTTGGAAGAGAAGGGACAATTTTGTCAATGAGATAAAATAGGAAATTTAGTTTTTGTTGCAATCTCAAGAGTGGGGAAAGGTGAACAATTCACAGTGGCTGCTGTGCCAGTTTCCATCTCTATGATATAAATAACATTAGACATTACAAAATGTTTGTAAAATAAATTCCATATAGACCAAATAACTACATTTGAAAGATTATGAAGTGTTACAATTATTCTATATTAGGAAGATCTTTCTAAGTAGGACATAAAACTTGGAAATCTCTCAAAGAAGACTTCCTGTTTTGACTAAATATAACTGAACATCCTCTTCGTGAAAAAGACACCTCCAAATTCAAAACCAAGCAAAAAATCAATGTGATAACATACCTTGAATATATACAAATCTCCCATTAATCACTAAAGAAGTAGAAAGAAAGGAAATAAAATGCAATTTTCAGAAGAAGAAATACAAATAACTAAGACATACATGAGAAGACACTCAGTCCCATTGACAATCAGGAAAATACAAAATAAAATAGCTTCTTTTTATTTCCCCATAAGAAGAATGAACAAAACGAAAGATTAATGTCAAGTGTGGGTAATATTGTGGAAAAACTGACAATTGGATTGTAACAAGTTAATTTTTTGATGACAGTTTAGCAGTATGTATTGAAATTCTCAATTTGTGTACTGTTGGACTAAGCAATACTACTTCAAAGAAATTGTCTTACATAAATACGTCCATATATCTTTGTAATAGTAGAATTTGGACACAATCTAAAAAAGAAATCAAAAGCAAATTTCTTCGGCAATAATAATACATCAGTATCATGGAATACACTGTAGCAACTAAAAAGCATGAGGCATTTATGAACATTTTTAATGTCAAAATAAGCCAAGGCATATTTTAAAATAAGACAAGCATGTCTAAGAGAAGATGGTATAGTAGCATCTCATTTAAGTAAAACTAAACACTAAACTAAACTAACTTCTTGTCATCTGCCATCCTGCCACCCCCAAATATTGCTGCCTATATGTACATATTAAGCTTGTCAATTTGTTTGTAGTCTCTTTCATATGCAAGTATTTTGGAAAGTTCCCATGTTAAGCATCCTCTGTTGGCTCAGGCAAATCAGCTCAGTTTCCAAACTTACAGATCCCACTCAGCAAAACAAAAGTCTTTGTGGTTAATCAAATAAAAATGCCAACTAAAAGAAGCAGTGTTCAAAATGTTATATTTATTATGATTCCCAATATTTATTTTGCATTACTTAGTTTTCTGATAATTAGAACAATTTTGCCACAGCTTTACTTTGAATGTATGTCCTTTATTCCTTGGCTCCATAGAGGCTGTACAGACGCCTTAAAGATGAATGCAGGTATAGTGAGATATTGTAGTTCCCACCATTTTGCCTGATGAGTCACCCTTCCTTTCTAATAATACAGTCATGTTTCAGAGAACTGATGGCTTCAACTTTAAATATAATATATTAATTTGAGGGCAATTCTTTATTATCACTTACAGATATTTTTCCTTTTTAAACAGCTTAAAATATCAATGAATGGTTAAAAAATAAGTGTTAGGCTTTGTCTTTGGGCTCATATTTATAAGCACTTCCAAAGACCTGGTTGAAATTATATGTTAACGAAGCATATTCTTCTTGCATTTCAGTTCCTTGAGCTCAAACACACCTACCTCTTAAATTGACTGTCTTTGTGATCTTGGCCAAGTTACTCAACATCTTTGGTCCTCATTTTTCTCTTTGGAAAGTTCAAACATCTAAAAATATAAATAAGGTCTCTTCTACCTCAAATAATCTATAAGCGAGTAAGTCCAGGAATCAATATAATTTTATGTCTATGACTGAATTATAATAGCAATAATTAAAATCCATTTAAAAGAACCAAGATGACAAATAACTCAATGCAAAGTTACTTATTTTTTAAAGGTCTGTGAGTTATCAATACAACATAAGTGGGACCAATATTTGCATGTGTCTCAGATACTTTATTTGATATACACCAAAATATAGCTTGAACTTCATTAACATGTGAGAAAAAGTCAATAGCAGAAGATGGGTCTTGTTAGGTGACTTCTTGGATACAATCAGCATTTCAATTGTCTTACATATATCAACCAGTTAACATTGTTTATACAATGTGGAATAAGTACCACATTAGAGTGTTACAACATCACACACATAGGAATAATTAATCTATTATACTTTCAACATGAAGGCATGCTTTTTCTTTAGCTTGTCATTTAAACAAGGCATTCTAAAAAGAACTCCCTGGAAGAAATTGGGAGCTAGAGGTGAACATAGATTGAAAGTACAGTGGTCAGATATACCAGATAGTTGTAATGTATGGGTATAACTTAGAGAGACACCAGCCTTTCCATAACACCATAGAAAATCTCTGACTATGGGCTGATGTTGTATTCAGAGCCAGTTGAGACAGAAAGCCTTCTGCTACAAAAGCCTAGAATTTGTTGAATTCCTGACCAATGTATAGGTGTATTAACACAGTTATGGATTTATTAAGTGGAAATAGGTAAGGGATGCCAACCACTGCATGTCATTTAACAAATTTCAACCTATGGGCTTGGGATATATGTTTCAAAGGGAGTACAAGATGAGATAAAAGAACCCTACCCTGGTATTGTTAAATGATGAGGGCTCATGAAACCTTGTGGATATTTACATATTGACCAATGTAGTTAATTAAAAAGGTGAGTGAATAAGGAGTGAAAACCTGCCTGAGGTTGAGTGGGATGATCACCATCAGTAGATCTAATTTTAACTCTGCAACGTTTTATTAGATGGATTCACCATCACCAGCAAAGAAATGCAGAGCAAGCGTGAGGCAGAGGTCTCCATATTTGCCAGACCACAAAATGGGGGTGGTTGTAGCCAAGAGACATGGAAACTGGATATTCTAGGGTATTTTTTTTTTGTATTTGATAAAGTGCTGATTATTTGAATCAAGATCTTTAACAAGTTCTTGACATCATGTGTTGGAGACAATTGTTCTTTCTTCTGTTTCTCTTGCCTCATATTAATGCTTTTTGTCTGAACTTTTTTTTTTAATGATGATCTGAACATCTTTGAAGAGCGGTTGTCACTTCTAGGTGGTTGAAAGGGCAGGATGTGTGCCGCATGGGTGGCATGTTGCACCAGTGTCCTCGCTTGTTGGGCAATTATAAGCTGTGACCATCTAGTCCCGCCATCCTGAGAGGTAATCCTTAACTCTATGCTGTCGAAGTCTCCCTCTGAGTATTCAGTTGAGTAAAAATTAGCACACATCTGTGAAGAATGTGTACTCAAGGCAGGGGAAAGAGCATCTGAAAGGATTAGAGTGAACAACGACCAACACTCTTGTGGGGAGATTAGTGGATGTCAGGGGTGGAAGGAGAAGGAGGAGGGAGTGGCTGCCAATGGCTACTGGTTTCTTTTAGGGTGACGAAAATGTTCTAAAATTAGATGTGGTGAGGGTCACACAGGAATAAGTTAAAACCCACTGAATTATATATTTTAAAATGTTAAACTTTATGCTACATGAATTACATCTCAACAAAACTTTTTCTAACATGCTGTGATTTTGTAGAAAAATTGGAGTGGCTATATTAATATCAGAAAAAGTGTATTTCAGTGCAAAAATATTTTCAGGCATAAAAAGGTAAATTCATAATAATAAATCTGTTGATTCATCAAGAGCACATAATGTATCTAATAACAGATTTCAAAACACGTGAAGAAAAGCTGATAAAATTGCTAAGAAAAGTAGACAAATTTACAACTATTGTCAGATAATTCAGTACCATCTGTGTAATAATTTATAGAATAAGTAGCCATAACATCAGGAGTAATAAAGATTTAAATAACATAATTAACCAAATAGACCAAATTAATATTTACGAAATATTTCCAGCCAACAACAGCAGAATACACATTCTTTTGAAATGTACATGGAACACTCACTGAGACAGACCATATTCTGGGTCATAAAACAAGCTTTAAATTTAAAATAATTTATGTCATATCAGATAGATTATCTGAACATCATGGCATTAAATCAGAAATCAATGATAGAAAGATATATTTAAAAAATCTCCAAATATTTGGGAGCTAGGTAACACATTTCTATAAGAAAAAATTACAAGAGAAATTAGAATTTATTTTTATCAGCATGAAAATGCAAACAGAAGATATAAAAAATGTTTGAGATGCAGCTAAAGTAGCATTTGAGGAAAACTTATAGCCCTAAACAACTTTGCTACAAAATAAAAGAAGTCTAAACTTAATGATATCAGTTTAACCTTAAGAAACTATAAAAAGAAAAGTAAATAAAGCCCAGGAGCAGAAGAAAGAAAACAATATGGATCAGAGTAGAAATCAATGAAATAATACAGGGAAACAATAGAGAAAAATGCGAGAAATGAAAGGCAGGTTTAATTAATCTCTACCTAGAGTGATGAGGAAAATAGCAAGAAGACACAAATTGGCAATATTAGAAATACAAGAGGTAGACAGACACGATGGAGTTTAGAGATTTAAAAAAATGATGAGAATATTATGTACAACATTATGCCAATAAATTTGACAATTTATATGAAGTGGGCAAATGTTTTGAAAGACATTAACCACCAAGTTCACTCAAACAGAAATATGTAACCTGAATTTCCCTATATCTGTTAAGGAAATTTAATTTTTAATAAAAGCAAAAAGAAAACAAACAAAAACTTCCCACAAAGAAAACTCCAAGCCCAGGCAGCTTCAAAAATTTGACAAAATATATGGCTTTTAAGTAAGAAATAATACAAATTCCATATATACGCCTCCAGAATATTAAAGAGGAGGGAATATGTCTCAACTTATTCTATGAAGATTGTATATCCCTGATACAAAATATAGACAAAGCTGTCTCAAATAAAAAAGAGACAGAAAAAAAGAGAATAAGAAAAAAAATCCTATGAACGAAAAAGTCACAAAAATATAGATACAAAAATTCTAAACATATTTTTAATAAGTTAAATACACCAAAAAATTGGATAATAAAGAATGATGTTTTTCCTAGGCTTCCAATTTTGGTTAACTTTCAAAAATTAATTAATCAATGCAATACACAATATTAACAAGGTAATCTGATGCACATCTCAATCAATGATGACAGAAATTTGGCAAAATATCACATTCATCACTGTTATCATCTCTAAACAAACCAGAAAGAAATAAACTTAGTCTGATGGAGTATACCTGTGAATAAACATATAGCTGGCATTATACTTAACAGTGAAAGAGTGAATACTTTCACTTTAAGATTTGAAAAAAAAAGACAGGTATGTTTGTTCTCACAACTTTTATTCAATATTAGATTGAAGGCTACTCATCTGCACAATATGACAAGAAAAATAGAGAAAAGGTTTTCAAATTGGAAAGGAAGAAGTAAAACTCACTTTATTCCCAGACAATATGAGTATCTACATAGAAATTCCTATAGAATCTAGGAAAAAGCTACTATAACATCTAACTATTTAGTTAGAGAATATAAGATCAATTATAGATTAATTATAATTCATATGTTAATACTAACACAAGATAATTGCAAATTAAAATGTAGAAAACAATGCCATTTATAAAAGCATAAACAGATTTAAAAATTAGAGATAATGAATTTGTGCAAGGGCTAAATACTGAAAACTACAAAATATTGCTAAGAGAAATAGAACAATATCTAAATGTGTGGAGAGATATACCATGTTCATGGCTCAGAATACTTGATATTGTTAAGATGTCAGTTATCCCCATATGCATTTGTAGATTGATGTTCAGTCCTAATCAAAATCCTAGCTGGCTTTATTTATTTTTTATGTGTGAAAATTGGCAAGTCAATTCTAAAATTCACAGGAAATGTAAAGGCCAAAATAACCTTAGAAAAAAAACAAAGTTGAAGGACTTGTAGTGTCTGACTTCATGACTGATTATAAATCTAAAGTAATAAAGACTGTGTGGTATTGGTGTCATGATACAAAATTAGATTAATGAAACACAATAATGAGTTTCAAAATAGATGTGCATTTATGGTCAATTAATTCTTGACAAAAGTGAAAAAGCAATTTAATTGAGAAAATTATTATTTCAGTAAATGTTGCTGACAATTTGATATTCATCTACAAAAATGGACTTTGATACAGAAATGATATAATCTCTTGGAAAAATATCTCAGTAATTTCTTAAAATAAATGTTACATATAGATGTACCATGTAACCCAGCCATTCTCATCTTAGAAATTTTTCTAAGATAAATGAAAACATGTGAATGTCATAAGGGGGTATAATAGTCTGTTTTCACACTGCTATAAAGAAATACCTGAGACTGGGTAATTTATAAAGGAAAGAGGTTTAATTGACTCAGTTCCACATGGATGGGGAGGCCTCAGAAAACTTACAATCATGACAGAAGGGGAAGCAGGCACCTTCTTCATAATATGGCAAGAGAAAGAAGGGAATGCAAAGGGGGAAGAGCCCCTTATAAAGCCATCAGCTCTCGTGAGGACACACTCACTATCATAAGAACAGCATGGGGGAACCACTTCCATCATCCAATCACCTCCCTCCCCCAACACATGGAGATTACAGGCTCCTCCCTCAACACATGGGGATTACAATTCAAGAAAAGATTTGGGTGGGGACACAGAGCAAAACCATATCAAGGGGCAAGAGAAAACGTTTGGATGTGATGGATATGCTCATTATCTTATTTGTGGTGATGCTTTCATTGGTATGTACATATGTTGAAATTTATTAAATTTTTCACCTTAAGCATTGCATGTTAATTAACACTGCATGTTAATTAGACTTCAGTAGAGCTATTTTGAAGAATGATACATAATGGGGGATATATTTTAGGTTTAAAACCTATGTACAAAATGAAGGTATACAGGTTTAACCAAAGCATAATAGTAAAAAATATAGAACCTTCTATTAAATATTTCACATGCCTCATTTCATTTAGATTTTCATTAGTGCTTTGATGTAGATAGTATTATTTTATTTTATAACAGAATAATTTGAGACTTATGTGTTAAGATGATTATTGGGAGGAGAAGTATGGTTATGAACTGTTAAAATGATTATTGGGAGGAGAAAAAGAAGGGTTATAAAGAAAGATTTTGCTGCGGTAAGTACTATGCTTGCTTGTGGTTTATGAGGGTGATTAGGGATTTTTTCTTGACTTTAATTATAGACCTACATATAGTATGAGGGCTTGCATTTACTAATGAACTCTTAAATTACTTAAAACTGGAAGTAATAGTACTTACAACGATGGAACAGATACACTAGTATTTTGCAATAATCTGTGTCTGTTTGATACATTGGGCTGGGTTCTGTTCTTTGTACTTTAGGAAATACCAGTGAACTTGAGTTTCTCCAATGAAGGTGATCACAGTGATGAATGACTTGGCTTCTGCACAGCAAAAGACATGATCATCAGAGCGAACAGACAACCTACAGAATGGGAGAGCATTTGTGCCATCTATCCATCTGACAAAAGTCTAAAATCCAAAGTTTACAAAGAACTTAAACAAATTTACAAGAAAAAAACAAACGACCCCGTTAAAAAGTGGGCAAAGGAGATGAACAGACACTTCTCCAAAGAAGACATTCATGCAGCCAACAAAGATATGAAAAAAGCTCGACATTACTACTCATTAGAGAAATCCAAATCAAAACCACAATGAGATACCACCACATGCCAGTCAGAATGGCAATTATTAAAAAGTCAATAAACAACAGATGCTGGTGAGATTGTGGAGAAAAAGGAACACTTTTACACTGTTGGTGGGAATGTAAATTAGTTCAAACATTGTGGAAGACAGTGTGGTGATTCCTTAAAGAACTAGAAGCAGAAATACCATTTGACCCAGCAATTCCATTCCTGGGTATCTACCCAAAGGAATATAAATCATTTCATTATAAAGATACATGTACGCGTATGTTCATTACAGCACCAATCACAATAGCAAAGACATGGAATCAATCCAAATGCCAATCAATGATAGACTGAATTAGAAAAAAAAAGTAGTACATGTATACCATGAATACTATGCAGCCATAAAAGGAATGAGATCATGTTCTTTGCAGGGTCATGGATGGAGCTGGAAGCCGTTACTTTCAGCAAACTAACACAGGAACAGAAAGCCAAACACTGCATGTTCTCACTTATAAGTGAGAGCAGAATGATGAGAACACATGGACACATTAGGGGGATCAACACACACTGGGGCCTGTTGTGGGGATGGAGGGAGGGAGAGCATCAGAAGAATAGTTAATGGATGTTGGGCTTAATACCTAGGTGATGGTTTGTGATATGGTTAGGCTTTTTGTCCCCACCCAGATCTTATCTTGAATTGTAATCCCTGTAATCGCCAAGTGTCTAGGGAGATACCTGGTAGGGGGTGATTAAATCATGGGGGCGGTTTCCCCCATGCTGTGGTTGTACGGAAAAGAAAGAGAGATCAGACTGTTACCGTGTCTATGTAGAAAGGAAAGACATAAGAGACTCCATTTTGAAAAAGACTTGTACTTTAAACAATTGCTTTGCTGACATGTTGTTAATTTGTAGCTTTGCCCCAACCACTTTGCCCAAACCACTTTGACCCAACCTGGAGCTCACAAAAACATGTGTTGTATGAAATCAAGGTTTAAGGGATCTAGGGCTGTGCAGGACGTGCCTTATTAACAAAATGTTTACAAGCAGTATACTTGGTAAAAGTCATTGCCATTCTCTAGTCTCAGTAAACCAGGGGCACAATGCACTGCGGAAAGCTGCAGGGACCTCTGCCCTTGAAAGCTGGGTCTTGTCCAAGGTTTCTCCCCATGCGATAGTCTGAAATATGGCCTCGTGGGATGAGAAAGACCTGACCGTCCCCCAGCCCGACACCCGTAAAGGGTTTGTGCTGAGGTGGATTAGTAAAAGAGGAAAGCCTCTTGCAGTTGAGATAGAGGAAGGCTACTGTCTCCTGCCTGCCCCTGGGAACTGAATGTCTCGGTATAAAACCCGATTGTACATTTGTTCAATTCTGAGATGAGAGGAAAACCACCCTGTGGTGGGAGGCGAGACATGTTTGCAGCAATGCTGCCTTGTTATTCTTTACTCCACTGAGATGTTTGGGTGGAGAGAAACATAAATCTGGCTTACGTGTATGTCCAGTCATAGTACCTTCCCTTGAACTTAATTATGACGTAGATTCTATTGCTCACATGTTTGTTGCTGACCTTCTCCTTATTATCACCCTGCTCTCCTACTACATTCCTTTTTGCTGAAATAATGAAAATAATAATCAATAAAAACTGAGGGAACTCAGAGACCGGTGCCAGTGCAGGTCCTTGGTATGCTGAGCGCCGGTCCCCTGGGCCCACTGTTGTTTCTCTGTACTTTGTCTCTGTGTCTTATTTCTTTTCTCAGTCTCTCGTCCCACCTGACTAGAAATACCCACAGGTGTGGAGGGGCAGGCCACCCCTTCAGTCGTCATGATAATAAGTGAGTTATCAAGAGATCTGATGATTTTATAAGGGGGTCTTCCCCCTTTGCACGCCACTGTCTTGCTTGCTGCCATGTAAGATGTGCCTCTTCCCCTTCCACCATTATTTTAAGTTTCCTGAGGCCTCTCCAGCCCTGTGGAACTGTGAGTAAATTAAAGCTTTTTTCTTTATAAATTACCCAGTCTTGGGTATGTTTTTATAGCAGTGTGAAAACAGACTAATACAGGTTGATCTGTGTAGGAAACCACCATGGCACACATTTACCTATGTCAAACTTGCACATCCTGCACGTGTACCCTGGAACTTAAAATAAAATTGATTAATAAAAGGAAAATATAATTGTACGAAGATACAATGTTATTGAGCCTCAGTAAGAGAACTATTGGCACAATCATAATTTAATATCTTAATTACTGCTATATGGCACAATACCGTAGTTCTCCTGGGCAGCTCCAAAGGTAAGGATTAAGACTTGAACAGGCAGACTTGAATATGAAAAGGTTTCCCTGCTGACACAGTAAAATGGAAAAATGTGTTTGCTTTTCGTGGGTGGTGCTTGCAGTGGCTGGATGGCACTGTAGAGAAGATCCTAACATTGGGCTTATTTTGAATCAGTAAACATTAAGGTCCCTCTCTACTCAATAAGATAAAAATAAAAGTGAAACAAACAACTTTGACAATCAGTATGAATGTATATGTAAGTATACATAAGGAGAGAGTAATGAATGATACATGAAATAAGTAAAAATAGTCAAATTTATCAAGTGTTTAATATTAATCAAGGAATCATACATAATATCAGCTGATCATTACTGCCACTCTATCAGATAGATACTATTTTTGTCTTCCATGATTTATAAGGTAAATGAAGGTAAGAAAATTTAAGTTATTTGTCCAAGAATACACAGCTAGCAAGTAGTGGAATTTGGTTTTGAACCCGGATCTCCCTAAGTTCATATACAGAGCTCTGAATTACCATACTGTATTAGGAATTTGTTGATAAGTGTATGAATTTCTTGATAAATTTGAGTTTCCACGAATGTTTATCCCACATATATAATGTAACTGAAATGAAACACTAAGGAAATATAGTAATTCCTGGCTACCATGATGATGGAAGCACTCAAGAGTCTGTTATTTGGATTATCCCTTAAGGAATAACCTGAACAAAGCACAACTTCAAAAGGTATAAGGCCAATAGAATACAACATTGATATTGTAGAGGGATGAGGAGTGATCCTGAAAAATTTGCTGACCACAGATTTTTCTTGTTTTTTGAATGAGGGAATGTAGATGTTGGCCTGGTATCTATAAACTGGTTTATATCTAAAAACACTGGTCCATTGGGGTTATTTTGAGCAAAATATAGACGTGATAAAAACAAGATTTCAAGTGATACACATCACCATTTTTCACATTCTTATATACTGCTAGTATGTAGGAAATATTTCAAATGGTGTTGGGTATACTTGCCATTAGAAAGGTCTGTACTCAAGGGCTCCAGATCCCAGAGTAATTGGGCAGTAGCAGAAGTAAAAGAAGTTTCAAAAATCAGGAAAGGAAGCAGAAGGAATTCTTTTAAAGCTTCATATTGAAACTCTGGGAAGGCTACTTTAGGTTGGTATTTTTCTTAGAGAATAAAATAATTTTAGGGTTGGAGAAGTTATTGGCCTCAGCCTTACCGTTGAGGCTGGGATCCCCTAACAACCTTGACCAACCTCAATTTGATCATCCAGAGGTCCCCACTTCTCAAGGCTACCCATCTGTCAAGAAGAGATGGCCAGCTATCTACAAAATTCCTGTTCGCCTTCTTCCCTAGAAGAGTTATCCTGGCTATGCGCATGGCTGCTCAGTTCATTGTCATATCCCGGCCTCCCCTGCAGTCAGGTGTGGCCATCTGACTATGCTATTTCCCACGGAAAGTAAAGTGAAGACATGTGTGCTGTTTCTGAGTCTCAGATGGAAGACATTTCAGGTATTGATAATAGATAGTGATAGAAAGGTAAGTGGAAAACACTTCTTCCTGCCCTCCACTCTTGGCTTGGTGGGGAGCGCGGGGGCAGCAGGAAGAGGAAAGTTCAGTTAAATTTTATTTGTGAGTAGAAAAGAGGAGGTATCACCTACAGACCCTTCCACAAGTCTTCTAGCCTTCTGAATGTTAAGATTTAGTATTCTTTATGAGACTTTTGAGCATCTCAGTTTCTCTCCCTGCATTAAACAATCATTGCAAAACAATTACATCTCTATTTTGATAATGTGGACATACGTATATTTATTTTACTATTGTCCCAAGTATGATGTTGCATAGAAGCCACAGGGGCTGCACTTACTCCATAGAGGAAGGGGGTTTGTGCTACAGGGTGACCAGATGGAAGGCAAAATAATAATAATAATAATAATAATAATAATAATAATAAAGGAGTGACTCAGATTCTTCTTCACCCCTCTAGAAAGACAAAATTGCAACAAATTTAGATCTAAATGGCTTTTATGCAGAATTTATGATTCAGGACAGACTCCATTCTACAAAATAGAATGAGACCTCTCACGGGGCAGTGGCAGAACAGTGAGGTCTGTAAGCGGGGAGCAAGGAAACAGAATAATAGAAAAAAAAGCTGATTGGTTAACATCAAATTACTTTTTTTTTTTTTTTGTAAGGGTTAAAGCAGAGAGAACTTTCTTAATACTTGGACTCAGGTAGACTGGAGTCTCCTGTTTTCAAGAAAACTATTCTGTTTGGGGATCCATCTACTTCCTTAAAGCTTCAGTTTGATCATGTGGCATTTAGCATGAGTGACTTCATTTTGGTTTGGTCTGTTGGGGCCTAGTGCAGGAGCTCAGTCCCAAGCAATGGCCTCCTCCTGTGCCCCAATTAAACAAATTTTGCCAAATAACTGTATTTCTTCTGGAAAATATGATCAGTTATATGCATATTTTAATATTGTCCCTAACATGAAGTAGCCTAGAGGCCCCAGGGGCCACATTTACTCCACAGAAGAGGAGGAGTTATGCTAAAAGGTGAAAAGATGGAAAGCAAAATTTTAAAATAATAATTAAAAAGTGGCCCAGATTCGTCTTCACCCCAAATTGCTGAGATGTGGGGTGATAGAACACTTGCCTCTGCATGAGTCTGTGCAACTGTCTGCTAGCTCCCAGTGGGTAAGAACTCTCACAGCACACTTGCTTGATTTCATGCATTCAGGGATGACCCCAAATTGTTCAAAACGGTGGAAACATGAAACTGAATTTGGCGTGACTGAAACGAGAACTGCATTACAGCACATTTATTTTTAATTTTTCAATATTCTGAGAAATGCAAAGTATAAATGAAGGAAGAAAATGGCATTTAATTGAATTCACCTTTTATTTTGATAGAATGGCAGAAAGTCTAAGTAGAAGCAGGGCTTTGTGTATTCTGTAAAGTTAACCTACCTCCATCTGCAGCTGACTTTGCTAGGAGGAATACACAGAGAAGTCTGGCATCCTTAGAAATGTGCTGTTGTGACACAGTTACCTGAATAACTAAACACACTGGAATCTCCCCTAAACACAGCTCAGGTGGCTAATGCTAACAATTATAGGGTTACCTATAGGGAGAAACTAATGACCATTTCAACCAAAATAATGAATACTGATAATAATAAGAATAACACATCAGCTGGCATTTAAGAGCGTGTGTCCCTACTGTGCTCCTTCTTGAGGATGTTGATTATCATGCCATTAACTTAGAAGAACTCAAAATCTCTGGTTGTAGTGGTCACGCTCCCTAGATTTACATGTATCTAATTTACATTATCTCATTTCATGATCTTTAACCATTCTATTGCTTAGAAAGAAAAACTCCTGAGATCAAATAATTTGACTTTGTTACAATTGTTAAGAACAAACAAACAACAAAAGAATTGTCCCTCACTTGTCTTTGCTGCAGGCAATGGGTATAACACATGCCTTCTTTTCCAGCTTTTAGAATTCCAGCCCTAATTAAGTAGCAGGTGCTTCTCAAAGCATCAGACTTACCTGGAAACCCATTAGACACACACATTCTCAGGGCCCCACCTTGGATCTACTGGATAAGAAACTCTGGGAATGTTTTTGTGCTGTAATGAGGCCTCCAGGTGATTCTGATTGACCCTCAAATCTGAGAACTGCTGTGATAGCCTGATGCTTACGAAATGCTATGATGATTGAAGACTCACAAAAATGTATGGACAGCTTTTAAAATACCACATCTAGGTAAGCAGACTGCTTATCTACACTTAGCTCTCAAAATGAAATAATATTTTTTCTCTTTTAATTACCGATGAGTCCTTCTAAGAAGACTGGGGAGTAGAGGGGAAGAATGAATGAAACTAGCATTTATTTAATGTCTGGTATCTGCCCAACACTGTCCTGAGCTTTTCCAATCTATATCTCTAATCTTCATGAACAACCATATGAAACAATCAGCCTTAATCTTATTTCAAAGATCAGGAACCTGAGGGATTGCAACTTATCCAAATAACAGAGCTAGTGTGTTTGTTTTCTGTGGTCAAAACTCAAATGCTTAACACATGGGTAATATAAGTAAGTGAAATAAAACCTAGAGTAAATGAGAAAAGATACGATTTTCATGGTAAAGGACAACTGATCCTCAG
This sequence comes from Homo sapiens, assembly GCF_000001405.40. Taxonomy (NCBI): domain Eukaryota; kingdom Metazoa; phylum Chordata; class Mammalia; order Primates; family Hominidae; genus Homo; species Homo sapiens. The sequence goes on along the minus strand of NC_000015.10, from coordinate 97,624,449 downwards.
CATTGATTTTCAGGAGAAATAGAGCGAGTGGGGAATGACACATCTTTTAAAGACAGCAGCCGTTTTTCAGTTCTTCCAAGTTGTGGCCAAAATATTATGCGCCCAATGTTGTCTTATTAGTTTTTTTTCTCCCAAGGAAGCCTAAAATTAAGATTTGAACCTAAAATCTCCTGTTTTAATGATGATTTTAAAAAAATCTCCTTTTTTAATGATGACTTATAAAATATGTGCATGAAAAGAATTTTGAATAACAAACTAAACACACCTGCTAGTTGAGTTTGGCCAGGTAGTGACCTCTGATATACTGTAATGTCAAAAACAGCCTGCTTGTCCCCAAAAGCCTATTTCTTTCTGATGTCTCTGCTGAATTCCAGCTTGATAGAAATAGTATGGAAGATCTCTACCCCCGGTATTTATTTTAGCATTTGTTCAGGCCAGTGTGTCTAGTATTTTACCCCTTGGGGAAGAAATACAGACTTCTATGTCTAACAAAGCTCACTAGGCTCAGTATATCAGAGGCAGTGAGGCTGCTGTCATGGGGCAGAGCATCTCAGGGGATCCCCTCTTAAGTCCCTGGACCTGCAGGGCGTTTGTACTGGGGTGAAGGTCTCCACACTGGCAGGACACAGGCCTGTCTTCCTGTCAACTGGCAGGAGCAGCAATCAATATTTCTGTAATTACTAAGCCTCCTCTTTGGCATAGCTAAAAAGGCAATTCAATCGTGTGCTAGTTCTGCAAACAGAGCTTTTCTAAATTCTTCTTTTTATCCTTCTTTACATATTTATTAGAACATTTTGGACGGATCCATGCAAAGTGACTGAGAGTAACCGGCAGAATGAGCCCCACTGATGCCTGCTCTCCCCAGACTATCAAACCATCAGTGGAGATTGGACAGGTCTTGATGAAATAAATGTTGGCTGCTGACTCGTCCAATTTTGCTGCACTCCTTTATGTCACTGGCACAGCCTTGTCCAAGATTGAGATATTTGCAGACTGTCATCTTTCATAAATATCTGCCTGAGTGACACTTTCTCCCTCCAACACTTCTCTTTGAAATGCACCTGGCTGACTCCTAGCCTGAGGAATTTCATTGCTTGTGATGGGTGATTAGCAAAGGGATGCTTCTTCCTCCTGGTGCCTGCCTCTTCTCTTCTGCTCCCCTTAAGTCCCAGCCTCCTCACATCCCCACTTCCATCCCTTCCTTCCCACCTTTTCTGGGAAGGCCTGAGTCATAGTTCTAAAATGCTAAAGACAGCAAATTTGTCAGAGGTGTTATGAGCCTACTGCAAAAAATACTTTTATTCAACTTGCTAAAATCACAGTGATTAACAACCAACCAAAAGTTTGTCATAGCTTTTCAAATGAGTTTAACCTCCTCTTAACACACAATCCTCTAAAATTTCCAGGAGGGATCTCACAATGTTAATATGCTTACAGAAATGGATATGGCCTTTTAAAATGCCCTTGGCTCTAACGTCCAACAGCAATGGAAACAGCAATGTTTAAATGACAAAGTTAGTAACAATATCCATTATCATTTCCATAGCCTGTTTTTTTTAAAGGATTGATGTAAGAGCCCCCTGAAGCAGCCAATACCGCCACTGCACAAATGAATCAATATGCTTGCACATAAATGTTGGAATTAATATAAGCACTGAGATATCAAATTCAAATCTCCAACTGGAAAAGGATCACTACATTAAATGGAATTACCCCTTATTAGAAATGAATATGTAGAGATTATAGGATAATCAACATTCTCAGTTCCTAATGTATCTGATCAGATTTCTCATGCATAATTTATCTGAAAGAGATTTAATACCCTAATGTAGGATTATTTTTATAAATTTGGATGGAAGAAATTTTAATCAGTAAGATTAAGGGAAATTCTTATTTAAGGTAAAATCTTGGTAGATTTTTAATACCCATAAATAATATAATCTTACATGTAAAACCCTTAACAACCTTATTTTGCTGCATTTTTTTTCAATTTTTCAATCTAGTATCAACTGAAAATTATTTTAAATCTAGCATTCAATGAATAAATTATCTCTCTAGGTGATATGAAAATGTATCCTAGAAACAAAAATGCAGTTTTGCTCAGTGTACGGACAGTATGCCTTAGCATTTCTGATTTTCATTGCAAAGCTATCCCGAAATCAATGTGATTAATGTAATGTAATATAATACTATACTACACTATCCTATACGGTAATATGACATGACAATATGACATACATGCTGTTGGCTTGAATTTCCATTAGAATTTTTATGTACTACATAAGATTTATAGTACTTATATAATGTGATTGGCATCTAAGTTTTATAAGCTCATGTAAGTCTTACAATATACATTTTAAAATTTGTTCTTTTAAAAATTTTACAATATTTATGATACATAATTATATATTTATTTTATGAGATGCACTGTATTTTAGTTACACTTTTTGACACATTGGACAATGATGGATTTAGAGTGAGCAATTGATAGAAACTTAGAGGGTCTCTCATTCCATCTCAGAAATACAATTTAACCATGCTACATGAATAAAAATTGTGAACATAACTAGAGAAGAAAAGTTGTCAAATTTAATTAATTTTCACATATCTCCTTGGTTAAAGAGATGTTTTATCACATTCAATTAACATTTCCATAATAAAAGATTATTTTTTCTCTTTTAATGCTATCTATAACAGATACAGCAAAAATGAGACCCCAACTATTCAGTTACATTCACTGGCAGATTTTGGAATTTTGATCCTGTACCAATCACTGAACAATTCTAAGCATTTTTACAAATTTTATCTCATGTATTCTTCACAATCACTCTGCAAGAAAATTAAACGTTATAATTCCCATTTTGCAGATATTTACACTTGACTTGAGAGACATTAACAAAACTTTTCTCCAAAGGCAAGCGAGTATTTTTCTGGCTAGTGGTGGGCACCTAACCTGGTTCTCCTGACCACACCTGTTTTCACAATTCTCAACGTGGCTTGTTTCTCATTTTCTTTTGGGTAATTGGCCATCATTACTGGGCAAATTCAGCACAGTACAGCAACCTAGAGCTCTAGCAATTGCGAACCTTGTGTAGATATGAAGTTTTTTATTTTAAACGAAAGTAAGGCTTTCTAAAACCTGTATAATTTGACCTCTTCAGGATTTTGTGCTTGAGACTTTTGATGGCTCTAGAATACAAGCTCTAGCTAAACCCCAAATAATGCAAGACATAAATATAATTTGTTTTGAATGTACTACAGCTGAGCTATTGATAGTTATTTTTGGTTACTGGACATATATGATCAAAAGTGAGAGCACAATGATAATTTTGCATGGGTTGTTAGTGAACATTGAGAAACGTATTTTTATCTGTATGTTCTTCACAGACTCAAAGAGTACCAGAAAAGAGTCCTGCATTGATAACGAGGGACTATTTTAGACATAGATAGCTTCTGAAATATTTCCAACTCTAACACCAGAAATCTACAAGAGCTATACTTAATAATTTTTGTTAATCAATTCCTTAATAAAACTTGCATTAATGTATCTTTTAAAGCATTTTCCAAAGATTCAGTTGAGTTTTTTACATTATCGATTTGGATTTCCGATAGAAGTTTGTATACTTAAAATATTTAATCTCCATTTATTTTCCTGACTTGGAAGCACTAATAGATCCTGAAAAAGGGTGGAGCAAACTTCTACCTCTATAGTAAATCAATAATAAACCCATTGAAGAGATTATTTTTTAAGTTTTTATGTCTTCCCATTTGATTATGAGATTTCCTATATAATTATTATCTTTGTATCACAGAAAGGTTATGTATGAACTCAGCGACTAATTTCCACCACCAATGAGCCAAATATTAAACACGACTTGAATATACCCTTGAGTTATCATCAGCCTAATTCATACGTATCCACTGCTTTCATTGGTGACTTTTAATTAGTCATTTTGTAATCCTGTTGTTCAGTATTCTTGGAAGTTATTTAATTTACTTTTTAAAACCGGGGCACGTTTCTTCAACTTGAAAAGCCAAATGAGGAGGAAAACATCTCTTTCAAATCAAAACAAGGTATTTTCTTATTTATAAAGCACCTTATAAAGATACATATGACAACATTAGTGAGTGCATAAAGCGCTATAATCTCATTAGCAGGTTATTAATATATCTACTTTATTGACACTTGCTATTTCTAAGATGATTTAAGAGGGTGAGACTACTATAATAATTTTGCATGGCTTGCTAGTGAATATTGAGAAAAGTATTTCTGTCTCTACTGTCTTCACAGACTCAAGGAGTGAAGGCAGTAAAGCCTCAAATATAATACAGATGCATTATTTCTTTCAAATGCTGTTTGTCAACATTAATCAAATTTACCTAAAATATTTATGTAATAACAAACTTGTTTATTGACTAGTAAGTCAAAGAACTGGAGTCATTGACATGGGAAGAATATCTTTCCCACCTCTGTCATCCAAGAGAACAATGTAAGAGTTGGGTAAAAAATCTCAGTCCTGTGCCTAGCACTTTGGTTGACCCAGAGTAGATGCTTGTTACATATTAGTTGAACCAAGAAATAAATGAATCAACTAAAAATACACTGGAATTTCTGATTAATCCAAAAAACCTTAGCTGCCATTCCATTGAATCTTTCAGTAGCATATCAATTTCACTTTTGATTCATGGCCATGTTTATTAGTAGTGTGTCTACTACATGAAAGCCTTCTCGGCCAGGAGCAGTGGCTCACGCCTGTAATCTCAGCACTTTGGGAGGCCGAGGCGGGCACATCACAAGGTCAGGAGTTCACCGTCTCTACTGAAAATACAAACCCTGTCTCTGCTAAAAATACAAAAAATTAGCCGGGCATGGTGGCAGGTGCCTGTAATCCCAGCTACTCGGGAGGCTGAGGCAGGAGAATTGCTTGAACCCGGACGGTGGAGGTTGCAGAGAGCGGAGATTGCACCACTGCACTCCAGCCTGAGTGACAATGTGAGACTCCGTCTCAAGAAAAAAACTAAAAAAACAAAAAAAAAAAACAAGACTTCTCACTATGTGTAATAGGAGACATAAGAATAAATAAGACAGTTTTTGACCTCAGGAAGCTTACAGAATAGCATTTTTTTCTTTCATAGGATTTAGTTAATCTTGAAAAGCGCTCAAATTCTATTGCAAAAAACATAGTAGTTGTAATTGCAGGATAGAGATTCTGGACATATGAGTCTGCAGCATGTTTCTTTTGTGAGTTCACTGCTATCAAACAGAACATTAGATATTTACTTTGAAGAAACAGCCTTCAGTGCATTGCCCACATTTGAAAATTGTGTTTGCATATGGGGCTGCCTGGTTTCCAATGGCCAGATGGATCCTGACTACATGCCAAGTAATGTTTTGGGCCCATGAAATTCATTAGTACTATTACTTTTGGCATGAGTTTAGGGAAAAAAAATCATTGCCCTGAAATAAACATAATCTCCTGCCTTTTTCTGGCTTTCTAAGCTACCCATATAAAGTTTTGAGTATCCTGTCTGAATAAATGGGGGGCCCCAGCAAATTCCAAGGTTGCTTCCTGATTCACATTTCAAGACACAAATGCGTCCACGTGCGTTCATTGTTTAATTTAGTCTGCTTGCATAAAACTGCAGGTATACTCCTCTTTCCTTGCTATCTCTCTCCTAATCGTGCTCTGTACATTGATGTTGGCTTTGATGTAAATGGGTCACTTTATTAAGGCTGGACTCATGTCATTGTTCAAAAACATGCACTCCTAGCTTTACATTAGTATAATGATGTGCCCCACATTTATCTCTGTATGTGAAGAGGCACTTCAAAATCTGAACACCACTTCCTCAACACACAAACACAGATGTACACAAAGACACCTATGTATGCCATTTCTCCTCTGAGTTAATCAAATGTAAAAGGTTTATTAGGAACTAAATTCAACATTATGAGAGAAATTCTGGACCTTGGCACACCAAAAAAGACTGCTCATTTGCAGGACATGTGGAATGAGTCCCCAGAAACTAAATATCAAGCAACAGTTCACCCATTACCATTGTTAGTCTTGAACCTTTGTTTCATGTTTCCTTTGTATTCTTCCTGGGTTATTTTCTCACTCGTGATGAAAATAAACATAAAAACAAGGAATACAGATATAATGTAATATTTTTCTAATGTTTTCAATTAAGCAGCAGCTGCTATTACCAAGCTGTCATCTCTGTTGCTAAGGGGGTTTTGTGTGTGTGTTGGTGCAGGACTGGTAACTTTAATATACTTATCCCATTGCTAGGACTCTTATAAAGTACCTCTGTTAACACTGTTAATCTAATAGGGGCTTGAAAGCAGCACCATTTTTTCTATTAAATCTACCTGTGGTTGATAGCTCATCTTTATCTGAAACTAGTTAAGATTCTCATGAGTCAGATGAGACTGCTAGGACAAAGAGAATCCAAAAGTTAAGAATTTTTTTTTTTTAAACCAAGTCTCCCTCTGTTACCCAGGCTGGAGTGCAGTGGAGTGATCTCAGCTCACTGCAACCTCTGCCTCCCAGGTTTAAGTGATTCTTGTGCCTCAGCCTCCGAAGTAGCTGGGACTACAGGTGTGAGCCTGTAGCCTGCCTGGCTAATTTTTGTATTTTTAGTATAGATGAGGTTTTACCACGTTGGCCAGGCTAGTCTCGAACTCCTGACCTCAAGTGATCTGCCCGCCTCAGCCTCCTAAAGTGCGGGGATTACAGGCGTGAGCCACTGCACCGGGCCTAGAGTTAAGAATCTTGTTGGCATTTTGTGACTAACTGAATCAGCTATGTTTCTTCAGTTTCCCCAGTATAACTGAGCAGATCCTAGGTAACAAAAGTAAAGTCTCCCAGCATGCAATGGATGGAGAGTTGTCACTTCATGCACACAGGGCCACCCTGCAGTAATGAACCACTCAGAGAACAGACTAAATTCAAGAGCTAAACCCCACAGATCCAGCTCCTGGCATCAAGTCTGGCATACAAGAAGTATTGGAAGGGTCTTTGCTGAATGAATGAACCCATTCAATGAGTATCTTCTTATTACCCAGCCTTTCAGAGTCTTTGAAATGGAGGGTATAGGAATTTTCTCCCATCTTCAAGCCTTTGCCTCCTCATCTAGACCTGTAAAATCCTAAGTAGAAAATTGCTACCTTCATGAATGGAGAGACTTATTCCTTTGACCTGGCATAGTTTTATCCGACAATATATTTTAAAATCTGCAGGGATATTTCCTGCATATTCCACAGTGATGTGAATCTCTTCCTAGTCTTGAGGATGCTACTGAAATATTTTGGTTGCAATATATGTGACCTGGTCTATTCTATCCTTTAGCTGAACAAATCAAATAAGCTAAAACTTCAAATAAACTAATAGGAAAAATAGCATAATATATTCTACACTTGCTATCTTTTTGCGACCAGGTTGTCTTCTCATTGAGAACAGGAATTATATCTTATGTTTCTTTCTATACCTTGTGGTCTTGCATGTAATAAACACACCTATTTTGAGAGATTAGAGAAGAGACTGCAAAAGCTCATCCTACACCATCTGCCCCGTCTTTGTCATCACAGCCATTGATATTACTCTGGGTTTCTCAGCCTTTCTTCCAGCCATTTAAAAATACCTCCTATGCATTTTAAAGTTTTCTTTCTGTTTCAAGGCTCTTGAAGACCAAATATAACTGTATCCTCAGAACAAATCTTGTGCCCATAAGCTTTTTTTTTTTTTTTGAGATGGGGTCTCACTATGTTGCTCACGCTGGTCTTAATCTCCTGGGTATACACAATCCTCCTGCTTTAGCCTCCTGAGTAGCTGAGATTACAAGCATGTGCCACCACGCCCAGCTCTTATGAGTATTTTATGGACAAATGGCTTATTGATGTTTTGGGGGCTAGAACTTAGGTTTCCTGATCATGCTGTGGGCTGTGAGTGAGAAATAAACCTTTGTTGTGGTAAAGCACATTTTAGGGATTGTGGGTTTCTGAAGAATAACCTATACCTTCTCCTGACTAATACAGCTTTCTTTCCACTACACTGTTGTTTTATTTCTTCATAATATGTGTATATCTTTAGTTTTGTTTGTTTGTTTGTTTGTTTGTTTTTTGTCTCACACTGTCGCCAGGCTGGAGTACAGTGGTGCGATCTCCACTCACTGCAAACTCTGCCTCCCATAGTCAAGCGATTCTCCTGCCTCAGCCTTCCAAGTAGCTGGGATTACAGGCGCCGGCCACCATGCCTGGCTAATTTTTTGTATTTTTAGTAGAGATGGGTTTTCACTATGTTGGCCAGGCTGGTCTTGAATTCCTGGGCTTGTGATCTGCCTGCCTTGGCCTCCCAAAGTGCTGGGATTACAGGCGCGAGCCACCACACCCGGCCTATATCTTTAGTTTTATAGCTCTATGTCTTCCATGTATTTACTGCCATCCTTGCCTGGGAAGTATATGATCATTAAGAATAATGATCACTTAAAATATCCCTGTACTAACTAGAGGTAAATAGATGTTTTTCAGCAAAACTCCTCTATTATATTTTGTACCTTTCAAATATATGTATATATTTGAAAATTATATATATTATGTAATATACGTATATTTCATTTATAAACTTTATTTTGTCCTATTCTCTTTCAAAGCAGTAGAGTGAATTTGGAAATAACAGAAATAGAGGACAAGTATGGTGGCTCATGGCTGTAATCCCAGCACTTTGGGAGGCCAAGGCAGGAGGATTACTTGAGGCCAGAAGTTCAAGACAAGCCTGGAAAATATAGTGAGACCTCCCATCTCTATAAAAAAATTTTAAAAATTAGTTAGGCTTTGTGGGGTGTGCCTGTACTTGCACCTACAGGGGAGGCTGAGGTGCAAAGATTGCTTGAGCCCAGGAGTTCCAGGGTACAGTGACCTATGATCATGCCACTGAACTCCAACCTGGAAGATAAGGGGAGACCATGTCTCAAAAAAAGAAAAAGAGGAGGGGAGAGGAGAGGAGAGGAGAGGAGAAGAGAAGAGGAGAGAAGACGAGAAGAGAAAGAAAGGAAAAGGAAGGAAGGAAGAAAGGAAAGAAGGAAGGGAGGGAGGGAGGAAAGAAGGAAGGAAGGAAGAGGAAAGGAAGAAAGAAAGAGAGAGAGAAAGGAAGGAAGGAAGGAGAAGGAAAGAAAAAAAAGGAAGGAAGGAGAAGGAAAGAAAAAAAGGAAGGAAGAGAAAGAGCAATTATAGTTATATTCTGGTTATTAATTCCTTGTTAGATAAATAGTTGGCAAATATTTTCTCCCATTCTGTGGGTTGTCTCTTGGGTTTGTTGTTTCCTTTGCTGTGCAGAAACCTTTTACTTGAAGTGATACTACAGTTGCATTTTTGCTTTGGTTGCCTGTGCTTGTGGGGAATTATTCAAGAAATCTTTGCCCAGACCAATGTCCTGGAGAGTTTCCCAATGTTTTCTTGCAATAATTTCCTAGTTTGAGGTCTTAGATTTAATATTTAATCCATTTTGCTTTGATTTTTGTATGTGGTGAGAGATAGGGGTCTCATTTCATTGTTCTGTATATGAATATCTTGTTTTCACAGCCTCATTTATTGAAAAGACTTCCTTTTCCCCAACATATGTTATAAGCACCTTTGTCAAAAGAGAGTTCATTTTAGATATAGGGATTTATTTCTGGGTTCTCTGTTCTGTTCCATTGTTCTGTGTTTCTGTTTTCATGCCAGTACCATGCTGTTCTGATTAATATAACTTTGTAGTATAATTTGATGTCAAATAATGTGATACTTTCAGTTTGTTACTTTTTCTCAGGATGGCTTAGTCCATTCTGGATATTTTTATGATTCCATATGAATTTTAGAATTGTTTTCTCTATTTCTGTGAAGAACGTCATTGGTATTTTGATAGAGATAGCACTGAATGTGTAAATTGCTCTGGGTACTATGAACATTTTAACAACATTGATTCTTCCAATAATGGACATAGAATATCTTTTCATTTTTGTGTCCTCATCAATTTTTTTTGCATCCATGTTTCATAGTTTTAATTGTAGAAATTTTTAACTTCTTAGGTTAAGTTTATTCCTAGGAATTTATTTTATTTGCAATATTGTAAATGAGATTACTTTCTTGCCTTCTTTTTCAGATTGTTTGCTGTTGGCAGATAGAAATGCTACTGATTTTTGTATGTTGATTTTGTATGCTTTAACTTCACTGAATTCATTTATCAATTCTAATAGTTTTTTGGTGGAGTTTTTAGGTTTTTCCCAAAATAAGATCAGATCATCTGCAGACAAGAATAATTTGTCTTATTCCTTTCCAATTTGGATGCCCTTTATTTCTTTCTCTTGTCTGACTCCTCTGGTTAGGACTTCTAGTATTCTATTGAATAATGGTGGTGAAAGTGGGCAGCCTTGACGTGTTCTGCATCTGAGAAGAAAGTTATTCAGTTTTCCTCCATTCAATGATACTAGCTGTGGGTCTGTCATATATGGTTTTTATTGTGTTGAGGTATGTTTCTTCCCGTTTTCTTTTTGAGGATTTTTAATCACGAAAAGATGTTGAATTTTATCAAATGAGTTTTCAACATTAATTGAAATGATCATATGGATTTTGTCTTTCATTCTGTTGATATAATGTATCACATTGATTGATTTGTGTATGTTGAAACATTCTTGCATCCCTGGGACAAATACCAGTTGCTCAAGTTGAATGATCTTTTCAGTGTTGTTGAATTCAGTTTCCTAGTATTTTATTGAGGATTTTTTGCATCACTGTTCATCTGAGATATTGGCCTGTAGTTTATTGATGTGCTTTGGTCTGGTTATAGTGCAAAGATAATACTGGAGACATAGAATGAGTTTGGAAATATTCCCTCCTCTATTTTTTGGAATAGTCTGAGTAGGATTGCTATTTCTTCCTCTTTAAATGTTCAGTAAAATTTTGCAGTGAAGCCATTGGGTCCTGGGCTTTTATTTGCTGGGAACCTTTTTATTATGGCTTCTGTCTCTTTACTTGCTATTGGTCTATTCAGGTTTTGGATTTCTTTATGGTTCAATCTGGGTAGGTTGTATGTGTCTAGGAATTTATGTATTTCTTCTAGGTTTCCCAATGTATTGACATTTAGTTGCTCAGTGTAGTCTCTAATGATCCTTTGAATTTCTTAGGTATTGGTTGTAATGTCTCCTCTTTTTTTTATTTGAGACAGAGTCTCGCTCTGTCGCCCAGGCTGGAGTGCAGTGGCACCATCTTGGCTCACTGAAAACTCCTCCTCCCAGGTTCACGCCATTCTCCTGCCTCAGCCTCCCGAGTCGCTGGGACTACAGGCACCCACCACCACGCCCGGCTAATTTTTTGTATTTTTAGTAGAGATGGGGTTTCACCGTGTTAGCCAAGATGGTCTCGATCACCTGACCTGGTGATCCACCAGCCTCGGCCTCCCAAAGTGCTGGGATTACAGGCGTGAGCCACCGCACCCGACCTCAATTATGTCTCCTTTTTCATCTCTGATTTTGGCTATCTAGTCTTCTTTGTTTTTTTTTCTTAGTCTGGCTAACGGTTTGTCAGTTTTTTTTTTTTTAATGCAGCTTTTTGTTTCATTGATCTTTTGTATTATTTTCATTTCAATTCCATTTACTTCTACTCTGATCTCATTTTATTCTACTAACTTTGACTTTAGATTGATATTACTTTTTTACTTTTTTAAGATGCATCATTTCATGGCTTATTTGAAGTTTTTCCATTTTTTGATTTAGGCACTTATGACTATAAACTTTCCTTTTAGTACTGCATTCACTGTATCCCATAGGATTTCTATATTTTGTTTTCATTGTTGTTTGTTTCAAGAAAATTTTTAATTTTCTTCTTAATCTCTTCATTGACCCACTGGTCATTCAGAAGCATATTGTTTAATTTTCATGTATTTGTATAGTTTCCCAAATTCCTCCAATCATTGATTTTTAGTTTTATTTCATTATTGTCAGAGAAGATACTTATTATTTCAATTCTTTTGAATATTCTAAGACTTGATTTTTCGTCCTCACATATGTTCTATCCTTGAAAATGACCTATGTGCCGAAGAGAAAGAATGCGTATTCTACAGCTGTTAGAGGAATTCTTCTGTAAATAGCTATTAAGTCCATTTGGTCTATAGTGCAGATTAAGTCCAATGTTTCTTTGTTGATATTTTGTTTAGATGATCTGTCCAGTGCTGAAAGTGAGGTGTTGGAGTCTTCCGCTATTATTGTATTGTGGTTGATCTCTCTCTTTAGCTCTAATATTATTTGCTTTATTTATATATAGATATATATATCTGGGTGTTCCAGTGTTGGCTATATTTGTATTTACATTTGTTATATTTCCTTGCTGAATTGACCCCTTTATCATTATATAATAACCTTCTGTTTCTCTTTTTATAGTTTTTGTCTTGAAATCTATTTTGTTTGATGTAAGTACAGCTTCCTGCTCTCTTCTGGTTTCCACTTGCAAGGAATATCTTTTTCCATTCTTTTATTTTTACTTTGTGTGTGTCTTTATAGGTTAAGTGTGTTTCTTGTAAGCAACAGGATCATTGTGTCTTATTTTGTTTTGTTTTGTTTTTCATCCATTCTGCCACTCTGTCTTTTGATTGCAGAGTTTAGTTCATTTACACTCCATGTCAGTATTGATAAGTAAGGCCTTACCCTGCCATTTTGTTATCTGTTTTCTGGTGTTTTGTGGCCTTCTTTTCCTTATTTTCTTCCTTTCTGTCTTTCTTTCAGTGAAGGTGATTTTCTCAGGTGGTAAGTTTTAATTTCTTTTTTATTTTTTGTGTATCTATTGTATTTTTTTTCAGATTGCCATGAGGCTTGAAAATAATATCACATAACTTATTATTTTAAACTGATTACAACTTAACACATTGTATAAACAAACCAACCAACAAAGAAACCAAGAGAAAACTAACAACAACTGTACACTTTAACTTTATCCACCCACTTTTTAAATTTTTGTTGTTTCTATTCATATGTTATACAATAGCTTTATTAGTTGCCATTGTTATTATTTTTGATAATTTTATATTTTAGTCTTTCTACTCAAGATATGAATAGTTTACACACCACAGGTACGGTTTTATAATATTCTGTGTTTTTCTGTGTATTTACTATTACCAGTGAGTTTTGTACCTTCAGATGATCATTTACTTCCATTTCTATCAGATTGAAGAACTCTCTTTAGCATTTGTTATAGCACAGGTCTGGTGCTGATGAAATTGCTCAGCTTTTGTTTGTCTGTAAAGCTCCATGTTTGAAGAATATCTTCACTAGATATACTATTCTAGAATATAAGTTTTTCTTCTTCAGCCCTTAAATATGTCATGCCGGAATTACAGAAGAATTACCTGATGGAGCCTCTTGATCTCTTTCGTTACTTTCCCCAAAACAAACGGAGACTCTCTCTCTCTCCTGAGCTACCTGGAGCCGGGGGAGGAGTGATACAAGCACCCCAGTGGCCACCACCACCAGGACTGTGCTGGGTCAGACCCAAAGCTAGCACAGCACTGGGTCTCACCTAAGGCACACAGTAACAACTCTTTCCTGGTCTGTAAGGTTTCCACTGAAAAATCTGATGCTAGTTGTATTTGAGCTCCACTGTATGTTGTTTGTTTCTTTTCTCTTTCTGCTTTTTGGATCTTTTCTTTAAACTTGACCTTTGGGAGTCTGAGTGTTAAATGTTTTGAAGTACTCTTATTTGGGTTAAATCTGTTTGGTGTTTTACAACCTTCTTCTACTTGAGTATTGATATCTTTCTCTAGGTTTGGAAAGTTCTCCATTATTATCCATTTGAATGAACTTTCTACTATGATCTGTTTATACCTCCTCTTTAAGGCCAATAACTCTTAGATTTGCCCTTCTGAGGCTCTTTTCTAGAACTTGTAGACATGCTTCATTTTTTTATTGTTTTTTCTTTTGCCTCCTCTTACTGTGTATTTTCAAATAGACTGTCTTCAAGCCCACTAATTTTCTTCTGTTTGATCAATTCTGATATTAAGAGACTCTGATGCATTCTTCAGTATGTCAATTGCATTTTTTAGTTCCAGAATTTCTTCTTGATTCTTTTTTATTATTTCAACCTTTTTGTTAAATGTATCTGATAGAATTCTGAATTTCTTCTCTGCATCACCTTATATTTCATTGAGCTTCCTCAAAACAGCTATTTTGAATTCTGTCTGAAAGTTCGCATGTCTCTGTCTCTTGAGGATTGGTCACAGGTGTCTTATTTAGATTGTTTGGTGAAGTCATGTTTTTCTGGGTGGTCATAACGCTCGTGGATGTCTAGGCATTGAAGCGTTAGGTATTTGTTGCAAGCAGCAATGATACCTGTCCTTTTTAGGAAGGCTTTCCAGGTATTTGAAAGGACTTCGACATTGTCTTTTGTCACCACAGCCATATCTGCTTTAGGGGGCACCCCAAGGTGAGTAATGCTGTGGCTCTTGCAGACTCACAGAGGTATCATCTTGTTGGTCTTCTATAAGATCCAGAAGAATTCCAGAGGAATTACCTGATGGAGCTTCTTGATCTCTTTCCTTACTTTCCCCCAAACAAATGGAGACTGTCTCTGTGCTGAGCTACCTAGAGCAGGGGGAGGAGTGATACAAGCACCCCTGTGGCCACAACCACTGGGACTGTACTGGGTCAGACCCAAAGCTAGCACAGCACTGGGTCTCACCCAAGACACACAGTAACAACCACCTTAATACCACCTATATTCACTCAAGGCCCAAGGGCTTTACAATCAGCAGGTGACAAATCCAGCCAGGCTTGTGTTCTTCCTTTCATGGTGGAGAGTTCCTCCCAGCCCCAGGTGCATCCAGGGATGCCATCCAGGAACCAAGACCTGGAGTCGAGAAACTTAGGAATCTACCTGGTGGTCTATTGTACTGCATCTGGCTGGTACCAAAGCTGCAATACAAAGTCCTTCCCAGTCTTCCCTTCCCTTTCTTCAAGCAGAGGAGTCTCTCGGTGGCCACCACTGCCTTAGGCCCATGGCAAGTACTGCCTGGCTATCATCGATGTTCACAGAAGGTCCAAGGGCTCTTCAGTTGGCTTGTGGTGAATGTTGCCAGTCCTGAGTCTCTCTTTTCAGGGAAGTGAGCTCCTCTCTGGCCCAGAGAAAGTCCAGAAATGCTATCCAGGAGCTAAGGCCTGGAATCTAGGACTCCAGGAGCCCACTTGGTGTTCTACTCCACTGTAGTCAAGTTGGTACTCAAGCTGCAAGACAAATTTCCCTTTACTCTTTCCTCTCTTTTCCTCAAACAGAAGGTGTCTTCCCCTCTAGCCATCATAGCTGGGAGTGTTCTGGGTTATACCTGAAGCCAGCACAGCTCTGAGTCTCACCCAATTTCCATGTCAAGTACTGCCTGGCTACCACTGCTGATTTTTTAGGGCTCAAATTGCTCCTTAATCAGCAGATGATAAATTCTGCCAGGATTGGGTTCTTCTCTTCAAGGCAGTAGGTTCCCTTCTGGCCCACGGTATGTTTAGAAATGTTCAGCTAGGGCCTTGAATGGGGGCCTCAGGACTCTGCCTGGTAACCTGTTCTACTGTGGCTGAGCGGGTATCCAAGTTGCAAGACAAAGTCCCCTTTATTCTTCCCTCTCCTCTCTTCAAGTGGAAGGAAGGAGTCTCTCCTGGACCTGCGAGCTGCACTGCCTGGGCTTGGCGGAGGGGTGACACAAGCCCTCCCTTTGTTGCCCTGGCTCGTGTCTCTCAGTAGGTCAGTGCACTCCATGTCCACTGGCCCTGAGCCCAGCACAGCACCAGAACTTGCCCAGGAATTAAAGTCCTTGTAGCCTAGACTGCCTTTCAAGTTTATGACCCCAGACCACTTTAACCCACAGTGTCAGTCAGGGCTTATTCAAACTCAGGTTCCAACCTAGGATGGATGATTTGCCTCTTGCTAGGGCTGGTTTAAACACTCTCTCCATGGGCTCAGGTTGAATTCTGCCCTATATTGCTTTCTGCTGTGACAAAGCAGTGCTTAATTCCAATGCAAAGTCCCACAATCACTGCACTTTCCTTCCTCCAAGAGCACAAGTTGTCTCTCTGCACCCCATGGTCCCTGCTGGGGGATGAAGGAGAAATGCTGTAGTGATTCAAGACTACCTTTCCTACCCTCTTCAGTGCCTCTTTCCTTAATATGACGTTAAAATCAGATATTGTGATTGCTTACTTGATTTTTTTGGTTCTTATGAAGGTACTTTTTTTGTATGGATAGTGGTTCAATTTGGTGTTCCTGCGGCAGGATAATTGCTGAAGGCTTCTCTTCAGCTATACCACCTCCCTCCAGCAAATTCAGTATACATTTCTAAAAGACAAAGATCTTTAAAAATATAAACACAATACTATTACAGCACTTAAGGAAATCAGTAGTAATTTCTTCCCATTCTCAAATACCTGTTATTGTTCATATTTTCTTGATTTTATACTTCGTAAAAGTTGGCTGACTCAAATAGTATTTCCCCAAAAGGTATACAGCTATAAAGTCTCTCTCTCTTGCTGGGTGTGGTGGCTCATGCCTGTAATTCCAGCACTTTGGGAGGCCGAGGCTGATAGATCACCTGAGGTCAGGAGTTTGAGACCAGCCTGACAAACATGGTGAAACTAAAAATAAAAATATAAAAAATAGCTAGGCGTGGTGGTGGCAGGCACCTGTAATCCCAGCTACTCGGGAGGCTGAGGCAGGAGAATCGCTTGCACCCAGAAGCAGAGGTTGCAGTGAGCCAAGATCATGCCATTTCACTCGAGCCTGGGTGACAGAGCAAGTCTCCATCTCAGAAAAAACAAAAACAAACAAACAAAAAACTCTATCTTTTTTTTTTCAGCTGGAACAAGAACACTTAATATGAAATCTACCCTCTTAAAATTTTTTTAAGTGCACGATATAGTATTGTTAATGATAGATCCAATGTTGTATATCAAATTTCTAGAATGTATTAATCTTGTATAATCATGCAACAACATCGAGGAACCTTGAGGAAGGAAGTAAAATAAGCCGATCACAAAGGGACAAATACTGCATGATACCAGTTATTGAAAGTGTATAACACAGTCAAACACATAGAAGTAGCGTGGAATGGTGGTCTTCAGGGGCTAGAGGGACGAGTGGGGAGCTGTACAGTCTCTTTTGATCTGTATATTTCCACTCTATGTATTTTTCCCTTGTAATTCACTTTTTGACAAACCTCATATATTTGTTTTTCTGTAAAATTTCTCACTTTCTGAATTTTGCTAATTTCGTCTTTGTTCTGTCATGCCTGCATTTCTTCCTAACAGGCTGTTGGATCAGAGGTGGATCAGCTTCAGGTTCAATCATTTGGCAAAAATATCTCATAAGTGGTGGTATGTTTTTCCATCAGGAAACGCTATCTAGCTCTGTGTGTGGGTGTGTGTGTGTGTGTGTGTGTGTGAGAGAGAGAGAGAGAGAGAGAGAGAGGAGAGAGAGAGAGATGTTTGAGTTTACCCAGTTATTTAAAATTCCCTATCAGCTCTCACCTAGGGGCAAAATTACCTTCTTGGAGAATAAGAGCCTTTCAAATCTCATAGCTGATCTTTGTATGGCCTTTTCCAACAAATTAAGTGCTTGGGCCAAATGGAGTCATCTCTTGTAAAACTAATCATGAAATTTCCCAATCATGGGAAAAATAATCATGCCAATGTATCAGCAGCCACTCTGGGTACTCTTTTGCTATTAATTAAAAATTATAAGTAAAAAAAAATCAATAATAATGTGAAAAGATACCATTTATTGAGCACTCAATATATTCTAGTGATTGTTCTAAGTTCTTTATATGTATTTACATTTATTTCCTTTAAAATTCTGATAAAGTTTTCCAGTCAGGGTTTCCTCATCTATTTACCAAAACTTATTGAGCAGCTACCATCAATGAGGCACTGAGCATGAGCTTGGCTCATAGAGGTTAAATCACTCGAGATCAAATTTAGACCCTAAGGCATTGATTGAATAGCCTAAAGGTATACCTACACAGTGGAATATTGTGTAGCTATAACAAAAATGGGAAATATCTTCATGTTTTATGTGGTTGATCTTCAGCATGCTTTTTTTTTGTTTTGTTTTGTTTTGTTTTTGGGATGGAGTCTCACTCTGTCACCTAGGCTGGAGTGCAGTGGCGCAATCTTGGCTCACTGCAACCTCTGCCTCCCTTGTTCAAGTGATTCTCCTGCCTCAGCCTCTTGAATAGCTGGGATTAAAGGCACACACCACCACGCTCGGCTAATTTTTGTATTTTTAGTAGAGTTGGGGTTTCACCATCTTGTTCAGTTTGGTCTGGAGCTCCTGACCTCATGATTCGCCCAGCCCGGCCTCTCAAAGTGTTGGGATTACAGGCGGGAGCCACCGCACCTGGCCAGCATGCTTTTTTAAATGAAAAAAAAAAAGCAAACTGGAGAAAAGTATCTATGGTAGTTATATAGTATTTATGTCATAGACATTGTAGGATTGTGCATGCGTGTGTGTGTGTGTGTGTGTGTGTGTGTGTGTTTGTGTGTACACAAAGGAAGGATTAATTAAAACCAAAGAAAGGGAAAACATTTGTTAAAGCTGGAGGAGGGTTGGAGTGAGGTGAAGGGAATAAGAAAGGTAGTTAGCCTTCTTTGATCACATTCCTTGTTTTCCAGATTTGTAAAAGAAGGAAATTACCTCTAGAGGCATTATCATGGAACGGAAGGAAAGGGAAGAAACTATGAAAAACCAGAGCTAATTATATAAATAGGACTCTCAGAAAATATAAACAATTTTTATCACTTAGAAGAATATAAATATTATCACTTATATTAATTTCATTTATATTAATTTCATTTACATAGATATATAAATAATTGTCAATATTATCAGAAAGATATGAAATATGGTAAATCCACAGAAACACAATCATCGATATGCCTTAGAAATTTAATATTTGATTATTCAGGTAAAATAAAACACTAAGTAAACAGGCCAAATGGCAAAAGGGCATAGCTGAATGGAAATTAGTGAGCTCAAAGGTCATTCTGACGAATATCTACTAGAAGACAATGCAAAAGAACAAAGAGATACAAAAATGGTAGAGGAAAATGTAAGCGACATGGTAAACATACCACGAAATCTCCATGTCTTTTAATAAGGAGCTCAAAAGGAATAGAGATGCAATTGGATGGAGAAAGGTTGTACTTGAAACAATGAGAGAATATTCCAAGAAAAGATGGCCTTACACAGAAAGAGCTTCCCCAGCTCCAGAAAGAAAGAACAAGAGGTAGAAGACCCACCCAAATACCCTATAATGAAACTTCGAAACTTCAAATTTTATGATGGAATTAGCTGAGGAGGAACACACACATATGCAGACACACATACATACATATATACCTCTAATCACACATTCTCTCATACACAACAAATAATGCACAGAAGAAAATGAATCCATTATTTGTGTTTGCCTTTTCTTACAAGACAAATAGAGAGCAAGTCTTGGTCACTGGTGTCTTACCACAGGGCTCAGCATATAACCTGTCATTCAGCAGGGGAGAAATCAGTTTATTGCAGGAAATAGGCATATAAACAGGAGGTTGAAGGTCCGAAGAGAGCTGCCATGATTTACTGTGCAGAGGGAAGATACTACACTTAGGATTAGAAAGCCTTAGTGTTGGGCTCAGTCTTCCCATCAAATAGCTGTGTGACTTTAGGCAAATTTCTGAAGCTTGTTAAGTTCCCGCCCCCCCCCCAAACTTTTTTTTGCCTATCAAGGTAAGAGTTAACTTTAGTGATCTCCAAAGCCTATTCTAGCTTTATTTTTCCATCTCCAATGAAGCTCATCCACTCCAACTAATTTTTGACAATTTTATCCACTATTGAAGTTGCTTCATATGGCTGGCATCATGCTTTCTTTAAATTTCAAGGAATTTTCCACTTCTTATTTTATGAGAAAATCTATGTTGTTCCTGCTGACTCTTGTTAGATAAGTTTCAAGCTTTTTCCTCAAAATTCTGTGTTAAAAAAATGTCTTTATCTCATGTAACATGAGGATTTCTCCATGGACAGAGAAAGGAGATTTCTGTAAACTGGATGCAGCTTCTGGTATCTGATGATTTCCGGGTGCTGGCCACAAGGCCTGGATTGTCATGGAGCAAGACCATTGCTTCAAGTGCACTAACCTGTGCATTAGGGACCCCCATACCCAACTTTGGCTGCATTTCCATCTAGTTATTATTCCAGGTTTAGCAGTCTAATGGCACACTATCTCCTAAGGGCCGTATTTCATGCTGATATGATACTGTAGGAATAGAGAAAATTATTGAATGATTGCTTACTGAGCACCTTCTATGTGCCAGACGCTTTCATTATGAAACCCCTCAGCAGCTCCGGGAGGTGTTATTTCTTCTTTACAGGTGCTGAAATGAAAGGTCAGAATACTAGTCATTTGGCCAACCAAAATCTCTACTCTATCCTGCCTCCTCAGAGTTACAGAATTGCAGCACTTTCTCGTAATAATAATACCCGGTAGTGGAGCCTCGATTTTTAACACTTAGGAGTAATGCATTTTGAAAAAAGCAAAGCTCTGAACTTTAATAAAACAACTTCCTCTTGTATGATTTCTTACATAGACTATAGCATATTTTGTTTTTTTAATTTAAAACTTTTTTGACCAATATCAAGATGGCATTTAACATAACAAGATATAATTATGTATTGCTTTTTACGATCAAATTAGGCTAGCAACAAATTTCTTCCTAATATGTAGTCATGGATGCAAGACTACAAGGGGTCCCTATAGAAAAACTTTGGCATAACCATGCCCTTATCTGTAGTTTTTACTTTCTGAATGATAGCTTAATTTGGGGACCCAATCTTCATTTACAAATAATTTTTAGGAGCTATTGAAATGATGTGCTTATAGACTTCTGCTTCAAATTTCTTAACCGTGGATCGTGTTTCATTAACATGCTGGATTCTTAGTGCTTTTGTTTTAAAACTGAACATCTTGTCTTGACACTTTGATGAGCGGTGCTATTTTGTGGCTGATTAATGTGTCCCAGGCATTTCTGCAGGCCAGAAGCAGGTTAGAGTCAGCGCTCAGCATCCTGCAAGAAGGTGATCTTAAATTTTTGTCGATGTTGGTGAAATAGAAGTGCAAACAGGTCACGTTAAATTTCTTAGCTGCAGAAAGACATTAAAAGAGGTTTTCAAAGTTACCTCACCTTTAATAAAATGAAGTCATCTTATATATTAATATATTAATATTACAGCTGGGTTTAAACTCTAGTAGACCAAGCTTTACTTAATAGTTAAATCAAATTGAATCTCAGATTTTATGAGCGATAAAATGACAATAAAATAGGTCTGGTCAGTAAAGATAATAACTTGATTCAGTACTTTGGATGTAAGTGTTTAAGGTTTCCATGATAAAACTGTAATTTTATACCCCAAAGTGTGTTAATAACATTAAGTGAGGTAATAAGCAAAGTGCATTGACAATGCAATACCCGCAGGACCACAGTAATAGAAATAATTTATAATATATCAGCAATAAAATCTTCAGTGTTATCTCAATTCAGGCCAGGCACCATATCTGGGGTTTCAGATTACACATGCCCCCTTTCCTCCCCCTGCTATGGGCACAAGTGTTAACCTAAAATAATTAAGAAGATGGTTTTCAGAGTGCAGAAACCTCTCACAATTATGGACATAATGACTATCCTATTAAGTACTTCCACCCTGATCCATTTATGTTTGATTGATAGAACTTACTCTAAAGTTAATAAGTAAGCATTTCTAAAAATAATCCTGAGAGACATTTGAATTCACTCTTGGTTTTCTGTATTTCAAACAGAACCAATTCCTAATTTTTAAAATATACCAAGGACTATTTTTCAGACAAGAGCCAGTCATTTGTATGGCTGTCCAAGTACTTTACTTCGTAAAATCTTTGTTCCATGGTTTTATAGTTCGGAAATGAATTCCACAGGTTTTATCTTTTTTGAATCATCCTAAAAGAATGCTTTCCTAATGATATAAAGTTAAACAATTTTATTGGGTGACTTTACTTACTGTCACTGAAATCATCTATTGGCCTAGGTGCATTTCAGCTGATAACAACTCGAATTGCAGCACACAGGAAGAAGGCCACATTTAAAGAGCTAATCCATAAAGCACCACCATTTCATAGGACAACAGTTTTCTAAATGGTTTAAAACTACACGTATGAATATATGGAGATGCTTGAGCTTCAGCCCCTGCAGTTTCATCCTGGTTTTTAAAGCCTGTTCCAAATATTCTTCTCATTGACTCTAAAATTCATGGAAAAAGACAGATATTTTATGCTTGGGCATTCAAACTAATTATAATAATGATAATAATCATCATAGCCTACATTTACTGAGTTTACTATGATTCCAATGTTAAATTACATTTAAAATTAGTTTAATTTCATAACAACTCAATCATTATCTCATTTAGTATGAGAGGAAACTAAGAGAAGGAGAAACTTAAATTACTGCACCAACATCCCTGGGCGGTAGGTAGAAGAGGGCTACTAGTGGAATAAGACTGTCCAACTCTAGAGTTAATGTTCCTGAGCTACCCATCACACTACAAGGCTGTATCTAACAAAAGTTGTCCATAAGTTCTTTCTGTAATTTTTTTTCATATAAGGTTGTTATGCCTAGAGGTAAAAATAGCTTTCAAATATCCTATTTCTAGGAAGTAATTCATAGCATCTCTGAATATTACTTTGCCTGATGATTATCCACAAGGGACGTAAAATGCACAGAAATGATATGGAAGGCCAGGGGAAGATCTCAAGAAACAAATTCTGTCATCCTTCTTGATTCCTTGTTCCTATAAAATCTTTTACTTCCAAAGGCCTTCAGGTCCACCCAAGTGTGGGCTTTGATCATGTCTTGGGTTGGTCGGGGCTCAGAAATACAAAGTCCATTGCTCAGATAGTTCAGCAGTAAGTTCAACCTTCCTAGCAATTGTCCTCTGACTTTAGTAGGTCCCACTCTCACCTCACCCTGTGGCCTAGTTACTGGAGAGACTTCTACTCATATATCCGCAGATGCTGAGTTTCTGCCTGGAGAGCTTTCCTGGAACTCCTTTTATACATGATAGCATTTACTCACTCTCATACAATTCCCTCTTCTCCAAAGAACTAAAATTCAGCTTCTGGATCTGGGGGCCAATAACTTACTGCCTGTTGCAAGTGTCTCCAATTGTTGCTTGGATAGATATTTTTGCATGTTATCTAGAGAGGTGCTAATGATAATAATAACTTCTATTTCTGATTTGATCATGTTCCTCACATTTTATCTGGATGAACTTTTCTCTTTAGTCTATAGCTGGGCCTTTTTCTGGAAGGTGAAGGAATGGGAGAGAGGCCTGATGGACTCCAGTTCCATTAATGAGAGTTAGCTCAGAGGAGTCAAATGAACTTGGTTTTGGTCAGGTGCATGGGCTCAATCTTTGAGCCGCTGCTCACTTACTAAGGGACCTTGACAAACTCTGAATCTTAGTTACTGCCTCCTTAAAACAGGGATAATACTGCTTAGCTTTGAAGGCTGCTTTGATGTTGACATGTTTGAGTACTGACTATGGGTGAATTATAGCCATCGTGGAGATCCTGGTCCTTTTCCTACAGTTTTCCTGTTTCTCCTGGGTTGACCCTATCCATTGGCAATTGAGTTCCTAGGCACTGTTGTAGAATAAAACCCTTTCACTACAGAGATGGTGATTTTGAGCGTACCCTAGAATACCCCTGGGATGTGGAATCTAGAACAATAAGATATAAAAGCTCATGTCATACAATTTGTTCATAAGCCTCATCTTAATGAAACTCTCCACATGAAAAACTACAATGAAGAAAACAAATAATTCAGTGCTATCACCTCTTTTTAAAATCTTGTGGCCTGAACTGAAGCTCAAAATGCTGGTTTGCAAAAACCCAGCGTTGACTATGCAGTGGCCATCCCGCATTGATTCAGGCTTCTAGGAAACTCATAGGCAAGTTTAGAGAGGATGCTGTGTGGTTTCGGAACTGAAAAACCTCTTACCACACGTCAATTGGATCTGGTTGTTGTCAGTCTCTGTCTAATTTATCATGCCTGCAGATGTGTCTACTGAGAAAACTTCACCCATCAGCCTGGGAGTATTTGCTCCAGCGTCTGAGCCATCTGGAGAGAAGCAGGAAGTTTATCAGCAAACTCAGCATCACCATATTGTGGGTTTTAGAATAAAAACTGGTGAATGTTTTGCTAGGGTGGAGCTGAAACATCCCCTCTACAGGGTGTTTCTGTTCTACTCCATAGGCCACTGATCAACTGGGCTTCATTTCGGATTTTCTCAATTGATAGGCTATGTGAATTCTCTGAAGAAAGCCCAGAGAACATTGGATAAAAAGGGACAGATTTTTGGTTTTATATTCTTGGGGAGCTGCAAGTAAAACTGTGCAGATAGATTATCACTGAACAACAGGAATGTGTGTCCTTCACGTAGACTCTACTGTGACTTGCGCTCTATGGAGCTGGGCAGGACACAATCTGCCCAAGCTTACATGATAATCCAATTAGCTCTAACCCAGCGTCTGGTACCTAACAGAGGTAGACGTGTTCAAAGAAATTTTGAGTGACACCTCACTTTCTAATTAGGTCTCACATACTGACTCCCTCATACCAATAATAGTTGCTTAAATTCTGTTTGAATATTTCGAGTCCTCTGGAGATTTTTCATGTGCCAGTTCTGTTTTCTTATGCTCATATCTGTCCCATTTGGGTGGCTTCCTGCTTCTTTCAGGCACACCTTACTGTAATCCCAGCCTGCCTTATTGTTGAGCCTGCTCCTAAAAAATCCCTTAATTTATCTAGTGGATCTCACAATGTATGTTGCCAATAAACAAATTGTTTTATGTCAACATAAAGACAATAAATGTATGACTCAAGTAGCTATATGTTCAAGGAGAATATCTAGAATTTCTTGGATCTGAGAACACATTCCTAACTGCAACAAGCTGGGAGGCAACATTATTTAAGAGGGAGCGTGTTGCAGAGTATAACCCTTTATTAAACTCTGACACCACCATGGCTACTTGCAGGAATAGAATAATTTTCAGTTGAGGCTTTCTTTCATCTTTTAAAAAGACTTTAGTCTTTGTTCTAACTTGTATACCACAAATTCTGATCTGTTAAATTATTTCCTACATATTTAGAAACAGAATCTCTTACAGTCACTATCTATCCCATGTGCCTTCCAATTCCATAGGTGCATTTCACATTCTTACTGCTCCAGCAGTCTATACCGCCAGACAACACAACTCTTGATCTGTCTCTTCAGGTGGCTCAGACTAGCTAAGCAAAAATAATAATCTTATCTTCTCAAAGCTCCTAAATGCAAAAATAGTCTGGCTGTTTATTGCATCAGGCTTTTAGACCCAGGTATATCAGCGGAGTGGAGAAAGTGGATTATCACTTCCTTGGCTGGATATGGCAGCTTCAAAGGAAACAAAGAGTCATAGATTAAAGGGAGTGTAGCCATACCCAGCCTTTCCCAGGAAGGTTTAAAGCTTCCACACTTAGGGCCTTATCAGTCTGGAAGGGGGATCCAGAAGATAAACATTAAAAATAAATGTCCCAAAACTCCCGATTATCTTTTCTGCCTCCTTCTCCATGTCTGGTCAGCAATGTGTTAAGTGAATTGAAACTAGATCGTAGGGAGACAGTCACAACCTGGTTATCAGTGGCAGTAAATGGAAGATAATAGCCCCACTAGAGACTTATGAAATGGCTTGTCTTTGAGCTGCCAAGTGTTTAGTCTCTCTTTTATTAAATTCACAGCAGTAATCCGATATGTCCTGACTTCTGTCATCTGTATGTAATGCTTATCAACTCTCTGTCAGTGATTCACCCTCTTGTCAGGGACAATTATTCCTCAAAGTGCCGAGGTTATGACTGAAGTAATATTATGACTGGAAAGAAAATATGAAAGGTGTAGCACATCACAGCAAGCAATCTGGGAGCTGACGTCAAAGTAAAGGAAAACATTGCCGATAAAAGGAGAACAGAAGCCCAAGTTTTGTTCTCTGTGCTTGGGGCACGGCTGGCATGGCTGAGGCCAAATGGGCAGAAGACCCCCGTTGCGAAGATGCTTTACTAATTCATGATGGTGGCACTGCGTACTTCTGCCCTCGCCGCTGTGTCACCATTCCCATTTCACATCGCCATTTATAGGGGCTTTGAACGAGGTTGCTAAAGTGCATGCTTGGTGAAGAAAGTTGAATGGAAATAGGGTAGCAGAGAAGCTCTGTTTTATAACAAAGGATGGAAGCCTGCTGCTCTGTGCAACACCCTTTGTGCTCGAAGATCTTTACTTACGCTTGGGACATGTTTTAAAGGATCTCACATCATCCTTGAGAAGGCAGTGACGGTGCCCCAGGGAGAGCTGGGGATTAGAAGGAACCAGATTAAGCCAGATGGTAGGGAGGGAGGATAGTGGAATGATCAGGAGAATTAGATGTTAAAATACTGAAGAAGTAAAAGTTGTAAAGACAGACAGGATTGGTTTTGAATGCCTTATGAAGCTTCTGATGCTTCATGGTCGTCTGATCATGAACAAGCTACCTCACAGCTCTGAGCCTAACACCGTCTTATAGAGGATAAAATAGCTGTTGATAATACCTGTCTCACGGTGCGGTTGGAGAATCAAGAGATAGTGTATATAAAGTGGTTGGGTTAATGCCCGACAGATACCTTATGATAAATAGTAGCATGTGACTAGATATAAGATATTGTTTAATCTCCTAGAGTCTCATTTCCTCATGTGCAAATATTTCATGGTTCCCCTGACATAAGCCAGAGCACCTCGACATAATCTAACATAACATAACATTCGGTAATGAAGACCTACGCTTTGGTTCATGCTCCATGTGGTGCCATATGAAGCAGCTCCCCGATCATTTCCATGGAGGGAGAGCAGGAATGCCGTTGAGGACCCTGTTGATTATATTACCAGAATTCCCTGTGTGAGGAGTCCTGGTTGGGACCAAGACGGTGACAATAATTTTTTTTTTAACTGGGGATACAGTTTCTGCTGAGCAATTGGTTTGTATTTTATTTAAAAATCTAGAGGATTGCCTAACTTATGTCATGCAATTGGATTACTGCTGAGGAATTCACAGGCAAATATGAGGCAAGCGCATAGAGGAGGCTGATGTTCAAAAGATTTAGAAACCAGCAACACAAGGGCCTACCTACTATTTAGAGTGTGCCCTGGCTTTAGAGTTGGAGCAGTCTCCTAGCCTTGCTGCTTAACTGGCCGTGAATCCTAAATTGCCGATGAAGTTTGGTTGCCTAGAAAAGGGGCTCAGCAGCTTGAGTACTGAGTACTGACTGGAGCCACTTGAAGGTTTAGGAAGCAAGCAATTTCTCTAATACAGAAATATTTCACTCTTTTAACAACTGTCTGGCTGTACTGGTGGATACCTGACAACTGCCAGCCCTACCTATAGGAAAAGCATAAACTCCATGGCACACATTTTTATATTGGTCTCTATGTTGTGTTCTTAACCTCATTTTTCTTTCCTTTAAAATTTATTTATAAATTATTATTAAAGGGTACATATGGCAACATGTAAATATTTAGAAAGTAGAGACCATCTAAAGAAAAAAGTAAAATAAATGATCTTTTCAAAATCTCTGGGCCGGGCACGGTGGCTCACGCCTTTTAATCCAGCACTTTGGGAGGCCGAGGCGGGCGGATCACCTGAGGTCGGGAGGTCGAGACCAGCCTGGCCAACATGGAGAAACCCTGTCTCTACTAAAAATACAAAAATTAGCCGGGTGTGGTGGCGCATGCCTGTAATCCCAGCTACTCAGGAGGCTGAGGCAGGAGAATCGCTTGAACCCGGGAGGTGGAGGTTGTGGTGAGCTGAGATTACACCATTGCACTCCAGCATGGGCAACAAAAGCAAAACTCCGTCTCAAAAAAAAAAAAAAAAATACATATATATATATATATATATATATATATATCTCCCTACCCTGACATCACCACCACCAACTTCTTTGGGCCTCCATCCATGTGTATAAATCTTGACATGTTATTGATTTTAATGAGAACACACTTTGAATTTTACCATTAGGCATGAAAATTGTGGTTTATTTCAGAGAGAAATTCAGTAGGATATTTTGGAGTATAAGTACTTAATATCAGTTCTTAATGTCAGTAATTAATTAAATAGTTTTTCTTTTTTAAATTAGGAAAGAATGTAAAATGTTTCAAAATAACTTTTTGGCAAATATTAAGATTAGCACATAGGATTTCTTTTCTGAACTTATGAATTATTTAACTTGGATATCTAATTTTAAACCATCGTCATATTTCTTTAATAATCCCCAATTAATCCTGGTGTAATAATTAAAATGACTAACTTATTTTAGAAGTTGTATATGGGGAGCGTCTGCTGTCTTTGATGCCAGGGTTGTCTTAGCTTTGGAAAAAGACATGGAAGGCTTCCTTTTCTTATAGTTTGGACAAGTTCATGGGACATGAACATGATCTAATATCTAAGTACCTAAATATTTGAAGGTGCTAAAAACAAAATCCAAAGCTGAGCTTTACAGAAGTAGCTGTGACTTTTTCAACATATTTTTATAGCTACCGGATTATTTGTGTATTTTTTCTTTTTAGTAAAATTTTGGCATTTATGTTTTTCCACAAAGCTTTATATTATGTCCACATTTCCATATGTTTTAGGATAGAATTGCACGAGTGGCTCTTATGATAAAATGTCCTCAGTAACTGGTATTGTTTTCCGTTTCTTTCTCTGATTACTGTAAGTCCTCTCCCTCTTCTTACATTTTCTAGGCCAAAATATGTCTTTTGGTTGATATTTTTAAAGAGGAAACAAACTAATTTTTGTTTGTCATTTAAATATTTTGTTACAATTCATTATTTTTTACATTACTGTATATTTTTTCTTGCTTTCCTTGGACATCTAGTTGTTCTCATTAAAGTGTTTTAAATCAAATGCTCTGTTTCTTTATATTTTTTGTGCAATAATAAAAGCATTATTTATTATGTAAAATTTATTCTAAATATAGGTGGAGCTGCGTGTCTTAAAAAATCTGATTATTACCATTTATCACTATTTTCTGTTCTTCTGATTTCCACTATGACCCAGAAATTATTTTTATGAAGGAATACCTTCTAATTTCTAAGTGGATGGGATTTCCACTGAAACTTTTGATACCATGTTCTAGTAATTTTATTGTGTCCAGTGAATGTGACTAGTGCACATTTTACTTTGGAAAATTTTTAAGACTTTGTTTTTGAACCGTAAGTGGCTTTTGCAACTAACCCCTTTGCTTCTGGGAAAACAACAATAGAATTAACCGCAACAGCAGTGGAAATCCAAGCCATACTTCCTATCACCTTTCTTATTGATGTTATTTTGGTCTGTGTTATGTTGGCTTTTAAATGGGGAAACCAGTTAATTTATCATCCTAATGGGAACACTTTTGAGAGTGAAAGGGACTGTTAATTATTTCTGGACAACAAGCTACACTAGGTTATCCTGGATGAAATGGGAGATACGTTCACCTGCCTCATAATACACCTTAA
The DNA here is from genome assembly GCF_000001405.40 of Homo sapiens. NCBI lineage: Eukaryota > Metazoa > Chordata > Mammalia > Primates > Hominidae > Homo > Homo sapiens. The sequence continues at coordinate 97,594,814 of NC_000015.10, read as the reverse complement.
ATTATTTCTGAAATAATGCGGGACATTAACTCAATAACAAACCTTGCACGTATTATTTGTTGTAAGATTTAAACATTGGGATATTTGTGGCCTAACATATGATCACTTGTAAAAAATCCATGAGTGACGGAAAAAATGTCCTTACTTTCCAATTGGGCCATTTGGGCACATTTTATATGTCACTGAAAACAATTAGAAATCCTTCAAATTGGAAAAGGTCCAATATTAAATAATTAAGAACTTCCATAGCTTTTATAATGTTTGACTAGTCAAATGTGCAAAAAAACCAGACCGTGTCTGGTCCGTAATAGATACTGATGTTACTCTACATGAGACTTTGGTAATATATAGGGGTATGTGTGTGTATGTGTATGTATACACATTTATACTTTTTTATATATTTCCTACAGCAAAAGTATACACCTAATGTACAACATAAAATATATCTAGTTATGGTCATTTTGTGTTGATATGATTTAGAATTTTAGAAGTGGCCGAGTCATGCTTTTAAGATTCTGGGATCTCCTTTCATTCTTTACATGGTCTTAAATTCCAATAAAATATGCTTTTGGAACTAATTAAAAGAAGATTTATATTTCAGTTGTAGCAAACCTGTATTCATTTCCTCAGAAAGTATTTAAGTGAGGTTTAAAAGGTGTAATTTTAAAATAGTTTTAAGCTATTAAATATAAAATGTGGCCTTTAAAAATATGAAATGAAAAGTAGCTGAACAAACATGGAGGATGAAATGGATAGCAGGAAACATGGCCTCCATGCTCCTTTTCCTTTTTAACAGCACTAACAATATATCTTGAGATTCAGGCCTACTCCAAAACAAATTTTAGAAATTAGTCAAGTTTTTTTCTTAGACCAGTACGTCTCTACCAACTGTATATTGTTTGTAAATAAATATTAATTTCACCGAGGATTCAGAAATTTTTTTTCCTTGAATTTTCCAGGTCGAATTGGGAAAATATTTTTAGGGGATTCAAATATTACAAAGACATATTAAAATCTTCCTGACCATCAAATAATTAAACATGAATATACATCGACATATATTATATTGATTTATATACTTTATATATATTGAGGCCTAACACACACATAAGACACACATGTGATGCAATGTGCCATCATTGCCTTTATAACTGCGATAGTGTAATTACGTAAAAGCACAGGTAGAAATATGTTTTTCTTTATGGGATTTGGGGATCAATTTGGATAATCACTTGTGAAAAGTGAAGAATGGAAAAACTGACTGACTCTAATCATTAATAAAATAGCTCAAGTGAGATTTCTTAGAATGCCTTTCAGGTCTGATTAGAAATTTGAAATATTGCTGTGCATATCTATGGGCATGACAATTCTTTTATTTATTATTTTATTTTATTTTACTTTAAGTTCTGGGATACATGTGCTGAACGTGGAGGTTTGTTACGCAGGTATATATGTGCCATGGTGGTTTGCTGCACTTATCAACCCATCATCTAGGTTTTAAGCCCCACATGTATTAGGTATTTGTCCTAATGCTCTCCCTCCCCTTTCCCCCACCCCGTGACAGGCCCTGGTGTGGGTGTGTGATGTTCCCCTCCCTGTGTCCATGTGTTCTCATTGTTCACCTCCCACTTATGAGTGAGAACATATGGGCATGAGAATTCTTGAAGAGACATAAACACTAAGGAGGGTGTCAGAAGAACAGCTCGCAGAGGGCAGGCAGTGCTGGTGGGTACCCAGCCACTATTTTATCCTGTCCCTTGGTTCTCTCTGAACACCAGAAAAAATGCAAGACTGATAACAACAATGGTGTCATAATCCCTTCCTCCCTGATGACCTCACTCCACAGTGCCCCATTTGTCAGTTTTCCTAGCTCTGAAGCTCTGCGTCAACAGCAACGCTAACCATGCAGAATCCCTTCTTCCTGACTGTTGTCATAGCCAGAATTGGGGGACCCGCAGCTGCAGGTTGTTGGGGTTTCTATGGCAACTGACTAATCCACAAGTAAGTGAAGATGGGGCACTTCAGACACCAGAATTCCATTTTGAAAGATGTTTGTCACTCTTCTGTTCCGTGACGTGAATTAAATGTGCAATATCACTCACAGTGGGTGAAAAATCATTACAGCCTGGTATAGTCTTGTACCCTTAGCAAGTGAGTGCATGTGGTGCTTTTGGACATCGACTACTATATATCCATCAGAGTTCTACCAAAGAAACAGAACCTGTGTGTGTGTGTGTGTGTGTGTGTGTGTGTGTGTGTGTGTGTGGTGTTTGCACCATCGTTTAGAAATTTTAGTTCAACGAATTGGTATATGCCATGTGATTGTGGGGGTTGACTAGGCACATCTGAAATCTGCAGGGCAGGCCAGGAGCAGGCAGGAGCTGATGGCGCAGTCCGCAGACCACATTTCTTCTTCCTCAGGGCAACCCCAATTTTGCTTTTCAGTCTTTTGATTGATTGGATGAAGCCCACCCAGATTATTGTGGATGATTTCTTCTCAGTCATCCAACCAATCTGTGACCAATCTGTGATTTAGTCAACAGACTGAGGTGTTAATCACAGCTACAAAATACCCACAAAGCAACAGCTATTTTAGTGTTTGATTGAATAATTGGATATTATTGCCTAGCCAAGATGACGTAAAACTAACCACAACACCAGCCATAAAATATTCTGAGGTTCATTTATTAGAATGTTTTTGGATTATTATCAACAAGCATGACCATCATCAGCTCTGGATGATTATATATTAGGGACAGGAAGACTAGACTTTTTTTTTTTTTTTTTCTGAGTCATATTGCTTCTGAAGATGGACTGAAGGGTTAAACACTGCTTCTCTGACGAGACCACAGAGGTCTATGCATTCCAAGCAGTCACCTTTGATTTTGGACAAGAATTGCTGCACCACCTTCCAGCCTGAAGAATGGGAAGCAAAAATGCTCTTTAAACTTTGTCACATCCAACAGCCCTGCACCCCAAGTACAGCAAGAACCGTGGTTGTCTGCGGTCATGTGGGACCTGGGTCATATGAACTTATATCAATATGCAAAAGGGAATGAAAGTACTTACTGGAGAGGCAGAAACTGCCCATTAGCTACCGAGCTAAAGTTGTTTGTGAGGAATGGATGAACAAAAAGTAGAAGGGGTTCATGGTACTTTACTTTTTGCTTTTCCTGTAACTGATTAAAGCTACCCTTCATGTACCTGATGGCTAACCCCAGGACTCTGGTGTTGGACAGCCTGAGTTAGCACACTGACACCTCCACTTAACCTGTGTCAGCATAGTGATCTGAAACATGGAAAGCATGAAAGCACACACTTCAAAGGTAATTGTGAAACAGGCATGAGAAAATACATGCAAAACTCTTCCAACAGTGTGAGACACATGGCAGGTAAGTGCACACCCAGTGCTAGCTGGTAAGGCACCGTGCACATGTGGCATATGTTATGTCTTCAGAATACTCTTACAGGATTTTTCTAGTTGAAGGAACTGAGTATCAGAGAGGTTATTAGCTTCCACAAGGTCACAGAGGTGGCAAGCGGAAGCATTTAAATAGCAAATAATTTCAAAGCTGAAGATCTAAATCACTAGGCTATGCTATTTTCCTAACAGAAGAACTGAAATATCAGGAATAAACTGAAAATCAACAGAAATAAACAGGAAAAGTCTGTAACATACTAATTTCGAGCCCCTATTTTTCAGTCTTTGTTCATTGTTATTATATACAATCTCTGTCTGTCTTTAACTGTGTGCACTAATACACACAGGGTCACTCTCTGGGGAAAGAATCTGTTCCATTCATTATTGCATCTCCAGAGCTATCTATGTATCTGGCTCATATTAAAGGCTTATTTAAAAGATGATTGAATATGATATATATGGCATATGCTTTTTTTGTAGTAAACCAGAATATTAATAAAGATATCATAAATATACTCTTTATTAGATAGTCCATAGCTAGTTTTCATCCTGTTAACAGGGAGCGCTGTGAAGTCCGCTATCATGTGAAGGAGGGAAGATGGTGCCACATTTGTAATGGGAGAGGAACTGGGAGCAAACTCTCTGACAAGTGCAGATTTTCAAGCACGCTTCTTAAAAAAATGGAGTGATGAGATAAAAACTTGGGAGTGACAGCAATCGACCGATTAATACCTAGAGAGATGAAATTCCACATACACTCAGGAATGAAAGTGTAGGTTAAGAAAAACCAAACATTCAGTCTCCTCAGCTATTTTGTTCTATTCAGGCTAGGCAATGGGGCTGCTGTTTACACTGTGACATCCTCAGTGGATGCAAGGCACATGTCAACTTTCATTTTACATCTGCGCTCTCTCTGAAAAGCATTAGAGTAAACTTGTGTTGAATGAGTGAAAATCCAGGAGAACCATCTCACACAGTGGGAACAACAAGTAGAATGTCTCCAGAAAGATGAAATGAAGAAGCTGTAGTAATGTGAAAGACTTTGAGCAAGGTTGACATGGTCTGGGGGTCCCTGGTCTTTGAAGAATGGGGGAACAGGAAACAGGCGGGATGGCAAAAGGAGGAAGAGAAGGGCACAAAGGAGAGACTAGGAAAACTGATACGGACTCAGAGCCAGATTCTGGAGATAACAGTTTCAGAATCAACACAGATTGTAGAGGAGGCACAGTCTCATAAGGCCTTCTTTTTGTTTTATGTTACTTTTTGCAGAGCCACTGTGACAGCCACAATATAGATGGGTGTCAGTGAGTATATACAAGTCTTCTCCTAAGACACCCGTGAACAAAGAGAGGCATAGGTGCAGCTGTTGAAGTTAGGAGATTGAATTATTGTATCACAGGCTGCTGGATGGTAAATTGAGGTCCAAATTGAAATGTGATTTCTAGCTGTATGTTACAGGGATATCTGTTTAATGTTGTAGGGAATAATTGAAAAAAAAATGGAGAAATCAAAACAGAGTTCACAAAACTTGAAAAATTAGAAAACATTTCCAAATAGATCCAGGGCCTTATAAGTTCATAATCAACTAATCAGTGGGCTGAATAAAAAGTTAGGAAAATTTAATGGGAATCAGTGTAATAACCAAACTTTGGGCCCAAAAAGTCAACAGCACAAACCCAAGAAGGAGATGCGGTGATTTTATGATACCCTATATAGCTGACCCTAAGTTCATGCATAAGAAAGCAAAATAGTAATCTGGATGCAAAATTCCTGACTTGGACTTCAGCTCTTTTAAAGAAGTATAAAGTCTGTCATAAGTAGTGAGAAAGCCACTTAGGCCTATGGACTATGTGGATCATCTCTGGAATTTGGAATTAATTTCTGTACCAATAGCTTTTAGTCATAAAACACATTTATAGACTCTGGAGTCCAATATACAAGAACTTGAGTACTGACTCTTTATTTATTATGATTTTTCTTTCTCTTTGTTTCCTTCTCTGTAAAACAGGAATAAGACAACATCGCTCATGCTATCTTTGTGAATATTATAAATATGTTAAATCACCTAACACACAGTAAACAGCCAATTAATGTTAGCAAGGATGTGACTCAAGAGTAATATTGTTTTTTCAAATATTTACACATTGACATAAGATGGGAGCTTAGACTGGGGCTCCCAAAGAGGGATCCTAGTCTGCCTTAAGGTCAATGTTAACTCATTGGCTGTGATCACACTCCATGCAATTCCCTCTTCCTCATAATCACACTCTTACCCAAAGTTGTAGGAAGGAAGAGATAAAAAACAAAAACAAAAACCAGAAACCAGTCAGTTGATTTAGTTGATCTAGAATAGAAGTCAACTATTCAATAGCATGTCACCAGATGTATGCCACTGAATCCAGAATTTCATGGCTAGAATCACTCATGTCACTGGAACTGAAAGTGACTAGTGTCTGTTGAGGGAAAGGGTGAAGATTAGGGACGTGGGTTTCTGGGATGGGATCCTGATTTGGATTCACCAGCTTTTGCCTTAGTCTTTTCCTGAGCTCTTGCTTTTTCTCTTCATGCATTGTGCTTGCATCTCTAGGGGCACAAGAGGTTATCTAAGCTCTAAAACTTTCATGGAAAATTTCTTTGGATCACTAAAAGGAAGAGCTGCTCAAGCATAAAATGAGCCACCTCATAAAGTAGTGAGTTCTCTGTTTCTAAATGTGTGTGAATAGAGGCTGGATAATTACTTCACTCAGGCATCAGAAAGGAATATGTACGGGCAATAATGGATAAAGAATTTCCCAGGATGGAATTCTATGATTCCAGTACATCAGTGAGCATTATGCTATCTACACTGATTCATGGCATTAGCATTTTAAAATCTGAATTGACAGAATATTATTTAAAATATATTTAATATTGACATATAATCTTTCTATATTTTAAAAATAGCCATAGAGTTGTTTTCACTAGTTAAGCTATTGTATACTTTAACACATATTTTTATACTACCTCCAAGTAGACAAATCACTGGTAATCACAACTTTTATTTAAAACCATTGTTTAATTTCTTGGTCACCTTAATCACATTTTAAAGCAAATCACAGACATCATGTCACCTCACCCCTATATGTATCCATATGCCTCTGTTTAAAGAAAAAAAGTTTGTTTTTTATGTAGTCGTAATGCCATACTTATATCTTACAAAATGATCAATAATTCATAGATATTACCTTGTACCCAGTCTATATTTAAATAACCTAGGTTTTCTTAAAATATAATTTGAGTTGATAATATATTAATGTACTGTAGTTTATTCAAACATTGCCCTATTGAAAGATATTTGGATTGTTTTCAATTGCTTGCTTTTAAAAATAATGCCACAGAGAATATTCTTGTGCCTAAGCAATTTTTTTTGGCCAGGTAAAATTGGGATAGATTTCTAAAATTTGTACTATTCAGTCAAAAAATTTGTTTGTCATTTTGCCAGGTATGATCATTTCTTTTTCCATGTGTCTACCATTTTGCATTGCCACCATCAACCCATGAGAGTGTAGGTTGGCCCACTGCTCTTCCAACTGAGTCTTGTGTCAAAACTTTCATGAGATGTCCGTTTAAATTTGTATTTTTCTTATTAAAATTGAGGTTGAGCAATTTATCCACAACCTTGTTAAAATTGTTATCTTTTATTTATTTTTAAAATAATAGTCATCCTAACAGGTGTGAAATAGCTCTTTGTGGTTTTGAGTTGCATTTCCCTGATGATTAGTGACCTTGAGCACCTTTTCGTAGACCTGTTGGCCATTTGTCTGTCTTTTGTGGAGAAATGTCTATTCAAGTCTTTTCTCAATTTTTAATTGAGTTGTAGGAGTTCCCTATATATTTTGGTTATTAGCTTTTTATTGAATATGTGATTTGTGAATAATTTCTCACATTGCTTAGGTTGCCTTTTCACTGTAGAGTGTTTTCTTTACATGTAGACGTGTTCTAACTTAGTATAAGCCCATTTGTCTATTGTTGCTTTTGTTTCTGGTGCCTTTGATGTCATACCCATGAAATCATTGACAAGACCAATGTCATGAAGCTTTGCTCCTATGTTTTCTTTGAGGAAATTTACAACTTCAGTTCTTTCATTTAAATTTTAATCCATTTTGAGATCATTTTGGGGTATGGTGTAAGATAGGGGTACAACAGTTTGCTCGTTAGCAGATAGGAGCATAGCAACCAGTTAACATTCTTTGGCATGTGGATGTCCAGTTATCCCAACATTATTTGTTGAAGATACTCTTCTTTCCCCATTGTGTATTCTCAACATGCTTGTTGAAGATCAGTTGACTGTACGTGCGTGGGTTTCTTTCTAGTTCATGCACTCTTGTATCCCCAAGCCTTCTTGTGTGATATTCCTTTTTGTTGGAATACCACAAGCACTTTCTGACAGGCTTTTGTCCATTAGGAAGATTTCCACTCATCCCACAGCATCCATTCAGATATTACTTCCTCCCAGAAGACTTCCTGACCCCCAATTCTGAGGAGACTGTTCTACGATAACATCTACTTCATATACTATGGCATTATGCTTTGTTCAAACTGCTTATTTAATTTCCATAAATACCATGGGGATAGTGATTATACCTGCATTGTTTGTTCTAGTGCCCAGAACATTATTCTATGCAGGATAAATGTTCCACCAACATGGGCAGAATTAAGATTTTCCATTACAATGCTATTTACAATAGTAAAAGATTGAAACTCATGTATATTTTCAAAGATAAGAACATGGTTATCCATATTATGGCACATGGATATGATGAAGTCCTATGCAATAATTGAAAAAGCATGTTTTGAAGCACTTTAATGACAAGAGATTTTATGAAAAACATAGGTTAAAAGCAATCTGAAATATATTCTCATTTTCATAATGAAGATAGCTAATATTTTAGAGATTACATTTGCAAACATTTTGCTAAATCCTTTAAGTTAATTATTCTGTTTAATTATGCTAGGTATTCTAGGTAAGTGAAACGCATACTATTATTATCCTCATTATAGAGTTGGGGGTAACCCAGGTAGAGAGTGATAAGTCAAAGTAGTTTTATACCTTTTTTTTTTCTTCAACATGTATTTTAAGTTCCGGGGTACATGTGCAGAATGTGAAGGTTTGTTAGATAGGTAAACGTGTGCCTTGGTGGTTTGCTGCGCAGATCAACTCACTAACTATGTATTAAGCCCAGCATTCATTAGTTATTCTTCCTGAAGCTCTCCATCTCTTCACCCACACCAGTGGGCCCCAGTGTGTGTTGTTCCCCCTCATGTGTCCACTTTTAAGTGGGAGCTGTATGTTATCACCATTCTAGTTAGCTGCTCCTCTAACCTTTTATCAAGGTTATCTATAATGATTTATATATCTTTCCTTACTGGTGGATTAAAAACCAGGTTTTTTCTGACTTTAAAATGCATACTTTAAAACTCTAGGAAGACACAGACAGACAGAACTATGAGTGCAGTGGGTGGGGCCAAGATGGCCGACTAGAAGCAGCAGTGGTAGGAGGTTCCTGTTGAAAAGAATCATAATAGCGTGTGAATCCTGCACGGGTAACTGAGGTATCCAGGTTCTCTCATCAGAACTGAGGAGGTGGCTGGCATGACCCACAGAGAGGAAGGAAGAGCAGTGTGGTGCGGGGGCTCATCTAACAGCCACACGGGACAGGGGAGCCCCCACCCCCACAACCAAAGGAGGTGGTGAGTGAGCGTGCTTCCCAGCTGGGAAACCGCTTTTCCCACGGAACTGTGCAACCCATGGATCCTAAGGTCGCACTAGTGAACCCATCCCGCCAGGACCTAGGTTCCCAACCCTGGAGCCGCGCAGATTCTCAACAGCCTCTCAGCTAGAACCTGGTTAATCCTCCGGGCTCCTGGAGGGAGAGGCAACCAGCACCACAGCTGCAGCTGCCTGCTGTCTAAGCCATTTGAGCTCCTTGTATTAGGGGCAGCAACCAGCACTGGAGCTGATAGCTGCCTGACATGCTAAGTTCCCTGGGCATAGGAATGGTGGTGGCAGCCATCTCCATAGCTCCAGGCTGTGCTTTCTCCCTGCTGGCACCAGCGAGGCTAGACACTTGGTCCCAAGTGGTGTCCCCCACAGCCCAACACACCTGCTGTGGCAGACTGTGGCTAGAGCACCTCTTTAGGCCTGACCCTGACCCTCCTCCTCACTGTATGGGGCCTCCCTGCAGGAACTCCAACTCCAGCCAGGGGCTCAGAGACAGAAGTCTAATCTCCCTGGGCCTGAGCTTCTAGGGGAAGGGGTGGCCGTAGTCTCTGTGGACCAGCTGACTTAGCCTTTCCTCCCGCTAGTTCTTAGGAATCCAGCAGCCCAGATGAGTGGGTTTCCTCCCAGCTAAGCACACCCTCTCCACCAAGGGACAGTCAAAGTGCTTCATTAAATGGTCCTGTTCCCCATGCCACTCAACTGGTTGAGACCTTCCAACAGGGATTGTCAGGCACTCTATATAGGAGCCATCCTACTGACATCAGGTTGGTGCTCCTTGAGGTCAGAGATCCCAGAGGAATGAGCAGGCACCCATCTTTGCTGTTCTCTAGCCTCCTTAAGTGACATCTCCAGGTGCAGGAGTGAACCAGATGAGTAGGGTCTGAAGTGAACCCCCAGCAAACTGCAGCAGCCCTGCAGAAGAGGGACCTGACTATTTAAAGAAAAACAAACAGAAAGCAACAACAAGAGCATCAAAAACAATAAAAAAGTACCCACAAAAATCCCATCCACAGTTCAGCAGCCTCAAATATTGAAATTAGACAAACTCGTGGAGATGAGAAAGAATCAACAAAAAGAAAGCACTGAAAACCCAACTGGCCAGAGTGCCTCTTCTCCTCCAAATGATCGCAACACCTCTCCAGCAAGGGCGCAGAACTGGACAGAGGATGAGATGGACGAATTGACAGAAGTAGGCTTCAGCAGATGGATAATAACAAACACCACTGAGCTAAAGGAGTATGTTCTAACCCAATACAAAGAAGCTAAGAACCTTGATAAAAGGTTAGAGGAGCAGCTAACTAGAATAACCAGTTTAGAGAGGACCATAAACGACCTGATGCAGCTGAAAAACACAGCATGAGAACTTTGTGAAGCATACACAATTATCAATAGCCAAATCGACCAAGCAGAAGAAAGGATATCAGAGATTGAAGACCACCTTACTGGAGTAAGGCATTCAGACAAGATTAGAGAAAAAAGAATGAAAAGGAATGAACAAAGCCTCTGAAAAATATGGGACTGCGTAGAAAGACTGAATCTACAATTGATTAGAGTACCTGAAGGAGATGGGGAAAATGGAAAAAGCTGGAAAATACACTTCAGGATATTATCCAGGAGAACTTCCCTAACCTAGCAAGAGAGGCCAACATTCAAATTCAGGAAATACAGAGAAAACCACCAAGAAACTCCACGAGAAGATCAACCTGAAGACACATAATCATGAGATTCTCCAAGGTCGAAATTAAGGAAAAAATGTTAAAAGCAGACAGAGAGAAAGGTTGGGTTACCCACAAAAGGAAGCCCATCAGACAAACAGCAGACCACTCAACAGAAACCCTGAAAGCCAGAAGACAGTAGGGGGCAATATTCAGCATTCTTAAAGAAAATAATTTTCAACCCAGAATTTCATATCCAGCCAAACTAAACTTCGTAAGTGAAGGAGAAATAAAATCCCTTCCAGACAACCAAATGCTGAGGGATTTTGTCACCACTAGGCCTGCCTTGCAAGAGCTCCTAAAGGAAGCACTAAATATGGAAAGGAAAAACCAGTAACAGTTACTGCAAAAACACACCAAAATATAAACACCAATAACACTATGAAGAAACTGCATCCACTAGTGTGCAAAATAACCAGACAGCATTGTGATGACAGGATCAAATTCACACATAACGATACTAACCTTAAATATAAATGGACTAAATGTTCCAATTAAAAGACAGATACTGGCAAATTGGATAAAGATCAAGGCCAACCGATGTGCTGTATTCAGGAGGCCTATCTCATGTGGAAAGACACATATAGGCTCAAAATAAAAGGATGGAGGAAAATTTACCAAGCAAATGGAAAGCAAAAAAAAAAAAAAAAAAAAAGAGAAAGCAGGGGTTGCAATCCTAGTCTCTGACAAAACAGACTTTAAACCAACAAAGGTAAAAAAAGACAAGGGCATTACCTAACGGTAAAGGCATCAATTAAACAAGAAGAGCTAACTATCCTAAATATATATACAACCAATACAGGAGCACCCAGATTAAATAAAAAAGTTCTTAGAGACCTACAAAGAGACTTAGACTCTCACACAATGATAGTGGGAGACTTTAACAACTCACTGTCAATATTAGATGAACGAGACAGAAAGTTAACAAGGAGGCCGGGCGCGGTGGCTCACGCCTGTAATCCCAGCACTTTGGGAGGCCGAGGCGGGCGGATCATGAGGTCAGGAGATCGAGACCATCCCGGCTAAAAATGGTGAAACCCCGTCTCTACTAAAAATACAAAAAATTAGCCGGGCATAGTGGTGGGTGCCTGTAGTCCCAGCTACTTGGGAGGCTGAGGCAGGAGAATGGCGTGAACCCGGGAGGCGGAGCTTGCAGTGAGCCGAGATCCTGCCACGGCACTCCAGCCTGGGCAACAGAGCGAGACTCCGTCTCAAAAAAAAAAAAAAAAAAAAAAAAAGAAAGTTAACAAGGATATTCAGGACTTGAACTCAGCTTTGGATCAAGTGGACCTAATAGACATCTACAGAACTCTCCACCCCAAATCAACAGAATATACACTCTTCTCAGTGCCACATGACACTTATTCTAAAATTGGCCTCACAATTGGAAGTAAAACACTCCTCAGTAAATGCAAAAGAACTGAAATCATAACAAGCAGTCTCTCAGACCACAGTGCAATCAAATTAGAACTCAGGATTAAGAAACTCACTCAAAATCAAACAAATTACATGGAAACCAAACAACCTGCTCCTAAATGACAACTGGATAAATAATGAAATTAGGTCAGAAATCAAGAAGTTCTTTGAAACCAATGGGAACAAAGAGGCAATGCACTATTATCTCTGGGACACTGCTAAAGCAGTGTTAAGAGGGAAATTTGTAGCACTAAATGCACACATTAGAAAGCAAGAAAGATCTCAAATTGACACCCTAACATCACAAATAAAAGAGTTATAGAAGCAAGAGCAAACAAATCCAAAAGCTAGCAGAAGGCAAAAAATAACTAAGATCAGAGGAGAATTGAAGGCAATAGAAACACAAAAAAACCCTCCAAAAAAATTAATGAATCCAGAAGCTGTTTTTGTGAAAAAAATTAATAAGATAGATAGGACTTTAGCTAGACTAATAAGAAAAGAAAGAAGCATCAAATACACACAATATAAAAATGATAAAGGGGATATCACCACTGACCCCACAGAAATACAAACTATCATCAGAGAATACTATAAACACTATGCAAATAAACTAGAAAATCTAGAAAAAATGGATAAATTTCGGACACATACACCCTCCAGATACTAAACCAGGAAGAAGTCTAATGCCTGAACAGACCAATAACAAGTTCCGGAATTGAGGCAGTAATTAATAGCCTACTCACCAAAACAAGCCCAGGACCAGACAGATTCACAGCCAAAGTCTACCAGAGGTACAAAGAGGCACTGGTACCATTCCTTCTGAAACTATTCCAAACAATTGAAAGGGAGGGACTCCTCCCTAACTCATTTTATTAGGCCAGCATCATCCTGATACCAAAACCTGGCAGAGACACAACAACAACAAGAACTTCAGGCCAACACCTCTGATGAACATGGATATGAAAATTCTCAATAAAATACTGGCAAACTGAATCCAGCAGCACATCAAAAAACTTGTCCACCACGATCAAGTTAACTTCATCCCTGGGATAAAAGCCTGGTTCAACATATGCAAATTAATAAACATAATCCATCACATAAACAGAACCAATGACAAAAATCACACGATTATCTCAATAGATGCAGAAAAGGCCTTTGATAAAATTCAACATCTCTTCATGTTAAAAACTCTCAATAAACTAGGTATTGATGGAACGTATCTCAAAATAATAAGAGCTATTTATGACAAACCCACAGCCAATATTATATTGAATGGGCAAAAACTGGAAGCATTCCAAATCAGTACAAGACAAGAATCCCTTCTCTAGCCACGCCTATTCAATATAGTATTGGAAGTTCTGGCTAGGTGAATCAGGCAAGTGAAAGAAATAAAGGGCATTCAAATAGGAAGAGAAGAAGTAAAATTGTCTCTGTTGCAGATGACATGATTCTATATTCAGAAAACCCCACTGTCTCAGTCCAAAGCTCCTTAAGCTAATAGGCAACTTCAGCAAAGTCTCAGGATACAAAATCAATGCGTAAAAATCCAGAACTCATAAACATCATGCTTTATTTTACTGAGCTAGAAAGAGCAGAGGTACAGGGAAGTCAAGAAATGAGGCACAAGGTTGTGATCAACATATAAGTGTATAGCAGTTCCTGTTTTCATAATTTTAAACATCAGGAAGCATAACTAAAAAGTCTACGGCATTTTAGAATTTACAAAGCACTTTCACTTGGATGGTCTCAAAATCAATATAGGAACCTAGATAATCAGGTTCAGTGTTCAAAGACCTAACAGAATCAGCAAGGTTCTGTCTAGGATGACTTGAACATTAAGCTATCCTTAAAAAAAAATCTGCAAGAATACACAGGAGAAAGTTTTTAAGACCTTGGATTAGGCAAAGTGGTTTTAGATATGACACCAAAAGCATGAGCCCTAAAATAAAAAATTGTTAAATAGGGCTTTTTTAAAAAACACCTTTTACTCTGTGAAAGACAGCGTTAAGAGAATAAAACAAGTACATTAAACAACATGTATATTAATCTATTTTCAAATCACATATCTGACAAATGACTTATATCCACAATATGTACAACAAAAACAAAAACAAAAAACAAATCCTTCAAAACTCAACGTTTAAAACAATCATCCAATTTTTGGTCAAAGATTTGTTTTTAAATGCTTCACCAAAGAAAATATACAAATGGGGCTGGGCGTGGTGGCTCACGCCTTTAATCCCAGTTCTTTGGGAAGCCGAGGTGGGTGGATTGCCTGAGCTCAGGAGTTCGAGACCAGCCTGGGCAACATGGTGAAACCCTGTCTTTACAAAAATACAAAAAATTAGCGAGGCATGGAGGCGTGCACCTGTAGTCCCAGCTACTTGGGACGCTGAGGCAGGAGAATTGCTTGAACCCGGGAGGCGGAGGTTGCAGTGAGATGAGATTGCACCATGCACTCCAGCCTGGGTGACAGAGCGAGCGAGACTCCCATCTCTCTCTCTCTCTGTGTATATATATATAATGTATACATTATATATATTATATATATAATATATATATAATATGTGTGTGTGTGTGTGTGTGTATATATATATATATATATATACACACACAAATGGAAAATAACCTCAATGTCATTAGTCATTAGGACAAAGAGAAAATTAAAACCACAATGCAATGCAACATACATCTATTTAAATAGCTGAAACCGATAGAACGAACAGTCATAAGTCTGGCAATGATGCAGAGCAACTGGAACTCTCACACATTGCTGGTGGGAATGTAAAATGGCACAGCCACTTTGAAAGCGGTTTGGCTGTTTCTTCTAAAGTTAAACATACACTTACCATATGATCCAACAATCCCACTCCTGTTTATACAAGAGAAATAAAAACTTAGGTTTACCAAAACACTGTAAGCAAAGTGCTTTATTCATAACTGCTAAAAATTGAAAACAACCAAAATGTCCCTCAGTTAGTGAAACAGTTGCACATACATTCAGTGCAACATTGCTCAGCAATGAAAAGCAACTACTGATATGTATGACATGAACGATCTCAAATGCATTATGCTAAGTGCAAGAAACCCCACTCAAAGACTATGCACTGTATGATTTCATACACCCCCACCCCGAGAAAAGTTTGCTGTAAATTAAATAAAGAATAAAAAATGTCAAACATATATCACAACCATTCCTATACATCCACAACAGACAGGCAGAGAGCCAAATCATGAGTGAACTCCCATTCACAATTGCTATAAAGAGAATAATAAAATATCTAGGAATAAAGTTAACAAGGGATGTGAAGGACCTCTTCAAGGAAAACTACAAACCACTGCACAAGGAAATAAGAGAGGACACAAACAAGTGGTAAAACATTTCATCCTCATGGATAGGAAGAATCAATATTGTGAAAACGGCCATACTGCCCAAAGTAATTTATAGATTCAGTGGCATTCCAATCAAACTACCATTGACATTCTTCACAGTATTAGAAAAAATAAAACTACTTTAAATTTCATATGGAACCAAAGTAGAGCCCATATAGCGAAGGCAATCCTAGGCAAAAAGAACAAAGCTGGAGGCATCACGCTACCTGACTTCAAAGTATACTACAAGGCTTCAGCAACCAAAACAGCATGGTATTGCTACCAAAACAGACACACAGATGAATGGAACAGAATAGAGAACTCAGAAATACGACGGCACATCTACAATTATCTGCTCTTCAACAAACCTGACAAAAACCAGCAATGAGGAAAGGATTTCCTATTTAATAAATGCTGCTGGGAAAACTGGCCAGCAGTATGCAGAAACTGAAACTGGATCCCTTCCTTACACCTTATACAAAAATTAACTCAAGATGGATTAACGACTTAAATGTAAAACCCCAAACCATAAGGACCCTAGAGGAAAACCTAGGCAATACCATTCAGGACATAGCCATGGGAAAGGACTTCATGACGAAATGGCCAAAATCAATTGCAACGAAAGCCAAAATTGACAAATGAGATCTAATTATAATAAAGAGCTTCTGTACAGCAAAAGAAACTAGCATCAGAGCAAACAGGCAACCTACAGAATGGGAGAAAATTTTTACAATCTACTCATCTGACAAAGGTCTAATATCCAGAGTCTACAAGGAACTTAAACAAATTTACAAGAAAAACACAACCCCATCAAAAAGTGGCTAAGGATATAAACAGATACTTCTGAAAACAAGACATTTATGCAGCCAACAAACATATGAAAAAAAGCTCCACATCACTGATCATTAGAGAAATGCAAATCAAAACCAAAATGAGATAACATCTAACACCAGTCGGAATGGCAATTACTAAAAAGTCAAGAAACAATAGATGCTGGAGATGTGGAGAAATACGAATGCTTTTATACTGTTGGTGGGAATGTAAATTAGTTCAACCATTGTGAAAGACAGTATGGCAATTCCTCAAGGATCTTGAAGTAGAAATACCATTTGATCCAGCAATCCCATTACTGGGTATATACTCCGAGGAATATAAATCATTCTACTATAAAGAAACATGCACATGTATGTTTATTGCAGCACTGTTTGCAATAGCAAAGAGATGGAACCAACCTAAATGCCCATTAATGATAGACTGGATAAAGAAAATGTGCTACATATACACCATGGAATACTATGCAGCCGTAAAAAGGAACTAGATCATGTCCTTTGCAGGGACATGGATGAAGCTGGAAGCCATCATCCTCAGCAAACTAACAAAGGAACAGAAAACAAAACACTGCATGTTCTCACTCATAAGTGGGAGTTGAGCAATGAGAACACATGGACACAGGGAGGGGAGCAAGACACACTGGGGCTTGTTGGGGTGTGGGGGGGAAAGGGGAGGGACCCTAGAGGACAAGTCAACAGGTGCAGCAAACCACCATGGCACACATATACCTACATAACAAACCTGCACATTCTGCACATGTATCCTGGAACTTAAAGTAAAATAAAAAAAAAAAGAACTGTGAGTGTATACACACCTGTGCGCATGCAGACACAAACGCATACGCACACACACACACACACACAGTGTCAAATACAATGTTTTTCTATTTATACCACAGTGGGTGGGAGCATAGCAACCAGTTAACAGTTGCTGTATCTAGATAAGAGAAATATCAGTGACTACAACTTTGATTTTCTCTCCCTCTTACTTTTCCCATGGAAAGCATGCATTATTTAAAAAGGAACTAAAATAGTACTTTCAAAGAGAAATCTTTCTGTTATTAATCCTCTAATCCACATGACTTCTCTAGCTCATTTGCAGACCTACAAAGGAGGCCCTTGGGATACAAAGGTGAGACTCCCATTTCCTGGTGCATTTTATTTGTTCGTGGACACACCTATTCTCTGATGGCAAGCATGTGACTTACAAGCATCCAAATCGTCTGCACAATACAGACCTTGTCCCTATATATAATACTGGGCAAGCTGTTGCTCTATGGACAGCATTTGAGTCTCATTCATATGGCCAGAGACAAATATTTGTTTCTAAAAATGGGAAATGAGATCTTTTTCATTTGAGTGTTTTCATTCATTTACAATAATTCGACCAAATATTTTTGAATACTTTCTACACACCAAAAACCATCCAAACATCTGGGGCATCTGTAGATGAAAGACAGATTTCTGCCTTGGGGAGAGGGAACTCACAATAGGGTTAGGAAGAAAGTCATAAAAGCAGAGATGAAAACAGTGTAATGATTGGTGTGGAGGAGATACGAGTAGGAGGATGGAGTGTACGGGAGCAGGGTCCTCATCTCAGACATTGGTATAAGCTTTGGGGACTTGCTAGTGACTGAAGTCCCCATCTTGTATGTAACATCAGCACTTTCAGAGTACCTTCAATGAGATTCATATTTCATTTCAGGTGATCTTCTCAACATATACCTCAGTTAACATTGTGCGGATGGCTGCCTTCTCCTCTCCTGGAAATATGCAAATTGACAACACATTTGTAGGTCTCACTGGTTTGTATCAGAGTTGGCGTAGAGGTTAGTTTTTACCTGTTGCTCTTTCTTGCTCATGGCCCTTTGGACCTTTTGCAGACTTAATTGTGTCCAGCTGGGTCTACTTTGCCTTTTCCCCAAATTGGACAAAGGAATACTTACCCTGACCCATTTTCAAAGGTTTTACCTTTTCCCTTTGGATTTGTGGGTCAGCAAACCACACCTTCCTTGACTCAGCTCCCAAATTACCTTAATCACCGATAGCATCGAAAGGGTGACCTCCACCCTGCCCTGGCTTCTTTGGTGCCTTTAAATCACACTTGGAGTCATTTAAAACAGTATCAGCAAGCTGTGGTCAATTCCTGACACCAGCTGGAATTCAAACCTTTCATTCCTTACTGGACCAAGGTGTGATTTATAATTAAAAGAGTTCTTTGTCTTCCACTTTCAAACATTTAAAAAAAAATGCTCTTGAACTAACTCTGTCTCTCTCTCTTCCCTGCATCTATTGACTTCAAAATCTAGGGTTTCATCCCCACATCAAATAGTTCTATTGTCACCTCAAAACCTCCATTTCTTCACTCGTAATATAAATAACCATTTATATTTGAGGGAAGAAACAGAGACAACGATGTATAATTTTAAGAGTAACAGACACTAAAAATAAAAATAAACGTAAAAGGATGAAGAGTACTGATTGGTGGTTAGTTTCAGGTCTAAAGGTCAGGGAAGGACACTCTGAGGAGGTGACATTTGGCAAGACACCAAAGAGAGTGAGGGAGTCAGAAAGGAAAATATCTAGAGAAAGAGTGTTCCAGGCACAGAGGATAGCAAGCGTATGTGACTTGACTACGGGAAGCTTGCTTGGTGTGCTCAAGGGACAGCAAGCCAAGAAGTGTGGCTCAAAGGCAGGAGTGAAGGAGGGAAGTAACCAGATCATATGTCACAGCGGCGTACAGCCAAGGGGATGGTTTTGGATTTGGAGATTAAAAGCCATTAAAGTATTTTTAGCAGAAGTTGGGGGTAACATAATTATATTTTCATTTTATTATTGTTTTCTTTTTCTTTTTCTTTCTTTTTTTTTTTTTTTTTTTTTTTTGAGATAGGGTCTCGCTCTGTCACTCAGGATGAAGTGCAGTGGCATGGTCTGGGCTCACTGCAACCTCCCCCTCCCTGGGCTCAAGGAATCCTCCCACCTGAGCCCCCTGAGTAGCTGGGACTACAGGCGCGGCACCACCAAGCCCAGCTAATTTTTAGTGTTTTTTGGTAGAGACAGGGTTTCGCCATGTTGCTCAGGTTCATCTCAAACTAACTCGTGGGCTCAAGCGATCTGCCCACTTGGATTAACATGGACTTGGATGGGGTCCTTGTCGTGACAACCTGAAACAGTTTAATTCAGAACAGGGGTATAAGAGGAAGAAATAATAAAAAACTATGATGCTTTTGTCCTGAGCAATGGAGTGGATGGGGTTGCCATTTACTGAAATAGGTAAAACTAAAGGAAGGTTCATAGGGGAGTGCAAATCAAGAGGTTGGTTTCAGATACCTCATATGTGATAGGATTAACAGATGCCCGATTGGAGATTTTGAGAAGGGAAATATATATGCAAGTTCAGCTTAGGGGGTGATGGTGGAGATGGAAATTTGGATTTTAGTGTATATACCAAATGCTGTGAGGCCATCTGGTAAGACGGGCTCAGAACTTGAAACTTGCCATAGAGGGCTATTGATAACTGCGATAGGCATTTCAAATGAAGTGGTGGAAACAAGCCCAATGGGATTATGTTCTGCCCCAAAGGAAATCTGTGTAGAAACAGGAAGTATGGACAACTAAACTGAGAAATATTGAGATAAAAGAGGAGTCAGAAAATGATGCCCATTCACAAGGCAAAACTTTGCTATATTAAAAAATAGGTGATACAAAAATACAACGTAACATTGTAACAATAAGTAGAAATGTCTGATAGCATTTTTCAGACATTCTGATCACAGGTAGATAAAAATATGCAAAGAAAAGACTCCAGAAAAAAATACCTCCCAAGTATCAATGGTGGTTTTTAAAAATTTTATAGTAGCATTATAGATGTTTGAAAAAAATCTTTATTCTTTTTTGTATATATCTTATCACGCATATATACTACTTTCAATTTTTACTACTTTTTACTAAAATTCATGAATCCATCTCCCTTTTTATATTTAAATTATTGCAGTTCAATTTAATTTGGTCAATAGGTGTAGTCCTCCCTGAAAATATATTCCAGGATTCTCCCCAGATATTCTCATTATGATGGGTTCGGGAAGTATTCAGTTCAGAATTTACTCAATATTTATATCCTATATCTGAGCAAACTTTTCTTTTCTGTGCTCACCTCACTCCTTTCATAGGCATTTTACCCCTTAGTTTATTGTGGAATAAATTTTACAAGTGATAAAAACTTGATAGGGCTTTAGATATTTATTTGTTTAAACTAATTCTTGTATATTCCCTCTTCCATTTTTATTTTTGAGTACATTCTCTTATGGTTATTTCAGAGAAGTTCTATAAATTGTAAGGTTTCTATGTCGGAAAGAAACTTTATTATCCCCTTCAATCTCCAATGATAGTTTGGCTGGTTTGACTGAGTATAGCATGCTAGGTTTGAAATACTCTTTCTCAGAATTTTGATGTCACTTTGCTGGGTTTCTTTACTCCATACTGCTAAGGAGAAATCTGGTGTCAGTCTGACCTCCCTTTCCTTCTAGATAATCTTTCTTTTTCTTCTGGCATCTAAGATTACTTCTTTCAGTATTAGTTTTATAAAACTTGATTTTATTGTTGTCTCAATGTGAGTTTTTGGTTAGCTTGTGATTAAATTTTGTCCACTCAGTACCATGTACTCATTCAACTTGAGGACAGATGATATTTATTTGTTTATGAATATATTTATTATGCAACATTTCTGGGATATTTATTGCTACTGTTTTTTTCAATCTTTTCCTCTCTTCCACTCTCTTGTCACTCAATATACAAACGGTTTTACATAGACATTGAAAATTTGGATCTCTCTTTAAAATATTTAGACCTCATTTTACACATTTATTTCTCTTTAACTTTTTGTGCTGTGTTCTACAAATGTCTCCCAATTTGACCTTCTAGCTCTTCAATTTGCCCTTCATTTTATCTAATTTGCTATTCTGTACATGTAATGTGCTTATTTATACATGTACGACAATTATTACAGGACTAACTTTTCCTCCCCAAATCTCTATTTTGTTCTTTTCACTACTACTGGTACTTGTTTCCTCACATATATTCTTTTATTTTTTTAATGACAATCATAATACCCCCTGTAGCTCCTATTTTAAGATTTTTTTAATATATATTTGCTCTATTACCTTTATTATCCTGGGTATAAGTTATTCTTAATTTTGGATTTTCTATTTCTCTTTCATGCGCATCACCTCTCTCAAATATTTGGTAAATCTTGATTCTATACTCAACTTCTGTGATTGATTGACTTCTGCATATTTCCTGGTCTATGGCAAATACCCATTCTGGGGGAACCTTAGCTTATAGCTATGGCTGGTCAACTGTCTTCTCCAGGTGACGGCTCATGGCTTTATTTTCATTGTGACTGCCTTTTCTTTTTTCAAATTTGTGTATTATTGGCGTGTTTTCCTATCCAGTTTATTATTAGCAAATTTCATATATCTAGTTTATATCTTTTTTACTAATGTTATGAATCGACTCTTAGTATCTTAAAACCTTAAAGAGCTGGACATACCCTTGGCGGGAGGTGGTCTCATCATTGGTTGATTGCTTCCAGCATTTGTTTAGGTACTTCTGGAATTTTGATGGTCTTTATCTCATGATGTCAAGATGGATGCCTCAATCTAGTCTTCCCTTCTGCCCACCAGTATCCTTCACAGGAAACAACAGAGTGAGGACATAACAGGACTCTTCTTCCCAGAAACTTCTTCTCAGACTTCCACTCAGAGGTCACTGGCCAGAAATGATGACATATGGATTCCTTAATTTAAGAGAAACAGAAAAATAAGCATCATCTGCTAAAAGAGAATGGAGTTATACTGACTGGCTGAGGACAATCATGCCCGAGCCACTAGGTCTGGGCAAATTGGGCACTTCCAAAGTGCATCATGAAAGTGCTCTTAAGAAAAACGTGGGGTATGTGGATTCTGGATAAGCAAAGTATCTGCCACACTGAAATCCTTATCTAGTTTCCTAAAATCCTAGATTAGAAAATTCAAACGGCTTCACTTGTGTGATTATTATCTCTGCTATATGCTTCAGAAGAAAATAAAAGTATGTTCATAACGTTCATTTTAAATCTATCAGCATGACTATAAGTTTCTTAACTTCATATAATGTTCATTTTTATTTGGCAGAGGAAAAGGAAAAAAAAACTTTTGATTACGTGGAGAATGATTGTCATAATAAGGGTTCTATAAATGGAGAAATTCTACTCTACCCTTAAGCCTGCCTCCCTTTCCAAAAACAATGGAAAACAAAACAACAACATTTATTCCTAAACATTGGGATATACAATGTTGATAAGGGTGTGCTGAAACAGATACACTCACAAATTGATGGTGTTGGTACAATTATAAAAAGCTTTTAAGAAATCAGCTTGGAATTACAAATTAAAAGCTTTGATTGATGGTGTTTCTGTATTTTGATTCAATCATGTCCTTATTGGGAATTTATGATTAGAACATTTGAAATCCAGGCAAAGTTTTATGCATAAAAATAAAATTATAAAAATGAGGCATCTACAAACTTGAATAATACAAGGTTTTTAAATTATACATATAGAAAATTTTAAAGACATAGATTGTTTTCATAACTAGTAAGTGAAAAATCCAGATACAAAATTATTCATAAAGTATCACCTCATTATGTAAAAGATAATTTGGAGAGACTAAACCCACAATTCTAAATCATTTCTCTCTAGTAATTTCTGCTGGTTTACCTGTATTTTTCTGCTGGTTCTAACATTTCTACTTTAAAGAAAGATGGCTTTGACAAACTGTAAAAGCCAAATAATAATAGCAACCCCAATATCTGTGGCTCTCCCTTGTGAACCACATTACATACTGTAAAATCCTCCCACATTTATTTGGTTTTCCCAACACTGTGAGGATGAAAAGACAAGCATACTTTCTCCATATTCAGTTAAAGAATGTGAGGTTCTTGAGTTAATTTTTTTATACAGTGTAAGGAAGGAACCCAGTTTCAAATTTCTACATATGGCTAGTCAGTTTTCCCAGCACCATTTATTAAATAGCGAATACTTTCCCCATTGCTTGTTTTTGTCAGGTTTGTCAAAGATCAGATGGTTGTAGATGTGCGGTGTTATTTCTGAGGCCTCTGTTCTGTTCCATTGCTCTATACATCTGTTTTGGTAGCAGTACCATGCTGTTTTGGTTACCGTAGCCTTGTAGTATAGTTTGAAGTAAGGTAGTGTGATGCCTCTAGCTTTGTTCTTTTTGCTTAGGATTGTCTTGGCTATTTGGGCTTTTTTTTGATTCCTTATGAACTTAAAAGTAGTTTTTTCCAATTCTGTGAAGAAAGTCAGTGGTATGGGCAAATGGGCAGTGGATGGGCAAAGACTTCATGACTAAAACACCAAAAGCAATGGCAACAAAAGCCAAAATAGACAAATGGGATCTAATTAAACTAAAGAGCTTCTGCACAGCAAAAGAACTATCATCAGAGTGAACAACCTACAGAATGGGAGAAAATTTTTGCAATCTACCCATCTGACAAAGGGCTAATATCCAGAACTACAAAGAACTTAAAAAAATTTACAAGAAAAAAACAAACGACCCCATCAAAAAGCAGGCAAAGTATATGAACAGACACTTCTCAAAAGAAGACATTTATGCAGCCAACATATATATGAAAAAATGCTCATCATCACTGGTCATCAGAGAAATGCAAATCAAAACCACAATGAGATATCATCTCATGCCAGTTAGAATGGAAATCATTAAAAAGTCAGAAAACAACAGATGCTGGAGATGCTCTCTGTTTTTACACTGTTGGTGAGATTGTAAATTAGTTCAACCATTGTGGAAGACAGTGTGGCGATTACTCAAGGGTCTAGAACTAGAAATACCATTTGACTCAGTGATCCCATTACTGGGTATATACGCAAAGGATTATAAATCATGCTACTATAAAGACACATGCATGCGTATGTTTATTGTGGCACTATTCACAATAGCAGAGACTTGGAACCAACCCAAATGTCCATCAATGATAGACTGGATTAAGAAAATGTGGCACTTATACACCATGGAATACTATGCAGCCATAAAAAAGGATGAGTTAATGTCCTTTGTGGGGACATGGATGAAGCTCGAAACCATCATTCTAAGCAAACTATCACAAGGACAGAAAAACCAAACACTGCATGTTCTCACTCATAGGTGGGAGTTGAACAATGAGAACACATGGACACAGGGTGGGGAATATCACACACTGGGTCTTGTTCGGGGCTGGGGGCTGGGGGAGGGATAGCATTAGGAGAAATACCTAATGTAAATGATGGGTTGATGGGTGCAGCAAACCAACGTGGCACATGTATACCTGTTACAAACCTGCATGTTGTGCACATGTACCCTAGAACTTAAAGTATAAAACAAGAAAAAAAAAAAAAAAGAATGTGAGGTTCAGTTGTTCCAGTCATGGTGAGCGACTTCCCCAAGGTTATCTAGCTTGTAAGTAGTGGGACCTCAATTCCTGGTTTCTAGTTCAGTGTTTATTCCACTCATCAAGACGTTTCTTTCCTTTGTATGCAGTGCCTAATTTCTATCTTGAAGAACTCATTGTAGATTACTTGGATTTGGTAGATAATCTGAATTCCACTTCTGGGCTCCAAGTAAACACTCCTGAATAATTCCAGGAGTCCTTCCAGTAACAGCTGAGAAAGATAAGGTTTTCTGTGACAAAATAGCACAGATAATATGGAGTGGGTCCACAGTACCAGGTTTACAATAAATACAGAGGAACACTCCGGGTCGGTGGCCACCCTGAAACCCACTGTGAAGTCATTTGGCAATTTGGAGAAAAGTAAACTGTTGCAGGTCAGAAACACTTTCTTTCTGTCACCGTGACCTTAACAACTGTGTGCTCTATTCTCTCTAAATTGGGCAAAAATTCTCTTCATCTGGCATTCTGGGATGGCATGAGAATTAATCATACTTTTTACTTAAAATTTCTTCTACAAAACAAAAACACCTGTGCATGCAATTAAATATAAGGTTATGAAAGCAATTGTTTTCACTTAGTCTTTGTGATTTAATGACTACCTTATTAGCACATGCCATGTGGGACTACTAGCCCTGTGTAATACATTAATTCAAGAAAATATAACTATAATAACTATATCATGAGTAGAAAAAAGCTCTTGCTGTATTTCATAAAATGAGGAAAAGATAGAAATACAAATAACCAGCAATCATTCTGAATTTTGTTAATTTTCACTATTTTAACTTGAAAATATTTTTAAAAAATAAGTGTCTCATCCCCACTTTTTTTTTATTTTTTATTTTAATTTAATTTAATTTTATTTTATTATTATTATACTTTAAGTTTTAGGGTACATGTGCACAAGAAATGCAAATCAAAACCACAATGAGATACCATCTCACACCACTTAGAATGGCGATCATCCCCACTTCTTTTGAGTCACTGAGAAGGTTAGTTTGTCTTTCACAGCAGGGCTATTAGTAAAAATTCTCAGTGATCTGGCACTTTCAGCATATTTTTCAATCCCAAAACTAATGTAAATTTCATCTATCTAGCAACTTTCTCGTGTCCTTGCCCAGGTGCCCACCTGGGATCCCTCTAAGCACCCTTCATGCACTAGCATAAACGTTGATTTCTCCCTGGAAATTTCCCTGATCTTCCCTTGCTCATACGACCTAGTACTTAATAAACAGTTCATTTAGTGCAATTATCTCATAGTATTATAGTTAATTGCACACACAACTGGTTTTCCTACTGATCGTGAATTCTTTAGTAGCATGGACACTATTTGGGAGCTCTTATTGCTAGGAAAGTTAAAAGAACTTAAAAATTATTATTGAATAAAAATGAATTCAAAGACCCAGTATCTCATACTCTGGTGGGCTCTTCAAAGGGTTTTCTCTCATGAAACATGAGAATATATTAAATAAAAATATTTCAAAATATAGACATGAATATGATCAGAGTTTTTTCTATATTCCAAGGACACGAAATGGAAATTGATTCAGGTTGTTCGTTCCAAGTTAAAATGAACCTCTTTATATTTTAAGAGCAAGCAATGTAATTTTTGTTCCTCAAAAAGTCTAAAGACAACTTAGTCTTTATGAGCTAGTGACTGCTTTAGAAAACCTCAATAATGCATAATGTACATATAGTTTCATCTGCCTATGGAGAGGATTATGACCTAATAGTGGTTCTTAGTGTTGATCGCAGATTGGAATCACCTGGGAGCTATATAAATCACTGATGTCGGGGTCCCACCCAAGTGCTCAGAGGTGTAATAGGTGTGGATGGTTGTGGCTAATAGCTCCCCAGGTGAGACTAATGTGCAGTGGAGGTTGAAAACTCTTGCCTTATAATAAAATAGCATCCAAATGTCATACGAGCCACACCTGGACCCAAAATGGACCCTGCTGATAAATTAGCTTATAGAATCTTGTGAATACCTACGTCTTCTCAAACATTATGGAACTGAAGCTGAGAAGTATACCATCTGCCTCCAAATAAAAATCCCCAACATAAGATAAAACCTTCTCTTACTCCAAGTGTTGAATCATTGGAATACCAACAGATCCAGAGCACAGAGCTAGAGCTGCAGCATGGGAATACCCATGCACATATTATAGACTTAGGACAGGCTGTGATTGACTACCCTGTTACGTCAGTCCTGGGGGTAGTACTTTCTGTATTCATGTGGGTGGATTGTAGACAATTGTCTGGAAACTCCAAAATTCATAATTTCCCATCTAGGAGTTGAAAAAGAAATTCATGTGAGAAATAGGTTCCTTTCTGGCTAGGGCCAAAATATCCAATAGATACTGCAATGAGGAGAAAACAGGGATATATCCAATGACAATTTTAAGTAGCAGCGCATGATTTCTATTTTGCTGTGGTATGCATTTGTTTCATTTCACATCCCCACATCCACACCCACACACATATACCAATAAATCACAATTAAGCAAGTTTGGGAACAAAGAATTAGAATCAGAACACAATGAACTTTTCCCACAAAATCCAGATATGTGTTTTGCTTCTATTTGCAACAAGCTGTGATTCCCATGTGAAAGGTATCAGTGTATTTCCTCTTCCTGTCAATCATGCCAGGAAAACTTCTGGTATGTTGGGTTATGACCTTTCATCCTGGACATGAGCCAAAAGCCACCAGTAATTTGACTGCTGTAATTATTTAGGCTGTTTCTAATAAGCCTAAAAATGTGATGTTAACATTTTTCACATGTTTGTAGGCTTCTGGCTTTCATGCTATACTCAGCATGCCATTATAAGCTTTTGTTTCATTATATTGGAAGAAAATATAATTTTTCAATAGCTGAATTCTGATCATTGTTTACTGCTAGAAAATATCTTGCCTACAGGGCCATAAGATATTATTTCTTTAAAATTTTGGCAATTTTCTCATGTTAGGCCAAACTTTTAACAATAATAAAAATCCATGCAACATAAATTTACTGAGCAGGTACTATGTGCTAGACATTGTACTAGGTTCTGTGAATGAAAAGATAAATAAGACCAAGTTCAGATCCTTAAGTAGATGAACTGGTAAAAATTAAATTAACATTTAATGCAACTAGCAGAGGCACAGAGTTTAAGTTCCAGCTCTATGGATTGTGAGTATGTCACTTTTAAATATGTTATTATTGTATAGACTGGGAAACTGAGGCACAAGTTCACACAGATGCTATGCAGCAGAACTGAGAGCTAGACCTAGGGATTTTGGCTACACACACTGTATGGAACCCATTATGTCATCATGGTTCTGGAGTCTAAGTTGATTCGTTGTTCGGTTTAAACAGAGAAGAATGTTAAATACCATCGTGAGGAAGGGGAAATACATATATTATATATAATATATATAATATAAATATTTAGACACTTTACAAATTTACTTATTTTTTTATTTATTAATTCATATTTTATAATATATATTTTTGTATATATATATATAAATATTTATAATTTTTAAAATATAATTCAGTAGCATGGAAAGAATCACATGACCTTAATCTGAGCCAATGAGTCCCTCTTGTCTCTTTAGAGAAGCTTATCTTCAGGGTCAAATTTCAAATACTAAACATCCTGGAAGACTTCATGCTTCTGAATGCATTTCGTAGAGCCAGGTCTCCATCATAAACATACTCTAGAATGGGTCATCCTGCCTGACTTGGAGACATGGGTAGTCTGGTAGTCATACAGGTAAATATCCTTAGCCTGTCATAAGCAGCACAAAACAAAGTCAATCATTAGGAGTTGGACTCTGCAGTTGAAGGAGTTGGACTCCATTAGTTTGAAAAATATTTATTGAGTGGAAACTGAAAAAAGATGCCAACTGGGTTGTACAAATAAGCAAGGATTCCTGTTTTATTTTTTATTTTTTTTTATCTGCCGCCTTAGTAGAGGTACAAATGGAGAAAAGGTAATGCAGGCAAAGTTGGATGTGCTGTGCAAAGGGAGGCTCAGGGGCCAAGTAAAGACTGGCAAGGAAATTATGCTAAAAGTTGATGTTCTCCTTCAGTTAAGAAAATATAGACATCCAATTGCAACACGAAGTTGAAAAAGGCTGCCACAATTACCATTCTCTTTACATCTTTTTATAAAATCCTTTAAAAGAAAAGAAATAACTAATTAAGACACGTAGATAGTTTAAACACTAGTGCTATTCTCTGGCTCATCCACTTTCTAGCCATGTTATTTTGAGCATGCAAGTTACTTACCTGTGACTCATTTTTCCCTTCTCTGAAATGGAATGAATGATTGTTGTCTAACTTGTAGAGATACTATGCGATAAAACAGAAAAAAAATAAGCTTTTACATATAGAGACTAGCAAACATTGAAAGCTCAATAATTTAGATTTCTTACTGTATTCTTAATATGATCACAAAGAAATGTGGTTTTTTGAGGACACAAATACAAAAACAGAACAAATGCAAGCTATTGACTTTCTCTATGGACAGGCCAAGAGAAGCTAGCGGATTTCTGTGAGATGATTTCAAAGCTACACGCAAAAAAAGGGGGCTTATGAACAAAATGGCCTGTCTTATACGGTGGCCCTTCTAATCATCCTTGGCCCCTACCCTGTGCCCCACGACCCCTACTTATTTCCTCTATTGAAATCTCATAGGTACAATTTTTGTGAGAATGGGTCACTAAAAAAAATGAGTCTAAGTTCAAAGAGACACTTTGGGCCTGAAACAAAAATATAAATTAGCAGAAGGCTCAGACTGTTGCTCCCAGCAACTAATGCAAGGACTGAAAATGCACTTGCCTTAATATTTCAAGTTACTCTTAAAGAGGGTACCAGACGCAATTAAGTTTCCTTGCCTCTTGAGTTTGAATATTTCAAATTTATCTGCAAAAGTGAGTGAGATGACCTAATTGTACCTCTGCTTTTCACTTGAATTTATCTTTTTGAGTGACAGGAGGTTGCTTCTTAGGCAGATGCCTTCCTTTTAATAATTCAGTAATTAGATGCAACGCTGTCAGCTGTGAAATTTCCGACAGCTTTTCAGTGACAACATATTGGAGGATTTTGTCGTCCTCCAAGGTCTTTCTCAGTTGTCTTTAACAGGAAGGACAGAGATACAAGACAGCATCCTCACTCAGGTGTGTGCAAACCCAGGTGTGGAGGTGGCTGAGCATTTACATCCAAATACCTTCATTTCCTCACTTTCAGATCACATTAGCTGTAAAGGGTCAGGTATGGCCTGAGGAAGTGCAAAAGAGTAAAAATAAAATGTCTCATCATCTGTGCACTCTGATTTTGCAGAGAAGTTAACCTATGGTTCATTCAGTGAGCATCACCTTGCTGAAGAAAAGGGAAAGATATTTTAGAACGCCATTGTGTAAATTCTGCCTACACAAAGTTATGGCTTTGGTTTGAATCTCAAAAATTATTTTTGCAAGTAATCTAATTTTTTTCAAGAAGAAACCTACCAAAGAAACAAAAAAAGGTGAAAGGTGCTAACAGCAGCAAACTAATTAGCAAATACAACCCAGCCATTTTGCATTAGCAGACTTAGTCACATTATGTTTTATGTCTTTGTTCATTGGCAAGGACTTCCAGTAGCTTAATACTTCACTCTCAGACCTGCTTTATCAAGAAGACACTGTGTTTTAGAAACTATAAAAGATCATTTAGAGCAGTAACAAATTACTGCTTTTAATAAAATGCTTTTTTCACTCAATAGGATACCGTAAAAAAATAGTCTACAGAGAAGTAGTCTATAGAAAAGGAACATTTTTAGCTTTGAGAAAATAATACTGGGAAAATGATAATGTAGTCATGAATCATGGTACAAAAGAGGATAAAGAGGCTCATTCTCTGACATCTCTCTCTGTGGCTGCCCCATCAACCTGTCGGATCATTCCTTTAGAGTCTCTTTTTACAAGCTCCTCTTTCTCCAAGCTCGATCCTTAAAGCTGGGTTCTACAAAGACCAGTATCTTTGCCATTTGCTCTTTACACAGCATTCCCCAGTGTGGCCCAATCCATTGGTTTCCAAAACTGGACACACGTCAGATTTCCTCAGGGGGCTTTCTAACCATGCAGGTCTTGGCCACCTTACCTGACATGCTGAATATAAACCATGATGGAGTGGGCCAAGGAATCTGTGCTTTTACAAGTTTTTCCAGGTGATGAAAGATCTGAGAATCTAGGTTGAAATTCACTTGCATCACTGAAGCAGCTAGTAGCTATAAAGATCTGTGTTTTTAGCTCTCATTTCCCTTTTAGTAGCAGGCATGGCTGTATAACTGCCTGATAAATGCCTGTGTCTGTAGGTCACTCATATTCTTCACATGCAATGTGCCCGAATCGGCTTCTCCCATAGTATTCATTTGGGCGACCCTTGTATCCGCCCATGCAACTAATACCTTCAACTCTTGTCTCTCCCTCGTCCTCTCTGTACAGTTATCAAGCCGTAAGACATGCCCTCGTTACTCCATTTTACTCTCTCTGTCGTAGTTTAGGATTTCCTTACTTAAATTTTTCCTGTACTAGAGTGGCAATGACCAAGTCAAGAACTGCTGATGGGTGGGATGTGAGGAGACAGTGAAGGCAGGGAGCCAAGAAAGGCGCTAAGAATTTTGCCTTAAGCAGCTGGGGATACTGGCACCCTTTATGGATATGACTAAGCCTGGGACGGAAAAGTGTCCTACAGAAGAATAAAAATTCAAATATTGGACATATTAACTTTGAGATGCCTATGACATGTCCCAGTTGAGATGCCTATGACATATCCCAGTTGAGATGTCAAGTAGGCAATTTTATATATACATATACATATACGTATACACATACATATACATATACATATATGACTTCAGATCTCTTGGGAGGTGCTTAGGAGATATAAACTTGGGTGTCCCCTGCAAACAGATGACATTTAAAGCAGTGAGAAGGGAAGAGACTATCAGAAGAAGAGAAGAGGGGGGTGGCCAAATTTTTGAGAATGGCAAGCAATTTTCCAGGCTTTTACTGCTCACCCTAATCCATCACCTATGTTCCAGCCACATCAAATCATTCTCTATGCCCCAGATAAATACAGGCAGTGGGGAGCCAGATGTACTATCCCAGACTGATTCTTCCTGTATCTGCCCATTGCAACTTCTACTCTATTGCAAAGAGCCCTAAGCCCCAAATAGGAGGTGAATTACCTCGTCACCATATCTGAACATGGGATTGCTCTTCTTTGAAAGGACTCAGAAAAACATCTTAGCCTTAGACTTGTGCCTCTAAATTACTCCAAGTTCCTCCCAGCCCCAGCAAGCTTTCTCATTCTGTTTGTTGCAACGTTCTTTAGGTTTCAATGGCTTACAGTAAACCTCTGTAGTCAGTCCCCAGAGCTTCTCTAGGGATATGCTGAAAGATGTTCCTTGGGATTTAGAAATCGTTTATTAATTCAACAAAGCTAGGCTTTTAATATCATGAACTTAAAAACAAAGTTAGTTTGAAATTCTAGCTGAGCAATGACTTCTTTGTCCTAGATGGCATCTGAAATCCTCCTGAAACAATTAATGCCATTGATCCAGTGAGTGAGAAACATCAGTGCAAAATGATTGGCAATGAAGGAAAAATACATTGTTTTCAATTTCACCCCCCTCCCCATCTACTTTCTCTCTCTTCCAGACCTTTGCACCTTTGAAGAGCACATTTGTTTTCATGAAACTGCTCTCCACTCCTCTTCCCAGGAAGTGGGTTGTCGGTTTTCTGTGTGGAGCTGCCCCCGGGAAGAAAGCCTTGCTCACCCTCTGAGATATTGTTGAGCCTCATCTAGGTTGAGCAGACACCCATCTTCTAATGCAGGGCAGAAATAAATTATCTGAAATGAACAACGAGTGTTTGTCAAGCAGAGACAGCAAAAGTAGCATGGCCATAGAAATCCTTCCCACCTGGATTGCAGGCGTACTTACTTTGGAACCCATTGTGTGTGAGTTTGTATTTGTCCACAATGCCTTTACCCATAAGAATTTCAGTTGTCAGATCTATTCCTGTTGGCTATAACCTGAAAAGGGAAGTGAGAATTGAGAATAAAAAGGCTGGGGTTGGGGGTGGGCAGAGGCAGAGAAGATGGCTGAGGTGAAGCCAGATATTTTTGCTTTTATTTTTTTCAAAGAAGCCTTAGGCAAAATGATACTGAGGGGGTGAAATTTAAATTTTAACACCATTGTCTCTTAAGAAGGGAGCTGAAACACACATATTTATTATGAGCCAAAACAAAGTACTTTGTCATAAGTTTATCATGAGTAAAATTGAGACCATATAACCTTGCATGTTGAGTTGGTTAAATACTCAAGCTAGTTCTTGATTCTGAGACCACAGTCACACACACACACACACACACACACACACACATACACACCCCCACATGCAACAGGCCCAAAGTGGAGAGAATGAAACTCAGAAAACTTGTTGTACATACTTACATACTATGGGACAAACAAAATTTATAAGTATTAAAAATGCTAAAAGTTTAGGTCCTCAAACTATTTCAAGAAATTAATGAAGATAAGTCATATTATTTGTTCTAAATATATTTATTCAGACAGAATTATAAAATATAACAGGCATTATGTCGTAGACTGGCCAGATGTTTTGTTTTAGTTATATTTTCTCTGCATTCATAAATCTATATAGTCAGTCTCAGAGCTACGGCATGTGCAAAAGACAAAGTTTAACGGAACAGCCTAATTAAAAAGAAACTCCTTATTTTACTCACAGGGCATCAGAATATGAAGTACTTAGAAACATTAAAAAAAAATCTCCTTTTTCTGGCTGTTCATCTTTCTTTGATCCCAGAGTTACTCTAGCACGTCTTTTCTCAGGTCATTACTTACCAAATTCTCTCCTTAACTCCCCACCTTCTTCCTCTCCACATGATTCCTCTTTCTCTCTATTCTTCCCCTTGAAACTGTCATTACTTTATGGCTTGTAGTGCTAGGTCATTTCCTTGACATTCTTCAGTCCCTTTCTTCTTTGACTTTCTTGGTCTCTAAGTTCTGCGTCATAAAAATTCAAAGAACAGAACCTTGACAATAACGTTCTGTACTTATCAAGCTGAACATATCCTTAATCAGACCACAGTGCTTGGAGCACAATGGGCCCTTAAAAATGGGGACAAGAGGGAAGAAGAAAGGAAGGCTGGGGCAAGCAAAAAGGAGAGCCAGATTTCTTTGTCAAGTTTTAAAAGTATCGCTGTACGGAAATTTTACAGAAGAAATTTTGAACACCACAGATTTTTGCCTTTTGAGTTATTATTTGCATTAACGTAATATTAACAGGGCAACAATGTTTTTCGATTTATCATGTGGTTAAGCAAATTGTTAAACACATTTGATTACCGAAAACAGGGAATATGGTAGAAGATCAAAGACATGCCAGAAATTTTTATTTTATGTGGGACACTCGGAATTTAGTTGAGCCTGACAGAGTCCTGCTGGCTAACACCAAGGAGAGACTATTGCTGGCCCCATGCAAGTGGCTGGAATAATGGAAGTCAAGAAGGAAATCTCCACATGGTCGACACTTTGAAGTTGGTCATAGATAGGAAGTTAGAACAAACTCCAGTGGGTGAGGGGTCATGAGTTTACCAGGAGAAGGTAACTTAAGACTGAATGAACAAAAAGAATTTGTGGTCACACGAAAATAAGGAGCAAAACTTCAGGAACAGTCTGAGATAACAAGAAGGTTGGTCCCCCAGGGCTCAGTCTTATGTCCCCAGTGCCATTTGACTTTTTGAAACCAAGTCTCGCTCCATCGCCCAGGCTGAAGTGCAGTGGCATGATCTCGGCTCACTGCAACCTCCAACCCCCAGGTTCAAGCGATTCTTCTGACTCAGCCTCCCAAGTAGCTGGGACTACAGGAGTGTGTCACCATGTCCAGCTAATTTTTATATTTTTAGCAGAGATGGGGTTTCACCATATTGGCCAGGATTGTCTCAAACTCCTGACCTCATGATCTGCCCACCTCGGCCTCCCAAAGCCATTTGACTTTTATTTCAGGTATAAACATATGTTTATACATCATAATAAATAAATAATATAAGTTATTTATTTCACATATGTTTATACCGAAGTAAAAGTCAAATACATTTCCTGAAAAGAATAGTGGGTCCTTGTCACCCAGAAGATGTAGAAGTGGTATGGCAGGAGAAATTCCTATTGCCTGTGTTAATTAATTGTTGCTTTACTTCTAGTGCAACAAGTGAAGTACTTCTTCTTTGTCTAAATATTCAGATAGACTTTATATTGCCTATTTGCTCTTCATTCCCAGAATTTCTTAGATTAGAGTAAGGGTGCTGATGGGTATTACAATCTTACAAATCAAGTTTAAGATTATGGGCACTGTGGAGTTCACATGTAAATGAGAGTTGCTTAACATGCCTCAGTGACAGTGAAACATAGAGGTGTTGCCTAGATTTGAAAATATTTCCGCAAATTATATACTGTTTTGTCATGAGCGCTTACTAAATATCTGCATACATTTGTGTGTGTTCTTTTATGACCACCTCAATGGCTTCTGTTGTACTTGTTATTTGCTGTCTTTACTATCTTTGCCACGTGTATGTATGACATGTTAGCCATTACTGAGTTGACAGACACTCCCAAATCTGTACATAAATGCAATCTCCAACCTTTTCCTCTATAGCTTTATTTCCAATATATGGGTCCCATCCCATTGTAACACTAATTGAGAACTTCCCGTCTGGAGGAAAGAAGAGAATGAATGACATGCAACATTGGACCCTAAACAGAACCAATGACAAACCTGTGAGCTCACAAGCACACTTCTGGAGAACCTGGCTACCAGAGAAGTGTTACTTCCAAGCTGTAAAATCACTCAGCAGTAAGTCCGATAACCCAGACTTGATTTCCTCTCTTCACTTCATTCCTTTGCTCGCACTGTTCCTGGGGATTGAAATGTTCTTTCATGCTCTCTTTACCGCATTAACTCCTGGTCATTCTTAGACCCCTTTTACATAAAATTCTTGTATGTGTTCTTCCTTGTGTCAATATCCTCATATTGAATATTTGATTCTTCCAGTGTGTAGTAGCTAGTCCCTCTGTCACTCCAAAGAAGTACATGTCTTCTTCTCCAGAACTTGTGAATATATTACCTTACATGGCTAAGGGAATTCAGGTAGCAGATGGAAGCAAGGTTGCCAATCAGCTGATGTTAAAATGAAAAGATTACCCTGGATTTTCTGGGTGAGTCCAGTTTAATCAGAGGGTCCTTAAATGGTGAAAGGGGAGGCAGAGGAGTTGGAACCAGAGAAATGCATCATAAGAAAGATTTTCGCAGAATTGCTAGATTTGAAGATGGAGGAAGGGGCCACAGCCAGAGAATGGAGGCAGGCTTTAGAATCTGAAAAAGGCAAGGTAACAGATTAGGTTTAGTCTCCAGAAAGGAATGCAGACCTCTATCACCTTGGTTTTAACTTGTGAGACTCAGGTTTGACTGCTGACATCCAGAACTCTAAGAGGATAAATGTGTATTGTTTTAAGCCACTAAATTTGTGGTAATTTGTTACAGCAGCAAAGGGAAACTAGTACACTGTCTGTGGATAAAGACCATTCCAAAGGGTTTGCTTGTATGTTTCTTCCACTAGGCTGGGAGCTTCCTAAGGTCAGAAACCAGGTATCGTTCAGTCCTATACCCCTAAAGACCTATTATAATATGTAATTAATTCCTGAGTAAGAAGAGACATAGACAAGAGAGAGGAAAGTCAAAATTCTAACTGTATGTTTAAATCTGTGATCCACAAATACTCTTCTTACAGGCTAAACTACCTGAGAGTATCATCTGTGGCTTGTGTGGTTGTCAAAATGGTGAACAGCAATCTTCTCAATAGTGGTTTGGCTCCTCTGTTCCTCATGAGCCCAAATGATTTACCTTCCAAAAATCACCAAGAAGATAAGGCTCAAACCAGCTGCATAGCTAGAAGGATTTGAGAAAATACAATTACGGGATAAGACCAAAGCCATACTCTAGGATAAATCATAGCAACCAGTGATTTTATTCTTCAAAAAGAGAAATAATATCAAATATTGCAAAAATATTAAGAAGAAAAACAAAAAATAGGAGGACAGTAAAGAAAAAGAAAATATTATCAAAACCAAATATAGATATATGCCACTGATCAATAAATAAAAGTTTTTAGCCTATAGAGCCAATCAAAGAGACAAGACTTAAAGCATAGATAAGCAAAATTAATTGAGAGAAAGGCTGTAATGCTGAGTCTTTGGGGAATTGAAAAGCTAGGTAAAGAAGGGATTAAGAAGGTATTGAACAACCAGAAAAGATCAATGAACATAAAACAAATTTAAAAAATATTTTCAAATTTTATAAAATATAGGTTCTAGGACCATGAATTATTTTAGACTTCCATGGAATATATAATTTTCATACCATTTAAGTTGTCTGTAACAAATATGGAGAAATTCAAAAACCATTTCCTGAAGCTGGCACAATCTTGTTCTGAAAACCTGAGGGATGACATGAAAAGACAACTATGTATTATTATATCTTATAAGAGTAAACTACAAAAATTCTAGGAAAAATACCAATTCTCCTACAACTACCACTACCATTGTTACATTATTTATTGTGTTCTTGTTATCTGACAGACAATGGGTTAAGAATGCTTTATCTCAGATAATTTTTATATCCACCTGTTAGTAGATGTCATTATTATTCCCATTTTACAGAAGACAGCTAAATGTTAACAATATTAAATAAATGATTCAAGGTTACAAACAAACAAGGAAAGAGCAAGATGTTAATATAGATTTTTCAAACACCAGAGCCATTCAATAATAATAATATTGTAAAATAATCATCATTGAAAATAAACAGTGGTGATCCCAGGAATATTTAAGAGGCTTCATATGGGTAAACACATACATACCTAAAGACCAAACAAAAGCTATGAGAACCTCAACAGAAGCCAAAATCCATAGACTTTATCACCAACTTATAATAATAAATAAGTAAAACAAAAGAAAGCAAAAAGCTATACACAGAAAAATGAAACTCCTATTCAAAACCTACTACTTTAAGAAAAACATAACGTTCTTAACATAAATGCATAGAAATACCAGCCAATATAACGTATTAAATGGATGAAATTTTTAAAAATTTCCATCAGTCAGAAACATAACTATAATACATACTACATGTTAATTACTGAATTTTTTCATAACTTCTAGTCAATATGCTAATATATTAAGTAGAAATGTTTACAAGGTATAGTAGAAAGAGACAAAAAACGCCCTCATGATTTGAAAATAATTTGATAATGTACCTAACGATTCTTTGGAAAGCAACTGAAACACTAAGAGCTAACAGCATTTTGTAAAGCAACAGGATAATTGGTAAGTACAGAAAAATCAATATCTTTTGTATAAGTTCTCAATACAAATCCAAAGAATTAGAAAAAAAATGTAAGATTGCACAGGAGTCTGAAACACATAAGATACTTAGAGCTAACCTAAGCTGAAATATATGTAAACACGGTTAAATAATAGAACCTTACAAAGAGAGACAAAAGAAGCTTTAATAAATGATATATATGTATATAAATACACATGCATATACATATATACTGATGTTCCTGTATTTCAAATTAGTTTATAGGTTTAATTCAATTTCTGATAGAGTGTTCTAAAACTTGTAAAATCATTTTAATCTAGAAGAATAAATAGATGAAAATAAGTAAGACATTTGAAAAAGTACAGTAATAGAAGCATACTTACTTTACAATATATTAAAATATAAAACCACAATAATTAAAATGAGAAGTTATCAGGGAATATATATTTTGAATTATTTTTAAAAAGGGTTTATGATTCTAAAGTAGAGGTATTTCTGTCTGCTTGTGTGTGTACGTGTGTGTGTGTGTTTCAACCTGCAATATAATAGTGAAAGCATTTCAAATACATGGAAAAGTGACCTATTATTCTAAGATTCATCTTACAAACATCAAATATTATTTCCAAAGTAAGTTAAATATTTGTATTGCAGTGATACATGGAGTAATTCTTCCACTAACCTGAGACTTAAGAGAAATTGTGTTATTTAGTCTCAGGATAGAGAAATAATTGCTAATATATAAAACAAGTGGAAAAAGTACAGATAGTATACAAATATATACAATTTTATTATTTTACATAACCCTAAGAAAAAAATGACACAAATGACAAAATGGGAAACATATTTACAGTAAACCAAAAACAATAATATTATTTATATTCAGAGAGTTACTAAAAACCAGTGCACAAAATTGTCAACATTCTAACTGAATATCCAAAAGATATTACAGAAACTTTGCATATGAAGGGCTGTAAGTGTTCAATAAACAATTGTTTAATGAATATATTTTCAACTGAACAGTAGATTAAAGAGGAAACAGGTTAAAAAAAGAGTGCAATAACTTTTTTATTTCCTAACAAAAGGGCAATGATACATAAAATTATTTAATAATACTTGTCCAGATATGGTTGTCTTATCTATAGGTGGAAGTGTAAATTATCAAAAATATCTTCAAAGCAATTTTTAAAACTATTGTCAAAAGGTCAAGAGCCAAGAATATACATGCATTTTGATTTAGTAATTCTATTTTTATAAATTTACCTTCCTGAAATAAGCAGCATGCTTACAAACTTTATACACAGGATGTGTATTATATAGTGTTATCCTTATAAGAGCAAAAAATGTTAGCAATTTACATGTATAAACGTATAATGGGTTTTATGCAATAAATAAATGAAAGCTTGAAGGAATATTTTCTGCACAGAAACGTTACTCAATATAATTTTAACTTAAAAAAGTAGCATGATCCCGATTTGGCATATATTATATATATGCAATGAAAAAGCTACAAGGAAGTATGCTGTATAATTAATAGTAGTTATCTCTGGTTGATAAGAGAAGAAAATTTTACTTTTATATTTTCTTTTTTAAAAAAATTTAATGCAATCTTTTTCATTAGCTTTATATGAAAACATACACACATATATTTCTAAACAAACCACTGAAAACTCTATTACTAATATTAATTGCTAAAATAATGAATCAAAAATTAGAAATTTAATTTTGGCACATATTTTAATAAGAATCATTCATATTCTCTATTTCCCTCCCAATTCCTCAAATAGAATTAAATAGGATAGTAAAGAAATATACAAACTAAAATTTGTACTATCAATTTGTGAGTTCTAGCAGACTTTTCACTTTTACTTCTAGGTCCCTGCAACTGATGCAACCTTTACTTTAAGAGAATAGGAGGACATCATGTTCATAAAGAAACCTTGGATCTCGAACGTACCTAAAAAGCAGCTTAAAGTCCTTGGAGCAAACAGTACAGCTGAGAAATGTTACACCAGTTGGGTGTCAATCCATAAAACCCGTTCTAGAGAAAATCGTGGAGGTAAAAATAAAGGAGGAAGAGTATAGGGCAGGATGGTAGCTTTACAAATGAGTATAACACCTGAATGGAAAAAAAAATTAAAAAGACCTTCTTGGTAGTTGGAATTATTTGTTTAAAATGTTACTGTGTAAGAAAGAACAAGTCATTCTGAGATTTGAGCATTATGTTCAGTTCTTTTTCAGATGGTGCCCAGTTTAACTCAGTTGAGGTCTTAGACGCTGAAAGTATTTGAATTTAGAAGGAATGAAGAAAACAATTCAAAATTTACAAAACCTCACACCCATTAGAAAATATGGCACATGTTTCTCTCATTCAGTCTAGCACCCCTTTTTTTTCTCATTGCATCTCAAATTTCCCAGTTGGTCTTGGATTCTTATAATGATAGTAGGCATACAGGGAAAACGTAGAAAATCGGTAATTTAGGCAGGAAGTGGAATTTTCAGTTTGTGTTTTCTAGCTTCTCCCTCATTTAAGTAAGTTGTTAATGTTTAATGACATAACTGTGACTCTGAAGTTCAGCAGTCACAGAGAAATTCGACTGAAGAAAAAGAACTTTGGAATATTTTTCTTTGTCACTTCCTTGAAGAGTGTTTCAAAGATTAGGGGCCTATGTACTTTGCTTTTCTCCAAGTTATAATAAAGATTATTTCGTTTTTGCAGATGTTTAAAGACATGAAGGCAAAGACAAATTTTTCAACCAGAACCCTCAAGAAATGTCACTTCTCTGTCTTGCCAAGAGAGATCCAGCATTTTTTCTACATAAACATCTGCTGGAAACATTTTAAAGGGAGGCATTTTAAATAATGACGTTTATAGCTTCTTGGTCTTTAATAAGTCTGAAAAAGAAGAAAAATGAATTTGTGATACATTCCTTCCCAAAGCAACTTTTCTTCACTGATATGCATCATATTAGATGATCTAAAAGCGAAAATATTAACATTATGTTGGGGGAAAATGATTAAGAACATTTCTCTGAACTGTCTGTATCAATCATACCTGAGAGTCAGTCATAAATCACAGGTTCCTTAAACTCCAGAAACTCCATCAGTTCATTGTTTCGCCTCTTGTTTGTGGCAATTATACTACATTTATATTTACATAATAATTGGATTTTCTATTAAATTAAACAAAAAACCTCTCAAAAAAGAGAGTCAGGGAACCATAACTTAGCTATACAACCTGAACAATGCAAACTCATTTGTAGTTAGAATGGAAACTTCATCTTGTACAAACTAACACGGATGTTTGGGGATAATTCTCTGTAGGAAATGCAAGATATATTGCCAGGCTCTTTAAGGTTCCATGGAAAAGACACACACACATTGCCTTTGGTAATAGGTGTTTATTGCAAAGATACACAAAGATGTAATTTAGCAAGAAATGTTATCTCATAGTTACTTTGGGTTTCACTGTTCTAAAGAATCAAGTGTACTGCAGGCATCATGAAGAAGTGAGAAAATGGCTTGGCACCTTTCAGATTACAAACTAAGCTCAAATGATATGTCTGTTTTTCCTTTACCCAGCATTTTAACTTCCCCAAACAACTGATTTGATTGACAGCTTTGCCACCATCAAAAACCTATTGTCATGAATTTCACCCAAGTCAGCTCAGGGTACTTATGCACTAGTACTTAAGTAAAAGGTTGTTTCTCTTGACACATGGAGTTCAAGCAATTAATGACCAGTTCAATGAAGTGCTGGTTTTGGTCCTTTTAGAAATTAGCAATGGCCATGGCTGAAACAATTTTCCTGGAGTTCTTCTGCAGCATGTTCAATAAATTAGATAAAATGGAAAAAAGTGCATAAGGCAAGGATTCAGTATGTATGCCTTCAAATGAAGACAGGTTATCACCTGAAAATAGCTTTGGAGACTGACAGTATACTGAAAAACATTATTAGTAATTACTACTTTTAGGATGGTGGAGTAAGATCCTCCATCAAAACATGAGTTTCCTAAACTCTGACATCAGCCTCCAAACCACATACACCCATCCAATGAAACAGGTAAAAATCTGTCTGGCTACTAGGTGTTAAATGCAGCCTTTGAGGAATAAGTATCTTATATGAACCAGGGACAACACGTAACTAATCAGGTGTCAAGATGCAGACATGGGTTAAAATTTGAGCAGGAACAGCAGAAATTTAATGCTATAATGGAAATAGACTATAGAATTACTTCACCAAACTTACTAAACAAATAAATAAACAACCACATACACAGCCAAAACAACCCTTAGTGTGTGTTGGTGAGGGGAATTAGAATAGGGACTTGCTAGAATATATTATTTTTAAAATTTCAGTTTTCAACAGCAACAACAAAAATGTCATCTACGAAGAAATAGGAAAATGTTAGACAGAAGAAAGGAAGTGGGCAATGGAAATATTGCTTTGGAAGAGGCCCAGATGGTGAATTATAAAACACCTCCAAGCAATTATTACAGATATGTTCAAAGACTAAAGAAAAACCGTATTTCAATAATTAATGATTATAATGACAATGTCTTATCAAATGTATTATATATCAATACAGATAGAAAAATATCGAAAGGAATCAAATGGAAATTCTATATTAGAAGTAAAATAAAAACAAAATTAAAAGTTTACTAGCAGGGTTCAACAGTAGATACAAGGAAGCATGAGAAAGAATGTGTAGATTTGAAGATAGATTCAAAAGAGATCATGCAATCTGAAGAGTAGAGAAAAAAATAATAAAAACATGCAGGCAGCCTCAGAAAAATGTGGGATAACAATAAATACATTAACATACATATAATGGAGTTACCAGAAGTATAGGCAAGAGAGAAAAGGACAAATAAATATTCAAAGAAAAAATGAATGAAAACTTCCAAAATTTGATGAAGACATTATCTAAACATCCAAGATCAATTAATGAACTAGAAGGAGGATAAATGCAGAGATATATCAACACCCACACACATCATAGTCAACACGTTAAAACCCAGAGATAAACATAATATTTTGAAACTGGTAAGAGGAAAAGTACTCAAGTACCAGGAGATTCCACTAAAATTAATAGCTGACTTTGCAACAGAAACAATGGAGGTCAGAAAGCAGTGGGGTGACATACTTAAAGGGCTAAAAGTAAAAATAACTGTCAGCCAAATATACACACATTGAAATTATTTTTTAAAAATGAAGGTTCAGGCCAGGTGCAGTGGCTCATACCTGTAATCCTAGCACTTTGGGAGGCCCAGGCTGGCAGATCACCTGAAGTCAGGAGTTCGAAACCAGCCGTGACAACATTGAGAAACTGCATCTCTACTGAAAACAGAAAAATTAGCTGGCGTGGTGGCACATGCCTGTAATCCCAGCTACTCAGGAGGTTGAG
This sequence comes from Homo sapiens, assembly GCF_000001405.40. Lineage (NCBI taxonomy): Eukaryota > Metazoa > Chordata > Mammalia > Primates > Hominidae > Homo > Homo sapiens. The sequence goes on along the minus strand of NC_000015.10, from coordinate 97,550,969 downwards.
GCAGGAGAATTGCTTGAACCCAGGAGGCAGATGTTGCAGTGAGCCAAGATGGCACCACTGCACTCCAGCCTGGGTGACAGAGCGAGACCTCCTCTCAAAAAAACAAGCAAACAAACAAAAAAAACAAAAAGAAAAAAAAGTAAGAAGGTGCAGTGAGTACCTTGCGAGCTAAATAAAACCCCAGATAATTGTTTCTATAAGAACTGCTTTTCAAAAATACCAAAGGAAATTAATCAAACTGAAAGCAAGTTAAACCAGTCAGTAATCAAATCCACAGAGAGAAAAAAAAAACACTCAAAAAGGCAATTAGGTAGGCAACTACAAAAAATGAGATAATTTCCTATTTGTTTTTTTCTTCTCGTAACCATTTTAAAAAGCAATTGTTAAAAATATGTAAATAATTATATTATTGAGCCTATAATATGTAGAAATGTAATATATTTGAAAATAAGAGCATAGAGGAAGTAGGTAGAAATAAAGCTATATAGGAATGAGAAAATGATACCACAACTCAAATACCTAGGAAGAAATAAAGAGAACCAGAAAGAGCAAATAAGGAGATTAATATAGCAAAGTCTATAATATGTGATTTATCTCCTTTCTTCTCTTAGCTTCCTTAAAAACCTTAAAGTATTATAAAGCAATGATTTTATCAGTGTATTTTGGGGCTTGTAGCATACAAAGACATAATTTATTTAGCAATAATAGCACAACAACTCAGGGTGGGAATTGAGCTATATAGAAGTAAATTTTGATATTTCACTGGAACTAAGTGACTGTAAATCTAATGTAGATTCTGATAAGTTGAGGGAATATCATAGTCCTTCAGGAAACCACTAAGGAAATACCTAAAAATATAATTAATATTATTAAAATATTTAAATATTCCATTAGAAAATATTCATTTAATATGAGAAGACCAAAACAAGTAATCAAGGCAGAAAAAGACATGAGGCATATAGAAAGCAAAAAGCAAAATGGCAGAAGTACATACAATCATGTCAATAACATTAAATGTAAATAGATTAAATAGTCCAATCAAAAGGAAAAGATTGTTAGATTTGAGCTACAAGAGACATATTTTAGATTGTAATATGTAAACAACCTGAAACAACTTGCAGACTACAACCACAAAAGAACTGAGATGGTTATGCTAATATTATAAAGGAGAAACATTAAAACATAAAATGTTACTAGAGATTAAGAGGAACATCTTATAATAATAAAAGGGCCAAGCCATCAGAAATATATAACAAGTATAAACATATACTCACCTAATCAAATAATCAACTAAACATATAATATAGTATTTGGAGACTTCAATACTACACTTTCAATAATGAATTGAACAACTAAATAAAAAATCAACAAAGAAATAGAAAGCTTGAACGACACTATAAATCAACAAAACCTCACAGAAAACTGTACAACCCTGCACCCAACAAGAATAATATACACATTCTTCTCAAGTGCAAATGAAGCATTCTCCAGGGTCAACTATACGTTAGGCCATAAAATAAGCCTCAACATTTTTTAAAATTTAAAATTAATACAAAAGTATGTCCTTAGTCCACAACAGAATGAAAGTAGAAATAAATAACAAAAGAATACTTGGAAAATTCACAAATATATGAAAATTAAAGAACACGCTGCAAAATAAACTAGTAAGACAGAAAAAAGATCATAAAAAATTTATATAAATAAATACTTCAATATGAATGGGACTGAAAGCAACACATACCAAAACATACAGTATGCAGCTAAAACTGTGTTAATAGGGAAATTTATAGCTGTAAATGCTATAATAAAAAAGTAGAAAGATCTCAAATAAATAAATTAATTTTCAGATAAAGAAAATAGAAGATAAAGAATAAACTAAATATGTAGCAAACATAACAAAGGAAATACTAAACAGAGAAAAAAATTAAAGAGTAGAATAAAAGAAAATCAAGGTAAGCAAATATTAATTCCTTCAAAAGATCGACAAAATTGACAAAACCTTAAGTAGTCTAACTGAAAAAAAAAACAAAGAAGAGTCGAATTATGAAAGTCATACACATGAGAATGGACATTGCTGCCAATCTTGCAAAAATAAAAGTGCTTATAAGGGCTGGTTGCAGTGGCACATGCCTATATTCCAACCTACTTGGGAGGCTGAGGCAGGAGTTGCTCAATGAATTCTCGAACTCCCAGGAGTTCTCCCAGGGAATTGCTTTCATTAAATTCCTGAACTTCCAGGAGTTGAGTCCAGCCTGAGCAACATAGTGAGACTCCATTTTCAAAAATAAATAAAATAATAAATAAATTAGATGTATTATGTGCTGTTAATTATTATAATGGAATAGTATGAACAATTGTATGCTATTGTATGCTAATAAGATAACGTAGGTGAAATACGATATCTGGATTAATGTACCAAAATACCCATATTCTCCTAAATTCGCTGAACCTACAGAAGTAGCACAGTCTTCTCTATTATGTGGTAGTGTTTCCCTTAGCAAGAAGATAATGAAGAGACCTCTTCTATGCAAAATAGCATGTATCAACCTTTGTATCAGTGCAAAAAGAGAAAAGCACCATATTTCTGTTTTGGTAAGGAGCTGCAGTCTTAGCCAAAATATATTGCAGAAATTGGGAGAGTATGTATGAAACTAGAATTTGAGGTCCATGAGGGTGTAAGATAAGATGGAATAAGAGAAAGTTATCAATTTGGGAGTACTCTCCCCAAATACAGTATTCAACACCATTGAAAGAAGCAAGTGAAATAGTGCAAACATGCTGCTAGCATGGCTCCTAAAGGCAGAGAGAAAGTGATGACTTAAATTAAGCAAAGTGGGCATACCAGAATTACTATGGCAGGTGCTGGAAAACAGGGATTTAAAAGTCCGAGAAATGAGCATGCTGGAGGAGGTATACAATGAAAAGTAGAAACACCCATCAAATGACTGTTCCATAGAAGGGCTTGATTATTTTTAAAAATCATTTAGGAGGAAACTAGCATAAGGGGCACTAGTATCACTAAGAAGCTCAAAGGTGTCTCCCATCTGTAGGCCAGAAACTGTTGATGGGAAAGTTCAATAGAGAACAAGGCTCAGTGATAGCAGTGGACATGAAGAACGGACAAAAGAAAAGAAAACAGAAGAAAACAGGTGGCATCGCGCGATCATCAGAAGCTGATAAACTTTGGGTGTTTGTCCCACCCAGATCTCATGTTGAAATGTAATCCCCAATGCTGGAGATGGAACCTGATGAGAAGTGTTTGGGTCTTGTAGGCAGATCCCTCATGTCTTGGTACAATAGTGAGTTCTTGCAAGATCTGGTTGCTTAAAAGTGTGTGGCACCTCCCCGTTTCCCTTGTTGCTTCCTCTCCCCATGTGATGTGCTGGCTTCCCTTCACCTTCTGTCATAATTGTGAGTTTCCTGAGACACTCACCAGAAGCAGATGCCAGCACCATGCTTCCTGTACAGCCTGCAGCATCGTGAGCCAATTAAGCCTCTTTTCATTTTAAATTACCCAGTCTCAGGTATTTATTTATAGCAATGAAAGAATGGTCTAACAAAGAAGCCAGTTGAATGTAATTATTATAATTATCAGTATGGTCAAGTGGAAACCAATGGTCTTGACCTGTAGAGAGCCATAGGTAACAAAACTTAGTTTCCACAGGGTCAAAACACTTGGATAGCAAAGGAGGATCCTTCTCAATCTGTAAGATCAAAATAAACTAAGGAAGCATAATTTGTAGATAAAGGCAGCCACTTCAATAAGTCACAATATGTTATCCAGTTTCTGCAAGTTTTCGGGTCCAGACTTACTGGCTTAAGTAGTGCCTAGGTCTCCCAGGAATTAAGACTCTGCAACAGTATGTGTATATGCAAACTTTCCCATTCCTTTCCTAAATAAACACATGATTATTTACTCAGGTAACAGTAGACTGGGCAGAGAAGAACATGGAAATATTTTGAATACTTTTGAAGTTGGGTCCTAGTTGATATTGATGTATAGAGACTTGAAGTATCATATGAGCTTACTGTTGGAGTGGTTGCATATGGGCATATAGAGTAGCTATAGTGGTAAAGATTGATACTAAGCATGGACCCAACAGTATGAACTTGTACTTGCCAAATCTGATCTAGCTACTTCCCCTGCTAGATATCAACTCTGCCAAAGACACCAAGGCTAAGTTCCTGACACAGAACCATCCCTAAAGGAGACCAACCACCAACTTAATTATAAATTATCTACATTGGACATACCTCCCCCTGGAAGGATGTTGTTAATTTTATGTGCTAACTTGACTGGGCCATGTGGTGCCCAGATATTTGGTCAAACGTTATTCTTGGAGTAATTGCAAAGGTGTTTTTGGATAAGATTAACATATGAATAAGCAGACTGAATATATCAAGTTGCCCTTTCTAAGGTTAGTTGCCCTTATCCAGTCACTTAAAGGTCTGAATAGAACAAAAAGCCTGATCTACTTATAAATAAGAAGAAACTTCTCCTGCCTGAGTATTTTAAGGTGAGATATTTGTCTTTTCCAGCCTTTGGACTTGGACTGAAGCTTTAGTTTTTCTTGAGTGTCAAGTCTGCTGTCCTTCAGACTGGAATCTATACCATAGGTTTCCCGCCTTGCTGACTAGAGATCTTGGGACTTCTCAGCTTTCAAAATTTCATGGGTTAATGTCTTAAAATAAATTTGTCTATCTATCTATCTATCTATCTATCTATCTATCTATCTATCCATCCATCCATCTATCTACCTGAAACCAGCCCAATTTTCCCATAGAACTGATGTTTTGGGTTTTTTAAATAAACATAGGATTTAACCCTCACAGTCTTAAGCCTTGAAACTTAAACTTGTCTTATCTGGGTTCCTTTCTCAGGAAACCAATCCTCAGGCCTCCCAGAGAGTATCAGGGAACTGAAACTGACCAGATCACGGTCTTACCAGACAATGAGATGCCAGACCCCTTATCTGTCATGATTGCCTAACTCACCATCTGCTTCCTGTTGACCAGTGCCTCTTTCTTACCCCTCACAAATTCCTGTTTTCCTGTGTGTAATTACATTCCTTCCTCTCTATATAAACTCCTAATTTTAATCAGTTGGGGAGATGGATTTGAGACTTATCTCCCATTACCTGGCTGACATCACCAACATTAAAGCCTTTCTTCCCTGGCAATACTCATCTCAGTGATTGACTTTCTGTGCTGTGAGAAAATGGACCTTAGATAAACCCCTGGCATTTGGCAATCTGTCTATCTATCTATCTATCATCTATTGATCTATTGATTCTGTTTCTCTGAAGAGCACAGATTAATACAGATTTTAATACTGAGAAACCAGGTGCTGCTGCAACCAATACCTAAGCACCTGGAAATGGTTAATGGGTAGAAGCTGGAGAGTTTTCAGTACATCCTGGAAATATGGATGTTAAAGGAGATTCTAGTAGGGTCTCAGATGAAAATTAGGAGCATATGATTAGGAATGGGAGGAAGATGATTCTTATTATAAAGCAGCAAAGAACTTGATGGAAATGCATTCTAGTATTTAATGGAAGGTAGAAATTGTGAGTGATGAGAGTTGTTATTTAGCTGATAAAATTTTTAAGCAAAGTGTTGAAAAGGTGGTTGCTTTCTTTTGATTCCTTATAGTAAAATGCAAAGGAAGAGATAAAGAAGGAATTGTTAAGCAAAAAGGAACCAGAACTTGAAAATTGAAAATTCTCATCCCATCCATAATGCAATAAATGAGAAAGCATGTTCTGAAGAGAACACCAACGGTGTGACTACTAGACTGTCCTTCAATAAAGAACTATGGAATTATATGAGCACAGACACTGCCAGTTGGAACTAAAAGGGATAAAGATGGGATAATTGGACAGAATGAGAAGATAAAGCTATTTGGCTGCACACATGCACTATTTTCCAGGAAGAGGAAGAATGCCCCATTTATTGCACTATGGATGGGCTCTGAATTATCCAGGCAATTCAGAGATCAGGGATACTTCCTTGGTTTCAACAGGCCAAGAAGCTTCTGCCTAAAGCATTGGGGGTTAGGAGCATGCTGCAGAACCATTGGAATGGGACTTCCATGAGCTTTGGGAACAGGAAATTGACCCATAGTGTGGGTGTGATGCTCCTATCTCAGTGGTCCTGGAGAAAAGACTATTAAACTAAAGAAGAGTGCTCTTTAGCCTTAAGATCAAATGGAACAATTTGACTTGCCTGGTTTTGTACTTGTTTTAGATCCCTTGAAATTCATGTGTGAAAACCCTAAACCTCAATGTGAGTATATTTGGAGATAGGGTTTTGAGGATGTAATTGAGGTTAAATGAAATAATAGTGGTGGAGTCTTAATCTGAAATAATTAGTGTCCTTATAAGACGAGAAGGGAAAAGGCCAAACCTATGACTGTTTGGAGTACCTGAAGGAGATGGGGAGAATGGAACCAAGTTGGAAAACATACTTCAGGATATCATCCAGGAGAACTTCCCCAACTTAACAAGATAGGCCAATATTCATGTTCAGGAATCCAGAGAACCCTAGTAAGATACTCCATGGGAAGATCAACTCCAAGACACATAATCTTTAGATTCTCCTAGGTCAAAATGAAGGAAAAATTGTTCAGGGTAGCAAGACAGAAAGGCCAGATCTTCTATAAAGGGAAGCCCATAAGACTAACAGCAGACCTCTCAGTAGAAACTCTACAAGCCAGAAAGATTGGGGGCCAATATTCAACATTCTTAAAGAAAAGAATTTCCAACCAAGAATTTCATATCCAGCCAAACTAAGCTTCATAAATGATGGAGAAATAAAATCCTTTTCAGACAAGCGAATGATAAGGCAATTCATTACCACTAGGCCTGCCTTGCAAGAGCTCCTGAAGGAAGCACTAAATATGAAAAGGAATAAACATTACCAGGCACTGAAAAAAAAACACTGAAGTACAAAGACCAATGACATTATGAAGCAACTACATCAACACGTCTGCCAAATAACCAGCTAGCATCATGATGACAGGATCAAATTCACACATAACAATATTAACCTTAAATGTAAATGGGCTAAATGCCCCTATTGAAAGGCACAGAATAGCAAACTGGATAAAGAGTCAAGACACATTGGTGTGCTGTATTCAAGAGACCCATCTGATATGCAAAGACACACATAGGCTCAAAATAAAGGGATGGAGGAAAATTTACCAAGCAAATGGAAAGCACAAAAAAGCAGAGGTTGCAATTCTAGTTTCTGACAAAACAGACTTTAAACCAAAAAAACATTTAAAAAGTCAAAGGGCATTACATAATGGTAAAAGGTTCAATTCAATAAGAATTAATTCTAAATACATATGCACCCAAGACAGGAGCATTCAGATTCATAAAACAATTTCTTAGAGACCTATCATGAGTCTTAGACTCCCATACAATAATAGTGAGAGACTTTAACACCCCACTGTCTATATTAGATCATTGAGACAGAAAATTAACTAGGAAATTCAGGACTTGAACTCAGGTCTGGATCAAGTGGACCTGATAGATATCTACAGAACTCTCCACCCAAAACAACAGAATATACATTCTTCTTGGTGCCACATGACACTTGCTCTACAATTGATCATATAATTGGGAGTAAAATCCTAGAAGAAACTCTAGGTATTACCATTCAGGACATAGGCATAAGTAATGATTTCATAACGAAACATCAAATACAATTGCAACAAAAGAAAAAATTCATAAATCAGATCTAATTAAAATAAAGAGCTTCTGATGATAGCAAAAGAAACTATCATCAGAGTGAACAGACAACCTACAGAATAGGAGAAAAATTTTGCAATCTATCCATCTGACAGAGGTCTAATATTCAGAGTCTACAAGGAACTTAAACAAATTTACAAGAAAAAAACAAACAACCCCATTAAAAATTGGGTGAAGTACATGAACAGACATTTCTCAGAAGAAGTCAGTTATGCAGCCAAAAACCATATGTAAGAAAGCTCAACATCACTAATCAGTAGGGAAATGCAGATCAAAACCACAATGAGATACCATTTCATGCCAGTCAGAATGGCGATTATTAAAAAGTCAAGAAAGAACAGATACTGGTGAGGTTGTGGAGAAATTAGAACACTTTTACACTATTGATGGGAATGTAAATTAGTTCAACCATTGTGGAAGACAGTGTGGCAATTCCTGAAAGACCTAAAACCAGAAATACCATTTGATCTAGCAATCCCATTACTGGGTATATACCCAAAGGAATATAAATTATTCTATTATAAAGAAACATGCACATATATGTTCACTGTAAGGCTATTCACAATGGCAATGACATGGAACCAACCCAAATTTCCATCAATGATAGACTGGATAAAGAAAATGTGCTACATATACACCATGGAATTGTATGCAGCCACAAAAAGGAATGAGATCATGTCCTTTGCAGGGAAATGGATGGTGCTGGAAGCCATTATCCTCAGCAAACTAATGAAGGGACAGAAAACCAAACACTGTATGTTCTCATTTATAAGTGGGAGCTGAACAATGAAAACACATGGACACAGGGAGGGGAACAACACACCCTGGGGCCTGTTGGGGAAGTGGGGCGGGGAGAGCATCAGGATTAATAGCTAATGCATGTGGGGCTTAATACCTAGGTGATGGGTTGATAGGTGCAGCAAACCACCATGGCATACGTTTACCTATGTGACAATCCTGCACATCCTGCACATGTATCCCGGACTTAAAATTAAATTATATTTTTTTAAAAAAAGAGAGAGGTAAAGAGAGATATATTCTTCTGTATCCATAGAAACATACTTCACATATGAGCACACAGTAGAAGGCAGCCATCTGCATGCCAGGAAAAGAATCCTCACTAGAACCTAACCTTGCTGGCACCTGGATTTGGGACTTCTAGCCTCTAGGACTATGAGAAAATAACTTTGTTTTGTTTAAGTCACCCAGTCTCTCCTATTTTGTTATGGCAGCCAGAGAAGACTAAGACAAGAGAGCAGGGATAGATACATATTCTAGTTATTAGTTTCTTTTTCTAACCACAGAGGCACATCACCACTGCCTGAGGGCTCATAAAATGTTTGATATGTCATTATAAAATCAAATACAACATTGTGTAAGACCAAGGGAATCATTTGCAGTAGAAGAGTTGCAGGAGTGAGACATGACCCGGGATCCACTGCTCACATCACATTTCACACCCCACAGATGCTGCTTGCCTGACAGAGGAATGGAATGACTTGCTGAAGGAGTAGCAGAAACACTGACTTGGAGGTGATGACTTGCAAGAGAGGAGAGTCATCCTCCAAGATGTCAGGTGCAGTATAAATCAATGATTTTCAAAGGGTACCTTTCTGTAATAGGAGAAGACATTCATCTGGGAATTAAAGGGTGGAAGCAGGACTGTCTCCTACGTATTCGATTAGGAAACTTTTCCTTCATATCCCCGTAATTATTGGCTCTGTGAGTTTAGATATCTTGGTTTCCAAAGGTATATGCTTTCACTAAGGAATGCAGCAGGAATCTCACTAAATTATAAGTCATGATTACTGCTTGTGAATTTGGGGGATCTTTGCGGCAAGGGGACAACAGACAACAAGAGGAATCACCATCCTAGAATAGCAGCTGACCCTGAAGATCAGAAGCTAGGGCTGTCAAGACACAATGATGAATATGTCTGACAAGCAGGAGACCCACTTGAATGCTTCTCGGTGTTCCCTTGTCCAGTTTTGTTGGTAAGTGGACAGACCAGCAGCCCCAAGCTGAGAAGAAAGAACACAATACACAGAGCTCAAACCCTCGAGGAGTGAATCTGTGTCATGTCACCAAGTAAGCTATGAAAGACAGCAGTCTATAAGGAATCTAGGTTTAAGAAGATCTGTGAATTGCCAGGAGACCAACTTCAGTGTTGGACCCTAAAGTTTGTTCTTCAAATCTTCCTTTTATAAGTCCCCCTTAGAAACAGAGTCTCACCAGCATCCTGAAAGAGCTGCTTCCAGAACTTACATGAAGAAGTGAATACAAACAATATGAGTGCTATACTGTAGTGGATTATATAATATGCCACTTACCTCTCCCTTCTTTTTCCAGGTGCTGAAGTATTTATCTCAGGCCACTCTTAGCTGCCAGTCCTCCTTATGAATTACCTAAAGCTAAGATAATTTTTTCATCCAAGGTCACACTCCCTTGCTGGGGAAGCCCACATTCAATTACTGGTCAGTGTGGGAGTATAAAAGCTGGTTCTTTCCCTTCAATTTGGTACAATGTGAGGGGCCATCTTTGCTTCAGCTCCTCATATAAGTTGGCTGAGACTTTCATGGAGGTGATGTTGTAGCCCAGTTGCTTTGTGTCCAATCCTGCTGCTCTTTTTCTATCTACAGGTGTTCATCTTAAGAACACTCCCTAAAACTTCATGCTCACTAATCCCCTTCTCAGAGTCTGCTTGCCAAAGTACCTGACCAGCAACATTCTTAGCACAATGACTTGTACAGAGTATGGTTATTAAAAAGAACTATTAAACTTTTAATAAAAAACTTGGGGGAAATTATATGTATATATGTATGTGTTTATGTGTGTTATAAATACATGTATGTATGTATTTATGTGTGTGTGCACTCTCTCTCTCTGTCTCACACACACACACACACACACACACACACACACACACACCTGGCTTTGCATCATGTAAAAAAACAAACTCAATTTTAGGCAGAACATAGCTATTCTAATACGTGTAAAATATTTGCATGTGATTTTGGAAGTTTAGTTCCCAGGTCAATTTATATAATTTTTATGTTAGGGCCTAACTCGAATTAAAAAATTTGTAGAATAAATTATATTGCATTTCCCAGAAGCTTGAAAATACAATGTTTTAAAACACAGCCCTTACCCTTTTAGAAGAATCTCAGAGTTTGGTAAAAACTTCAGATTTAATGACCATGTGGAAATAGAGTGGCAGGATTTTTATTCTATCATCATATTGGAGAATTCCTCATCAGAGTGATTGGTGGTACACCTTGACAGAGTGAGTTTTCTTTTTTTTCTTTCTTTCTCTTTCTTTCTTTCCTTTCTTTCTCTCTCCTTCCTTCCCTCCCTCCCTCCTTCCCTCTCTCTCTCCCTCCCTCCCTCCTTTCTTTCTTTCTCTTTCTTTCTTTCTTTCTTTCTTTCTTTTCTTTCTTTCTCTTTCTTTCTTTCTTTCTTTCTTTCTTTCTTTCTTTCTTTCTTTCTTTCTTTCTTTCTTTCTTTCCTTCCTTCCTTCTTTTTTTCTTTCTTTCTTTCAAGACAGAATCTCACTCTGTTGTCCAGTCTGGAGTGTGGTGGTGCTATCTCGACTCACTGCAACCTCTGCCTCTTCGGTTCAAGCAATTCTTCCTCCTCAGCCTCCCGAGTAGCTGGGATTATAGGCCTGTGTATAGGCATATAACCATGCCTGGCTAATTTTTGTGTTTTTAGTAGAGACGGGGTTTTACCATGTTGGACAGGCTGATCTCGAACTCCCAACCACAAATGACCCTCCTGCCTTGGCCTCCCAAAATGCTTTACAGGTGTGAGCCACCACACCTGGCCAAGAGTGAATATTTTTAAAAATGAAAATTATGTCACTCTTCTGAACCCACACTTCCCATGGCTCCCCATCACACCTGGAATAAAATCAAAGCTCCTATTCCAAGGCCACATACAACCTGACACTTGCTTCCGCTGAAGGTCCACATGTTTCTTCTTTTGCCTTGACTTAGTGCGTTCAGCCTCTCTGGCCCTCTCCCATTTGCAGGGATTCACCATGCTCATTCTTTTTTTGATGTTGTGCTTGGTCTTCCCCCTTCTTGGAGTAGGTCCTGCAAGATACTCCCATTGTTCTCTGACCTCATAAAGTTGCTGGCTCAGGCAGAGCTGTGAGGACAGCTATGCATGAAAGGACAGCTCTGCCTGAAACAGCCCCCCACCTCCGCTAACTCAGGAGCTCCTGGAACTGCTTTATCATGCTGCAGTGCACTTACCACCATCTGGAATTACATTGCACATGCACTTATCTATGTAGTTACTTATTTTCTCTTTCTTCCACTAGAATGTAAGCTCTTTGAGGACAGGGATTGTTTTCTGTTTTATGAGGACAGGAATTATTTTCTGCTTTTTTTTTTTCTTCCTCCTCAGATCTAGAGGAATACCTGATACAATATAGGCACCCCTAATAAATATTCAGTGAATGGATTGCATTGATTTTCCTGTTGAGTTTGTTGCATATGAATGGAGAGTTCAAGAGTTTAACAATTCTTTTTCTGATTTGGTGAGCTCCACTTTTATCAAATGGCATGAAAACCTGAGATTAGTGGGATTGAAAATTTAGAAAATATCTCTTGGGAATTGATGTAGTATCTAGTATCTCCTCTTGGGTTAAGAAAGGTGGTCCCAGAGAAAAGGTTCTGGTAGAGAAACAAGAGGTTTCATAAAAGGAGTAGCGTTTTATTTACTATGAAATCAAATCTATGTCACTACTGTTTTTATTCCAGGCATGTAGAAAACAAACAAGCAAAACACCTAAAATAATTCTACAAAAAGACCCTCAAAGGGCGTTTTATTAGATTAAATAAGTATTCATACATGTGTATGCATAATCTCTCTCTATATATAGATACACATGTACCTCTCTCTCTATATATATATTCTTGAATATAATTAAAGACATGTTATCACAGTTCTTCGTTCCCACAGTGGGATAAAATACATTTGTTTGGTCCAAGTCTAGTCCCTGCCATTTCCCCATTGCTTGAGCAAATTATTTAATTTCAGAGAGACTGAGTTGGCTCATCTTTGAAATAGTGATCAAGCCTAATTCACTGGAGTAGTGCAAAGACTAAATGTTGTAGTCAATGTTAAGTGCCTGGTACCATGCCTTGGATTGAATGCTTACAATGTATGCATTCCATAAAAGATAATTCTTCATTTTTCCTGAGGAACCTTCTGAGTTTAAGTTACTCTTTATTTAAATCCTCCTCAGCTTTATAAAACACATCATCATTGAATTTGAATCTTCCAGAGTCGTGTTTCTAACTCACATTTTTCTCATAAGCAGTACAAATTTACCTGAGATGTGACGGATACATAAATTTGTTAAATTAGCCCTTCCAAATGAAATAAATAAATGAAAGGAAAGGGAATAAACTATCAAAATCCTCATGCGTCTATTTGTGGCTGAAGTGTTTTATTAGATTTTATAACAAAGTTTAAAAACAATATCAAGTAGGAATGTGTATGTGCTTCTTAGGTAGGTAACCGGATGAGCCCATGTTACAATATGTTGAATTTTGTCTATATGGGAATGCCTTTAGGATGCCGTCATGGTGCCAAAACTTAAGGTGGACAGAGAATGAGAGGAAGGCCCTGACACGCAGAGCAGGAACTGTGATCTGCTAACCAGGGTCCAGATGCTGGCCAGGAAAGAATTTCATTTCACAGTCTGCAGGGAAAAAAGGGAAATCTAGAAATTCCTTAAATTGAATATTGTTCCTACCACACTGTTTCATTCAGATTCACTTACTAAAAGCTTCAAATGTGTTTAGCATAATACTCTTATTAGTACAGGCAAGATTACAATAAGTTGTCATTTCCACCTTCCTGGATCAAGTGGGATGAAATAATTCTCAGGTCTTTCCTAGGTATAAAACACCTCTGCAGAGGAAAGAGAAAATTCACCCAGGGTTTCAGCATGCTGGAGCATGTGGAATGCAAGTCTTGAAGCTTTCCAGCCATGGCATTTAAAAATAAAAATATGAATTGAGACAATGCCCAAACTTTCTTATCTCAGACAACAGTCTTCTTCAGAAGACCTACCAGGCTGAGAAAATAGCTTTCTTTGAAGGAGTAGACTATTTGTAATTCCCTGGGATCTATCTCTCATAATTTTAAGAGGTTTTTTGTAAGTCATGTTTTTCTCTGTTTTCCCTGTGACTCTTTACACCTCTATGTCTCCATTTTCTTGTACAACCTCAGCAAAAAAATAGAAAAAGAAAGAAAAAATGTGCTGTGAGCATTTAGCAAGTTGTTAAAATGTGCATTAGAAAATCACTAATGGAATAGATCCACCCCTGCTTCACTCCCTGATCTTAGATAATTGAAGCTTTAATCCCAAAGATGCACCTTCTCCCTGGAAAAGTTCAATTTGATCTCAAGAGTAATTCTTGCTTGAGAGATTGAGAATGCTGAATCCACCAAAGGATCTGCAAAGTGTGCCTGTTCCCCTCTAGGTATTGAAAGAAGTGCCCTGAAGAGAAATTTACTAGGGCCTAAAGAGCAAGATTTCAGTCGGTATCACCTGTCGAGATGTCAAGACCCTGTCTTCTTTGCCCCTCCCCTGTGTGTGTATGTGTTCATGGATACGTTTATCTATTGGATAATTCTCTGGGGTTTCATGTTGAGCAAATGCCTCTCCGGGAAGAAATTCCTATGTATTTAATACAAATTGGAATGAATCTTTCATATATAACCAAAAACATATTTAGAAAACACAGTACTTAAAATTGTGTATCACAGGTTTTATGGCCTATACAAAGCCTAACATCCAGAGACAACCTCAACATCATTATTTTGGTTTAGAAATATGGAAAGTCATACTTTAAATACCTGCTTACCTGAAGACATGTCAATATATACAGAATAAAAATGAGTTAGGACTTTGTAAATATTGTTTTAATATTAGTCCATGTTTTGTGAACCCCTTCTAGAAAACCCCTTTCCTTAAAGAAATAGTCACTCATTTAAAATATTTTGTACCAAATAGATTGCCATATAATCATTGAGCCACCTAATTTTTTTAGTTTACAATAAGCCATATATAATCACTGTCACATATTAAAATAAAACAAACAATTTGACTATAAGGAACCAAAAACTTTTCTTAGAAATTCTACAGTATAAATTTTGGATAGGTTATTGTAAACTTCAGGCTGTGGGTAGGTTATCTTTTACTTGGTGGAAGGGATGTAGAAGAAACAAATAAAAATATTCCTTTTTTTTAATTCTTCCTTTGAATTGAGAAGAAACCATGTTCAGAAGAAAGACAGTTTCTTTCAAAAGAATTTGTACAGATATATATAAAAATATGTTTACCTTTTCCAGTAGATGGTCTTGAATGGTGGATCCTAGATTCAATAATAGAGCCACTATGGCTTATACATAAATATTTTCTATAAAGAAGTCTAAAGATAAAATCAAAGGAGAAAGGTCAACATGGAAGTTACCAAAATTTTAAAAAAATTATGACCAGGCTGGGCGCGGTGGCTCACGCCTGTAATCCCAGCACTTTGGGAGGCCGAGGCGGGCGGATCACGAGGTCAGGAGATCGAGACCATCCCGGCTAAAACGGTGAAACCCCGTCTCTACTAAAAATACAAAAAATTAGCCGGGCGTAGTGGCGGGCGCCTGTAGTCCCAGCTACTCGGGAGGCTGAGGCAGGAGAATGGCGTGAACCCGGGAGGCGGAGCTTGCAGTGAGCCGAGATTGCACCACTGCACTCCAGCCTGGGCGACAGAGCGAGACTCCGTCTCAACAACAACAACAAAAAAAAATTATGGCCAAATCTCTCCAAATGTATTGATATTCTTCAGACCTATAATTATAGAAAGCATTACATACTTAGTTCCAGAAATTCTCCATTTCCATTATTGCTGGATAAGCCATCTAAAAAGCACTTGAAGTTGATGATGTATGTTGTTTACACTCTTGAAAAAACATCCTCTCCAAATAGGGGGAAAGGTTAGAAATGATTTGTACTGCATTGATCAATTTATCTGAGTTGTCTTTCAGCAGATTGTATTAATGGAACTTCATTTTCTTTTATTCAGTAGACGGCCAATTTTTTGTTGTCTCTTAAAAAGATCAATGAACATGTCTCGCCATCTTTTCACAAAACAAGATGATTTTTCCCTTAAAGTTTCAAAAAGACTTTATTATTTTGTTGTAATAGATGTTTGTTCCCCTCTTTCTTGCTTTCAAACCCCTGCAGTGAGTTTTCTAATGCCTGTCTATTCTTTCATATCTCTTTGTAGTTCCGACTTCAATACCTTAAATTTCCCTATTTTTCCATCATTCTGGGTCTACAGATATCTTCAGGGGCAGCAGCTTCTCCACTCTTTGGCCTGCAGTGGGTGGAGAGGCTGATGGTATTCACCACCGCAATGAATAAACACAATCAAAACGAACATCCACAACAAGAATGCACTTTGATTGGGGCATTATGCACCACATCTTTCATAGTTCATAAAAAATGAAAGCTTGCTGCTTTTTACCAAGGCTAGGTAAAAACCGTTGATTCTTTTTCTCTGCAAGGACGGTAGGGTGACTAGTGGCCCCCATATGTCATTTCTTAACATACAGGGTATGTTTCTATGAATGTAATTGCTTCTTTCTGGCTGGTGGAATAATTCATTTTTATTATTTTTTTATTGCAACGGAAAATATGAAAAGCAAGGAGACAGTAAAACTCAATTTATCTACTTGTCTCTTTATTGTGCATAGCTGATCTCTGGTTCCTTCTGTCCCTCCTCTGCCCTTCATTATCTTCACAACCCCTCTGGGCCTAACACATGCCCAGACTATTGACATCTGTTAGGGGTCGCCACTTCTGGAGAGAATTGGTGCATTCAATAGGAGATTTTTTATTGAATAGCAGTGAAAGCCATGTGATATATACTAACTTCTCCCAACCACTCACCACAAAAGAAAAGAAAAAAAAAAAAAGACAAACACACAATGAGCAGCTTCAATACATATATTAAGCATAGTAGTATAGATATCTACATGTTGAGGATGGTATTGCACTTCTTCATTAAACACTCAGAAGCATTTTTGAAACATATTCTGGGGAGAAAATAAAAGAAAAATGAAAATCAGTTTTGGCATATTCATGCATGCATTACTTTGCAAAGTCATGATGGCAAAACAATGTTAAATTTTGATAGGACCAGTCCTAAATTATGGCTTCCTGCGGAATGGGTTACCCATGGGTTAGGAGCAATCACAAATTACCCTTCACTCCCAGGATCCCATAGTATGTGGAAGAGGATGAATGAAGACTGAAACTGTGGTGTTTCAATGGGAGAAGAAAGGACAGAGGTGTTTCCTTTATCTTGAGGATTATCATTACTCTCACCTAAGTGGGACATCCAGGCATTAGTCCATATTCCTCCCTCTTACTTAATCAGTCACCAAGTCTTACAGATTATCTTTCCTAAAAGTCTCATATCCATCACCTTTTCTATTCATTCTGCCAGTTTCTTAGTTCAGGTTTGCATCATTTCTCACCTGGATGACTAGGTCAGCCTCCCAACTTGTCTCATTTCCTCCAGTATGGCCCTTGAAATGATCCCCCACACTCTGCCAAAATAAACTTCCTAAACTGCAAATATGATCATGTCATTATACTCCCCAGACTACCCAAAAGCCCCCGCCTTAGTTTCAGAACAGAGCTCATATCATTGCCATTTCTCCTTTATAGCCCCCCCTCCCATCTCCCTCCTGCATATGCATGTGACCCTGCAGAAATGGGGACTATCTGCAGTTTCTTTCTTCATCCTGATATTTGACTCCTCAGAACTTTCCCTTTACCAAGAAAGAAAAGTTTTTTTTTCATCAAGCAATTTCCTACTTAGTTTCAAAAGTGAAACAATATGAAAGCAAAAATGATGAATCTATCAAGCAGAAAATGCAATCTCAAATAAAATATTACCTTCTCAGAAGTCCCACCCCGACTCCTGAGTAGGATAAAATGTTCTTTTCATAGGAACCTCTGCTACCTCTTTATAAAACTGACCACAGTTCTGTGATCATTGATTTAGTTGATACCAGACGATTGTGGCCGTTCCTTTAGCTTTCATTTCCTAGTGTTGAGTGTTTTGCATAGTAGACACTCAATAAATATTTTTGGTATGTTAAATGAGAAATTTGGACTAAACATCTGTACTTGACATGCTCTTTGGGTTGGAAATCACAGGAGCATTCCAAAGCAAATAGAGTGATAAAGGGGCATTGACTTTTGAGAAACCTCAGGTATTACAGAACCCAAGGGCAAGAATTAACTGCTCCTGTGAAGGTGACTCCCAATGACTGAGCACTGAGTAGTAAACTCTCCTTCCTCAATCTCTTTAAGGATATGTGCTCTCTTGTCTCTTGTCTCTGCTTCTCTTTGCTTACTGGCACCACTCTTCTCTACCCCTAAAGGCCAAAATTTGAAACTGCCCTGGTTTATATGTGTTCTAGCCCAGTCCTAGTCTTATATAACATTCTAATTCAGGCACTTATTAGACATTACTTGTAGTTCTGAGTCTCTAACCCAAAGTCTCAATTGAGAGAGACAAATTACCCCAACTTGGGTAAGTATCCATCACTGGCCCTGAATGAGCTGGATCAGATAGTTAAAAATGGAGTCAGTGGCCATTCCTATGGGGAGGGGTAAGAAAGAAAGGGCAGTACTTATAGAAGGTCAATTGTGGTCTACTTTCAAAACAACCAACGGCTAACCCTCATCCCAATTCTCCAATTTATTGTAGAAACTTCATAGGGTCCATGATCAGAAAGTCATGCTTATCATTATGCTTAATGATGTGCTTTCCTTGGGTCCACTTAGCATTTTATGAAGAGTTGATCCATGAGATTCCTTCCCAGTTGTAATATCTGGTGATGCTAATTCTCCAGGATTACAGAGCACAAATTCCTAGGGACAAAACTGACTGGCAGAAGGCAGAGAAACATCCAATCAGATTCATTCTTAATAATTCAATTTTAAAAATGAATAAAATAATGCAGTCCTAAGCAAATTTGGCTTATTAGTGTTGTTGTTAATTAGTAATCATGATAAGGACCTCATTTAAAATGTGATTATATTTTGATGGTTCTCCTGTAAACATCTATTACTGCGACTTGCACCCATAAGACAAAGAAAGACACCTCTTGCTTAGGTACTGTGCTTTCACTTAGAAACAAACAAACAAAACAGACTTCTAAAGCATGCATTATGGGTTGAATAAATTCACACGTTGATGTGTTAACCCCCATTATTTCAGACTGTACCTTCCTTGGGAATAAAGCCATTGCAGACATAACTAGGTAAGATGAGGTCGATCTGGAGTAGGGTGGGCCATGAGACCAATATGACTGATGTTCTTATAAAAGGGGGAGCTTTAGACACAGCTACACACAGGGACGATGCCACTTGAAGATAACAGCAGAGATTTGTAGATATTTCTACAAGCCAAGGAATGCCAAAGATTTCAGTAAACCACCTGAAGCTAAGTGAGAGGCATGGAATTCATTTCTTTTCACAGTCCTGAGAGAACCAATCCTGCTGACGCTTTGATTTTGGACTTTCAGCCTCCAGAACTGAGACCATCAATTTCTGTTTTGCAAGCAGCTCAGTTTGCGGTACTTTGCTATGGCAACCCTGGGATATGAATACACACAATAAAATGAAACAGTCTATAAGCTTGAAAATTGTACAAATATTAGAAAATATAGGAAATTCCAAGATGGTCACTAACTCTTCCAGAAATAGAAGTACATTTTTGAGATTAGCATTCAAAGTGTTCAGTTCACATTGTAGTCTAGGGTTTGGAAACTCTCTGCTTCTGTGAATCTTTCTTGGAACTTTTTTTATTCCAAGAAAGATCACCCTCATTACATTTTAATCAACTATAGGTGTCACATAATTACCACTCCTGGAAATCTTCTAAATTAAGACCATGTATGTTTTCCTACCTCATTTTCCTTCTTTATAAATCGAAGATGTAATGGACAAATATCTCCTAGAATTTATGTGAAGACTGGGTGAGAAAAAGCATGTGAATTGCTTAGTAGCCCAGTGCCTAGGACAGATTAAATGCATGATAAAATTTATCTATTTTTCTTAAAGTTAGAAAATATTTATACTCCTCAATTTGTATTTTGATACCCATAGCTGGGATGATTACCTATCTTTTTCTGTTGGTTAAGGCCCATCTTTCCAAATGGATCATATTTAAAGTAAACCTTTAATATAAACAGATCACTTTTGGAAAAGGGGATCATAATTTTACAGTCTATGTTTCTTCCCCATTCTCCTCAAAATCTAGCGTAGTGCTGAGCACACAGCATATGCTAAGATAGTGAACAAATATGTGATGTATGAAGAGACAGATGAATTTTTCCAAGCACAATTGGAAATTGAAATGAAAAATAACACCATTTGTAATATTAAAAACCTATGAAATACTTAGATAGAAATCTGACAAAAGATGTGCAAAACCTATGTAATAAAAACTTTAAAAACCCAGCTGAGACAAAGTATCAAAGGCATAAAGAAATGAAGGGATACACTGTGATTATCTCTGAAGGACTCAATATTGTTAAAATGCCAATTTATCCCAGTCATTTACAAATTTAACACAATCGCACGCAACATCTCATGGGATTTTCATAGGCCTTGAAAAGATGATTCTAAAATTTACATAGAACTTCAAAGGACTAAGAAGAGCCAAAACAATTTGAAGGAGAACAAAATTGGAGAATTAACACTACCTGACTTTAAAATCTATAAAGCTATTGTCATCAAGACAATGTGGTACTGATACAAAGATACAAAAATAAGTCAGTGGAACAGAATAGAGTCCAGAAATTTCCAGCTAAATATATAGGCAAACAAATGATTTTCAGTGAAAGTGCAAAAACAATTGAGTGTAGAAATAATAGTCTTTTTTAAATAAGTGGTACTAGAACATGTGGAAATCTATAAGAAAAAATAAAATCCTAAGCATACCTTACGGTATATATAAAAACTCAAGCTGTATAAAAGAGCTAAAGAACAACTTAACGCCATGAAATTTCTAAAATAAAATATAGTATGAATCTTTGTGACCAGGAGTTAGGCAAATATTTCTTAGCTGTGACAGCAAAAGCATAATTTAGGAAAACATAAATTGATAAATTGGGCTTCCCCAAAATTCAAAGTTTCTGTTCTTCAAAATACATCATTAAGAGATTGAAAAGATAAGCTACAGACTGTAAGAAAGTGATCTCAAATTATGTAACCCATAAAGGAATTGTATGCAGGATATATCAAGAAGTCTCAAAATTCAGTAAGAAAAAAATGCAATAAAACTATGGACACAAAGTTTGAACATACGTCTCACCAAATTAGATGTAGCCAATCAGCACATAGAAAGAGGCCCACCACCATTAGTCATTAGGGAAACGCAAATTAAACCCATGAAGAGTTACTACTACAAGTCTATTAAAATGACTGAAATTAAACAAAAAACTGACTATACTAAGTCTTAGAGAGGTGTGGAGAAACTGGAATTCTTATTCATTGCTGGTGAGAATGTAACATGCTGTTCAAACTTTGAAACGTGCATCAGCACTTTTTGAAAAAGTAAAACACATACCTACCATACGATTCAGCCATTTCCACCTTAGGTATTACCCAAGAGTAATGAAAGCATATGCCCATCCAAAGACTTGTACATAGATGTTCAGAGCAGCATCGTTTGTAACAGTCAATAACTGGAAATAACTCAAATATGCATTAACTTGTGAATGGGTAAACAAATTATGATATATCCGTATAACAGAATATTACTAAATAATAGAATCAATGAACTATTAATAAATGCAATGACATGGATGAATTACAAAATATTTTTTCTGAGTGAAAGGAACTAGACAAAAGTGCATATTGTATCATTTAATATATATACAATTCTGGAAAATGCAAACTAATCTATAGTGGCAGAATACAGAGCAGCTGTTGCTCAGCGATGGTAGGGGAGGGCAGGAAGGAGGGAGGGACTTACCAAGGGTTGGAGAGGGAACAGATATGTTCATTGTCTTGATTGTGAATGATCATTTCACAGGTGTAAACATATGTCAAAACTTCTAAAATGATATACTTTAAATAAGTGTGGTTTGTTGTATGTCAATTTTGTTCCTCAATAAATTGGTTAAAATACCCCAAACAGTAACAATAAAACAAATAAAAAGAAACAGAAATAAGGGAGCCGGGCCCACTGAAAAATATTCTCCATATACGTACATTTCCTTTACATAACGTTCTTGAATAGACAAAACTTATCCAAAGTGATAGTAGCCAGAATATTGGCTCCTTTAGGGGAAGATGACGGGGAAAGGGTAGGTGGGGAACTTCTCAGGGGAGGATGTTCTGTATTGTGATCTTTGTAGTGTTATGTATGAAAAAATTGAAAAGATGTTTAAATGATAAAAAAAAAAACCCTCACCTTTTAGAAACGTTAAGATACAATACAATGGGGTGGAACACATAAAACTTGACTTCCCAAATTATTTTGTTTAAAACATTGATGCTTCCTGTTCGTTCCCAAGTCCCTTGGAGATTTTTATACAATTAGCATTTTCAAGGCTGTGAAGATTTTGCAGTAAAGGGACTTGCTTAACTTTGTTTTAAACCAATGTTTCCAAGACTTATTGGACTGCTGAAACATTTTTTTTTATTTAACACTTTTAAACATCTGATGGAACAAGTGTTCCAAAGGGATATATTTTAGGAAACGCTAAACAAGCCAATTAAAAATATACCATTTAGAATCTATGGAGGTTTAGAGAGGTTAATTGTTTTTGTCAGAGCTCACACTGCTTGCAAAGGGTAGAGGAAGGATTGGAAACGCAGAGCCATTGGACTGGAACGCCATTGTGTATTCCTCCCATCCTTTCCTGCTCCAGGCCTCAGTTTTCTCATCTATAGACTGAGGAGATGAGAACATACATAGCATGAGATAGCAATTGCTGCCGCCACTTTGTTCAACTGTGTTTTGGGGTAGCTTAATGAAACATTCTGAGCTTCAGTTTCCCTCCCGTAAAATGAGAAGAATGATACCTCAACTGCTTTTCTTCTTTTCATTTTGTAACTTAAAAAATAGCCAGGTAAAATAAGATGCTTTTAAAGGTTGCCCAGATCCACCGCTTACCACACCTTGATGCTTGATTTCTGTGTGTCAAAGTCATTTGTGTGTGAACAGTTATTCTTCTGCTTTGGGTTTCTGTCAATAAGTACCTTCAGGCTTGGCACACACAGAGAATCATTAAATGTTCCACCTCACCCAACTAGATTTACAAAAAGCATATTTTAATTTGAATATTTGATGTATTTATCAGCAAAGAGAATAGGCATCACTTATGCATAATGTGCCTATGATCATGCTACTAATGAGTTTCTATAAAAACATCATTTCATTTAATCTTAATAAAACACTCAGAAGAAAGTATTATTATGTCGATTTGCACATTAGAAAAATACATTCCAGAGTATTCAATCAACTACCTAAACTTTGGCATTATCAAGAGGTGAAACCACAGGATAAATCGGGTCTGTCTTCCTCCCGAATCTTTCTCTTTCTCCCTAGATCACTGCTGGTTTGAGCACATTGGTGTGGTTTAAAAGGGGCTTACGAACCAGGCGTCTCTCTAGGGCTTATTGCTGTGCTTATTTTTTATCTTACAGAGATAAACAGAACTCATCTACGGTGCGTCTCTGAAGCCTTGTCATTTGGGATTTGGAAAATTCAGTGTTTTTCATTCTACCTACTTACCATTTATAGAGTTCTTGAGCTCTGTCCAAATATCTCTTTGATAAAAACAAAAACAATGTCAAGTTTGATATGGAAGTGGAATAACAAAAAGTGCAGAAATCTGCCCCCCAAATAAACAAGCCATATAGTTTTTGCCTTTAGCATTATGGAAGAGGACTGTGTTAGTCCCTTTTCATGCTGTGAATAAAGACGTACCTGAGAGTGGGCAATTCACAAAAGAAAGAGTTTTAATAGACTTTCAGTTCCACGTGGCTGGGGAGGCCTCACAATCATGGTGGGAGGCAAGAAAGAGCAAAGGGAGAGTTTGTGCAGGGAAACTCCTTCTTACAAAACCATCAGGTCTCATGAGACTTATTCACTATCACGAGAACAGTATGGGAAAGACCTGCCCCCAAGATTCAATTACCTCCTATTAGATCCCTCCCACAACACATGGGAATTAAAGATGAGATTTGGGTGGGGACACAGCCAAACCATATGAAGGACATTATCAAAACATGGTCTTCCAAATTATCAGGAAATAAATGTGTGCCCATAACAAACTAATTCATAATGCAAAACACACATGTAATGATGAAGCAAAACATAACATGTACATTAGCTTAACTATGTGAATAACCAGATGTGGTCTATTGGAATATTTTCTAAGTAATGCTCTGCAAACGCCAATGTTTTGTACAGATTAGCCAGTAATATTTACTAGTCATTTATTTATAAACAAACTCCTAGTTTTGAGTGTCTGCCATATATCATATCCTGTGGTAGGTGGATGTGGAAGATAAAGTCATTCTTGATTCCTTTCCTATATAACATAATATTTTAAAGGAAAATTTAAAAACTACAGGGTTATTCAATAAATCAACTAAGCTGAAGAATAATAAGTATTAATTAAAATAATAAAATATGAATAAATACAAGCAGTTATGACTCAAAGCTCTGTTCCATCTGATCCTTTGGAACCTATCTCATCCAATGCCATTCCCCCCTATATGTGCTCCAGTGATATTGGTATCACATCACTCCTTATCCACTTTTAATTTCCTTTGAATTATTAATATATTATATAGTTTTAAATATTTTTACTTTTTATTCCTATAGTTTTTTTTCTTTTATTTTTATTATTTGTGTCATATACAGCTAACAACCATGGGCAGAGAGGATAGGCTTACTAAAGGCAGCTGTGAGAATTCCTTGACCTAAGCATTTATTCCCCAATATTTACTGAAAACTGGCTAGCTGCAGGCACCAGGTTAGGGGCTGGATTAGAGATGAGCTCTCTAGTTGGGTGACTCTGAGGCTGCTTACCAAAGATCAGTCATGCCCATCAGCTCTCTTCAAGAGAACACCAGGTATACTGATGAAATACTCCTATTTTTAAATATTATGAACCATCCAGTCCTATGAGTCATGCCTTTTTTTGAAGCATTGCACTTGGCATAGACTGCATAGTATTAATAGTTTGCATGTTGGTAGAATGATTGGTACATTCAAATATATCATTATCTCATTTGATTTTATTCAAGTTGTAATTTTCCACAGCATGCTGCTATAAAGGTGTTTCCTTCTTCTATCCTTTTCCCCTTCTCTTTCTTTTTTTCCTCCTTCTATCCCTTCTTCTTTCCTTTTTTCCATCCTTTCTTCATTTCCTTCATCATTGCCTAGGCTACAGATGATAGGCAAGTAGCTTACAATCTACAGTGGGACACAGACAAACATTAACAACACTGATGTAGTGAATTCCATCATTCCAGAATTACAATGAGTTATGAAAATATGAGATAAAGGTAAGGGATAGGAGAAGGTCACTCTAATTAAAGTTCCATTCTTGAGATCTGATGGGCTTTTTTTTATAAAAGCGTTACCGGCAATGATGGGATGGCTACCGTATTTTTATGTTCACTAGTCCATGGATTTCAACAAGAAGTAAATTTTTCAAGGGGACAGTGGTAGTTAGTAATAGAACATATCTGACACATGTTATATAGTTTCCCAGGCAGAAGCACCTGGTCCATAGGCTGGATTATGCTAAGCCACCTATGAATTTGAAGTCTGAGTCCTTTTATGAAGAGCATGATCAGGACACAACATACTAAAGCTGAAGGATGTCTTGTTGAAGAGAAACAAGTGATTCTGCTGTTAGCATTGATTGCGAATTGACTAAGAGACTAAGTGCAAATCTACACAATCCCTCCAATGAAGAAAACAACAGACTAATGGCTGCAAAATATTTGCTTTCATCTTGTTTTATGAGATATTTCTTAGGAAGGAGTATTCTGTCCAGGAGAAATGAACCCTTTATCATAAAGTGATGCTTATGCAAATAATCTAGATGTGAGAAATACAAAATAGCATTTCTTATAAACCTGGAAAGAGCTAAGAATCTTCACTGTGGAACTATACTGATCATTAGGTTCACATCAAGCAATGAATCTAATTAACTCTTTCAAAATAAATAAATTTTATTATGGCCATGAAGCAAATTTCTAATGTATTTTTGAAACTCAGAAAACTGTTTTGACAATGCCATATAGAGCTGAAGAAAAATAATCATTGGCTCCCTCAGGTGCAGTGGGCTCAGCAGTGGGCCAAGTGTATGAAGGCCGGCTGTTATCTTCATCATATAATCTCGATCTGAGTGAGAAGAAAGAAGCAAATAGCCCAAACATTTATGGAATGAGAGAAGCATACAAGTTAATGTTCTCTTCACTCGCCAGGTGAGTGAAAGGACGTAGGTTTTCTCTCATGCCCTGGAATCCAACACATGAGTTATAAAAGACCAAACAAAAGAGAATAGATGCCACCAGGAATCTTTTTGGAGGAACCGTTATTTTTTACAAGGCGGGTAGGGGAGTAACCTAAGTGCCCATCAATAAAGGAATGGTTAAATACATTATGGTAAAGAGAAAGTGAAATACATCTAAAGAATGAGATATTTTCGTTATTATTGATATGGGAAGGTGTTCAATATAATTACAAGAGAATGAATATGGAAAAATTCTCTGCTATAAAGAAAAAATATATACACACAAGTATCTATGTGTATATATGGTTCTATACATTTATGCGTATATTTGTGTGTGTAGGTATAGAGAGATATCTATAAATAAGAACGCTTCGGGAGCAACAAGCCTATTGGGCTGGAAGCAGAGGGTGAGGCTGGCTCTGGTGAACAGGAATTGCACTTATAGTTTCTCTGTGTATATATATTTATGTATATTAGTGTGTGTATTTGTGTAGTTTGTGTGGTGTGGGTGTGTATGTGTGTGTGTGTCTGTGTGTGTTTCCAGAAAGCCATTAGGATCAATCACCCTTTGGTTAATTTTATGATTAAATAATATTAAATTTGGGTGTCTTGATCCAAAACATAAGTGAAAATTAACTGCTATGAACTCTAAACCTATTTTAGATTTAAGGGAAATTATAATCATTCTCCTGATAATGAGTAGCAACATAAGACCCACAAATGTTTTGAATTAACTCTGATGACAGCATAGGATTTCTTCTGGCTGTTGCTCTCTTGTTAAATCATGTCTGAGGTATCCCTTATACAAAGGTATTCTCAAACATTTGCAATTTTAAATCAGCTTAGACATACCAATGTGAAACCAACTTAGAAATGAAGTCTGTATTCATTTCTCTTTAGATAGAAGACACATAAAGTCCCAGATAATATGTGTTAGCCAGGTGTAATCGAGATCATATTTTATCTTTCTCATTCTTTGTACCTGTGCTAAACCTGGCCCTGGTTAGCTTTCCCCATCTTGTAGGACTTCTAACAGTATTTCAATAAAACCAATATGTGATACTGATTTGCTCCTTGATCCCTGAACAGTGGTACATTTTTAACCATATTTCACTCCAGGCCATCTTGTAATTCCATCACTTGACTCCATGCCTAACTCTAGCTCTCCCTGTCTTCTTTGTCCATGTTCCAGGTAATGTGATTGGTACTACCACTGATGTATGGAACCCACAGTAGACAATGTCATGTTGGATTCTCAAGGCAAAGTGGAACTGGGTATACAGCTGTGGTGATTTTTAAGGGTCAACCTAGCAGAGCTGGAAATATGATTTCCAGAATTGCCTTCCTGTTATGGTTTGAATGAAGGTTGCCTGCAGAGGAATTTGTAAATGACTGGGCAGGTGAAGTAAAACAGTCGTCCTAAGGTTCAGAGAGTTGGAGTAGGGCTCCCAGCCTCACCAGAGCTGGGGCATATTGTCACTGACCCACTGGCTCTTCTTGCTGGGAAGGGCAGCCACTTGGACCCCCTCTCCTCCAGCTCCTCCTGTCTCTTCAAGTCTTAGGCCAAGTCCTGTTCAGAAATGTGGCCTAAGGTGTCACTCCTTCTTCAGATCACCCATGCCATCAAACTTGCAGGCAGTGAGAGACAGAAACAGTACCAATTTGTGCTCACAGGTTCCCATTTGTCTCTACGGGTTCCAGTATGTCCTCACGGATTTCAACTTGTCCTTGCGGTCACCACTTTCTGTCCAGCTTTTCTTCCCAGCCACAGGTCCTGCTGACCTACAGTGACTGGAGCCTCACCACATCCCACAATTACATAAGATGCAGCCCATCATAATCCCCACAGTCTGTGTCACTCTTAGTGGAACTACTTCCCTGACTGAATCCTAAATAACACAAGAGCAACAACGTTTCTCCATTGTTTCGTATGTCGGCTAGGTCTGAGGGACGGGACGGAAGCCCCCGGGGCTGGGGCTCACTCACTCTGTTCTTCATGTAACGCATTCACACCATGTGTATGAGCATTCAGCTTGGCGGGTGGAGCAGTTCGGCATTACTTGCTGGAAATAATTCAGAGCACTTATGACCAGGCTTTGGAACCCAAGCCAAGTGTTCTCGAGCACATCCGTACGGGGAACAAAAGTTTTGTTTTGTCCCCATCGTTCCCTCACCCGCTTCGGATGGGGAAATATTTGAAAAACGGAAGTGCCTATAATATTCTGCTTGTGCTACCAAAGTTCTAATGGTGTTTACCTGAAATGTTTCTATCATTCCCAAACTTTCAGGGTTTCTGTTGGTGATTGGCGAGGAACAGATTGCACTTTCCTGAACTGAAATCTAATGAATGCCACAAAGTGAAAATAAACTGGAGACACTTCAAAAAAGAAAAAGAAAAGAAAACTCACTTCAAGAAACCGAAGCTTTCCTACCCCCCTTCTTTTCCCCTCACTTGCAGCCAACTAAGCTCCCCACACATTCTGATCGTCTCCCTGCACAGTGTCTGTGGTGGTGACAACTGATTCATGTGTTCATTTGCATATCCCCCGGTGCCAGCAGCAGAATACAGAACGGGCCTCCTGTGCCGGCAGCCAACACAGCACTGGCAAATCAGGGAGCTGTCAGAAACAGCTGTCCATTAACGGAGTTTGTGGAAACAACCAGGAGCTGTTTGAAAATGCTAGGTGGTAGAATTTAATTGGAGTAGCAACTGTTCAAAATTAAGATTAAAAGGACCAGTCAGTCAACGTGGATTTCGTGACACCTTAAAAATAACGTTTCAGGTTTGATTAATGCTGCAAGAAGTTTGCACATTTCTCTCCTTTGCTGATAGGGCCTGCGTGCTGATAGTTGATTCAGTGAATATATGTAGCAGTGATAGCTCATGGGCTCCAGAGGTCAGATATCTTATTCTCTAGGCTGAAACCCTTGTTGCTTTAAGGAAACAGGATTTTAATAGGAATCACATGCAGATTGACTACAGGGAGCCAAGCGGTAGTGGAAGAAGCAAAGTTGGCGGTTTTGGAGACGGACGTCTATCTATCCACAGTGTGAGTACGTCTCAGCTCTGAGCGGCCCACCCTATCCCCTAAGCCCTCCTGGCCAGATACAGGAATTTACAGAATACACTCGCTTCCCAGCGGTGAGTTGAGAAGGAAAAGAGTTTTCATGGCCGGTTTAATCCTTGGCTTCTCTCCTGAACATGCCGAAAAGGGTGTCAGATGTTGCCAACATTGAAGCAAAGCGGGGAGTGGGTGGATGGGGTCACTGAAATACGAGGATCCGTAATGGTTTCCTAAAAAGACTTTTTATCCTTCTGAAAAATCTCAACTTTAGCATTCATTAAGATCAGAAAACAATCCTAACATGCCAGGCACAGCTACTTGTAATTTGAAACAGAGTTTGTAACCCCAAACACCACATTTTAACGATTTTTAATTTATGATTGAACTCTAGGTACTCAAGTCAACATTCTCAGTTCCACATTGATGATTCCTATTGTGGTCATTTAGTTTAATTCTTTGACTTTTATTCTTAAATAGATTGTCATGCTACTTCTTATAAACATCCATTTTAAAATTGAAAAGAACATTGAATGCAATTGAGAATGACAGCACATTTAGAGTACATTTAGATGTAATTGAGAGGGAAGGGGGTAAACTTGTTTTTCTAAGAAAACATCAGAGCGGATATACAGTAGGGTCAGGGCAATGAGTGCAAGGCGACAGTTCCAGATAGGTAGTGCACGACAGCCAGGAGAGGAAGTGACAGCTGGTGGCTTTAGTAAACAGATTTCAGTTTAGGATTTTCTGAACATTTTAATATGCTTCTCCACTGTACCTTTTGTTCCCAATTCAATAACAAAGCCGTTTCTTATTTGTTGCCTTGAAGTATCAGATTGGTTAGAAAACAGATATAGAAAAAAAAGAAAGTCACTTGGTATTAAAACAAAACATTTCTAAATATCTGACGCAATGTTATAGTAAAATGGGGGAGGTGAAGGGAAGGGAAGTTCTCCAAAAGAGAGCCTGGTGGGAATGCTTGCAAATGGAAAGACGTGGCATTTCATTCCTCGGAGGCTTTTTGCTTAAATTATGATCTCCTCCCAAACAATGTATATCTCCCAACTTCTACCCAACTGATCAAGAGGCCCAACTGACTGGTAGGGTCTTTAAAGAGAAAATAAAAGCTGTAAAGAATGAAACTGAGTAACACTGAAGGCATTAGTCTTATTAACAGCCAAGCTCATTTCAAAGATGCTGGACATTGAAAGAGATGGTTGTCCTTGAGTCCTGCTGTCTGTGTGGCATACACTGCCTGTCTCAATGAAAAGCACCAATTTGTGTTTGTTGTGAATATCTGTGAATACTGTCTTATGGCAGCTAGTTTTTAATTGTTGTCAGCCTCAAGGGAAAATGTGATTGAGTCCTCCATGCTGCAATAAGGCAAGAGGAGCTGTTCTTTGAGTGAAAACGTTCCCATTCAGCTATAGGGAACGACAGAAATGCTTCAGAATTCAGCATTTCCCTTGCTATTTTTAGTTAAATTAGGCTCACAATCATGAGACAGCGCTGCTGCATTGGCCCATGATATGACCAAAGTAAGCTGCTAACATTTCTGTAGCTTACAGAGATTCTAAGGGAAGTAGTTGTTGGAAAATACTAGTTTTAAGTAAAAAGATAAATGAAATCGAGGAAGAATTAAACATAACGTGATGGAAGCTATCCTTTCATTTCACTAAATTCTACTGAGGGGATCATGGAAAGAATTCATGTTTCAACAGCATCCTGGTCTCGATTTTCAATTTTCTCAATTCTAGTTTGAACATTCAGGAAGAATGCAGATTATGCCAATAGATTTATAAAATGTATGGTTAAGACTTACTCATGCTAGCTCAATTAAAGAGTGGCATATAGTAAAAAATACTGTGAGGATTTTAAGAAAACAACAGTGAAGTAAGTGGAATCAAGACAGGTTCATGGTCTCTCTTAGGACTTTTCCTCTCTTTTCTTCCCTGAGCAACGCGGCCATCTCTTTATGTCCCTCATAAAGCTGGGCCTTGAACGTGACTTGGCTTGTTCCTGTAGCAGGTCACCAAAAATCTGTCTTTCCACACAGGCAGCCCTACTAATTTCCAGGCTTGCCTTGCTATGAAGGGTGGTCCCATGATGTGTTTTGGTCAATGGTATCTGAAAAGAAGTAGCAGCTTCAGAGCCCAGGTTTGTAAGAAGTGGAACCCTCATGCTAGTGGATGGCCAAGCCACAAATGCGCTCGGGGATAGTACAGCCACAAACGGGAAGGATCCTGGGTCCCTGAGCCACTGATGGAGGAAAGCTACCCATGAACTAGAAGCATCTAATTAGACTGCCACACAAGTGACCATAAACTTGTCTTTGAGGCATTAAAAGTTTTCATCAGTTAGTTATTGCATCCTGTCCAAAGTGAACTTCTGCACATGATCCTGAACTTTATAACCCAGTTTCTTTCTGCCACCTGCCATTATTCCTCCAACCCATCTATTCCCCACTCCCACTGATATAATTGACCAGCTCATAGTTTTATTTTAGGCCTGGCAGGCAATAGGTTTCCGACCAGCCGATGCCTCAGCTGCAGTTGCTTGTTCACACTTGACCTAACCAGCTCTGGTCATTGTGTCTAGTCACAGCTGTGGGCCTCACCTGTCAGAGGATAATATAAGTACCACAGGGTGGGAGAGTGAATCCTGGGTGGAGTTGCAGTAGAAACAGTGGGGAGCACTGCATGTCCCTGCTGTTATGAGCTTCCAGCAGAAACCAGACTTTCACAGCTCTAATGTGTAAGACTTTGTGAAGTCAAAGATATCACTGCAAGCTTATAGGAATGTGTTTAACTTCTTAAGGTGAATTCTGAGTTAAACCTGCATGTGCCAAAATTGTAAATGGACCACTACTGCTGTCATCCTCAAATTCCTTCTCATTCCCAATAATAAGTCTCCTTCTCCTTCCAAATGAAGGTGTTATTTTGTCATATATTCACACAAGGAATGTGATCTTTGTCCTTCAGAAGCTTCCAATGTAGGAGGGGCTGTCGGGAGCCAATATCACAATGCTAGGTTTTGTAGGTATAAAGTTGGATGACATAAAGTATGATTTCTGTTCATAATTCATGCATATGACAGGCATCCACAGGGCATGTGCACCTTGCAATCTGCACAAAATGTCATGGAATCCCATGGGTAATGTGCACATATTCAGAGCTATAACTGGTCCATATATCTATAGAGTTTTAGCTCTGGTTGATACATATATATGTATATATATATGAGTATATATGTATATATATATATGAGTATATATATGAATATATGTATGTATATGAATATATGTATATATATGAGTATATATATATATGAGTGTATATATATATATATATATATATATATATATATATGAATGTTCATGTAATGACATCAAACAATTTTTATCTCGTTTGACCAAAGTATATACTACACTTCCTGGAGAAAGGTAGAAATGTTGGAATAGCTTGGATAGCCCTAATCAGTAGAATTTTAAAGCTGAGAAAGTTTTCTTCTTAGCAGTAGAGACAAATGAAAGCAAGAGCACTTTCCTCTGGGCTGACTCTGCATTGCCTAACAACTCAACAGAGCATTATGAAAACAACTTATTTTGTAACACAACTACAAAGGAATTTTATAAGTATTTTTTTTGAGACTCGGTTGCATCATGCTGCCCAGGCTGGAGTTGCTATTCACAGGCACGATCATGGTGCACTACAGACTCAAACACCTGGCTCAAGCAATCCTCTAGCCTCAGCTTCCCAAGGAGCTTGGACTACATGCAGGTGCCACCTGGCTTAAGTGTATATTTTTTGGACTGAATATGAACATTTTAAGATTACCTGTGTACAGACATTATGTGATTCTTTCAAAAGAGTATTTAGCTAAGTAACTTGTTTCTGTTGAGGAGGTATTCTCGTTTACATGATCAGTAAATCTTTTTTGTATGGCTTTTCGGCACATCTTCAGTGATTTTACACTGTGTCACTTAAACTATTGCTCCAATATTACCATATTTAGACAATGGAGTTTTTTGGGTTTTTTTGTTTTTTTGTTTGTTTGCTTTTTGAGATGCAGTCTCGCTCTGTCACCCAGGCTGGAGTACAGTGGTGCGATCTTGGCTCACTGCAACCTCCAACTCCTGGGTTCAAGTGATTCTCCTGCCTCAGCCTCCTGAGTAGCTGGGATTACAGGTGCACGCCACCATGCCTGGCTACCATTTTTTAAATTTTATTTTAGTAGAGACAGGGTTTCATCAAGTTTGTCAGGCTAGTCTTCAACTCCTGACCTGGTGATCCGCCTGCCTCGGCCTCCCAAAGTGCTGGGATTACAGGCGTGAGCCATTGTGCCCAGGGTTGGAGGTTTTTCTTTAAAAAAAGGTAATGGCTAGAGAAGAGAATGGTACCATTAGTATAGGGGACTAGGCAATAGGGTGTACCTGTAAAACACAATGTGACCTATTGTCTAAATTCATGCTTCAGCTGAGTCTTTTAAAAAATTGTCTCTGTTTTGCTTAATTTTATACAAATAATTTGAACCACAGAAAAACAGGAAAAGGAAGAAGAAAAGAAAATTCAAAGGAGTGATGTAGTGTAGTGTTTTAGAGCTCTGCCTCAGGAATCAGAAAGGAAAAGAGCCAATAATGACTAGAGCCATAATCAAGACTTTGGATAACATGGCGGACCTCCCCTCTGAGCTTCAGTTTACTCCTTGTTATAATGTGAATACCATGTTTTCTTGGGAGAAATGAATAAGTTACTCCATGCAAAGTGCTGCAGATGGCACCTGGCACATAAGAGTGATCAGCCCATCTAGGGGTGATGCTCTTAGGATAAGCATTACCATTGTCATTGTCATCACAATTTCCCACATCCCAGCCCTCTAACACATTGAGGTTTCTTTCTTTCCCATGCTTTATATTATGCCTATTTGTCTTCCATATTTGGATCAGACTGTATATCTGTAGCCCTAAAAGTTGATATTACTATGTTTTAAAATAAATGTTTTTCAGTTGTTTTTAAAGAAAATATAATACTGTGCAGCTGTAGTACTTTGTTGTCACATATTTGTCACATTAATCTTTTGTTTGCTAGCATTGACTAATTATGTTCTGATAGGTAATCAGTACCTAATGGTAAATGCCATACTACAGGGTGACCTCATACAAAAAGTGTCATTCTTATTCTGTAATATCTGAATTAGAAAAAGATGCACTGTATTTTCACAGAGCCAGTATTTATATTCTCCCAGCAAATGATTTCCAAATTTGTATAGTCCTGCCTCAACTTTTTCAGTGTTTATCATCACATATGCACATGATACATACACACATGTCCTTTGCTCTAGCACAGTTAGAATAATGCACAAATATGCAACTTTCTTTAAATGAGCCGGATAATCTATGTTTATTACTAGAGAAATTCTTATGACTAAGCAGAGCCTCCAGATTTGAAAATAAATACACACATGAACACTATCTACACCTGTAACCGCATGGGTCACATTGCCTAGCCTGGCAGCAGAAATCTTAGCTAGAGCTGAGACACAATAAATAGAAATGTAAATTTCAAAACAAGGAGAGGCAGGCCAGAGAGAAAGGGGCTGTCTTCTAAATGGGAGGCTGCAGCAGGTCACCTCGCCCACTCCTCTGTGTGTGTGTGGCGTGACTCTCATTCAGTCCGGTAAGATTCTCAAACAAAGTCCAGTGTCCTAAAAATATTTGGAACTATTACAAAGCATAAATTATAAATGTGT
The DNA here is from genome assembly GCF_000001405.40 of Homo sapiens. Classification (NCBI taxonomy): domain Eukaryota; kingdom Metazoa; phylum Chordata; class Mammalia; order Primates; family Hominidae; genus Homo; species Homo sapiens. The sequence continues at coordinate 97,515,820 of NC_000015.10, read as the reverse complement.
CAGGAAAATGGGAAAAGGTGTCTTGGGCCTACTTAAAACACAAAATGATCTCAACCATTATTCAACAATGATATGAACATCTTTTATTTCATTTCTCCTTAACCATTCCTTCTGTTTGCTATCATTTCCTGCTCAGCACCATGTCAATAATTACTAAATTAGCGGGACGCCTGTACAATTTCAGCTCAAGTGTTATTACTGACAAGTCAAACAATGGGGCTGATGGAAAAGATGGGACTCCATCTCCTTATTTAAATGGACCGTGTTCAGAAGGAAAGATTGAAGCCCCCTTTTTCTTCAAAAGAAGGAGGGAGGGAATGGTTTACATTTTGTGCAGCTCAAGGACACAGAGTCAGAGGAAATGCCTTTTTAACAGAAACCTCTTTTCATTTCCAGGGGACAAAAATGAAGGTTATTGAAAAGAATCATGCTTGGTGGAAGAAGTAATTACATTTTTTTTTCAAATCTCAGAGGAATAATGCTTTTATATTTCCTGCGATGACCCAATTTGCACTACGATATGCTCCCTTAAATGTAAGTGTGCGGACACCCTCGCCCTGTATTGTTTTTCACTGGTAAAGATGCCCTGTCGTACCTCAGATTAATTTCTGTACTGGTCTCCCAATACACAAAAGCAACTGCACCATGGTTGTCCGTTTTTACAATGATGAGTAAAAAATGGCAGACTTGGCCAGTTGTCCCCCCAAAAAAAGTCAGAGAGTCAAGTAGCTGCAGCTATAAATCATCTTCTCAAATTGTGTGATTCAGGGCCACTGACCTGTCTTGAGCGGGAAGGAAGTGGCCTGAGTGCTCCAAAGGAGAGCTGGGGCTCTAGCTTCAGCAGCCAGGTGCTGGTTAATTGGACTGGAAGAAAGGGTTTCTTACTCCTAGTCCTTGTTCTCCAGCCTTACTGTATATGCATCTATCTCTAGAACTCTGCTATCCACAGCTATACAGGAACAAGCTTCAGAAATATCTTTTCTCTACAATGAGAGGTAGTATTTTAAAAACTGTATTAAATATTTGTTAAAATGTGTGTATCTAGCAACATGATTGCTAAGAAAGACTCCAAAATAGTGTTTAATACCTCTGAGCCATTCTTTGATTATTTTTATTAAAATGCTTAAAGCACTTTCTGGAAATTTATTTGTGTTTGATATAGATAGGAACTCACTGTGCATAAAACTAAGCTTAGTTTTGAAATGTCAAACAAACCTTCTATGACCTTTGGCTTGCAGTGAGGTAAACATTTATTTGGGAAATACGTATGTGTGATTGCTTCTCGCTATTTTGGCTAAGATCAAGTGTAGGAAATATATGTATGTCGCCTGTTCCAGTTTACTTACAAACAAATTCTTGATTTTCGGAAAAAAATGATCACGCATTGTGTCATTTAGCATGTTAGAAGGCCCTAATCTTAACTCTTTTCAACCTCCAAAAAAGATGGGTGCTTAAACAATGTTAATGAGGAAAATAAATGAAGATGTTAATGAGGTTTCTACCTTTCTTAAGGAAATGTTTAGATTTTTATTTCTTATACTCATTTTCTCATACTAGCTATGGAAATAATGATGAGGATAATTTGGGGTGATTTGTTCTGAGAGCTGACAGGGAGGTAGGGTTTCTATCACCTGCAGTAACTCAAAGGGAAGTACACACGAGCCCTAGACTACCAGATATTCAACAAACACTTGCACTGTATGACTAAGAAAAGAGAATTTGCTTCTGTTTCACTAACATGGACTTCTGACACTTTACATAAATGATCATAATGTTGATGTTTAGTGGTTAATGGACATTTATGGCCTCTGAGAAGGCCTGTGCCACCAGATAACTCATGCTCAAGAACACGACTGTAGATTTGAGTAATCTTGTAATGAATCATTAGGTATAAAAAGACCCTTAATATTGCTCTCTTTTCTTTCTTTATTGTACTTTAAGTTCTGGGATACATGTGCAGAATGTGCAGGTTTGTTACATAGGTATACACATGCCATGGTGGTTTGCTGCACCCATCAACCCGTCATCTAGGTTTTAAGACCGCATACATTAGATATTTGTCCTAATGTTCTCCCTCCCCTGGCCCCCCACCCCTGGACAGGTCCCAGTATATTTTGTTCCCCTTGCTGTGTCCATGTGTTCTCATTGTTCAACTCCCACTTATGAGTAAGAACATGTGGTGTTTGGTTTTCTGTTCTTGTGTTAGTTTGCTGAGAATGATGGCTTCCAGCTTCATCCATGTCCCTGCAAAGGATATGAACTTATTTTTTATGGCTGCATAATATTCCATAGTATTTATATGCCACATTTTCTTTAGCCATTCTATTATTGATGGGTATTTGGGTTGGTTCCATCTCTTTGCTATTGTAAATAGTGCTGCGATAAACTTACGTATGCATGTGTCTTTATAGTGGAATGATTTATAATCCTTTGGGCATATAACAGTAATGAGATTGCTGGGTGAAATGGTATTTCTGGTTCTAGATCCTTGAGGAATTGCCTCACTGTCTTCCACAATGGCCAAACTAATTTACACCTCCACCAACCATGTAAAAGTGTTCCTATTTCTCTACAGCCTTGCCAGCAGCTGTTGTTTTCTGACTTTTTAATAATTGCCATTCTGACTGGTGTGAGATGGTATCTCATTGCGGTTTTGATTTACATTTCTTTAATGACCAGTGATGATGAGTTTCTTTTCATATGTTTGTTGTCTGCGTAGGTGTCTTCTTTTGAGAAGTGCCTGTTCTTCTTCACTCACTTTTTGATTTTTTTTTCTTGTAAATTTGTTTAACTTCCTTGTATATTCTGGATATTAGCCCTTTGTCAGATGGGTAGATTACAAAAAATTTCTCCCATTCTGTAGGTGGCCTGTTCACTCTGATGCTAGTTTCTTTTACTTTGAAGAAGCTCTTTAGTTTAATTAGATCCCATTGGTCAATTTTGGCTTTTGTTGCAATTTCCTTTGGTGTTTTAGTCATGAAGTCTTTGCCCATGCCTGTGTCCTGAATGGTATTGCCTAGGTTTTCTTCCAGGGTTTTTATGGTTTTGGGTTTTACGTTTAAGTCTTTAATTCATCTTGAGTTAATTTTTGTATAAGGTGTAAGGAAGGGGTCCAGTTCCAGTTTTCTGCATATGGCTAGCCAGTTTTCCCAGCACCATTTATTAAATAGGGAATCCTTTCCCCATTGCTTGTTTTTGTCAGTTTTGTCAAAGATCAGTGTTGGAAATGTATTGGCAATGTCTAAGCTCTGACTAGTGATTGAGGAGATTCATAAGAAAATGGAAGAAGGAAAAAGAAAAGAAAAAAGATACAATTAAAATAAAAATATTTCTAACATTTGAATGTCATGATTTTACCTGGATATGTTCATGGGTCTCTTACTCTGTCAACTGATTTTTCTTCTCACTGAATTGACTGGATTCTGATTGTGTTTGAATCCTTCAGCATATGTTTTATTGTACAGGATATGTAGAAACATTTTTTGAACCATCAGTTATTTGAGTTTATTATTTATCCCAATAGGGTTTATTTCTTTGTTTACCATTAATATTTTTTGCAAGATATTTCTGAATTTTGAGGCACTGACTAGTAATTTGGGTAGATTTTTAGATGATAATCT